>NC_000019.10:30990874-31615874 GCF_000001405.40 Homo sapiens | reverse complement strand
GGCTTGGGAAAGGACGTTCACCCTGTAGAGACTTGCTACTTCCTAGCCATGTCTTGGGAAGGAAGTGTGGTTACTGGGTGTTAGTGGGGACAGAACCCTCTAGGACAGTCCCAGAGGCACCACATTCTACATCATCTGGGCCAGACCCACTTCTCAGAGATGTTTCTCTAAGGGCAGACCACCTACCTCCCAAGGCTGTCTTGGAAATGGGTTAGAAACGTTTTACCAACAGGCTTGAAAATATTAGGCTGATCCAGTCTATCACTGATGGATATTTGGGTTGGTTCCAAGTCTTTGCTATTGGGAATAAAGCCGCAAGAAACATACGTGTGCATGTGTCTTTATAGCAGCATGATTTATAATCCTTTGGGTATATACCCAGTAATGGGATCACTGGGGATTAAGAAAATGCGGCACATATACACCGCGGAATACTATGCAGCCATAAAAAGGGATGAGTTCATGTCCTTTGTAGGGACATGGATGAAGCTGGAAACCATCATTCTGAGCAAACTATTGCAAGGACAGAAAACCAAACATGCATGTTCTCACTCATAGGTGGGAACTGAGCAATGAGAACACTTGGACACAGGGTGGGGAACATCACACACCGGGGCCTGTCGTGGGGTTGGGGGAGAGGGGAGGGATAGCATTAGGAGATATACTTAATGTAAATGACGAGTTAATGGGTGCAGCACACCAACATGGCACATGTATACTTATGTAACAAACCTGCACGTTGTGTACATGTACCCTAGAACTTAAAGCATAATAATAATAAAAAAGAAAATATTAAGCTGAAATCATATGACATCAAGCCTCTGGATAAAACCCAAGAATTCTGCAAAATAGGTGCATTTGAGAGCAATGTGATATTTATCAGCAGCTACTTTCTTTTTGGTCCCCTGGGATGTGGGGCAGTGGGAGATGCCTGTCACCCATGGGTGACGTGTCTCATTTTGCATTACTAGGAAGATCAGCCACATACACAAGCTCACTTTTATCGAACACCTACTATGCCCCAGGAACTCTGCCAGGTGCTTTACAAAAGCATTTAAAAGCCCTATGAGGTTGATACTTTAGAAATTCCCATTTTTATAGAGGAGGTAACAGGCTCAGAGTAGCTGAGCAACTTTTCCCAGGTCTCACAGCAACAAATGTCTATCATAGAGGAATCGGCAGGTAGTCTCTGAAGTCCCAGGCCATGGTGGGTGATATATTCTGACCAGAGCCAAGCTGTCCAACATGTCTCAGGTAACTGGGCTGCTGGAGAGAGAGAAATCAGTTCATTGAAGCCACAGGTTTGAGTTGTTTATGTGTGTGTTAATATTAAAATGGAAATGGTGTTGACTGACTTGGGTATACCTGCTTCGTGTTCCAACAGTGGATGTCATCCCTCATGCAAACTGCAATCTAAAAGTGCTTGGGAGAGTCTGGCAAACTGAAATCCAGCCCCACTGCAATGTGCTTGAGTCAGTTTACATGAATATTCTTTTGTTTGGACAAAAGACGGATGCTGGTGACTGAGAGACGAGAATCCTGCAGGACAGAGGGGCATCCCTTTTCCCCGCCCTATGCCCGGTGACCGGGATGCTGCAGTTTAAATCTCAAGGAGCTGTTTCCATGAGGAGTACTGAGAAATGCTTCAGCACAAATAGCTCTGGGCCAACCTCCACCATCTGACATGACTGTGACTCCCAGAGAGCCCACTAGAGGGGACACACAGAGACACTGGAGAGAGTGTCAGGGGATGGGAGCCCTGGGTGACCAGATTGGGGTCAATTCCAGCCAAGTTCCAGCTATTCCTCTTCTAAGCCACACTGCGGCCTTGGGCAGGGTGGACTTGGCAACCTACATTGTACACAGGCTGGAAAAGACAAATGTGGCCTTTAAAATTACATGATGAGAGACTCAGGGAGCTGCCAGACAGGGCCCAGGAAAGGAAGAAGCGTACAGCAGAGTGACCTAGAGCAGAGACTCCAGTGCCAGACGGCCAGGGCTGGAATCCTACTTCTGCCATTTATTGGGTAACCTTGGGCAAACGATGTGACCTGTCTGTGCCTCTGTTTTCTGGACACACAGCCAATGCTTTGCCTGGCAGGGGAGTGGTGGGAATGAAATGTGTTTATCTGGGCTAAGCCCTTAGAGCAATACATGACACACCATGAGTCCTGTGTGTGCTGGCCACAATTATTGTTATTTTTATTATTTAAAAAAAGGAAGTCCTAATTGGAAAGATTGTGGACAATGTGCCAAGCTCACACCTGCACATACTCCCACAGCCAAAGAGAACACTTCTCAGATCTAATTAAGTAAATGTAACCTTAACTGGTTAAAAGAATACCATGTCCATGAGCCCAGATAACTGGGTGGTCACCCTGACCGAGTTTTGTCACAGTCAGACACAGACTTAAAATATCTGTAACTAAATCAGTAGAGATGGTAGAGCAAATAATAGCTTCATAAAATAATGACTTACCGAAAATAGTTTAATAGCTGAAGAATCTTTTGCTTTGTAGGTTTGTTCCAAAGGGTAATTATTTTTGAGTTTTACAGGTCTAGCCAATTGGTCTGCCATTGGTTTATAAATATATAACATTTTCTTTTGTTTATAAACGAAAGTTGTTTTCAGTACGATTTATGTCGCCTTTTACGTACTTCTCTCATGTAAGATTCTTTTCCCCAAATCACTGAGTCCTCCTCTTCTCTGCTGGTGGTGGCTAAGGGAGTTATCAAAAAGTCAACCGGGGACTTTAAAGAATTTCTTCAATCTCCACTCTGCTCATCACCCTAGCTCCAGACTTCCAGCCATAAAAGAGGAAGTGAATGAAGGTAAGAAGGGGTGTGAACAGGAGGAATGAACACTCTAAATTCCTGGAAATTTTCTTCTGCATGGCTTCCTGAGGCCAGGCTGGCAAAGCAGAAAGCACAACTGTCTGTGAATATCTCTTCTTTGTAAACGAATGTGTTCAGCTAAGTCTTCATAATTAAAAATGGTTCTGAATCATTATAAAGTAAGTGCTAAAAGGTCCACATGAAATGGATAAGGGAAATGGTGCTTTATTTAGCAACTGCCCAAGTGATGGTGTGAATTCTTAAGCTGGAAATAAAGTGTGTTTCCTTCATTGGCAAGCAGCTGTCTGTGTGCATAACCCACTGGTCTGAGGAGGGCTGGAGCCGGGAGAGGGCAGAGGACCAGCCAGCAGCCCCCAGGATGCTCTCTCCGGCTGATGGCCTGTGAGTTGTGTCCTGGAAATCCCACGCCCAGCTTCCCCCTCTTCCCTGACAAGTCCTCTTGTTAATTGCAGCTGGCGAGTGGGCCGCTTGGGCACCCCTGGCTCCCCGAAGGCCTCTCCAAATTGCCCTGTTTCTAGGTTCTTTTTCTTCTCAATATTTTTCTCGAAGCGTGTGCTGGAGCCTTTGTCAGATGGTGATGGATAGAGGTGGTGGAAGTGGGAGAACAGCGCCCCGTTCTTAGTTCTTAATATCTCTCTTCCTTTCTTGGTGGCAAAGAGGCTGCAGGGTATTGAGAATATCCTAGACCCCACTCCCTGCGAGGCCTCGGGCATGTTTATCATGGTGCCAATAAAACCGGTGCGATTTATGGCTCTGCTTTTTAATTCATTCAATTCTCTCTTCATTGGGAGGTTAATGTTGTTGATCTATTTTCTCTTGAAACAAATAAAAACAATATGTGCTGACACTGGCTTGGACTTTTGACATGGACCAGAGAGGTCAGCATTTAATTTTATATTTATAGACTACACGGACAATATTATCTGTATTAAAAACCGCTCACTCAATCCTTGTCATTTTACAACGTGGGTCAGAGGCTCCCGTCTCAAGGCTGGGGTTTCTCCAGCAGCTTCTTCTTTTCTTTTTTCTTTCTCTTCTCCACCTCTTTCCACATTTTCCTCTCTCTTTCTATTTCATCTTCCATGGCTACATGCCTTTTCTTTCCTTCCTTCCTTCCTTCTTTCTTTCCTTTGTTGTTGCTGTCGCAGTGACATAGACTCATTCATGTTCATGCTCTCTCTCTGCTCTCTTTTTACATCTCCATCTTTTCTCTCCCTCTTTTTTCTCTCTTCTCCCTCTTTTCTTCTCTCCCCTCTTGCTCTTTCTCTCTCTCTTTTCCTCTCTTCTCTCTCTCTTTTCCCTCCTTTTCTTTCTCTCCTCTCTCTTTTTTCTCTTCTCTTCCTCTCCCTTTCTCTCTTTTCTTCTCTCGCTCCTCTCACATTTTATCTCTTCTCTTCATCTCTCCCCTTCCTCTCTCCTCTCCCTCTTTCTCTCTTTTTTATCTCTCTCTCCTCTCTCTCCTTTCCCCCTCCTCTCTCTCCTTTCCCCCTCCTCTCTCTCCTTTCCCTTTGTCTCTCTTTTCTTCTCTCTCCTCTCACTCTTTCTCTCTCCTCTTCCTCTCTCCTCTCCCTCTTTCTGTCTCTCTTTTATTTTCTCTCTCTCTTCTCTCTCCTTTCCCTCTCCTCTCTCTCCCCTCCCTCTCTTTCCTTTTCTTCCACTGTCAGCCTCCTCTCTCCCTGGTTCCTCTCTCTCCCTGGTTCTATCTCTCTTTCTCTTTTAAACCCTGTTACCTTTGCCAAAAGTGAGACTCTTTTGGCTTTGATGCTTGGAAAGCAGCCTGACTTTCCCTATGTAGTTGATGCTTTAGATTCGAAAAGGAGGCAGGAAAAGCATTTAAGAGTGAGTAACTTTGAGTTTTGACAATGAGAAAACTACCTTTCTTTGAGACAGCCTTTGGGTGATTTTTGAGTTTCAACTCCTCCTTCTCAAGACCCCACACCTGACCTCCCATAAGCAGTGGCAGTGGTGGTGACTATGGTGACATGGTTATAATCCGTGGAAGCGTCTCTTTCTGGAGCTTCCGTCTGCTGTGTTATCCAGTAGAATTCACCAGCAGTGATGGGCCACATTGCTGAACACTGGATCTAAACAATAAAAATCGTTTAAAAAAGGAAACAGGGCAGGCAGAAAACAGTTGTGGAAGGAATCCTGGCCCTGTTGTCCACTAGTTCTCTTGCTGGAACCAATTTGATAAGCTTGTTTAAGCTGTCTCCTGCCTCTCTGAATGAGGGTAGCAGCAGGTACATTTCAGGGCTGGGAAACAGAGGTCATGCATGGCCAATATGTCTGATACACATGGCAGGTGTCAGGTGAATGGAAGCAAATGACAATCTGTGCGGTTATCTGGTTATTTGGGGAGAAAAAAAACACCTTTTTTTGTTTTTGAGATGGAGTTTCACTCTGTCACCCAGGCTGAAGTGCAGTGGCACAACCTTGGCTCATTGCAAGCCCCACCTCCTGGCTTCACGCCGTTCTTCTGCCTCAGCCTCCCGAGTCACTGGGACTCCAGGCGCCCGCCACCACGCCCTGCTAATTTTTTTTGTATTTTTAGTAGAGATGGGTTTTCACTGTGTTAGCCAGGATGGTCTTGATCTCCTGACCTCGTGATCCGCCCACCTCAACCTCCCAAAGTGCTGGGATTACAGGCGTGGGCCTGTTTTTTTGCCCGGCCAAAAAAACACCATTTTGATCCAACAACTGTATTAATAAAGTGGTTGTTTCTGTTTGTGAAGACGCAATGATTGTGTAATTCATTGGCCATGCGGTCATCAGGATCATGAATCTGTCACTTCTTGGTGAGGTGAGTCACTCTCTCTCTGAGGCCTTGTCTGTGTATGGGAGGCAGAGATGTCCCCCAGCCTCCTATGGTACCATTTTCTTGACTGCTGGCTGTAGTCTATAAGCTCTGTGGTGTAGGGCGTGAGTGTCATCTTCTGAATGGACTTTTCCTGATGATGTCCCTGTTGGGTCAGTCACCAGTGCTGTGGCCGAGGTCTCTACTGATTGGAATCAGGCCACCTCTGCCTGTGGACACCCCTCCCATAGCTTCTGTGTCCTCACCTGTGAAATTGGGGTAATGATGCTATTCCATCCAGAGATGACAGGAGGATTAATTAGATGCTATATTTAAAAGACTTTAGATCCTTGGAGGAAAGTGCAGTGTAACTGATATCTAAGAAGATAAAATATTTAAGCCATAGCCTCCAGGGGCCGTTAATCTTATTGTATTTTCAGCATTTTAGAAATTTTGTATGAAAACATTCTTTAAGAAAGCTTCTCTGCCCAGACAGCTGAGGAAGAAACACTTCCTAAGAGAGTACAATAGCTTGGTATTATTCTTTCAAGATCTGCCTTCCTTTCCTCGTTGGCCTTATGCTTACCAAGATGGCAGAAATGAACAGCTGTCGTGAATTCACTGGCCCAGTAGAGCGGCCCGCAGGTAGGAGGCATGGAAGAAGGATGTAGAGGTTCCGAGCATCAGAACACCCAGGCAGGTCCTGGACAGACAAAGAAACTTTTATTCAAGCAAGTATCAAAAAATATATAATTTTAAGCAATGTCATTTCCTCAGCAAAGATTGTAGAGACATGGTGTTTTTCGAGCTGGATGAAATTTAACTGAGATCAACCATCTTGCTCTCAATGGTGAGATGGAGACTTTAAGAGATGAAGTGATTTTATCAAAGGCTTTTCGGGGAAATGGAGACAAGTACCCAGGCCTCCCAATTGCAATGAAGCTAAAGGAGCTTAAATTCCATGGGTCCCATTTGCATGCGCCCCTTCCCAGGCTCTGTGCCTGTTTTTGTATTTTTAAAGTTGTATTATTTTTCTTAAAATTGGACCAGTTTCAGGCCCCTCCATACCTGGATCTATCCTGTCCATAAGTCATTCTTGAGCTGGAATGATTTTCACTTTTAGATTTGTAGTGTTCTACTTATATTTTTTTCTGGTTACATGCAACAGAAGCCCAGCTCAAACTAGCCTGAACAGAGAAGGGAAATTACCAATTCAAGTAACTGAAAAGTGTTTGGGTATGGATGGCTTCAACAATGCCTTGAGAACCCCGTCTCTTTCCATCTCGCAGCTCTGTAGTCTTCCACATTGCTTTCTTTCTCAGGCAAGTTGTCTCCAGCCTGTGGCAGATTGCCACCAGCCATTCCCAGCTTGAGCCTTCCAGTTTAGTGATCTCCCCAGGAAACAGTGCTTCTTCCAAAGCCATTCTAGCCAAGTTCCAGGGGCAGACCCTCCATGGACAATCCTGAAGTTCTAGGGTGACAAAACGGGCCGGTTGGCTAAGTCACGTCTCCCCTTCTAGACCTAAGATAGAGAGTCAATTTCACTCAAATAATCTAGACTGAGAGTTGAGAAGGGCTAGTCTCCCAAAAGAAAATCAGTGTGATCTT
Source organism: Homo sapiens (assembly GCF_000001405.40). NCBI lineage: Eukaryota > Metazoa > Chordata > Mammalia > Primates > Hominidae > Homo > Homo sapiens. The sequence continues at coordinate 31,608,616 of NC_000019.10, read as the reverse complement.
ACCAGAATTAAGGATAATAGATGCTGGGCTAGCTGAGTCCAAAGGTGTCTTGTACCCACGGTTGTGTGTATGTGTTTGTTTTTTTCTCTTAGAAATACCCATTTGCAAATATGTCTCAGATCCTATTTTCTGTTGTGATAAGTGAGATGCTGCAAGCTGTGGCCTGCTGAAATCAATAACCAAGAATCAGGCAGAACCATGCACTTTTTGGTGGATGCCAGCATGGACTGAAGACCAAGCACTGAACCCTTCCTCCTTCTGTCAGCCACTTAGCTGTGCATAATAAATTTCTGAAACTTACACCAATCCTGGACAAGAACTGAAAACAATCTGATATTAATTTGTCACACAACAGAATGAAGACTCAAAGTAAGCATTAAGTTTTTGCAGAAAAATGAAGAAGGTTGCATTCTTGCACTCTGAGTTTGTGGATTGAGGCTCTCTCTCTCTCTCTCTCCCTCTCCCTCTAAATATTCTTTGCAGCTTACATCACCCACAGTGAGCTTCTTGTACTTGGGGTGGTTCAAGAGGCACTGGGATTATTTGCCTCTTCCTTTAATCAGGACAATAGGAAGGATAAACTCCAGCTCTTGGAACTAAACATCTGTCCTCCCCTCTCTTAAGCCAGTCTCCAGGATCTATGAGATTCTGAGCACCTTTAGGGAACAGGGGACCAGGTTGTAATGCACTGGGTATATTCAGTATAATGGCACCATTGGTTTCCTGAGTGTGACACATCTTGCCTGATTACACTGCATGTCCATGGAAGTAAGAGTGTGATGGGGAAGGCTCCCGTCTGGTGACCTTTATTTTGGCAGAAAGCTAATAGACATTCCGCTGTGCGGAGAAGATGCTCTCCCAAGGAATTTGCACACTAATAGAGATTTTGCCTCCATCACTGTGTTTAATTGAAGAAGAGTTACATCAAATTTTTACCTAATAATTTCTAACACATTCTTACATAATTAAAGGAAAGTGATGCAAATCAATCTTCAGTAATTTGCAAGTAGAGCTGTTCCCCTCCCCAACCCCCTCTTGGGCTTGGAGTTGTGAGTAATTGCATGCTTGTAAGCAGAAGGGGGACATAAGGGGTTGCCAGGGGTGGAAGGTGAGGGCCTACACTTTCTGCGTGGTGGAGGGAGGGGTGCAGGGAAGTCTCCCTGGGCTGGTCCTGAGCTTGCTAGGGCCCAGCTCATCCAAGCCATCAGTGGACAGAGTTGGTTGAGTGGCTAAGAGATCTGAAGCCTCTCTTGGCACCTTCTTCTCCACCCATCGTTACCTCGTTGCGGGTTTTCCCCACACCACTCCGTATATGGAGAGAACAAGATGAAAGACACAAAATACTAGGAGGAAGATGCCTCCTGTATTAGTCTATTCTCACATTGCTATAAAGAAATACCCAACCCTGTGTAATTTATAAGAAAAGAGGTTTAATAGGCTCATGGTCCTTCAGTCTGTACAGGAAGCATGGAAGCACCCATCAAGGGGCCTCAGGGAGCTTACAATCATGGCAGAAGGAAAAAGGGAGAGAGGTATTTCACATAGCGGGAGCCAGAGGAAGAGAGAGGGGTGAGGGGTGTTACAGGCTTTTAAACAACCAGATCGACTAGGTGCATTGGCTTACACCTGTAATCCCAGCACTTTGGGAGGCCGAGGCAGGTGGATCATGAGGTCAAGAGTATGAGACCAGCCTGGCCAATATGGTGAAACCCTGTATCTACTAAAAAATATACAAAAATTAGCCAGGCTTGGTGACGCTTGCCTGTAGTCCCAGCTACTCGGGAGGCTGAGGCAGGAGAATTGGCTTGAACCCGCGAGGCAGAGGTTGCAGTGAGCCAAGATCATGCCACCTCACTCCAGCCTGGGCGATAGAGTGAGACTTCATCTCAAAAAAAAAAAAAAAAATCAACCAGATCTTGAGATAACTTACTCACTATACAGTACCAAGGGCAGTGGGGAGGTGGTACTAAACCATTCATGAGAAACTGCTGCCCCCATGAGCCACTCACCACCCACCAGGCCCCAACTCCAACACTGAGTATTACAATTCTACATGAGATTTGGGTTGGAAGGCAGATCCAAACCATATCACCTTCTGTCAAGGAGTAGGAGCGGGTAGCAAGAGAACTGGAGTCACCCAATGCAGTGCCCATCTCTAAGTTGGAGCTCAAATGCACCCAGGGGGAGGTATCAGGCTGACTCAGAATTTAGTATTTTGAATTGGAATACTTGCTGGCAAGTGTGTTTTCCAGTTTTCCATAAGAAACACCATTCAGAAAGTCCTTCTCAAACAGCCTGATTCACACGCCTGTGGGACCAGTTTGGCTCTTTGGCCTGAACAAGTCCTTTGTCTGAACAGAATTCCATCCTTCATACCAAGTGAGATCTGGGAGGGATCATAGACCCTGAACAACACCAAGTGTATATTCTTGGTCTTTCTAAGGAAAGGATGACAAACATCACCCCTTTCTTGACCCGTTATAACTGCTTCTAGTCAACATCTCTTCGTTCTAGTGTCTTCCTCAAGTCTTATCCCTGCAAATTAATTTTCCTAAACTCAGCTCTGAGCACATTCCCCTCCCTATGTCCCAAACTGATGTGCCCCAAATCCTTCCAAGATGCACCATTGCCTATAGAATAAGAGCCAGATCCCTCTACCCTGACATTCAAGGTTCTTCACTCCTGATCCTCAAACACCTTTCCAACCTTAACACTCATCCATCCCCCACTAGGACTCCAGCCCCTCTCAGCTTCTGTGCCCACAGAAAGTGCAGAAAGCAGTCAGTAACTCCTTTTCTCTACTCTGGGACTTTGGGAAACACGGGTGGGAATCTATATGACCCCTTGGTGCTTTAATACTCTTACCAAGTGCATGCAAACCACTCCAAGAGTCTGCAAGAGCCCTGAGGAAACCTCACAGGTCCAAGTGCCTGTTTGCAACCAACCAGCATCCCCTCTCTGCAATTGCAACACCCTGCACTTTACCCAGAGACACTGAGGCACTCTCTGTTCTTTCTTCCCTGAATGTTGAGACTGGCTCAGGGCCCACCCTCCAAGGCAGGAATGGGTCTCAGTCCCGATTGCACACCCTAGAACAATCATAGCAGCATTCCTGGGGGTGGGACTCGTGCATCACATCAGTAGTTTTAAAGCTCCCCAGGTGAGCCCCATGTGCAGTAAAGATTATGAACAACTGGTCAGAGTTCATGGTTCTCAGCCAGAGCCCTTGGCTTGTGCCAAGGAGCCTTTAAAACACATGGATATCCATCTTCTCTCCAAACTAATAAAATGGGAGTCTCCCAGTGTGGCTCTTGGCCATGAATATTTTTTAAAATGCTCTTCAGGTTGGTCTAACCAGTGATCTACAGCAGTGTTCAGGAGGTGCTTTAAAGTGGGACTCCGGGAGGACAAGGGACATTTTAGTAGAAGGTAACCTATCATGTGCAGTGGCAAGTAGACCACACAGTTCACGGTCCCAAGGAGCTAACACCAGATGGAACAGTCCTTGGGCCCAGTGCAGAGGAGATTAGTGAACAATTCCACCTCCCCTCCCCTAAAGAAGCAAAGAGCCAGCCTCTCCTTGGCTAATCATATTGGCACTTTTGTTACAGTTTGTAGATGCCCAGAGCTGCAATTGAACCTCCTCAGCTGTGTGATTTGGGGGGCCCGGTGGACACTCCTGGCAGGTGGCAATATTCTGCAGCTAGTCATTTGTGCCTCTCTTTGCTTGTCTCGTGTGCAAGCTGCTGCGTCTCTTTCTGTGCCTGCCAGAACATTCTCCTCTTCATCGCATGCAGGGTCTATACAGGGGCAGGATAGTGAAGCAAGTCCAGAAGATGGGTCAAGCTGCCCTGGCTTTTGGCAGGAATATCAACGCCTCCCTTGAATCCAACAGGAAATGCTCCCCGGTATGTCCCCACACTGGACAGCATCATGGTTTCCATGGTTACCTACTTAATATTTTACTGCTCCGTTTAACCATTTAGTCATTGTACACTCACAAGGGGGGCTCTGGGTAAGCCAAGGCACTATCCCACAATCGAGATTTGAAGTTTATCATCGGCAAATACCAGCGCAGGTCCTGGCTGCTCTAATTTATTCTGCAGTTTCTCATTAAGCATTTTACAGTTCTCAAACTTTAATAACTTTAGTTCTAGGTAAGATAAAAACAATCTCCCTGGTAATGAGCAAAGAATTTCCTTCTCACAAATGATATTAGACTTGGATTGTGTTTTCCAAAGTACAGAATTTTCCTTCGCTCGTATGGTAGCCATTTTCCCCCGCAAGATTGAAATGATAATGTTTCTAGCCATGTAATGCCGTTACCCTCAAATTTAATAGATTTGCTTTTAAATGCCACTAAGATATTGTTTCTATCCTACCTATAACACAAGTTATTAAAATTTAACAGTAAAAAAGACCTTATGAAGACCCAGATTGCAGTGTAACAGATGAGCAAGTTCAGCATCTGGCCTAATGAGAGAGGACCATAAATGAGAGTTTAGAGATCACTTTGGAAGCCGAGTGTCCCCACAGGAACTTGGGCCGAGTGATTTTTTAACTTCCACAGACCCAGAAGTAACTGGAAAAACCATTATTTTTGCCTTCAACTAGTTACAAAGGAGATGCGATTACTTCATTGATACATATTTTCTCTTTCCTGGGACACCTCTCTGAATGAACGTGTTAGTTACTCTGATATAGAACAAGTACCCATGAAAGTTCTAACTGTTGTTCCTGGATAAACCCGAGGAAACAGATGTTTTAGGCTGAGTGTTCAGACCGCTTAGTTTCTGTAGGCCATGTTGATGCTTTGGAAAGAAGTGTCCTTGTGCTTATTTTTTCTGATCTAGCAGTAGACCGCACTGTGCACAGAAAGAGATACTCTTGCTTATAGCTGTGTGTGTGTGTGTGTGTGTTTGTGTGTGTGTGTGTGTGAACCTGGGCTACTGTGTGACACCAATGGCCCAGGGATGTTTCCTGTTGATACTGGCATGTCAGGGCCCCCATGTCTGATGGCAGGTCTTTTCCCAGTTACCCTGAAGCCATGTAGCAAGTAAACAAGCCCTCACCCTAGTGTGTCCGGAGATACCTGTCAAGCATTCTGTTCAGAGGAGAGATCTAATGGAAAACATAAGTGCCCAGTGGCAGGGGACACTGGACTGGCTCCTTAACATGATCACCTTCTCTTTGCTGTAAATAGGGACAGACAGCTAAGGACACAAGGGGAGATCCACAAAACCAAAGACAAAACCAAGGAACGTTACACTCTAGCTCCTGCTGTGCCATGTGGACTTGAAAGGTGGCTTCCTATCCAATATTGGCAGATGGGGCACAGGAAACCAGCAGTCCTGGAGGCTTTGGGGTCTGGAATGAGAGACCAGCTTCTCTGATGGGTCTCTGCAGCATTCTGGTGGAAGTGAGTTTCCAGCACATCCAGCATTCAGGTTGTTGGCTACGGTGTTCAGTATCCACAGGTCCATCCGTCAGCAGACCCAGCATGGAGCCTCAGACACAGGCAAGCCCCAGCAGGAAGTTTCAGCCTGGCTAGGGAGCAGGGCACCTGGGAGCAAGCAAGGGGTTTGGGCCAAATTTCTCCACTTGTAGCATAAATGTGACCTTATTTCCATGAGTAGCCCAGCATTCCACTTATGCCTGGCTTCCACGGATTTGGGGGAAGCCGTTTGATTGCAAACCTTTTGGGAACACTGGTTGGCGTTATTGGCAATTTCTAAGAAAGGCCCAGCAGAATGATGACAACAATGGTTAGTGGCTTATTCAGCAAAGCAATAGCTGCATGATCTAAAGCACAGCTTCCAACAGAAAGAAATTCCACTCCTAGGTAACCATGTCCTGCTCATAGTGAGTATTTAGTACTGCTGAGAATCTTGACACTTCAATGTGGTTAGTTTAACATTTCTGGTTGACCACAAGCCCACTCACATTTCCCCAGCATGACCTCCAAGTGGAGAAGAACCCAGGTTTTTTTTTTGACAGGGTTTTGCTCTGTTGTCCAGGCTGGAGTGCGGTGGCACGATCTTGGCTCACTGCAACCTCTTCCTCCTGGGCTCAAGTGATCCTCCTACCTTGGCCTCCTGGGTAGCTGGGATTACAGGGGGGTACCACCATGCCTGGCTAATTTTTGTATGTTTTTGTAGAAATGGTGCTTTACCATATTGCCCATGCTGGTCTCAAACTCCTGAGCTCAAGCTATCCTCCCACCTTGGCCTCCCAAAGTGCTGAGATTGCAAGCATGAGCCGCCACATGAGGCCAGAACCCAGCTTTTGTAATGTTCCTGAACTAACATCTTCATTGCCGTGGTGAATAATTGACTTCTCCCATGCAGGCTGGGGCAAGTATGTCTCCAACAAGGCCAACCCTGTTGAGCATCTGGGGTTGGGAAATGGCGAATGAAGAGCAAATTGTGATCCCAAGGACAGCCCCATTGGATCTTCTTGCTGGAGCTGAGCACGCTTCTGTTTAGAGATCTAAATGGCACGGCCTTGCCTTGTGTCTTGCTGCATAATAAATAGTATCCCTCGCATTAACCGGTCAGGCTTCAGTGATAACCAAAGTGCAGCCTGCCGGTGGGGCCCTGATCAATAAGACTTTCTATTTATAGGATTGTTACAAATGGAAGTTTTATTTAAATGAGACGGTGCTGAGGAGTACACAGAAGATCGATAGGATAAAATACAGTAAAAGAGTTTAATTTGGGTTTGATACGCAGCTCACACTCACACACAGGCTTACACAATGAATTCACAAACACACTGAGGGGAAAGGTTAGTGCCCTGCAAACACCCCTAAAATAATCAAACCATGACAACGCGCTGGGCAGAGGCAGGGCATTAACGAAGTGAAATATAAAATTCAAAGAAGGCAGGAGGAGGCAGAGTGGAAAGTTGGTCTAGGGCCTGAAGGGAGCTGGGCTTTCGGCCTCCCTTGCAGACCATCTTGCTGTGTGGCCTCGGAGAAGCCCCCCTCTTCTCTGGAGTTCCATGTCTCTGTCTAGCAATGAGCCCACTCAGCTCTGACACTCCATGATTCCCTGGAAGAGACACTATTGTAAAGGAGCAACTACAAAACAAGAGAGAAACTTGCTGTCTCGTCCACCTCTAATCTATTCCTGTTCCCCAGACAGCCAGGGTTTGAGGTTGTGCATATAGGGAGACTGGGTTTTAAACACCAGCCCCATCAGGACTGTGCAATCTTGAGTAAGTAGCATGAGAAGGTGACATTTAGTGACTCAAAGCATGATGCTTCATTCAGCCTTCCCAACCACCGACAGGGCAGAGCACAGGGCTCCCTCACCTTCCTCCCAGGCTCTCGTTATTGTCTGGTGATGAGGATGATGAGTGGTGCCTCCGCTTGCAAAGCACCTGTGAGTGTGAAAGGAAGTTAGGCTTGCAGAGTGCCAGGTCATGGCTTGGCACAGAGGTACACTCATGGCACCGGGGCTTGGCTGCACTCCTCAGAAGTGGTAACAAGGGGCACCGAGTCAACAAGAAAGCCCAGGTTGTCCAGCTGCCAAGGGCTTATCCCAGACACCACCAGTGTCAGCCTGGCAACTCCCATGCCCATCAGAGCAGGAAAAGTGGCAGCAGCCAGGCATGGAGAGAAGGCTGACCCCAGGTGCGCAGGTGAGGTGTTGCATTGCCAGTTGTCACCTGGACTGAAGGACAGATCTGGCAGCAGCCACAGCCGCAGTGCCCACAACGTGTCCCGCAGCTTCCTCTGCTGTTTTTCTTGGTTGACGTGCACTCCGCAGTGGCAAGGGAATGTTGTATTTTATTGCTATATTTTATCAACACACAATTATTTCAGGACTTAGATTTCTCTCCAAAGAATGGATTAATGTTTGATGACCACGTGAGGCCATCCTGACCCAGGCTGGGAAGATGCTTGTGCAATGCAACCTGGTGAAAATCCCTTCCTCCAGGGCAGGGTTTTCGGGTTTTTACCTGGGGTAGGAGAAGATGAGATACTTGGATCCCTCTTCAGGATGAATTTATTTGCTACAGTCTTGGGACATGAAGTTTATCTTTTTAATACCATAGACAGACTTCATCATGCATATTAGAAGTTCACCAGGTATTAGGTAATTTAGATCATAAATTCTCCTCAAAGTGACCCCTCATCTCGGTATTTATATTTTTCCTCTGAAAAGATGGGAGGCATAAAAGCAAGCTTTGTAGTTTTATATCTGTCAGCTTGTCACATAAATATCTCAGTAACTACTGATCTTATCATCATAAAATTTCCATTTGTATAGTTAGACATGTCATGTTGGCCAGTTACACAAAAAGTTAAGCACACACAACATTCAACCCCATTTGGGGCCAGCTCTCATCTTGATGTCTCTCTGTGTAGTCCAAGGAGAGGCCTAGAGTGGACTAGGCTGGAAACGAGCTCCATCTGACAGCAGAGGAATGACAGAGCAGAAAAAACCCCTTGAGGCCTCTGCTCCCCTTTCCTGAGGGTGTTCCCACAGTGCTGATGGCGTGAAGTCCCCTAGAATGAAGGATGCCTGGATGCCTTCTCTAAAGGCAGCAGTGAGGAAGGCTGGCAAACGAAATTCAGGTCCTTTGTGACCTTGATGGTAGATCAGAATTTAAGCCCATTTCCAGGTCCACAATGTTAGCAGGGTGGGTAGGGAAAAAGATGAGATGAACTGTTTTTGTTGTTTTGGAGACAAGGTCTTGCTCTGTCTCTGAGGCTGGAGTGCAGCGACTTGATCCTAGCTCACTGCAGCCTCGACCACCTGGGATCCAGTGATCCTCCCACCTCAGCCTCCTGAGTAGCTGCACAGGCTCATATCACCATACCTGGCTAATTTATTATTTTTTATTTTTTTTAGAAACAGGGTTTCACTATGTTGCCCAGGCTGGTCTCAAACTCCTGGCCTCAAGATATCCTCCTGCCTCCACCTCCTAAAGTGCTGGGATTACAGACATGAGCCACCGTGACCAGGATAAGACTAATTTGTTTTGTTTGTTTGTTTGTTTGTTTGTTTGTTTGTTTTTGAGATAGAGTCTTACTCTGTTGCGCAGGCTGGAGTGTAGTGGCGCAATCTTGGCTCACTGCAACCTCCACCTCCTGGGTTCTACCGAATCTCCTGCCTCAGCCTCCCAAGTAGTGAGGATTACAGGTGTGTGCCACCATGCCTGGCTAATTCTTGCCTTTTTAGTAGAGATGGGGTTTCGCCATGTTGGCCAGACTGGTCTCAAACTCCTGACCTGAAGTGATCTGCCTGCCTCCACCTCCCAAAGTGCTGGGATTGCAGGTGTGAGCCACCGCACCCATCCGTAATTTTGAAACAAGTGTTTATTGATAACTGCTAGGGTCACCCACTGTATGGCTCAGGTGACATGCAGACAAAGCCCCTGTCCCCCAGCAGCCCTGGGCCTAGTATGGGAGACAGTTCCAGTATCCAGTGTGATAGCAGAGACAGACACAAGACAACTTATGGACACAGGGCAGTGGGAACCTTAGCTTTCCTGGGAGACTTGCAAGGGCAGGAATCAGCGAGGTGTCAACACCCTGGGGCATGAAAGCTCCACTTGGTTTTCAGACTCAAGAGAAGACTGGATATTCATATCTATTGAATGTGACTATTTATTTTTCCATTTACTACTTCTTGATCACTAGCTGTATGCCGGGCACTATGCCAGGGTCAGAGATGTGGTAAGAACTGAGGCCCATGCAATCCCTGACCTCCCAGAACCTACAGTCTAATTGAGGGGAGGAGGATGAGCAGTGAAACAAAATGTCACACAGATAACTTTGTTTCCACTAATACTCTAAGTGAAGTAACTTAGGAATAGAAAACCAAACATCATATGTTCTCACTGATATGTGGGAGCTAAGCTATAAGGCCATAAAGGTGTAAGGATGACACAGTGGACTTTGGGACTTGGGAGGAAAAGTGAGAAGGGGGTGAGGGATAAAAGACAACAGATATGGTGCAGTGTATACTGCTCGGGTGATGGGTGCACCAGAATCTCACAAATCACCATTAAAGAACTTACTCATTTAACCAAATACCACCTGTACCCCAGTAACTTATGGAAAAATAAAGTAAAATAAATAAGGCTGGGTGCGGTGGCCCACATCTGTAATCCCAGCACCTTGGAACGCCGAGGCAAGCGGATCACGAGGTGAGGAGATCAAGAGCATCCTGGCCAACATGGTGAAAACCCATCTCTACTAAAAATACAAAAATTAGCTGGGCATGGCAGCCCGCACCTGTAGCCCCGGCTACTTGGGAGGCTGAGGCAGGAGAACTGCTTAAACCCAGGAGGCAGAGGCTGCAGTAAGCCGAAATTGTGCCACCACACTCCAGCCTGGGTGACAGAGTGAGACTCCATCTCAATCCATCAATCAATCAATAAAATAAAATATATATTGACAGATTGACTATCTAAAATGCACAAGGGACACTTAGGTATTGTGAGGGATCATAAGGATAAGACCAAGTCCCCAGTCTTAAAGAATTTATTACCTAATAAAGCAAAATGAGATACATTCCTAAAAAAAACCCTTCATCTCCAGGGCAGAGGAGAGCTCGCATACTAATTAATGCGTGTGAAAGCATTCTGCACACGCAGTGTGTGGTAGGTGTGTTTCAGCCTACATTGCAGCCTGATGCCATCGCTAAATAAGCCCCACCCTGTTGGGGACTCACAGAGCTGCAGACTCCAGAAGGCCAGCCTCGCCCCTGGTGACATGGGAGTGGGGGAGCAGTGAAAGCTGAGGTCTCCGAGGGGCATGTACTAAACTACACTGTGGTGGAAACAGTATTGCAGTTGGGGCATTGATCTCGGGTCCATTTTAAAACACAAACTTCCTTAAAGGTGACTTTGACTGAAACGGGCTCAGCAGAGGACACTGCACTCTGAGAGAGGGCAGGTAAGACTCAGCGGTCGGGATAAGGCAGAGCTGACTGAGGACAGGTCTGGGCGACAGAAAAGAAAACAGGGACTGGAGTGGCCTGGTTATATGATTCTGTGACTTTTTGATGTTTCTTATTTTTTATTATAATTATTATTATTTATTTATTTATTGAGATGGAGTTTTGCTCTCGTTGCCAAGGCTGCAGTGTAATGACGTGATCTTGGCTCACTGCAACCTCCGCCTCCCAGGTTCAAGTGATTCTCCTGCCTCAGCCTCCCCAGTAACTGAGATCACAGGTGTGCACCACCACGCCCAGCTAATTTTTTTTTTGTATTTTTATTAGAGACCGGGTTTCACCATGTTGCTCAGCCTGGTCTCGATCTCCTGACCTCAAGTAATCCACCCGTCTCAGCCTCCCAAAGTGCTTGTTTCTTGTTCTTTAAAAGTCACCCTTTGGTGGCTTTTTATTTAAGACAAATATTCTTATCCTTTGATTCTAACCTAGAAAACGATTAATGATAGCTATCATGCATTCAGCCTTTACAACATGTCAAGGGACAGGGTGCAATGGGCCTCATTAGCCTTCACAACAACTCCCTGAGTCCAACCCCACACACCCCATTTACAGATGGGGCACAGAGACGGAGCAGTGGGCAGACCTGAGACGTGCAGTGGAACCGCCTGATGCTCTTCCCTGATGTGCTTGGTGGCTGTTGCCGCCCACAGCTTTCCGTGTGTCTCTCTTGTCTGCCCCAACTGCAGCAAGCTTTGGGGAGGCCATATGTGCTCAGAGGGGACATGAAATGGCAACACACGTGAAGCCAGCATGGGAATGTCTGAATTTCAGGGAAGAACTGCTCTTCAGAAAACAGCTCTTATTCTCTCATCAGACAATATTCCTTTGCCCGCGGAGCCCAGAATATCCTCCTCCACCTGAAACTATCCCTCCCTTGAGGATGCAGCCTGAGTTTCACTCTTGCGGGACACACTGTCCCTGACATCCTCTGCCTCTGGCTGGAGGCAGCATCTCGTCTCTTACCTGATAATGTCCCTACATTGCATGCAATGAAAGTGGTTCTCAGAGGCCTGCACTGCCCGGGGGGTCTGTGTTGTTTACCATTCAACATCCTTGAGACATGACCTAGGCTGTCCTAGGTGAACCTGAGGGACAACAAGAGACACAGATTTGTGGAAGGGACAGCTCTGGACAGACCAAGAGCGTTTGTCCCAGGTGTAGGACTCACTTTGGCAGTTCAGACACCTGCAGGTCTCCAATGCACCCCAGGAGCCAATCAAAAACAGTGGACCAGGAAGCTCAAGGCCAGCTGCGATGCCTAGACCCTTTGGTCGAATATGGACCCATTACCCATGAGTAAAGGAAAAGAGAAGAAAAGTCAGGATGAGAAAATCAGGACTTCTCAGGTGCAGTCAGAGGAGAAGATCCAATTCTTACAGGAAGACAACAGAGAATCCCCAAAGGCTGCCCCAGATCCACAGCTCATCTCCCCACCAGAGCACAATAGCAGGAGGCCTTCCCACTTGTCTTGGTTCCTCTCACAGACACGAGGAAATTGCATAGAAGGTCCTTCCGAGGTGGTTCAGGACTGATTAGGAGAGGAGTGTTGTTCACCATTCGACTTGGTTCTTTTTCTGAGTGATGCACAGCATTTTAATTCTCAAGCTAATCTTTGATTAACATCTAGGAAATTTGAGCCTTTTAATTAAAAGAAAGGGAAAGTTTAAAAAGAAAATAGGTCAATGGGCCTTTCTGAAAGGTGGCCCCAGTGAGGCTAAAGGCTTGCTTTGGAATTTTCAGGTTCCCCAGTGTTAATAGAATTTAGATCACATTGAGAATTTAGATCGCAGGAACAGAAAGCGCTGTCCTTTTTCACTGACCCAATTTGAGAAGTAAAAATTGATCAGCAGACCAGCTGGGCATGCAGACATAGACCACAGCATTTGCATGGACTGTTAAGAGTGTTATTCACAGCTTCTGGCAGAGAGCTGGGTGCTTCCCTGCATCCAAGACAGCGTGCTTGCAATGAAGGAACCCCTGCTTTCATCACCTGTGCATGAGAGAGACCTGTTACAGCCCCCAGGGGTGGGGTGAAACCAGGTAGGAAAATGCATCAGGGCAGAGGGGAGTTGCGAGAACATCTGTCAACCCTGCTGCTTAGTAGCACTGTTCCCTGAATCTGTGGAGGGAGGTAGTGATATGGAAACAGGAATTCCAGGGCCTCTCAACTGTATTCATATTCTGAGTTTCCTCCTTCCATTGCCAATGAACTAGAAAAAAAATGTGTTACTAAGATTTTAAAAATTAAGACATAATTAACATAGGATGCATGCACAGCTCTTAGGTGTATAGTTTCATGCATAACATTCATGCAAACATCAGCCTGATCAAGCTCTATGACTTTTCCATGACCCCGGAGTGTTCCTTCATGCCTCTTTTTGGGGAGATTCTCTCCAGAAGCAAGCATGCTCTGTTCTGATTTCTCTCACCATAGCTTAGCCTTCCCTGCTCTGCAACTCCATATGCATTAGATCCTACAGCGTAGACTCCTTGGAAGCTGGCTTATATGGCTCAACCCATTGTTTTGAGACTCATATGTGGTATTGTGTGTATTCGTGGCTTATTTTTTATCACTGAGTAATAGACATTTTACAGTTAGACCACAGCTGGTTAAGCCATTCACATTTTGATGGACATGGAAAAAGAAAATTTAGAAGACTCTAGAAAGGGGGAGGGAAAAAAATTATTTTGAGTCAGAATTAATACATTCATTCCACGGATGTTTGCGAAACGTCAGTGCTCTGCTAGAGCTTGTGCTCAGCACTGTGAGTGCAGCTGTGAAGGGGACAGTCAGGCACCGGGACTCATGCACTTGGACCTAGGAGGAGATGCAGATTATGAACAAGTAAACAGACACATGGACAAGATGATTTTAGATTGTGATAGGTTCTCTGAAGCCAATTCTCTTATGAAAAATAAACCAAAGATTACGTTTTTAGGACTGATACTTTGGTAGAGTAGATTTTTTAAAAAATAAAATTGCTATTAAGATCATGAATATGATAAAAATTTGCATCAATTTGTGATTTTTCTTCCGTAAACATCCTTATTAACCAGTGAGTCCAGGGTAAAGTGTGAAATCTGCATCTCACATTGACTCTTTCTTCCTTGCCATGTGTTTTCCTAAGTCTCTTTCCTCTTAGCCTATTACCTCTTGGTATTACAGATACATTTGTAGTTGTTCAATGGAGATTTCATAAAAAATAAAAATCCTGGTTCAAAGAAAGAAAACTAAGAAATATGTGCTGTGGGATTTGAATTATTTCTTGCTAAAACAACCACCACCCTCTCTCTATGCAAGATTCTTGACACAAATATTTTCAAAGAAAGCAATTTCCCTCCTTTCACCATGGGCTGTCTCTCTACAGCTGGCATTGTTCAGAGGAAGAAGGAGGCACAGGGAAATACTTTAGCATTCTATAATAAAGTAGTTCATGGCACAATTAAAATGATGTAGTAGAACAGTAACATGATATGCTGAATTTAAATAACTGAAGCTGATTAAGGAGGACGTCAGAATTAAATGCTTGATGGAATTGACATAACACATCCAAGATGGCCTCCCCATGTTTCAGCGGAGAGATGGTGCCAATCATTGATATTTTCCAGGCAAATTTGTTGATAGATAAAACATTTTTATAGACTTTCCATTATTCCTTGTAGACATCAGCTTTTAATTTTCTCTTTCTAGTTAATATACTTGTGTATAATTTAAACAGAAAACTGTTCTGTTTCATCATAAAAGATTTGCCTGTTACTTTGGGTGTGTAAATCAAGTGGGCAGCACAACATTCTTGAAACTTGTTTTTTAAGGCATTTGTTGACAACAACAGAAAGGAAGATCACAGACACCGCCAATAAGCATGGACATCAATTATTTTTTAATTGTATAGGAGTACAGTACACTAATTAAAACTAGTATATCTTGCAATGCCAAAGGCAAAATTAATTATTAATTTTTATTAATATTCAGAAGTAGCACAAGGAATGCATTAATAAAGATTTGGTGGTTGTGACTGAGATCTTGTTTTGCTTTATATTTTAGAAAAAAAAAAAAGGTTTTCTGGCTCGATCTGAATAAAAAGAAGCTGGCACCGAAGCGATGATCTTTATTGAAATGGAATATGCTCACCAGAGTGGGTATTTAGTGACAGAAGATGAGATGTGGAAGGAGATTATGTGAAAACCCCAAATGCTTGTCTATAATGGTTTGACTTGACAACTCTACAATCACCTGCAAAATTGTTGTTGTTACCTTAGATACTTTTGGTTATTAAATTGAGTATTTTAGTTAAGCCATCTTGAGTTGACATTTAATAATTCATTTAGGAGCCGTGCACAGAATATTACCCAGCTCACCAAATCCAAGATGAACAAAATTAGTTTTGTGCACTAAAAAGATTTTGACAAGCCTCTCTCCTCCTCTCCTCACTCTCCCCTCCTTCTCGTCTCCTGTTCTCCTCCTTTTCTCCCTCTCCCTTCCTGGCCTCTCCTCCTCTCACAGTTAGAAGCAAGCCCGTAAGGCTTTCTTGTCCTACAGGGCAAAGACGGAAGCACATTTACAGTTTTTAGGCTAGGGTCTTTAAGCCCATCTAGGCGCAGTCCTAAAACCGTGTAGGATGTAGATAGGTCATTAATCTGTGCTTGCTTTTTTTAAGCAGCCCTGATTTTAGATCTTTCATGTCCACTTCCTTGAGAAACAATTTTGCCTTTGTAAAGTCTGCACCAGTAAAATCCTTCAGTGACACCCAAAATGTCGACACAGCCAGCGGGAGGGCTGCATGGACATGTGGGCTGGTCAGCCGCAAGCTCTGATATCCCGGAACACACGTCCATCCTCCCGGGTGGACGGCAGTAGAGCCATCAGACCCACATCCGCCTTCGTCTACCATGTGGGGAATGCTATGCCTCGCACAGCTCAATCCTGCATGTTCGCGAATCTTCAGGGGTGAAAAGGAGAGGAACGGAGCATTCACAGCTACAATGAAGCTACAAGCAGTTGTAGGCAAAACTGTATGGTACAGCATATGCACAGTGCATGCCTTCCCTTCACACCTCGGAAGGCAGCAGGACTCCCCGGCAAGCGCAAGCTGTCACCATTCCCTTGGGAAGGCAGCTCTCTGAAGAATACTTCTTCCACCTGATGGTCCACCTTCCAGAATGCAGCTCCTGGGAAACAGCAACAGGCCAGTCTGGGAAGGCATGTGTTTCCTCAGATGTGTTGG
This sequence comes from Homo sapiens, assembly GCF_000001405.40. Taxonomy (NCBI): domain Eukaryota; kingdom Metazoa; phylum Chordata; class Mammalia; order Primates; family Hominidae; genus Homo; species Homo sapiens. The sequence continues at coordinate 31,592,418 of NC_000019.10, read as the reverse complement.
AACATTTCCTCTGAAAAATAAGAGGAAAAGTGGATCTGATGTCATACTGGCAACCTCTCTGATGGGACTCACATACCTGAGGGTAAAGGTGGCCATGGAGTTAGAATCAGCATTGACTCCAGATAAATGCATGGCCATGTTGGCTCATTTCTCCCCATCAGAGTTTAGACAGGGGTGAAGGAGGATGGCTTCATCACACCATGGCGTGTGATGCACCAGCTGCCTGCAGGTGATGTTGAAGATAGCCAGGTGATCTCTGACTCCTAGGACTTTAAATGCTTAGCAGCTCGTATCAAGAGAGGTTACTGTCTTGCCTTGGTATTGTTTTTTTAAATTATTCCTCCAAAATCACATAGATAAATACTGCAATGTATACCAGCTGTTAGTGAGACATTATGATGAGTTGGTTTACAAAAAGGAGATTTAATTAATTCATTCAAACAACGAATACTTTTTGGGCACCTACACTATTCTGGGAGTTTTGCTAGGTCTGGGGGGTTCCAAAATAAATATGAAAGGTAAGTGTTATGAGTTTGCTGTTGCTGCATAACAGACAGCCCAAAACTTGTGGACTTAAGCAGCAATCCTGCATTACCACCCAGGTGTCTATGAGTTGGCTGGGGCTTGGATGATCTAGAATGGGCTTGACTAAGCAGCTCTCCATCTGGGATTGCTAGGGTGTCTACAATGTCTCTTTCCACCTGTCTCTCGCACTTTTTGGATCAGAGAGGTAACTGGGGCATGTTCTCCCCATGGTGATACCAGAGGCACAAGAGGGTCTACTGAAATCAAGGGCTTCTAAATGCCTCATCTCAAAATTGGCACCCTCCTGTCTCCATCTACATTCCATTGGCTAAAAGTAAATCACATAGCCAACCTCAGAGCTCAGAGTTAAGGAAGCATATGCAACCTGTGATGAGGCCACAGCAAGGGTGTGGATGCAAGAAGGTGTGATGGAGGTCAACAGTGACACCTACAGTGGGAAGATATCATTTCCTATTCTTCATGCTGCTGATGGGCACAGGAATGGTATTTTGGTCCATTAAGGCTGCTATAACCAAATACTATAGACTGGGTGGCCCACAAATGACAGGTATTTATTTCTTACAGTTCTGGAGGCTGGGAAGTCCAAGACCAAGGTGCTGGCAGATTCGGTGTCTGGTGAATCAGCTTTCTAGTTCATAGACGGTGACTGCTTGCTGTGTTCTCACATGGTGGAAAAGAAAAGAGATCTCTCTTGGGCCTCTTTTATAAAACCACCAATCCTGTGCATTAGGACTCCATCTCCATGACTTAATCACCTTCCAAAGGCCCCACCTCCTAAGGCCGTCACCTTAGGGGTGAACTTCAACATAGGAATTTGGGGAAAAAGCACAAACATTCAGAGAGTAGCAAATGATGACTTCTTCCCTGAAAGTATTGGGGGGAAAATTCCCACTCCATTCCCTCTTTCCTGAAGGACAGCTGCTGGGAAGGATGAGAAGATGTCCATGGGTGTCTTAAGCTACGAAAGAGTTGCTATTCCCTGTGGTCTGCCTCAATTTTTCCTTTAGGGACCACAGGGGAAAGATGCTGTTGGCTTCTGCTTCCATGTGACAGATATCCTTCCCCACAGCAAGTCTACGGCCTGGTTCTGTCTCTGCCTGGACTCTGTCAGTGGCCGGAGACTAGACAGAGGAAGACAGGGAGGCTTGGGCTCTCTGCAGATCCAATCCAGCTCTGCAAACAACCATGCTATTTTCATCAACCCTTGACCCTTGGGTCTACTTCTCATTTGTTTGAGAACTCAGAGGAGAAGGCCTCTGATTAGCATCTTAGAAGTTCCCAAAATGTCACATGGATTCTGTCCTTGCAGAGCTCCCAGGGTGATATGGGGCTTATCTGGGGATGACACGGGGCCAGGGCCTTGACATCCCTACACACAGAGGCATCCCCCTTACTGAGGTTCACAGGATGTAGCATCTACCTCCTCTCTGCACCTCAAATATTCCCCAATTAGTGTCCCCATTGACCTAGTGGGGTGAATCTTCAGCTTCGCATCATAATGTGGAAGACAGGTGGTGCTTACATGAGAAAGAGAACAGAAGAGAATTAACACATGATGCAAGCAACTGGATCAATGGAGACATCCCAATTTGATAAATCAGGCCCAGGTTTGTTTGTTTGTTTTTTTAATCTTCATCTATGTAGTTTGTCCATCCAGGTAGTAACCAAAGACAATGTCCTGCCTCCAGTCCTACTGCTGGTGCCCCAGCTCTTCTCTGCACTAGCTCTCATGCTTTCCGCACTTCTGTCCACTCACCTGCAAGATGCAGGTGAACACAGGACCCCCTCTTCAGATGACTGTGAACCTCCGTGAGATCCAGTGGATGGGAAGTTCTTAGCACAGTGCAGGGCACACCGGAAGGACAGATGGGCCACGAGTTTCATTATTGACCTAGCGCACACATTCTTTGAGGTAGAGGCTGGCAGAGACTCAAGCTGCATCCTCCCCCGAACAGATGTGGACCCTGTTAATCGTGGTCTTTCATCTTTGCTTACAGTTATGTGACACTGCTTCTCTAAGCAGATTTGGGGAGAGATTTGTTTTCATAAATCATGTTTATATGTTACCGAAGCTTTGTTTACTCATTTAGGAACAAGTTAAGGGCATTGGGGTACATGTCTGTGGGGACAGATGGGTGGGGAAAGGAAGTGTTTGAAGGAGTTCTTTGGTACATACACAAAGGTAGGAACTGACCCAAGAACCTGGCTTCAAAGTCAGATGTCGAGCTGTTTCACTATGTGACAGACTGAGGGCCAGACTCAAAGCGGGGCTGGGTAAGGCTTCTTCACCCAGATCCTAAAATTACGCAAGTCCATGAAAATCCCGTTTTGATTACATCAAGAACTTCTGGCAGAAATATTTCTGGTACCTAACCTTAAACTGGAGGATATTGCATTGGCGGTGGCGGCGCTGAGAGCACGAAGCCTCAGAAGTGGGACAGCTGTCGGAAATCAGATGTTGTCTATGAGAGTTTATTATGCTCCCTCTACACTGCTCACCCTCGGCAAAAGCCAGGTGAGATCCTTTCACCAATGAGGATGCGTTTCCTCTCTAGGGTTTCCTGAGCCACCTGTAGGGCCAGGAGAGTCCCTGAATATTCAGAATATGCAGAAACTCCTCTGACAAGCAGCTTTGCTTAAGCAGAGAATGTGATGGTGTCCAAGGTGGCTTGGATAAACTTTACACTCACAGAGAAGGCTCTGAGCCTTCTTCTGGGCTGTGGGCATTAACCTGAACCAAGTAATTGTGTATTTTTTTTAACTTTTATACTTTTCTACTTTAGATATGTACTCACATGCAGAAAAGAAATCCCTATGTTATTTTTTGTCAAAACCCAGTTTACTTGTTATTTTCTTTTTAAAACTTCCCCGACAACTCCACTGGTCACTTCCATATGAATTTCAACTCTATTCCCCATTCATACCTCTCTGGCATCACCAGCTTGTGATGGTGGTGATGTCATCTGACTCCTGGCTAGAGACCCACGATCACCCTGAGACAGCATGTATGTCTTCTTCTTTATGTACTTCCAGTGCCCAACCAAAGCCACTGGTTCTGAGATAGTTTCAGAGAAGGTGGGGCTGAGCTGAACGAACACATCCAGCATGGGTCTAATTATTTGAACAAGTAATTGGATTGGATTAACCACTAGCACGTTAACCACCTGACGAGAGTGAGTTGACTAATCTTACCGTCTTATATATAATTGAGAGTAGATTCCGAATGAGAGGTGAGAAGAGCATCTCTGCATTTTTAGGGGCATAAGAGAGGCCTTGTTTATTAATTCAACCATAATCATTGGTTATCTACCTTGTGTAAGGCCCTGTCATAGGCACAAGTGATAGGTTTATCACTAGTACTAGTATAATTGTTACAGCAGGTAGCTAGTCAGACAGGAACAGGGCAGGAGAGCCCCCCTGACTCCCTCCCTCTCTCCCTCACCAATCAGGAATGTCAGGCAACCATCAAGTGATGGTGAGGTAGTTGTTAAGTATCTCTCTAAAAAAATAATTGATCAATGACAGGGAAAGGCAGTCTCCCAATACACAGAAACACCTGTAATTGCTGATCAGCAGCTTCCCGATGACATCTCAGGAGTTGGGCAAGCGGGCTCAAGCATGAGCACTAAGAGGCAAAATGGCGGAGTTTAACCGGTATAGCATTTGGACTGGTAAAGGAAGAATGCCTCATGTGAGCATGCGTACAACTCCAGTAAACGCACCACGCATGCAGCCCCTCCCAAGTGCTACTGGGCCACTGTACATGGGCACAGCCCACCGCAAGGGAAGAATCAGGGGAGAAGTTTTTAATAAACTTTCACTCCTTCTCTAAACTTGCCTCGGTCTCTCACTCTGCTCTTCGTTTGGATTCTTTCTTCTGAGGAGACAAGAACTGAGGTTGCTGCAGACCCGTATGGATTCGCCGCCGCTTACATACTTTGGTGCTGTGTGACTTGGGTACATTCAGTTGGTAACATAACTAGGAAGGGGTGTATAGGCACATGGGTGGAAAAAAGTATGTATAAAGCTCCATCCTCATGGAGCTTACATTCTAATGACAGGGAGACAGACAAAAACCAAACTACCAAACAGGTCAGATGTTAAGTGTTGTAAGAAAAATAAAGTAAGGCGGGGTTACAGAGAGAGCCATGGGGACAGAGCATTGCAGTATTGAAAGGTGGTTAAAGGACCCCACATAGACTGCAACATTCGAGCAAAATGCATAAAGGATTGAGGGAACTGACCATGCAGGTAATGGGGGAAGAGCATTTTTCAAGCAGAAGCAATGTCATATGTAAAAGCTACAAAAATATTAAAGAAAGCTTTTTGGGTAGAGGAAAAATGACACCAAATTGAAACAGATTTATAAAAAGGGGTAAGTGCCAGGGAAAGGCAGTCTCCTGATGGACAGAAACATCTGAAACTGGTGATCAGCAGCTTCCTGATAAGATCTCAAGAACTGGGATCTTATAAGATTCTTGATAAGATTCTGTCAATTCTTGATAAGATCAAGAATTGGGCAAGCGGGCTTAAGCATGCCCACTAAGAGGCAAAATGGCAGAGTTTAACTGGTTTAACTTTCGGACTGGTAAGGGAAGAATGCCTCACGCATTCAGCAACTCCAGTAAACACACTGCCAGAAATGGCTAATAAGTGAGTAATCATGAAATAGGTTTCAATTTTTTTTTTTTTTTTTAGATAGGATAACTTTAAAAAGATATAGATATAGATAGTAGTGTAGTTCAAAGTGTCTGCAGAATTAAAATGTCTGGGCACAATAGCACAATGGATGGGAGGACGGGAAGGAGAAAGTGGAAGATACTATTTTAAGGTTCTTATGTTAAACCTGAGGTAACATAATAGTATTTCAAAGCAGCCTTTAAAGAAGTAAAGGTACACATGGCAAGCCATAAGCAATTGCTGAAAAATGGAAGAAAAATGTATACCTGATAAGCCTAAGGTAAAAATAAAATGGAATACTAAAAAATACTCGATTGATTCAAAAGATGGTAGGAAAAGAAGCAAAGAACAGATGGGAGAAATAGAAAATAAATACTGAAATACCACATTAATAATTATAATAAATATAATAGTCTAACACACCAATTAAAAGCCAGAGATGAACAGACTCGATGAAGAAACAAGACCAAATACATGCTTAATGTTTTCCTGTGAAAATTCCTGCTCTGCATTTTGGGAGATTTTTATATTTCAGTCAAGAAATTGGGAAAATGAAAAAAGTATAAATCTTGGATGCAAATTCAAGGTTAACGATAAATATAGACATTTCTTTTAATTACTTTCAAAGGCAAAAACCGCAATTACTTTTGCACCAACCTAGTAGTTTTGAGGAATCCACTGATGTCAACTCAAAAGCATGAACAGGAACCACTAATGTGCAGAGTCTAAGGTTAAGATAAACATTTACAGAAACCAGGGAAGGAGCAGGCAGAAGAGTAACCATAACCTCCTCGGTTAGTCTCAGTCATAGCTGTTGCCAGGCTGTAAACACATGTTTGTGGAATACTCTGAAATAAGATTAGAAACTGATCTAAAACCTGAATTGCAAAAAGAATATCAGTTTCATTAGCAAAAATCAAAATCAAGGCAAGCACACAAAATATTTTTATTGTTAAAAAATGATATAATCTGATATGAAGAAACATGTGCCCTAAAGCCTAATTTACAAATGCTTTCAGGTACATTCTTGGCCATTCAACCAACATCAATGCAAAAATGAATGAAAATTTTCCACATTTGTAAGGTTTGTCATGAAAAAAGAGAAAAGACTAGTGCATAAGACAATTAATTCTTTGTGTATTTTTCATTTTTTAATGATACCTTTGGGGTATTAAATTTTGTGGTATTATTTTTCAAAATTTTAAATGATTTTTGCATGGCATTTATTTTGTGTTAATATTCACCTTTAAAATATTTTCTATTCTCAAATGTCTATGTCAGGTAGAGATTACTTTTATGTTACTGAAAAAAAAATTTACCTACAAATAGGTACTTTAGCAAAAAAGTGTTATGAAAAATACAGACTAATGTAATTTAAGGAATTCCCAATATTTCCTTGGAATTCTATTTTTTGTTTCTGAATACCAAAGATTAATATATATCTACAGAAAACTTACCTTAAAAATAAATATATAAATGGTTTAAAAGAAAACGATAGGAGAAAGTATGTGATGCAGAAACTAATTATGAGACTGGCATTACTATATTAATATCAGACAAAGTAGACTCCAGTACAATAACTATTACCAGAGATAAAAAAGACATTTCATAAGGACACAATGCTCAAATCTCAATATAAATATAATATATATGTGCATATAACAAACTTAAACATGTATGCACCAGAAAAATCCTCAAAGTACCTAAAGCAAACATGGCAGAATTAAAAGGGAAAAAAAGACAAATACAAAATATAGTTGAAGATTTCAACACTTCTCTTAGTAATTAATAGAAGGAATGTAAATCTATAGGAATACAGAAATTCTTACAGATTTGTAATTAATAGAGGGAATGTAAATTAATAAAAGGAATGTAAAATCTATAAGGATACAGAAATCCTGGATAAAACTGCCAATCAGTGGGATTTAATTGACATGACATCTATTGAACACTTCACCACTTCACCCAACAGCAGCAAAATGCTTTTCTTTTCAATGGCACATAGAACATTTGCCAAGATAAGCAACATCCTAAGCCATTAGAAAAAGTGTACATACATTTAAAAGGATTGAAATCATACAGGATATATTTCCAATATAATAAAAATTAGCAATAAACAAAGAGATCTAAAAATCCCCAAATATTTGGAGAAAATATTTCTGGGAATCTCATGGATCAAAAAAGAAGTCACAAGAGAAAATCCAAAACAGTTTGAACTGAGTGAATATAAAACACAACATATATATTCATCAGATGCAGCTAAAGCAATTCTTTAGAGGAAAATCTATATCCTTAAATGCTAACATTAGAAAAAACAGGTCTAAAATAAAAGATATAGGCTTATACCTTAAGAGACTAGAAAATTCAGGAAAATTAAAGCCAAATAAGTAGAAAAATAATAAGCAGAAATTAATAAAATATAAATATACAAACTATAGAAAAAAATCAATGAAACCAAAGTTGATTGACTAGATTAATAAAATCAACAAACTTCTAGATATGCTGAACAAAATAAAAGAGAAGACACAGATGGAGACTAATAGTAATGAAAGAGGGTACATCCCCTTTTTAATGTTGATCTTCTATCAACATTTAAAAGATAATAAAGGAATGGTGTGAGAAAATTAATATAAATAATTTCAACAACTTAGAAGAAATAAAAGACATGAAAAGTTATACATTACCAAAGACACAAGAATAGATACAAAATTTAAATAGCCCTATTTATTATCAACAACAACAACAAAGTAATTAAACAACTCATCACAATGAAAACTGCAAATCCAGATGGATTCCTTGGTGAATAAACCAAACATTAAAGAAGTATTTTTGCATCTTGCATGAGAGTTGAATTCCAAAGTCTGAATAGATTCTTAGTTCCAAGCATCAGAAATAAAGTCAGACTAATTTAGAATTTAAAAAAAAATACTAAAAAGATTTTGAGTAACCTTCCTATCCAGAAGGCTTGTAGAGCCAGGTATGGCAATTGGACTGAGAAGGACACCCCACTTAACTCCAGAGAGGTGCCATAGTCACACAACTGAGTCCAGACACACGGCCTATACTGCCAACACCACAGACACCACACACCTATCACTGGTGTTCTCATTATGCTATTGGTGCCTTAGGAAGTAAGGTGTGGACAGTTTGCTGCCACTGCACTCTGCAGAATGGATTCCTTGAAGTCCCCACTTCATTGCTTCATTAAGGTTTCATTTAAAGACTCATGTCTCTATTCCCTCTTTTCAAGAAAAGATAGAAAAATATTTGAAAATGTTGATCTCTATAAAGGCAGGTGGACTTTGCCTCATAAAGAAGTGTGATCTGATGCTGGGACAATTGTAATAGCACATGTCTAATAATGCATGTAAATTAAAAATGAAATCACATCTGATCAAAATTGCCCTAAAAATCCTTAAATCATCCAGTTTTCTGTCCGTGTACAGATATGTCAATTTTCAATAAATCCAACAGGGCTACTTTTTCTCCAGAGTTGGAATAAATTGTTGCTACTTCCACTGAGCGGCAGATGATGTAGCTGACTTGCATTGAGGTCATATAATAGAAAATCTATGTGTATATGTTTGTTTATTTAAAAACCCTACACTCACACAAGGGTGGTAAGATGCTCACACTATAACCGACTGAGAGAATGACAAATATCACCAGCCACTCCACTTAAAATATTATTTTTATTTCCCCTCTTCTTTCTCTTCTCCCACCACCACCCAGACCCTCCTCTTGCTCTCTCTCCTCCCCCTCCTTCTCATCCTACTCCTCCTCCCAAAGAATACCATCAGTTTGTTGCTTACATGATGGGACTCAGCTGTTTCTCTGTAGCTTCCTGACAGCTGGGGCAGAGATTTTATCAACACTTTCTTACATCACTCTTTTGCATCAGTTCCTAAAAGTTGAGAAAAAAAAAAGTTGACCTTTTCCTTTTACAGATGGTCAAGCTGAGGCTCAAAAAAGAGTGAGGCTTGCGGAAGGAACAGAGGAGGGCTGTGACTGTTGGTACTGGAACCTGGGCTGCCTCTTAATGCATCTTCCTGTATATATTTTCTTACTTTCAGGAGTACAGACTTTCAGACAAGGAGCTGGACTCTCTTGGCTTTAAGAGTTCGACAAAGCCATTGTTCTGAATCTGTTCTCTGCCTCCCAGCCCTGTGATAAGAATATCCTAGAAACTGGATTTTTCTATAAAAAACATTTCCCCATGTGGACTGTGTACATTCTGCCTCAAATTCTCTTTGGCAGTTTCACAGTTTAAAAATACTTGAGGATCTCTTTAACTTTGTTTCTCCTCCTCATTGTAAAACTTCACTTTTCACTTGTGTTTCCTCCAGGAACACCCTCCACCCGGCTGGAGCAATGCAGTGCTCTCTTCCCCCTTCTCCTAACTCCTGATTTCCTCCATGCTCAACTTCCATCGGCAACATCTTTTCAAACCCCATGCTTGGATTCGTTCTCTTCAAACCAAATCCAAAGAGTGAAGAAAGAATGTAAACCTTTTTCTACAAGTTTTTTGTTGTTGTGGTCTTTTGCAAACCCTTAATTAGATTCAAATATGAAAACATCTATCCAAAACATCTGGAAAATCATCCCTGATTTCCTAAAAAATAGATATATCAGCTGGACCACAGCTCTAGGAGACCTACTGCAGATTAGGTGTGGAAAAAAAAAAAGGTATGTGGAATAATCTGAGGTTAACCTAAATAATGGATAGAAATTTCTGACACTACTATGATTTTTTCCCCTGGGACTCAGGTGCAGAGGTTTGAGTTCATTGTAATCCTCAGTTTAGAACACATTGTCATCATTGATCTATGCAAGATCCCATGGTTTTGTTTGTTTTTGTTTGTTTGTTTGTTTGTTTATTTATTTATTTATTTGAGACAGAGTTTCACTCTGTTGCCCAGGCTGGAGTGCAGTGGCACGATGTTGGCTCACTGCAACCTTCGCCTCCCAGATTCAAACAATCCTCCCACCTCGGCCTCTCAAGTAGCTGGGACTCCAGGCATGTGCCACCACACCCAGTCAACTTTTTGTATTTTCAGTAGGGACTGAGTTTCACCATGTTGACCAGGCTGGTCTCAAACTCCTGACGTCAAGTGATCCACCCACCTCAGCTTCCCAAAGTGTGGGAATACAACGTAAGCCACCACATGCCGCTAACTTTTTTTTTTTTTTTTTTTTTTTTAAGTAGGGACAGGGTTTCACCATGTTGGCCAGGGTGGTCTTGAACTGCTGACCTCAGGTGATCTGCTCACCTCAGCCTTCCAAAGTGCTGGGATTACAGGTGTGAGCCATCATGCCCAGCCAGATTCCTTGGTTTTGACTTGTCTATTTATTTATTCTCTTTTAACCCAATTCCCTTCCCTCTGTAGACAATCATTGCAGTGTGTTTAATGCTTATCTATTCTTTAGTATGTGTTATTTCCTTTGAGATAGGTCTTGTTTTGCCGCCCAGCCTCAACCTCCCGAGCTCAAGGAATCCTCCTGCCTCTGCCTCCTGAGTAGCTGGAACTACAGGCACACACCACCACACCTGGCTATTATTATTATTATTTGCAGAGACAGGTTCTTACTCTATTGCCCAGGCTGGTCTCCAACTCCTGGGCTCAAGGGATCCTCCGAGCTCAGCCTCCCAAAGTGCTAGGATTACAGGAATGAGCCATCACATCCAGCCTTGTATGTGTTCTTGACCGGCATATATTGTTAGTGTGCATGTATTTTAACTGATATAAATGATAAGTTCCCTATTGCTATGTGAACATATAATCCATTACTTTGAATCACTACACATTTTCACATTTTACTTACCTTCCCCATACAGACTTCCAATTCCTGCCCCCAACAATTAATATTGTGACCAGCATCCATACTGTGCCTCTTGCGGTCCTCTGTGAGAGCTTCCTGAAGAGACGTTTCAAGTGGTAGAATTCCTGGATCATAGAGTATGGTGGTTACAATTTTGGGCCACCAAGCCATCCAGTTCAAGACCAAGGGAGCCTCAGCTGCTGCCAATGGCTCTCAACTGAGTCTTTCTCCAGGGGACTCAGAGAGGTCCTGGCCCTAGGTCCTGGGACTTGCCTCTTTGTATCTGGTGGGGAATGGTAGACAGCTCTGAAGGGCCATCCCAGCTCCAGATCTCCCTGTAAGATAACAGAATAGCTGGGCTGGGCGCAGTGGCTCATGCCTGTAATCCCAGCACTTTGGAAGGCCGAGGTGGGTGGATCATGAAGTCAGGAGTTCAAGACCAGCCTGGCCAATATGATGAAAGCCCGTCTCTACTAAAAATACAAAAATTAGCTGGGTGTGCAGGCGTGCGCCTGCAGTCCCAGCTGCTTGGGAGGCTGAGGCAGGAGAATCGCTTGAACCTGAGAGGTGGAGGTTGCAGTGAGCTGAGATCGCGCCACTGCACTCCAGCCTGGGTGACAGAGTGAGACTTTGCCTAAAAAAAAAAAAAAAAGATAATGGAATAGCTGAGGCCTCTGTGGTGAATGCATTTCAGTTCAACTTCTACCGATTTCACTCTCTTGAATGTTAATTCTGAACATGCTCCCTGGGAAATTTCCTGCATGCACTGCATACTCTGCAACCAACCTGAGTTGCAGATAGTGTGTGCACTGAAAGCAGTCACAGCTGCCCTCCAGGGTGGATATGGGATACAGCCAGCACTCCACAAGCCCCACAGAAATGTCCTACCTTCCCTCATCCCTGTGAACACTTGGGATTTTCTAGTAGTCCAGGTTTTTTTTTTAACAAATGTTTTAGGTATAAAGTCGTATCATTTTGTTTCAACTTGCATTTCTCTGACTATTAATGATTTTTGGTCTCTCTTTTTATATTTATTAACTTTTGTAGTAAATAAGTATAATTTTATAAATTGTCTGAACAGAATGGGCATGGTGGCTCATGCCTGTAATGCCAACACTTTGAGAGGCCGAGAAGGGGGGTATCACCTGAGGTCAGGAGTTCAAGACCAGCCTTACCAATATGGTGAAACCCCATCTCTACTAAAAATACAAAAATTAGGTGGAAGTGGTGGCTCACGCCTGTAGTGCTAGCTACTTGGGAGGCTGAGAAAGGAGAATTGCTTGAACCTGGGAGGCAGAGTTTGCAGTGAGCTGAGATCATGCCACTGCACTCCAGCCTGGGCAACAAAGCGAGATTCCATCTCAAAAAATATATATATAACAATAATTAAAATAAATAAATAAATTGTCTGAACATCTTATTTGGTATTTTCCTTTTGGGGTTACTGTCTAGGTATTAATCCCTTTTCAGTTGAAAATACTGCAAAATCATCTCCCATTCTGTCATTGGCTTATTAACTTTATCTTGTCCTTCATTGAACCAAAGCCTTAATTTTCATGTGATCAAATCTTTTAAAGTTTTTTGGTCTATTGTTTTTATTTTTGAAGTTCTGTTTAAAAAGTCATAAAGACACTGTATTCTTTTCTAATAATTATATATTTTTACCTTTCAAATTTACACTTCACATTTTCACATTTAATCAATTTTGAGCTCATTTAACTGTGACATTAAGTAGAGATCCTGTTTTATATTTCTCTGTAGAGTGGTCTAGTCTAGCTTGCCCTAGATCAGCACCATTATTTGTTTATTAGTTTATTTTTTTCTTTGACAATACCACACTGTTTATATTGTGTTGACTTTGTAATATGACTTTATATTTGATACAGCAATTTTTCCCTCTTTGATTTTCTTTATTGTTTAATGAGCTATTTTGTATGTTTACCAAATTTTAGAGCGATCTTAAAATCAATGTACATTTTATAGTAAACATCTATTTTTTTCAAATCCCAACTGGAATATTCATTTAGATTGAATTAAAGATATAGATTTAGTATAGGATAGTTGATCTGCTTATATTGTTATCTGTCAGGATTATTGAAGTATTATTTCTGTATCCTTTATATGTTGTTGCTATTGTAAGCGGTATTATATTTTAGAATTATATTTCCTAATTGGTTATGGTTGATAAAAAGAAATACCACTGAATTTTGTAGTTTGATGTTCTATCCAACATTTTTGCTGAATTTAATTTTCCCTTATTTATTGAGAGATAATTGACAAATAAAATAACTTTATTGTTCATTACAAGAATTTTTCTGTTGAGTTTGGATTTTTCTGTTTGTGTGCTTGCTTGGTGAATGATCAAGTCATCTGAAAATGATAAGGCTTAAAACATTGTCCAACCCATTCTCTTCTAACTGGCTCTCTTTTAACTACTGACATTGTGGAAAACCCATACTGCATTCTAATTTTTTTCTCCTTAATACCAAAGTAAATAAATTACCTCGTATTTTTACTTTGCAGAAGACTTGAGTTATAATTAGGTGTTAAAACTTTCTTTAAGAAAAGTGCAGGATGGAAGCAGGATAAATCCAAATGTGTTAACATATGCCTTTCAGTCCTATTCGTGACTTCCTCCCAAAGTGTTTCTGTTCCATTAACTCTGTCCTGGCCACTCAATGTAACATTTACTCCCAGTTAGGACCCTCAGCCTTAGGCAGCCTCCTGGGTTTTCACTTGCTTTCTTGTGCTTCTGCCATGACTATGAGAAGGCCATGCTGGGGACAGTGAGCATGAGAGACTCATGGCGCTGAACTGCCCCAGCCTGGTCCACCAGGCTAGTCTAGCTGACTTGCAGATGCAGGAACGAGCCAGCCCAACCAAAATCAGTGGAACTGCCCAGCCAAGACCTGCCGATCTTCAGGTCATCCCACAGACATGTAATCTGGATAAATGCTGTTGCTCTAGGCATTCAGGTGATTGCATTGTGTGGTTACTAGTTTGGTTGCACAGCAATTGCCAATTGCAAATGTGTCACATATTAATGCTCTCTTTAGTCACCATCCAAGGTAAAAATTCTGCCAATAGGTATTTGTCAGTTTTCACGCTGCTGATAAAGACATAACCAAGACTGGGAAGAAAAAGAGATTCAAATGGATCCACAGTTCCACATGGCTGGGGAGGCCCCAGAATCATGGCAGGAAGTGAAAAGCACTTTTTACGTGGTGGTGGCAAGAGGAAATGAGGAAGATACAAAAGCAGAACCCCCCAACAAAACCATCAGATCTCGTGATACTCACTCACCACCAGGGGAACAGTATGGGGGAAACCGCCCCCATGATTCAAACTATCTCCCACCGGGTCCCTCCCACAACACGTGGGAACTATGAGAGTACAATTCAAGATGAGATTTGGATGGGGACACAGAGCCAAACCATATCAAAGGGGAATCCTCTCCTCTACCCCTGCTCACCAAGGCCCGTGCCCATACCCCCAGTGTCTCGCCCAGCTTACAGGACACCATTGCCATACTCACACATTGCCAGAATAAGTGAGATACAGTGCTGAGGTTTGTCGGGGCCCCAGTTATTTTCCCAAGATATGGACATGGTTCAGTTCCCCAGGGGGTCCAGGAAGCCCTAAATAGCTGGCTTGCAAACCCTGCCTTCACAAAAAAGAACCCCGAATAATCCACATATGTCCCATGCCTCTCAAACTGTTTGGAAACATAAATGGTTGTATACACTTGGTCTTTTCACTTGAGATCCCCAAGTGAAAATAACAATGTGTAGAAGGCTCATATTTTGCAGATTTTTGTTACCAACCATTCATTCTGCCTAAACTTTGGAAAGTGGGTTTTCTGCAAAGGGTGTTGTCGGAGCCTGCGGCTGCCAGGATGATGAGCCCAGCCAGTGTTCTTGGCTGGGAATTATGGTTTTTTAAACTAATTCTTATTGTTGTCCACTTCACAATTTTGCTGCTGCGCTGTAGACCCTAGTATCAATTTTAGTTGAAAATGCTGCAAAAACAAAAAGGTAATGCCACTTCCCACACTGTTTCAAAAGGTTTTTTAAGTGGAAAAAGGTATTTAGTATTTTTAATAAGCATCTTCAATACTATTGAGTTGGTTTCTTTGTTAATATCACAAGATTAATTATGCTGTCAGACACTTTCAAGGCCTGCTTAACAAAGATTCAGTGATATAATGGTTTGCTTTGCACTGCCTTTTTTCTGCATAGCAATCACAATCAGCATTAGACAATTTAAAACCCTTTCACCAGCCGGAAGTTCTGAAGAGCCTTTTAATCAACAAAAGTAATTTTGCAAACAACTAGATACAGCATTTTTCATATTAACTAACTTGCATTTAAACTCTGCAGGCTTGACTCTTCCTGGACCTTTGATTCCAGGAAACTGGGATATTCCGATGGCCTAGAATCCGAAAGTGAGGATCACACACACTCTCTGCCTTGGGCACCCCCTAAATGTTCAGGTCCTGTTACCCAATTCTGCTTGTTAAAAAGATAGCATTGGTACTCAAATGTAATTCATTCATTTTAATTATCCCTTAATATACATAACTCATCTAATGAGCTACATTCTTTTTTTTTAAATGTGGTTACCTAGAGAGCTTCATCTTGTTATTTAATAAATACAATTTACGCTCGTGTGTTGAAATTTTGTATAGTTTTAAAAATTTCGCTTGTTTTCTTTTTTTTTAAATGTGTGAATGCCTTGGGTTAGAAAATTCTATTAGCACCACCTTCGAGATTTTAAAATTCAATATTTTTGAGATTGATGGTAATTGAGCCAAAGCTGAAGTTCTGTGCTCACTAGGCGGCAGCCCCCTACAAAACTAAAGCTTTTGGGGTTCTGTATGTGAAAGAGCCCTGGCAGGGAGACACATTTCGCTTTTTTTTTTTTTTTAATCAGGCACATTTTTAAAATGAAACTAACCTGCTAATGACACCTTTAAAACATTAATTTAAAAAAAAGAGGAGGAAATAAAGGCCCAGCCAGCAGCAGTAATTTGTACCGTTACTGTGTGTAGTAATTAGTAACTGCAGCACTGATTCCCGCACCCTAAACCCTCGTGTGTTTGACACTATTTCAACCCTGGTGAGAAGTGACCCAGGGATCTGGAGCCACAGGACACGAGGAGCAAGTCCTGTCACAAGAAATAACAGGGTCAGGAGACACGACTAATGAAGTCATAGCAACTGGTGCGCAGAGCCAATCAGAGGAGGCGCCAATCTGTAAATGAGGATGTAATTAGCAGAAAAAATAACATGCTTTGGTTGAATTCGAGGGGAGCCTGTAATGACTGGATATTGAGAAAGATTCCGAAAGATTAGAGCAAACATTATGCAACAAAGAATACCTAATTAGGGGGAAAAAGTGAATATGCCTTAATTAGAGGGAAATACATGATTGAAAGACGCAAAGTTGTCTTTTAATATGAATGTAGCCATGAAGGTTAGCGTGTGTTTCCTGGTTCGGCACAGCAAGGCACTCTGTGAATTAGTGGGAGCGGCACACTCACGTCTCTTTGCAGTTGGTGCTTTCTGCCGGGAGACACAAAGGTGCTCCTGAGCACCTCTTGCTCCTGTGAGTGGATGACCCGTGATGCCTATAGCACAGGTAGTTACCTGTCTTGGCCACAAAATACTCCTGCCTCCTGGAGCACAGACACCCCCACAACTTGTCCCAGTGCTTAAAAAGCAGAAAACAGATCACCATGTGCAAAAAAAATGTGTCCATGTGTCAGCATCTAGGCACATAGCTTACCTTGGATGGTTTCCTTTCAGATCTGTAACTGGCAAGGTGTATATTTTGTTTAGAGAATTGAAGCAGAGCCCTCCTCCTTCCAGACCACCCAACCCAAATAGGTCCGTCTTGTCACCCCAGCAGGGGCGTTTTTATGATCCACGAGAATGAGAAAAAAAAATGCCACCAGGAGCCCTTCCTTCACGGTAGTAGACATTTCAAAACTACAAGCAGCTACTAATTTTTTCCCCTAATAGTCAAACTACACGTTGTTTTAGTTCCTCCCTTTTTTCCTTTTTGTCAACCTGTTCTGAGTATTGATTTTCATTTATTTTACACGATTCTTAATTGTCATTATTAGCACATCTATGGTGCATCCTTCGGCTTAAATATGCCTTGTCAATTTTGCAGCATATTTATAGATTAATTTAAATGTGTTTGTAAATTTATGACTGCATACCTTTGGTATGTTTGTAAGATTAAAATACTTATGGTACAGAATTTTTTAATTAAAACTATTCATCAAAGAAAGTCCAGGTAGCAAGCTTCTCCTTGTTTGCGGTGGGGGATCTGGCAGCTAGAGCCAGAAAATAATAGGTCAATTAAAAAAAATCTAAAGATAGCATTTTCAAAGACCCAATTGTTTAATGAGCATTTGGCAACCGATCCCCCCAAATTAAATTATGAACGTGATTTTTAGTTATGGGCATCAGGGCTACACGTGGCAGAAAAAAAGAAGAGGCCAGGGAACGGAGCCACTCCTGGCTAGGTTTCCTGCCAGCAAGGTTTGCTTCTCAGAGTCTGGCGGGAAGGAGAGCAGGGACCACATTTTGGAAATTGACACCCTGAAACCATGGGGAAGTCTGCATTGAGTCCCCGCACCTCTGGTCTGCCCTACCATGCCACCTTTGTTTGTACCTCTTAAAACCCACAGCCCCGACTTGGCAGGCTTCTCTTTAGGAGACAGCAAGGAGGGCTCTGAGCTGCTACGGAAACAACCTTTCATATGGCACTCATCGAATAGGGAAAAAGAGTCTCTTCGGTTCTTTGCCCACAAGTGCTACTAATTCCCTTTGCTGAACTGTCAGCTATCAGGAGACGAGGAAGGCCATCGGAAACAAATAGCACACCTGTGGTTCCCTTAACTGATGCTTCCTCCCCCGATGCTGCTGTTACTGGTTCTGTATAAGGTGCAATGCTGAACGGGACCACTGGCCTCAAACTCCAAGGAAGCAAACATGTAATTAACATAATTAAAAAGCCAAGCAGCACCCCACCATGGGATTATGGGGCACTGTCTTCAAGTCTCAGAAATAACTGGACACTTTGGGGTTCTCAGACAAGGCATGGGTAAAAAGATATGCTCATTTTCCTTCTAGTGGGGCAGGCAGGTCAGAGTATGGACTTGATGTTGGGTCATTGAAATTCCTGTCTTCTATCTTATTCTCTTTTGAATTTGCCTTAATTTTTAGTATTTTCCTCCTATTTTTTTGGCCAGTTTTTTAAAAAAATAGCTGGTCGTTGATCCTAGATCTCAGTAATCAATTTTGCATTTCTTACACTTTAAAAATACCATTTTCTAAAAGTAAAAATTGTGTTTCTCATCAGCACCCATATTTTCATATTATTTTATAAATCTTTTTTCTATTTTCCACTCCCTACAATTTGTAAGTCCACCTTCTTGCTCTGATTATCCCAGATCCCCCAACCATATGAGAATATTGCTTGCAAACAGATATGATTTTTTAAAATTAGCAAATTATTTGGGGTACTTCTCACAGATATGGAATGAATAACATTGACTTGTGCCCTGTTATTATTTTCTAGTTTTAGAATCCTGCTCACTTTGGGGGTGGACATTTTAGTGATAGAGCTAAATCTCTGTCCTGAAATAAACAATGTAAATAATAAAATATTTTTCAGCTATCTAACATTAAGTAGACCATGTCAAATGTATTTCAAGTCAGATATTAGAAAAATAGGAGCGTAGTATACATTTACCAGCGGCGTCTTGAGTGGGTTGGATGGCTGGATGCAGGGATGCCAGGGGAATCGTCCACTCGGTCTCCTTACCAGCCCTGAGCCATTCCTGGGCATTCCAGGGACAGAGTGGCCTATAGGAAAGCTATTTTGTTCATGTCCTGCCATTCACTCCCTGATTTATTTCCGATGTAAGCTTTTATCAAAATGTCCCCACTGACGGAGGAGGCAAAGGCAGATAATAATAGAGATAGCTAATGGAGCAGGGTTGCATTGGAATTGGACCAAATCCTCCTTTTACTCGACTTTGAATGCTAAATGAATCACTCAGATTTATGTGAAGGTAGAGGCTCCACAAGGTCCGCATCAGGGCAAAATAGGGTTACAATTCAATAAAACGCGTGGCAATGCTTTATTGACTAATGAACCTACCGTGCCGCCAACTGCTGTATTTTACTGTCGCAGCCCATAACTGCCTGGCAATTACATTGTGAGTGTTTGCTAAAGATGTGCCTGTCTTTTCCCCAGATCTGGAAACAGGTTCAGCAAGAGAAGCTCCGGAAAAGCAGGTCGCACACCTTTCCCAAGTCTTCTGGGGCTAGAAGCCAGGCACAGATAATAACAGTGCAAACAGTTGATGCTGCTATTTTTAAATAAGCTGTTATTATTGACTAACAGAGGTTGTCGTGGGTGGGATGACAAAACCTCCAGTGCCAGAGAGTAGCTGCAAAGACTTCCACCAGAGAGCTCGTTAATGAGCAGCGGCTAAGTGCAGAGTTAAATGCCTGCCGCCATGCTTTCTGCTCTGTCTTCTGTGGAGGAGAGGTGGGCTGCTGGCCCGGTGCTCTAGCCATAATCCCTTCAGCCCCTGCCATCCTCCAAACATGTTGCCTATGTGCATATCTTGTCATTAGGTAAGGTGAGGAGCCCAGGGCATGAGGCTTTCCACAGCAGAGAAGGTGGCTGTTTGCCAGTAACCAGGAGTGGTTTTTAATATTGAAAAATACAGTGGCTGCCATTGTAGGTAGCTCTGCTCTCACAATACACAGTCCACATGTGCCCTAATACATGAGCTAGAGCAATTCCCAGGGGACTCTTTGCATACTTGCATGCATGCACACATGCGTGCACACACACGCACACACACAGATGGGCTAAGTTTCCTCTGAATTGTTCTTTGCCTTAGTGCATTTAAAATGAACTTCAGTTTAGGAAAGTTCAGTGCTTATGGTGCCAGATTCCTAATGTGCTGTAAAAGGCACTTGGAGGCCCCAGCACGGCAGAATCAGCAGAGAGAGCTACTGCAGTGCTGTGCTCTGAAAGGCTAGGCCAGAGAGGACCAGTGGAGCAGGCGGAGGATGAGCCAGCACCACCCTTAGTCTCAGCTCTATATGTTTGCTTTTGTTTGTTGGTTTGGTTGGTTGGTCGGATTACAGACAGGATCTCATTCTATCACCCGGGCTGGAGTGCAGTGGTGTAATCATGGCTCACTGAAGCCTTGAACTCCTGGGCTCAAGCAATCCTACTGCCTCTGCCTCCTTAGCAGATAGGACCACATGTGCACACTATCAGGGTCGGATAATTTTATTTTTTATTTTTTTATAGAGAAAGGGTCTTGCTATGTTGCCACACTAGTCTTGAACTCCTGGTCTTAAGCAATCCCCCTGCCTCAGCCTCCCAAAGTGCTGAGATTGCAGGCACGTGCCACTACGCCCAGCTAATTTTTGTATCTTTTGGTAGAGACAGAGTCTCACTATGTTACCCAGGCTGGACTCAAACTCCTGGACTTAAGCAGTCCTCCCAGCTTAGCCTCTCAAAGTGCTGATATTACAGGTGTGGACTGCCGCACCCATTCAAATGCTCTTTCAGATCTGCTTGGCACGTGTGTAGTGATGTGTTGGGGAGGAAATATTGAAGCTCATGGATTATTTAGAGCAAAGGCTAGTTGCAGAATGATTCAGGAAGTATGATTGCATCTTTAAATATTTTTTAAAACATCAAAACATACTGAATATATTTGCACATTAGTAAATGTGTACAAATGATCTAGAAAGAGCCACATCAACCTGAGAGTAATGCTTATTTACATTACATGTGCTAACATAGTGCCAGCCACTGTTCTAAATATTTCACATACATTAACATGCCTATGATGCTCGCAGCGATTTTATGGGGGCAGTTACCATCTGAGTTTTATTTTACAGAATGAGGAGTTGAAGCACAGAGAGGTGAAGTCACTTGTCCAAGATCACACAGCACAAAGCGGCAGAATGATGACTCGCCAAGACCACACAGCACAAAGCGGTAGAATGATGACTCCACCCCAGGCCTCTGGGCCTTAGACTCCATCCCGAAAATCCTGCAACATCTGCCTCTGCTTTGGACAAGGTTGTACTTAGATGGGATGAAGTTCATGGCAGTGATGAAAGAGAGTTTCAGCCTGATCTCTATGTCTCAGCTTTTAACTGGTAGATCATAAGCTCTTACTATTTGTGAATTGTATAATGTTATGTTTACAAGGATTATGGAAGCCCAGCCTGAATGCCACCATGTGATGTCAGAGCTGGTGTTTGATTTTATGGTTTGATCAGTTTGGCAAAGTAGTGCAGTCCCAGTTGTTGCAGACTAATGAGAATTGCCGAGAGAGACTTGCTATGAATAGGTGATGTGTTCTGTCCAAGGATAGGCCGCCTGGCACACAGTGGCTGGATGTGTGAAGGCTTCACTGTGGTAAGTGAGGGAATCAGACCATAGCCCATGCCAAGGGGGGCTGGCCAAACAGGACACAGTGCACTGGGTGGCCCTGATTGCCACTCACATACTGTGAACAGCCTTTTACGTCAGAACAGGACAAATCCGTTGTGCTGAATTAATATTGCTGATTTAAATTCCATTGTTTTGTAATACTTTCTATTTAAATGTAATAGTTTTGTGGTTTTGTTTACATTTAACTTGCAAATCTGTTTTGGCTGCCCTTGTACAAAAGCTCTGAGTTTCAGTTGTGTAAAATGGTCAGATGGTAAGACACTACCAGGATGCTTCCCCAGCTTATATTTTTCTCCCCCACCTCCCGCCAGGGGCATGTGGCCTCTAAGGCTGCTCATTCTCCATCCTTGTTTTGCCCACCTCCTTCACTCCTTGGGAAGCCTGCAAGAAACTCCCCATCTTGGTCAGTTTCTCCCCCAGGGTGGGACTGTCCCTGATTTACCTTTGGGTCCCCTCTCCAAGTCTGGCTTTTTTTTTTTTTTTTTTTGAAGGCAGGGTCTTGCTCTGTTGCCCTGGCTGGAGTGTAGTCGTGTGATCTTGGCTCACAGATCCGAGAAAGATAATCCAGGCTCACTGCTGCAACCTCTGCCTCTGGGACTCAAGCGATCTTCCCACTTTGGCCCGCCAAGTAGCTGGACTACAGGCATGCACCACCGTGCCTGGCTAATTTTTGTATTTTTAGTAGAGATGGGGTTTCGCCATGTTGCCTAGGCTGGTCTCTAACTCCTGAGCTCAAGCGATACACTCGCTTCTGCCTCCCAAAGTGATGGATTACAGGCATGAGCCACAATACCTGGCCCCATGTCTGACTTTTCTTAGACCTTGGTGTTTTAAAATGCACTTTACAGAGGAAATTCGAAAGCTCGTTTATGCCAAAGAGTTGATGGCTTGTGTTGGAGACAGTATACATTCTTTAAAGAGTATGGCATATTCCATGTCCCTACAAAGGACATGAACTCATCATTTTTTATGGCTGCATAGTATTCCATGGTGTATATGTGCCACATTTTCTTAATCCAGTCTATCATTGTTGGACATTTGGGTTGGTTCCAAGTCTTTGCTATTGCGAGTAGTGGCTCAATAAACATACGTGTGCATGTATCTTTATAGCAGCATGATTTATATTCCTTTGAGTATATACGCAGTAATGGGATGGCTGGGTCAAATGGTATTTCTAGTTCTAGATCCCTGAGGAATCACCACACTGTCTTCCACAATAGTTAAACTAGTTTACAGTCCCACCAACAGTGTACAAGTGTTCCTATTTCTCCACATCCTCTCCAGCACCTGTTGTTTCCTGACTTTTTAATGATCGCCATTCTAACTGGTGTGAGATGATATTTCACTGTGGTTTTGATTTGCATTTCTCTGATGGCCAGTGATCATGAGCATTTAACAAACCTGCACGTCATGCACATGTACCCTGAACTTAAAGTATAATAAAAAATATTAAAAAAAAGAGTATGACATATTCCACATAAAAAGTCTAAAGGCAGGATTTCATGCACCATAGAACTTGAGGAATATGGCGCCCATCTCTCCATGTATCACAGTGACTTTTGGGGTGGTGATGATGGGGGAGGTCATTAGCTGTCTACATATTCCTGAGATCTCCAGCTTCTATGGAAAGGGAGTTGTCAGAAAGAGGTCACAGAGAGGGAATGTGGCTTATGGGACATTTGGACATTTGGCTAAAAAGGACCTTTCTGTAGCGAGGTGTCCAGGATTCTGTGTCTAGGGCATGCCTCTGGCATAGTGGGAATGTTCAGGGATGCAGCTGTGGTCCAGAGACACACCGTACATGCTCTCTGCAACTCTGATTTCCCAGCGACAAATTCAAAGGTTTGAAGATATGATCTCCAGAGGCCCTCCAGTGTGACATCTGTGAGACTAGAATTTAGGATGATGCCTGGGGAGGAGACCTGTCCAGTTTCAATGGCTCAATCCCCTTCCGCCAGCCAGGGCACCCCATCAACAGTGTGTCTGCTAATGAGTTTTCTGCATTTACCAGAAGGAAGGCTGGCCCGACCCTGCCTCATTGCCAAGTCAACAGGGATACATCTGGCTGTGCAAAGGGGACGATTCACCTCTGCTCACATTCCAAATGCAAAGCCCAGCGCTGGGGACATAATGGGAATTTGTGACACTCCGTGGAGAACTTTAGGCCCATAAACCATAGACAGTATGTAGTCGCTCATCTGTGACAGGCATAATAGGGATAATTGTCACTTAATAAGTAATCCAAGGCTAATTAAATGTTACTAATATACATTGCAAAGATTCTTTTTTTGCTTCTCACACTCTTCAGAATGTCCTGCATGAAGCGGTGCAGGGTACACTCCTGCAGGTAGAACATGAGGAAAACAATGAAAAAATTCCATTGCAATGGGGCTGAGAAAAAAAAAAAATCAGTCCCTCGCTTCTTGGGATCCCTTCAGCACCTTGAAAAAGGAAAATATCCTGGGCCCCCAAAATCGCTAAGGAAAACTCAAGCTGGAAACTGCTTGGGGCAAACCTGCCTCTCATTCTATTCAAAGTCACCCCTCTGCTCTGTGGGATAGATGCATATCTGATTTGCTTCCTTTGGAGAGTCTAATCAGAAACTCAAAAGAATGTAAGGGTTTGTGTCTCACCTGTGACCTGGAAGCTCGCTCCCCACTTCCAGTCTTCCTGCCTTTGCTTCAAGTTGTCCCACCTTTCCAGACCGAACCACATGTCTCCCTAAAATGTATAAAACCAAGCTGTGCCCTGACCACCTTGGGCAACATTTCATCAGGACTTCCTGAGGCTCTGTCACGGGCACGTCCTCAACCTTGGCCAAATAAGCTTTCTAAATTAACCGAGACCTATCTCAGATTTTCTGGGTTCACAACCTATAAAGGCAGGTAGGTCCACGGAGCTTGGGGACGGAGTGGGGAGGAATGGCCTGGGCGGACATGCAGTCACTGTGGCCAAGGTATAAGCCGTGCCTTGCCTGCCTCTCCTCCCACATAGCGGTCTCTTCACAGGCAGATGCAACGTACCTGAGGGATTCACTTGTACAGCACTAGGTACCCAGCAATGATTTGGAAATTCCGTTGGAAAAACCGAATCCTTTATGCTTGAGATAAGTTGACTCTGAGGGAAAGCTCTGCTTGCCCCATGATGGAAGGACATAGTAGCTACACCATGCAGATGACCCCTTTAGGAACAAGAGATGCATTCTCTGGCTCCCGAGAAGGCTGGTCCCTGACAGCTTTCAGCCGAATTCCTTCTAAGAATTGACCTCTGCTAGAGAAAGCTGGCTCCCCAAGGTCATACCATGCCCTGGGGGCAGCCTACACCCAATTACTGGTTGAGACAGGATGCAAAGATGGGGCCCTTCCAAAGGTCTTAGTTCATTTTAGCTGCTGTTAAAAAAATAGTTTAAACTGAGTGGATGATAAACAACAGAAATTTATTTCTCACAGTTCTGAAGTCTGGGAAGTCCAACACCAAGGTTCTTACAGATTCCGTGTCTAGTGAGAACAGTTTTCCTGGTCTGTAGACCACCATCTTCTCCGAATCCTCTCATGGCAGAAGGGATGAGGGAGCTCTCCCACGCCTCTTTTATTTATGTATCTTATTGTATTTTATTTATTCTTTTGAGACAGGATCTTGCTCTGTCACCCAGGTTGGAGTGCAGTGGCACCATCATAGCTCACTGCAGCCTCCATCTCCCCTGCTCAGGAGATTCTCCCAACTCAGCCTCCTGAGTAGTTGGGACTACAGGCATTCACCACCATGTCCAGCTGATATTTTTATTTTTAGTGGAGACAAGGCCTTGCTATGTTGCCTGGGCTGGTCTCAGACTCTTCAGCTCAAGTCATCTTCCTTCCTCAGCCTCCCAAAGTACTGGGAGTACAGGCATGAGCCATCGTGCCTGGCCATGGGGCCTCTTATAAGGGCGCTAATCCCACTCACGAGGACTCCACCCTCATGACCTACTCCCTCCCAAAGGCCCCAGCTCCTGATACCGTCACATTGGGGGTTAGGATTTCAACATATAATTTGCAGAGGACATAGACATTCAGTTCAGAGCTGCCTGTGGGACTGGCCAAGGCCTCACGTGTGCCTGCATCCCGGTTCACCTTCTCCCTCTGCTCAGTACTTTCCTCCTTCCCTCTTTTTTCTTTTTTTAATTTTACTTTAAGTTTTGGGATACATGTGCTGAAAGTGCAGGTTTGTTACATAGGTATACATGTGCCACGGTTTGCTGCACCTGTCAACCTGTCATCTAGGTTTTAAGCTCCGCATGCATTAGGTATTTGTGCTAATGCTCTCCCTCCTCTTTCCCCCTGTCAGGCCCCCCATGCCTGTGTCCATGTGTTCTCATTGTTCAGCTCCCACTTATGAGTGAGAACATGCGGTGTTTAGTTTTCTGTTCCTGTATTAGTTTGCTGAGGATGATGGTTTCCAGCTTCATCCATGTCCCTGCAAAGGACATGAACTCATTCTTTTTTAAGGCTGCATAGTATTCCATGGTGTATATGTGCCACATTTTCTTTATCCAGTCTATCATTGATGGACATTTGGATTCAGGGACCCCTCTTAAGGACATGTCTGCATGTGAATCTAGGATGCAGAGTTTGCTTCCAGGCTCCCCTACCCTATGCCCCAGTACAGTGGCTCAGGCATGTGGAGGGCCTGGCTACATGAAGATTCAATCAAGTGCTCCCGCACTCACTTCTCTGCCAGCTGCCGCTGTACGTTGGGCTCTGGTGAAGTAGGGCCTGCCCCAGGGATTTTTATGAGATGAGCTCTGAAGGAGTATCTTTGTGCAAGGCCTATTAAGAGATGGAGGGAGAGTCAGGCACTACAGGTGGTATGCACCTGTAGTCCCAGCACTTTGGGAAACTGAAGCAGGAGGATCACTTGAGCCCAGGAGTTCAAGGCTGCAGTGAGCTATGATCCTGCTACTGCATTCCAGCCTGGGCAACAGAACGAGACCTTGCCTCTAAAAAATAAAAATAAAAAAAGAGATAGAGGGTGCAGGATAGGGCTTGAGAAACACCCCATCAGGACACGGTCTCAGGGAAAGCCTCACTTTGGCTCCACTGGGAGAGGGTTCTGGAGCACAGCCTGCAACTGGCGGGAAGGGCCTGGCCTTTCATCTCAGCCGGTAAGTGGCTGTGGCTGCCCTAGGAGGGGGTGACAGGAACACAGCTTCCCAGGCATGGCAGCTTCCATGGCAGAGGTGGTTATCCCGAGAAGGGGCACCTATGAGCTGTGGCCACACTTGCTGCACTTGGAGGAGGAGGGCACTGGCTGCTGAGAGCCATCCACACTCTTTTTCCCAATGCCGGAGAGCAAGTGTTTCCCTTATGAACTATGTCCACCCGGGCCCAGCTGACTCATCCACCCATTTCCTGTTTCCACTGATGAATCCACGTCCACTCTTCACATCACAGAACATTTTTTAAAGAACGATAACTTTTATATTTGCATGGGGCTTTTATGTTAAAAGCCCCTTCTCATCACAATCTTCTCATCTCCTGAGCACATTGAGGCAGGTGGGACTGGCATTGCTATTCTATTTCACAGGCAGCCAGCACTGAGCCCTGAGAGAGGCAGGGTTCCATTGAAGCCACCCAGTCAGAGGCAGAGCTGAGCTCAAACCCAACCCTCCAGTGTGTGACCTCTAGCCTGGGTTCTGGAAGCCAGGCAAAGGCTCCCATAATGTTGCCAACCAGAAGAGGTCATAATTTGTGCAGTGCACAGCTTGTGCAGCCGTATACCGCAGGTCTGCCCCTGTTCATACTGACTTGAGCTAGGGTCAGACCCCGGTGGTGACCTGGATGATCAATGCTAGCATAGGCCAGCCACATGGCATGGGTCTACTGCATCCTTCCCTGCATCCCACTAGCCTTGTTTCCTTCTCACAGTTTCCATTCCTCAAAACCCCAGCTCTCATTGGTTGTTGGCTTGCCAGTGTGGCTCTGTCTACCTGAAACTGACCCACAACCTGGAAGTCCCCTGCCCTCTGACACTGATCTTAGCTCCCATTCCTGGAAGGACAGTGGTTCAGCTTATCTTTTGCTGCAGGGTCAGAGGTCACTGGCCAGTATAGGGATTGGTACATGTGGGCATCATCCCAGTGCAATGAAGGGCGTGGCCAGGACACACGGTGGGAATATCTGGTACAAAAGGGTGGCTGGTGCCCTTCACCAGGTCTGTGCATAGGACAGGCTCCATGCCCCCTGTAGTGCAGGAAGACCAGAGCATCACCAGTCAAGAACTTTGGGAGAAGATTCTTATGCTGATGGGAAGTTGAATGAAGGCCCCCTCCCATTCTGAATTCTGTAATTCTAGGGCCCAAACTGTATCCCTTAGAAATAAATAGAACAGCAACTCACCATTTAGATAATTGGCCCATTTGGTGAAGTCTTTCCAGTCCAGCCATCCAAGAAACAGTCTGCCAACAGGCTGTAGTAGGATTCTAGCAGGTCCCGGTGATCTACAATGGCCATGAGGGCCAAACACATGGCTTTCTATAGGATTGGCAAGAACAGCCTAGTGCATGTCACCATCCACTGGAGTTAAGTGGGTTTTAGACTCAGGCTGATGGACCTACCTTGACAGAGAAGAAGAAAGAAGGTTTTATTAAAAAAAAAAAATAGGGCACTGGATTTTAGGTCAGAAGACCTGTACCATGGCTTTGGCCAACTAGGAGGATCTCTCCAAGTTGCTGTTCTTTCATCTGAAAAAAAAAAAAAATGAGGACGGTAATTCCATCTGGCCTGTCTCCCAGGTGGTTTTGGAAATCAGATGGGTAGATGTTTGTGGAAGCTGAGTATGCCCATGGGTGCTCAGCACAGGTGAGTGTGTGCATGACAGTGACAGAGCTCTGGGACTGCATATGCCCTGACCCTCTCCTGGGCTGGAGCTGAAGGAGGCCTGGGTGTCACCTCTGTCCAGCTCCTCACTCTTCATGTGCCCCCAAACCCTCCCTCCTGAGTGCAAGCAGGCATCCTTCCTGTTGGAGGGAAGCCACCCCACCACCTCTTAGCTCCACCCACATCCCTCAGGCTTTCTGTAGTCAGTCATCCTCATTCTGCTTTTTTTCTTTTAAGGTTTGCTTCTTTTCAAATCCCTGCACAGAGTAGGGGAGAGCCCTGCATAGCTTCCACCTCTTTTATATACAGTAGCTTGTTTTATGACTTTGTTTTAAAAACTATTGGCTTAGGGTGCAATAACACAGATGTCTTTGCCTCACAAGAGAACCGTGAATTTCCGCTTCTCTCTCCTTGGTGACAGCTACATTACCTTCCATGGATAGTCTTTTCTTTGGCCCTGGAATAAGGAGGAGAAAAAAAACCCGCTGTTTTCTCCTGCAATTGTCCCTTGCAATAGGGCAATCGGATCGATAGAGCTGGCGCCCACTCTCCTTCAAGGCGCCCCCTACCAAGTCTTCGGGAGGCAGCCCTGTCAGCAGCCTCCTGGCGGTGGAGGAAGACTTAATGTCCCCATCCCCAAAGGAGTGCTAAAGTCATCGCAGGAGAAATATCTGTTTTCTCGCTTGCGTTCTGCAGGCGTTTCCATAAGTGGTGGCAACCCAATGGCGGGGAAACTTTGTTGGCTGCTTCACTAAATCTTCACCTGCCTGACCCCAGCCTGACAACTTCTTAACACGCGCGGAGAACAGTCAATGCTCTGTGCAGAGCTGAGAGCTCCATCAGCCTCTCTGCAAATGTCGGAGTCCCGGTTGGATGAGAGGAAGGAGCTGGAAGGCAGATTTACACACACATCACGGCCAGGCGCGGCGAGGAGGAGGCAGCCTGTCTTGTGCTCGCATGCAGAACTCTTCCCGCTCCTAACATGTCAGGCTGTCATGCTGCCTCTTCCCCGTGTGGAAGTGGTAAGGTGTGAGTTTAATTAGCATGGAACAAAATTTCTTACTATCTAATAATAACACCTTGGATTTTTATGTTACCTGCTCTCCAACGAGATCAGAGCATTCAAAGTAAATGTGCTTCTTCATGGCATCTCTTTGTACTCCAGACGTGAAGATTGATTGCATCCCCATTTCACAGAAAGGGAAGTCAAGGTAGAGAGCTATTGCTGGCTCACCAAACCATGGAAGGAACTTAACGGCAGCCTCCTAACTTAATAGTTTTCTTTCAGTTCTGCGCAGAATCTATGGGCTTACTTTTCTTGGAAAGAAGGGTGATGGAAACCACGTAGGGGTTGCAGCCACCAGGGCCTTCAGATGATGGGTAGGTGACCTTCATGAATGGAGTGGACCATGTGAGAGACAACATGCAGTGGCGGGATCTGGGCAAACTGGAGAGGGCCAGCTGCCTCAAAGGGGAAGCTTAGCCCCAGGTAATTACTGACATGCGAGAATGCAAACCCAGCCTTGCCAGGGCCTTCTGATATTTAGATATACACATGTTGACCAAAAAGAAAAAGAGAAGAAGAAGAAACCATCCCTGGGTAGCTACTATGTCTTCTTATTGGGCACAGCCCCAAGGCCTCCAGTGTGTGACTTCTAGACTAAAGCCGTGTTTAAACTAGATGGGCACACTGGCCTTTGCTTGGCGGATGAGGGTGAGCTGAAAACGCACTGGCTCGGGAATAGTTGGAGGCTATGCTGCAATGTGAGCAGGAGATGACAGGTCTCTGAATTTCAGGAGTGGCAGTGGCATGGAGAGATGGAGGAGGAGCCCAAAGAAGTAGAGGAAAAAGAACGAATGAATGTGATCCACTGAATGAGGGGTGAGCTCATGATGGTTCCTGCAGGAGATCCCTGGGTCAAGAGGTTAGAGGACAGACGAGCCCAGAGACCTCCCTGTGAGACACAGGACCCAGAAAGGTGGATGATGAGGTCTCAGCCTAACACACTCCAGGTAGCAACAGGACGGGCAGGTAGAAATGTCCCATGTCCTGGATGTGCTCAGGCTTCGGGATACCAGGTGCAGTCCACATGATAAAAATGTGAGCATAAATAGCTGCCATCTCTATGTTGTCTCAAAATGAAAATCCTCCCCAAATAACAGATAATCCTTTAAAGAAAATACATTTAGCTTTTTATGAAAAACTTACTCCTTGGAAGGCTGGGCATGGTGGCTCACGCCTATAATCCCAGCACTTCGGGAGACTGAGGTGGGCAGATTGCTTGAGGACAGGCATTCAAGACTGGCCTGGGCAACATGGCAAAACCCCGTATCTACAAAACAAAAAAAAAAAAAAAAGAAAAAAAATTAGCTGGGTGCGGTGGCATGTGCCTATAGTCTCAGCTACTCGGGAGGCTGAGGTGGGCGGGTTGCTTGAGCCCAGGAGATTGAGGTTTCAGTGAACTATGATTGCACCACTGTATCCCACCCTGGATGACAGAGCAAAATCCTGTCTCAAAAAAGAAAGAAAGAAAAAAAAACCTGTTTCAAAAAATATTTTTTTAAAAATACTTACTTCTTGGCCTTTCTTTTTATTTCGTTTAACACAAATGACACAGGTGTGTGAATTGCTGTTTGAGAGCCTCTGTTCTGGCTCGCAAGAAGAAACTGGTGGGGAAAAGACCGAGGGTGGAGTTTGGCAGTAGTCATGAGAGGGAAGATGGGAAATTTGGGAGGACACAGGATCCCCCCAGCACCACGCAGCCTAGGGGAGAGAAACAAAAATCAGGAGGCTGGGTTTTAAGACCTGGAGGATGTTCTCAGCCAAGTCTAGAAGAAAAAGAACAGGAGACAAAGGGGAAGGGGTGAGTGTCGGGGTCGCAGGGCAGCAGGAGGAGCTCAGGCAAGGTGCATTTGGAGGGCTGAGGCAGCCTGGTTGGCTCTATGGGCATCTCGGACTTCCAACTTGATTCAAAATCACTGGAGCCCTGCCCTTTTCACTTTAGGAGCCCAGACACAGGCTCCCGCATCCCTACTGAGCATAAAAGCACACATCCGAAATTCCAGGAACAGCCACAGCCGCCTCTGGACACCAAGAACAAGCAGGTGAGCTCAGCCGGGCAGCTGCTTGGGGCTGCACCAGTCTCCCTGCTGCTCAGGGACCACCCCAGCAACGGCCCCACACAATCCATAATCCAAGAAGGCCGCTGAGCAGACGCCTTCTGGAACCATTATCTGTCCCTGCATCGGGTCCCTGTGCTGACGTTGATGAAGCTTCTCCAGACACTTGGGCAAGAACCTTTTCCTGGGATGAGGATTAACCATGGCTATTAGTGTTTGTGAGAGGGGAAGCCTCCTCTTCCTTCATCGGAAGTGCGCGCTTCCTGGGGATTATGAGTTAATGTATCTGGAACGGCGTCCGCCTATCCAGGTTTTGTGGTCTCCCTGGAAGTCATATCCCAGGGCTCCCACGGGCCACCTGGCTGCAGTTCCACTTGGATCAGGGTTTTCCATTAAATGCAACGAGGAGCTCAGGCCATTTATCACAGTGAATCTTGTGCCCGAATCTGGGAGGAAATGGTCAGTGCTCCAAATCAGAGCTGAGTTCCCTGCCAGGAACTAGGTAGGGCCAGCAGTGCTGGATTTCTGGGACGCATTGAGTTGTCTGTTTGTAAAAATGGAACCATTCATCTAGTCTCTCCTTTGTGTGTTGTCCATGAGTCAATGAATTCCACGGATAACACATCCATTCATTCACTCATGAAATGTTCACTGAACTCTCATTGCATACCAGGCCTTATTCTAGGTGCTGTCAAGAGACAAGATTCCTGTCTCACATTCCAGGGGAAAAGAGAAGCATTTTACTTACAATCCTAAGTAACTGCAGAGCGTAATGAATGCTCAAAAGAAAATTTAAAAGAGGTTACTATGATAGACAGTGACTGGGCTACTTTAGACAGAGTGGTAAGGGAAATAAATGCCTGCTCAAGGCGGTGGAATCTAAGAGGATCTGAATCCAGTCAGAGCTGAGGGTCAGGAAGATTATCCCAGGCAGAGATAACAGCAAGTGCCAGGACTCTGGGACCAGAATAAGCATGGCGTATTTGAGAAACAGAAAGTTCACTGTGGCTGAAACCGAGTGAGAAAGGCAGGACCAGTGGAAGATGAAGTTGGAAGAGAGGCAGAAAAATAAAGCCTTATAGGCTGTGATGGGGATTTGGGATTATACCATAGTTTCCAGGAAAACCATTGAAGAGTTTAAGCAGAGATGTGCTGTATTAGTCAGGATAGGAGAAGTTGTGCTGCAGTAACAAACAACTTTACGAATTCATGAGCTTAGAACAATTTCTCCATCTTGGCAGGGTTGGATGGTGTTGGAAATCTGTTCTTTGCGGTTTCATCAGAAATCTCAGATTGACAGACAATCTGCCTCCTGGAATGTTGTTGGTCCCCATAACATGAAGCAGGGCAGATTGCAAATCAGGCACTCTTCCAAAGGTGTCCACCCTGGGAGAAACACAGGTAACATCTGTCCCATTTCATTGACAAAGCTAGCTATTAATGCTTGCCTTTCTTCAGGAATACTTGTTGCTGGCACTAATGACTATTACATAGGGCACATGTTGGTAGAATGAGAGCCTAGGGACCCAGCAATAGTCCCTGTCACCCCTGCATTCATGGGCTCGTATTCCACCATTCAACCACTTAGAAACATCATCCCCTCAACAAGGCCAATCCAGGCATGGAGTTTGATTGCTGATGTGGTACTAGAAATGCAGTTGTTGCTCTGACCTTTTCCAAAACAACTGGGAAGGAGCTCCAGGAATGCAGCTTTTTGGGAGTGCAAGTGCAATGTTGCAAAGTACAATGACCCCTGGGCTGCTGCTGGCCAACCCCATGCCTATGAGCACCCAATGCTGCCCCACTCTGCAGCAGCCTGGGAAAGACACTTGCCTGGCTTGGGTGGCCCTCACCATAAAAACACCAGATGTCCCCACCTTCATGGAAAAGCCTGGGATGGCCCAATGTCCCAGCGAGGCCGCCAAAATTCTCCTTTGCTGCCGTTGACTCTAATCTCTGGTGGCTTTAATTCCTGCAGGGCTATATCTGCTGTGATATTTACCATGTGGATATTACCATGTCCCCGCTTCTGTGTCTTCCCTCTGTTTCCCTGATGTCTCCTTCTGCAGCCTTGGCCTGCCTGCAGCGAGTGGCCTCCTTATGAATCACAACCCCCGACCATGGCAGGTCCTCTGCAGAACTCTGGATGCCACCAGAGCATCAAGGATTGCTGTTCTCCAGTGTGACCACTCATTGACTGAACTCCAAAGAGAGTGGCCTTTTCCCAGGTAGGACAGGGGCCTGCCACAGTGACCATCAGACACAATTCTGTCCTTCTGCAATGTGACTTCCTGGCTCACCTCAAGTTCTGCTAAGAGGTGCAGGGGTGCCCTGCCTGGACCACCCACCCTAGGCAATGCCTTTGTCCTCCCATACATCTTTCTTGACATCCTTACACTACTGCCAGGACAGAAAGTCATTCCCAAGGCTCCTCCACAGCCTCTCTCCTGGCCCACCCTGAGCAGTGCACACCTGCCCCTTGGGTCGGAATATGCTCGCAGGGTGTTTGCTTCCGGCCTGCCTGGCTGTGCTCTCCCTTTACTCTCTGGCCATGCCTTTTGTTTGTTTTGTTTTGTTTTGCTTTGGACCAACTCTCACTCTGTTGCCCAGGCTGGAGTGCAGTGGTGCGATCTCAGCTCATTGCAACCTCTACCTCCTGGGTTCAAGCAATCCTCCTGCCTCAGCCTCCCGAGTAGTGGGGATTACAGGCACGCACCACCCCACCTGACTAATTTCTTGTATTTTTAGTAGAGATGGGGTTTCATCATGTTAGCCAGGCTGGTCTCGAACTCCTGACCTCAAGTGATCCACCCTCCTAGGCTTCCCAAAGTGCTGGGATTACAGGCGTGAGCCACCACTCCTGGTTGCTTTCTGGCCATGGTTATTGTTTCCTGGACCAAAGGCAGCACCTTGACTCCTCTCTTTCTTGCCTCCTTGTAGCCTGAGGACACTACTGAGCAGTTAATAAGAACTCAGAAAGCCTCATTGATTTGAACTGGGTTTTGTGAAAGTGCAAAAATTTCACAAGGTTGGGTCTACGGTGCAGTGTTGATGGGAGAGAAAGATGGTCACCTGCAAGGCATAGGCCAAAAAGGTGCTCTTGGCTCAACCCTAGACTGGGAGACAGCATCAGTGGCTCTACTCCTGGCTCCATATGCTGCATGGCCGGGAGCCATTCCTTTCCCCCCTCCAGGCCTCTCCTCCCCTTCTGATCAATGAAGAAGGGCTTCCGGGTTGGATGTCTGAGTTTATAGAATGCGGGTCGTTCAAGTAGAATATATACTGGCCAAATAAAAAAGAAAAAAATGCTAACCTCACTGAACTCACTAATGATCAAGGAAATGTAAATCAAAACCACAATGTGATATCACCTTACTCCTGCAAGAATGGCCATAACCAAAAAACCAAGAAATAATAGAGTTGGTGTGGATGTGGTGAACAGGGAACACTTCTACACTGCTGGTGGGAATGTAAACTAGTACAGCCACTGTGGAAAATAGTGTGGAGATTCTTAAAGAACTAAAAGTAGAACTGCCATTTCATCCAGCAATCCCAGAGGAAAAGAAGTCATTATATGAAAAAGATACTTGCACACACGTTTGTTTATACCAGCACAATTCTCAATTGCAAAATGTAGAACCAACACAAATGCCCAACAATGAACTTGTGGATAAAGAAACTAAACTGTGGTATATATGTACAATGGAATACTATTCAGCCATAAAAGGAATGAACTAATGGCTTTTGCAGGAACCTGGATGAGATTGGAGACTAGTATTCTAAGTAAAGTAACTCAGGAATGGAAAACCAACATCGTATGTTCTCACTCATAAGTGGAAGCTAAGATATAAGGATGCAAAGGCATAAAAATGACACAGTGGACTTTGGGGACTCGGGGAGAAAGGGTGGGATGGGGGTAAAGGATAAAAGACTACAAATTGAGTGCAGTGTATACTGCTTGGGTGATGGGTGCACACATCACTATTAAAGAACTTACTCAGGTAACCAAATACCACCTGTTCCCCAATAACCTATGGAAATAGAATTAGAAGAAAAAAAAGTAGAATAGCCTTAAATTTGACACTTGACTCCCTTCTAAGCCAGGCAAGATTAATGTGCTGGGGGTTAGAGAAGGCATGATTAGAAGAATTCACATGGGTTGCATTCTTCGTTCCTTACTCCCTTTCCCCATCAAGCTGAACAGCTCTCTGGCTACCACGGCTGATGCCACTCCGATCACCTTCACTGTCAACCCCCATGTGGTGGCCGCTGGGAGGGGCTGCATAGACCTCGTTTCAGAACTCATTCTCCTCTCTGTTGGGAGAGCCCCTGACAGACAGCCCGCAGCAGCCAGCCCCTTTCAGGATTGCCTTGGCTGAAGACCACTGCCTTGCCCAAGCTCTACCTCTGTCCCAGGCAATGATGCCCAGTGTTGATTGATGGGGACAGGGTATGTAGAGGCACACTCGGCACTCTCTCCCTTGAGCTGGGCAGCTCTGAAGGCTCATCCCATCTTCAGGACTCTCTGCAGGACTGGCTGCAGCGTTCGGCCAAGATTTCATGGCAGCCTGACTTTATCCTCTGCTCAGGCCTGTTTCCTTCCTTGCCATAGATGGGATCTCAGGAGTACTCATTAGCAAACTCCTGCACACTAATCTCCTTCCCAAGAGTCTACTTCCCAGGAAACTCAGCCTATGTGCCCCACAAATAACCTCCAAAGAGAGGAGAGACTGGGTAAGGGAAGAGAAGTGAGAAAAACCACACACACACACTGAGGACAGGTGCTGCCGCCTCCTTCCACCTTCCAAGCTGTCCTGGCAAGCATTCCAGCCCTGACTTTGCTCCGGGGAAAGCCCTCGGGCATGAGTTCTGCTCTCCCGTCCTGTCTGCAAGCTTGGGTTCAGATGAGCAAGTCTGCTATTCCTGAGTTTAACAAGTGGTTGAGTAAACAGCCTTTACTTTGATCAGGCATGTGGCATCTTAAACAAAGGTGTATATTTGCTTTTTTTATCTAATACGGATCATGTGATCTGACTGTCCCAGGGTGGACACCAGGGGTCAGTCCCACTGCATCCAGCAGCCTCGTGGCCCTGAGGCCCAGAAAGGCGACAGGACGGCCAGAGATCTCAGCTTGTTGGCCAGGGCTGCATCCTTTTCCTTCACAGCCTTTCCTTCTGTAACCCCTGAGCCTCTTATAGAGCATCTTTTCAGTTTCTTTTGGCTTCTCTGGTTCTAAAGATGCAGAGAGGCCTTTTCTACCTGTCAGAAGTATTTCCTGAGTACCTGCTGGGAGTCAGGCACTGTGCTGGACACAGAAGGTTCAAAGAAGACCAGAAACATTGTCCTGGTGTTGACGCACACGGTCCTATGCAACGACAGATGAACAAGCTGAGAGGGAGGCCACTGAGAAGTGACTGGAGACCCAGAGGAGAGGACTCCCACCAAGCAGGGGTACATCGCACCAGTGCTGGGGGCAGCAAAGCCTTCTGGAGGAGGTAGCATTTGGGCTGGGCCTGGAAGGAGAGTGACTTTCCTGGGAGTTCACCTATTGTCCTGAGTTGCCAAAAGCCACAGGGGCTCTTCTAAGTGCTGCAAATCAAGGCTGGCTCATCTGGGCCTTTCTGGGCAAAGCAGCACCCCTTAGGCCTAGACCTCGGCCCTTCACCTGACACCTGTCCCGGTTTCATTTTAGCCCTATCCAGAAACCTGCAAGCAGGTGTGCTCTTGGGGCCAGAGAGGAGAATGGATCTGTGGCGGCTGCTGAGAGTTGAGGGAGCCGCAAGGGCCCGGCGTATTCATGAGGAAAGATCTCTGCCCTTTTATTGGGAGGCCCCGAAGGTCAGGTCTTGGGACTTGAACTCCAGATAAGACTCCCTGGTGAGCACAGAGTGTGGCTGCCCTGTTGCAGACAGCAAGAAGAGGGGCTGGGTGGGGCTTTTACCTGGGGCTCAACAACCCCACCTTGGCCAGAGCCTCCCAGCTGACCAGCTCAGAGGCTACAAGCAAATCTCAAATTTCCCTTCTTCCTTGGGCTTCCATATCT
This sequence comes from Homo sapiens, assembly GCF_000001405.40. NCBI lineage: Eukaryota > Metazoa > Chordata > Mammalia > Primates > Hominidae > Homo > Homo sapiens. Next base: position 31,554,843 of record NC_000019.10, on the reverse strand, counting down.
CAACTGTAAAACGCTAGCCTTGATCCAGAAAAGCTTCCTGTTTTTTCGTTTTGTTTTTTATTTTGATGTAGAGCCTGTTTCGATAAACAATGCGTAGCGCACATTTAGTGTTCCCCACCCTGTGTCCAGCAGTGGGGATGAAAGGGTGCTCCAGTTACAGTCTTTGTCCCTGTGGGGCTTATGCTGATTCATTCCTTTCTCCATTCTCTCTTTCACTCATCAGTTCCCTCCACAGTTGTCCGACACGTGCCAGGCTCTGTTCTAGGAGTCGAGAATACAGTGGTGAGCAAAATGTGCAGATCCCCACCTTCACATGACGGTGGAGTGAGGAAAAAACTCAGTGAACAAACAAATAAAGTAAAATCTCCATGCCCTTCCTCCCCCAACCCCAAGAGTCGCTGCAGGAGCTAATGAGGACGCTATCTCCGCACTCCCTAAGGAGGCCAGATGCTTTAATTGGACTTAACTTTCTGTAAAGTTTAATGGGAAAACATAGTTTGTTTTTAATTATAAAGAGATAATGAATCCTGAATACGCCTCTCCAAAGAATGCTGCCCTTCCCCACAGATACTGATCTGTTCTGACCCCTGTTTTAGGCTCATTTCCGTAAACGGATAACAATGAGTCTGTGCTATCAAGGAGAAACCGAGGCAGCCAGGCAGGGAACTCCCCCACGACTGACGTCTTGGTGGATCTGCTGCCAAAGCCCATCTCTGGGCAGCTTTGGAAGTGGGGGATGGAGGTTATTCTGGTTTAAGCTGGTCTCTTCCTTTCCACTCTGATGCCTTGTCTACCCCTGGGGAGAGCAGGGAAGGGTGGGGCCGTGTGTAGGGAATCTCGAAGTGATGTGGTCAGTTCAACGAAGTGGGTGGCCTGGGTTGGCGCAGCTAATGAACATTTTTGTCTTGTTTGGTTTCTGCCTGCCTCTGTTTATTTTTGCCTAATAGAACAGGCTGACTTTTGATGCCGTCCAACAACTGACTTTCTCTCTTTTTCCATGCAGCCTCACTTTGCCCTGGACTGGAAATCATTTCTGTTTTTCCCTCTACAGGCTCTAGGGTTTCAGGAACTGCTGAACTGAAAATAATTCTAGCTGAGAGGGCTTCTCCAGAATACCAGGGGTGGGTTCCAACATGTGCGAGGGGCGGTAGCCCTAGGGCACAGCCCAGCTGGGCCTATTGCAGGGCCAAGCATCTGCTAGGAGATTGAAATCACCAGCTACTTAGATTCATGCGGAATCTAAGTGCTTGTGAGTTTTTATTTGGGGATATAAAGATACTTTCATTGACCCAGCTGTCTTAGAAAATTAGATAAAATCCAAAAGATATGTAGATAATAAATTTAATTCCAAACTTTAGAGTCTAAGACACAGACTGACTTGCAGGCAAGGATATGAAAAGGCACCTTCAGGTCTGTCCCTGTGGATACCGATGACTAAGGCATCTGACCAACTCGACTGACACCTCCAGAGAAACTATTTGGGCAAGGCGTGGTGCTTGGCAGGGCTCCAGCAATGAACACAACGGAGCTTCTACCCCAACACAGAGTACTGTCTTCTCAGAGTGGGGCCTGATGTGGCACAGACATGTCATCAAGGCCACGTGATGTGAGCTGCCACATCCGGCTGTGTTGCTAGTAACAGAAACCCAGGCCCCAATCTCTGGGTTGGGAGATTAGGAGGTGGGGACAGACATTAGGGAGGGCTACACAGAGGAAGCAACAGTGGAGCTTAAACCTGAGGAGTAAATGGGTAGACAGCGGTGTTCTAGGTAGAGAAAATACCATGGACAAAGGCCTAGAGAGTAGAGAAAAATCAGAACTTCAGGAAACTGAATGAATTCAGTGTTTCTGGATTAGAACCTGTGATGTGGGTGGGCAAATGAGGACCCACCCTAGGCTGACGTCTCATCATAAAGGTTCTTGTAAACCACATCAAGGATGAGGGCAGTCTGCAGCAGTGTCTCAGCCTGCAGGCGACAAGGTCAAATTTCGCTTGAGCCCAGGAGTTCAAGACCAGCCTGGGCAACATAGCAAGACCCTGTCTTTACAAAAAATTTAAAAAATTATCCAGGTATGGTGGGGCACACCTGTAGTCCTAGCTACTCAGAAGGCTGAGGTGGGAGAATTGCTTGAGCCTAGGAGGTCAAGCCTGCAGTGAGCCATGATTGCACTACTGCACTCCAGCCTGGGCAACAGAGCAATACTCTATTTCAAAATAAATAAATAAAATTGCATTGAGAAAAAGGATGCTGGCTGCAGTGTGGAATATGTTGGGTATAGTGAAGGCTGGCAAGATGGAAGCTGTTGTATTAATCAAATGAGAGAAAGTAGTGGTGGTGGATCAGGGTCATGGCAGTGGGAACGGCAAGAATGGACAGATGGGGGAAATCAATATAATTCGGTGATTGATTAGACAGTGACTGTATTGGAGAGGAAGAAACCCAGGATGACCTCTTGTCATTCATCCCTGGAAAAGAACCGAAGTCCATTGATGACGGGGAGAGAGACGGCAGGTTCGCTTTGGAGATACTCATGAGATATCCAAGAGTAGATGCCCAGAAAGTTTAGGCTTAAAGTCATATTTGAAGCCCAAAAGGAGAGGCCAAGCTTGCCTACAGAGTACGTAGGGTAAAGAGAAAAAATACAATAAAACCCCAAGGAAATGACATATTGTATGGAGAGAGAGAGAGAGAGAGAGAGAAAGAGAGAGAGAGAGAGGAGATCATGAGAAGTCTCCGAAGGAGCCCAAAAAGGAATGGCCAGAAAGGCAGCAAAGAAAGAACCCAGGGAGGCTGTGGTGTCTCGTAAGTCAAATTTTCAAGAGGTAGTTATGCCCTCATGCTTGCGGAAAAATAAAACACGTTAGCTGAAAATTGAAAAGTGTTATCTGTCTGCAAGCATTTAAGCAATCTTGGTGAGAGATGGAGGGCTCCAAAGTCAAACAGTAGTATGTTAAAGAGGGAATAGAGCTATGAGAAGTGGGTCCAGCAAGAGATGATAACTCTTTAGAAACTTACTGGTTGTGAGGACAAAAAGGTCCTTAGGGCTGTAGGAGATATCTTTCTTCATAAATGTGGATGATGTTTAAGTATGCTTAATTGTTGGAAGGAATAAGCAAAGAGAGATAAAGAGTGGGAGATGATAAAATCTAGAAGAGATCTGGGCATAGTGGTTCACACTTGTAATCCCAGCACTTTGGGAGGCCCAGACGGGTGGATCATCTGAGGATGGGAGTTCAAGACCAGCCTGGGCAACATGGTGAAACTTCGTTTCTACTAAAAACACAAAAATCAACTGGGTGCGGTGGTGCATTCCTGTAATCCCAGCTACTTGGGAGGCTGAGGCAGGACAATGGCTTGAACCCAGGAGGTAGACTTAGCAGTGAGCTGAGATCGCGCCACTGCACTCCAGCCTGGGTAGTGTGTGTGTGTGTGTGTGTGTGTGTGTGTGTGTGTGTGTGTGTATGAAGGAATAAATCCACCCAGCCATGGTGCTCAGGGGGCAGGAATGGGAAGACTGGAGCAGAGGGAAATTGAGAGGCCCTATCTCCAACACTAGGGTATGGGCTTTCTGCTGTGAGAGGGGAGAGAAGGAGGAGGATGAGGGAGGGAGGTGGGGATAGGAGAACTACTTCCAACATGGGGACAGACTTCCCACCAAGAGGGGAGAGAAGGAGAAGGGTGAGGGAGGGAGGTGGCAGTAAGGGACTGGAAAACCATTAAGGAGTTTTGGAATAACCACTCAGAGGATTTACTGCCCTGGAGAGAAACCTTGCAGGAGTGCTCATCAGTGCAGAAGACTCATCAGCACCTAAAGAACTTGTGTTTGTGGTGCCTCCAGTTTGCAAGCTTTGCAAAGTTTGCGTGATGTTTCTCCAGTGGTCCTTGCCAACTCAGAGTGAAAATAGAGGTGGGGAATGAAGAGATTGCTTCAAGAATAAGAATTTGCCTGGGTGAGGCATAAACAAGCAAAGGAGGAGTGTCATAGAGGAGACTCAGTGGCATGAGAATGGTTGAAACAAAAGACCATGGAGATGAGATGGAGAAACAAAGGGAGAAAGCACTGCTCAGAAGGAAAATAGAATGCTCAGAAGATTCTATTCAGAATCTCAGAAGATGCTCAGAAGGCATCTGTATTAGTTCGTTTTCACACTGCTATAAAGAAATACCTAAGACTGAGTAATTTATAAAGGGAAGAGGTGATAGGGTTTGGCTGTGTTTCTACCCAAATCTCATCTTGAACTGTAGTTCCCATAATCCCCACGTGTCATGAGAGGGATCCAATGGGAGGTAATTGAATCATGGGGGCAGTTACCTCCATGCTGTTCTTGTGATAGTGGGTGAGTTCTCATGAGATCTGATGGTTTTATAACCATCTTCACTCTCTTCACTCTGCACTTCTCCTTGCTGCCACCATGTGAGGAAGGATATGTTTGCTTCCCCTTCTGCCATTATTGTAAGTTTCCTGAGGCCCCCCAAGCCCTGCAGAACTGTGAGTCAATTAAACCTCTTTCCTTTATAAATTTCCCAGTCTCAGGTATGTCCTTATAGCAGCGTGAGAACAGACTAATACAAGAGGCTTAATCGACTCACAGTTCCATATGGCTGAGGAGGCTTCAGGAAACTTACAATCAGGGCAGAAGGTGAAGGGGAAGCAAGGCACCTTCTTCACAAAGCAACAAGAGAGACAGCAAGCAAGTGAAGGGGGAAGAGCCCCCTATAAAACCATCCGATCTTGTGAGAGCTCCCTCACTATCATGAGAACAGCATGGGAGAAACCTCCCACATGATCCAATTACCTCCCTCCAGGTCCCTCCCTTGACATCTTGGGATGACAGGTCAAAATTTGGGTGGGAATACAAATGATATCAGCATCCAAGACCCAGAAGTCTCAGAAAAATAGAAGTAAATGTACAAAAATGAGGAAATCTTTAAGAGAGCTAGGATAAGACATTGGACCTGAGAATGAGATGGTTCTAGCATTTAAGATTTGAGAGAGTTGTAGTTTTGGGGAGAAGGTATGGTGCACCTAGGGGCGGAGATGGTCCAGCACCTGGCTGGCTGGCTAAAGTAGGGTGAGGTCACTGAGATGGGCAAGTGGATCAGTCATCTGTAACACAACAGTGATGGGCTACAGATCATCCTTGTTAAAGCTGAGTTCACCCTTCATAATGACAATATTTGGTGGTAGAGGAGGATGTTGACCCAGTTCTCATGATTCTTGGTGAATGGCAAAAGTGCCCAGGAGAGTGGTAAATGCTGGGGATCATAAGAAGTAGAGGGTAGCAGAGCCAGATGGTGCTAATCTAAAAGGTGCAGAGGCAGAAGTAGAAATAGTTCTCAAAAGTCTTGGGATACAAAGAAGACACAAACTCCTGATCCTGACATGCCACCCTCGAGGGCTGCAGGGAAAGTTTCTTCCTAAAGTGTATCACCAAGACCACAGCAGTCACTATAGCATGGACGTTGAAGATATAAGGTGTGTTTAAGGAGGTTTTTTAATCAAGAAACATGGCTTCCATACAGCCATTAAGAAGGGAGAGGAGTACAAAGGATGTGCTCAGAGAAAAGCAAGCTCTGTATAACGTAGGAATAGAAGATGACTACAGGTCAAAGACAGCAGGAATGGGAGGATAGTGAAGTCAGCTTGTGCTGGAGAGATACTACTGTGTAGAGGAAGAGCGCCCTTCCCCTCAAGGGCCAGCCAGCAGGTGGCAGGATTCATTGGTCCACTGGATTCTGCCAAGTGTTGGAAACACTTATTGAATCCATCCTTATTGTCTTCAGAGGCATCTAACCTGATATGCCCCACTCTTGTGGGGGCCCTCAGGACCAGCCAGGTGTCCATACCTATGGTGGGCCTGCGCTGGTCCCAGAATTTCAAAACTCCCACTACCGCTTCTTCTGTGAAGCTCCTACTTCATTACTGTCAATCTTAGTCTCTCCTGGAAAATTCTTTCCACCTCACATAATGAATAAATGATTCTTTTCTTAAATTAGGATTCAACGGAGTAATTGTAAAATTGGTATTTTGCTCAAAAACCCTTTCTTGGAGCTTACAAAAATGACATTAGACAGAAACTTTCTCAGCAGTGATTTTTATAAGATGCAGCATATTAAACTGTATTTAAATACATTGAACATACATAAATTATCACAAGCAAAAAAAAGACAATTATTATATTTCCAAAAGATTTCAGTGGCTTTCACATGAGCAAGACCTCATGGCTCTGTCTATTAAAATGGCTGATGTTTAGAAGACTATTTTGTGTACCTTAGGACAGGACATCTCAGCTCTCAGGAAAGAGACCAGCCTGCAGGGCATACATTCCACATCCTGGGTGTTGAGAATTGAAAAACAAACGAATAAAACATAGTTTTAAAATTATGACAGCTTTTCTAAAACCTATATAATTTTCAAGGGCATAGACCCTAATTTATTGAATTTTTTGCTCCTAAACTAGTATCTAGTGCATAATAGTCCTGCTAATGTACTCGATAAACTGAACCAAACTCAACTCTCAAGTAGCAAATTAGAATTTAGTGCAAGAAAGTCATTAGAGTAACTCTTGGGAAAAGGATGACTTAAGACTAATATGGATACATAGAATAACCCACCTGCTTATGGCTATGGTTAAGAATGCAAGGCTTTTTCGCCCTCCTCCATGTCCACCATGGGGACATCCTGGAGTACCTTGAGAGGGGCTTATCTTGAGATAGATAGCATTTCCCACACTCTCCCTCTGACCTCCTGTTCATGCACTGGGCTCATGCCATGCTGCTGCATGCAAAGTGCACTGATAATGGATGGAGATGGATGGATGGATGGATGGATGGATGGATGGATGGATGAGTAAATGGATGGATGAATGAGTGGATGGATGGGTGGATGGGTAGACGGATGGATGGATAGGTGGGTGGGTGGATGAATGGGTATATGGGTTGATGGATAAATTGGTGCATGAATGAATGGATGAATTGGTGGATGGATGAATGCATGGATGGATGCATGGATGGGTAGTAAATGAAAGGAAAGAAGAAATTCACCCTTGAAATACTCTCACCCCTAGGTTCAACATCAGTCTGTAATAGCCAACAGAACATGCTGATAGGTCCCTGAGAGGCGGTGCCCCAATGTGAAGCCACCACCAACTCCCTACTGGCCCCAGGTTAGGAAGACATGGGCTTGTCAGTACAATAGGTCCAGGCTGAGAAGGAAGAAGGAAGAAGTGCCTTCCCCTTCTGCATCCACAGTATGGATGCAGAGAACACAGATTTGTTTGGCAAATCTTAGAGTCTAGAACTGAAACCCACATGGTGAAGCCTTCCAGTGCTACCATCCTTCCTATGCTTCCTCCTTTCAGGAGGTGATAAGTATTGAGTTTAAGGCCCACCAATATGTCTTCTGCAAGGTTGAATGAGAAATAAAGTCTGAGAACCCATGACTCTGTTTGGTAGTCCTGGCTGTCCCTACAAAGGCGTTCAAACAAAGGCCCACACTCCTCAAATGACTCAGATATAGTGGACAATAAATCAAGTTGGAAAGGTTGAGGAGGATGAGATTCCAGAATCCATGTCTCTTCCTCCCACCCTGTGTGTACACCTCCCATTTTTCCTCCTGTTTTCCTCTCTCCCCTAAATCTCTCTCTCTTTTTTTTTTTTTTTGAGACAGGGTCTCACTCTGTTGCCCAGACTGGAGTGCAGTGGTGCAATCTTGACTCACTGCAACCTTTGACCCCAGGTTCAAATGATTCTCCCACCTCAGCCTCCCTGGGTAGCTGGCACTACAACAGGTGCATGCCACCATGCCCGGCTAATTTTTGTATTTTTTTTATAGAGATGGGGTTTCACTATGTTGGCCAGGCTGGTCTCGAATTCCTGACCTCAAGTGATCCACCCACCTCGGCCTCCAAATTGCTGGGATTACTGGCGTGAGCCACCATACCTGGCCTCCCCTAAATCTCTCACTCAAAAGGGAAAGTGCCTTGGTCTGACCCTGTTGGAATCTCTGATATCTCTCCCTTCCCCTGCCTTCCTTAACACCTCTTCCACCTCCTCCGTCAGCCAGAACTTGTGCAAATGACACTTGGAGTTCCACCTTCCCTGGCACGTTGGATGAGGAAATGACTGGAAACCTGACAGTCTATCACTACCGGGGAGTGACAATTTAAAAAAAAAAAGATTCAAGTTATGAGTGTAAGTTTAAAAATGTAACTAAAAGCCTTCATCAAAGTTTAAAGAGCTTCTTGCGCTTTTAGCATTTGCTTATTCTGATTTATTGACAATGACACACCTAGGAGCAGTCATCTCTGCTGAGGCAGTGAAGTAATGGACTGTAGGGGGAGAGAGAAAAAGAGAGAGAGGGGAGAAAAAGGGAAAAAAAAAGGGAAGGTGCAGCTCACAGAAGAGAGGCCGCTGATTACAGCCCACTAATTTGTTATGCACTCCGGCAAATCAGCGGTGATTCATATGACAAATAAGGAGAAAAAATTAACAGCTGTCATGTTGTGATGTGTTAATTTCCTGACAGTCTCTGCACTGAAGCCAATTACTGATTTAAGGGCAGGGAGAGAGAGCCCTGTTCAGGCTTCTAATTAGGCTTCTTCAGACTAAAAGGATAAAAGCAAAAATAAGAGCAAGAGAATGAGGCAGGTAGCTGGGCTCCAGGAAGCTCACATGCTTTTAAAGCTCCAGTTAAATAGCTTTAAGCTTAAGTGTGTTTAAGATAAGAATTTAGAAACATTTATTCACTTTTATCCCTGACCTGGTGGTTTAGGCTTTTGTGGACTAATTGGGGGCTGAGCAGGGCCCAGGGCTCTTGCTGCCCTGTTTCTGCATGAGTCCAGCCTCTCAGATGTAATCTACTAATAATACCTTTGTTTAGCCTTGTCAACAACCATTCATCACCGTGGTAGACAAAGGGCGGTGGGTGCTCCACCAGCTTCCTACTCAAGGATCCTGCAGAATGCTGGACCTCCATTGCACTAACTGGTCCCATGGCACTGGCCCCAAAAGAGGGCTGGGGGTGAGAGGAAGTTATTGGGGTCTGGGTGCTCAGACATCTAGGAAGCTTCCACATAGACCCAAGGGAAAGGAGAACTCATACTCTGTTGGTTTGACTTTGGTTTCTTCCAACTTACTGGCATGCCTGATCACCTTATTTGTCATCTCCACTGATCCAGCTATCCAGCGTATGAACGGATCTTTTCTAGGGACCCGAAAGATCTTTCATGGGAAGTGTTAAGGGGTGCTGGCTGCTGAGAGACTCATTCTTGGCCATTCTAGACACATTGGGGATTCAACAAAGTTATCCATAGCAGGAGCTCCTCTCTGTAGCCATCATCATCAATCAGAAAAATGGGACTTCAAGGGATCATGTGCCTCTGAGTATGACCAGCTAGACAGATAGTGGCTCTTCTTTTAATTTGTTTACCAAGAAAGGCAGTTCCCTTCCCATCTGTGCCCTCAATTCTTTCTTAGGGCTTTTTAAAAGGCTCTTTGTAAATTTATTGGTTAGTACTCAAACCAGTAGCCTCATGGATTGGTGCTGTGGTCACAGGAGCACAGGAGCCCTTCCTCAGTGGATTCCCAGGAAGGGCTTCTTCCTCAGATGTAAAGAAGCCTTATTTCCCAATGCTCATGGGTTTTTCCTTGTAGGTGGGTGAAATCCATTAGGATTCTTTGATTGCCTGTGACAACAGAGAGAGAGAGAAAGAGAGAGAGTGAGAGAGAGAGGAAAAGTAGGAGGAAAAGAAAGAGAAGAAGAGGAAGAAGAAGGAGGAGGAGGAAGAAGAGATGAAGGAGAAAGAGAAGAAGGAGGAGGGAGGAGGAAGAAGAAGAAGAAGAGATGAAGGAGAAAGAGAAGGAGGAGGAGGGAGGAAGAGGACAAGGAGGGAGATAAAACCAAGCCTAAGAAGCCTAAGTGGCCAGAGTGAAGAGGGAACTTCTTGACTCACAAACCAAATAATCCAAGAAGATCTTGCTTGGGGGTCAGAACTTCAGGTAGGAATCCTGAGGCTTGGAATCACTGCCTTAGCCTCTTATCTCAACTTCCTTGGTGTGGGTCACATTTTCAGATGGGCTTTTCACCAGCTAATGACCAACCAGAAACACACTCCACAGGTCCATGTCTGATTGGAAAGAGAGAACCAGGCCTTTCTCTGTTAGTCACCCCATTAGAAGTCCTGAGTTGACACTCTGGTTGACAGGATGAGATTCATTAGGGAATCAACTACTGACTAAGTTAGACCTTGATATCATTAGAATGTTTTGTCCCCTCTTCATCTCATGCTGAAATGTGATCCCCAGTGTTGGAGGTGGGGCCTGATGGGAGATATTTGGGTCATGGGCGTGGATCCCTCATCAATGGCTTGGTGCCCTCCCCATGGTAATGAGTGAGTCCTCACTCTATTAGTTCACGTGGGAGCTGGTTGTTTAAAAGAGCCTGGCATGTCTCTTGCTCCCTCTTGCCATGTGACATGCCTGCCCCCTCCACCTTCTGCCATGAGTAAAAGCTTCTAGAGGCCTCTCCATAAAAAATTCATGGTGCCATGCTTGTACAGCCTGCAGAACCATGAGCCGAATAAACCTCTTTTCTTTGTAAACTACCCAGCCTCAGATATTTTTTATAGTAATGCAAAACAGACTAATACAGACCTGAATCCTAGGTCCACCACAGAGCTAAGAGAAGAGCACACTCAGACAGGAGCATGAGGGAAAGAAGAATTTCCAAAGAAAATCCAGGAATGATCCATAAAGAAGAAGGAAACCATAAATGTGCCTCAGAGTGAATCAGTGGACACAAAAGAGAGCCTTGCAGAGAGCTTCTAGGTCAATTCTGGTGTTTTTGGACTCCCTTTGGCTTCCTAATATTTAAATATATTTAAGGTGATGTTAGCTAATTTTTCAGAAATTTGCAGGTCAGGGAGGAGGGAAGAGCAAGGGGTAGAGGCAGGAGCCCATTGATGGTCACATTTGCAGCCAGCTCCTATTTTTGTAACAGTGACTCTAGAATTCAGATGTAGAGCAGGGCTCATTTATTGCAGGGCTTTCTTTCAATAGAGATTTAGATTTATCACATGTCTGGGAGTCAAACAGGCCCCTAACCTGGAGGCATTTGCATGGCCCCTGGTGATGCAGCCCTGCTCGGGGACCTGTGCAGCCCCAGCTGAGGTCACGCCAACCCTCTGCCCCAGAGAATTGCTGCCTCTTGCTGCCCAAGTGTCTGGGTCCAGGGTAAGCACATCATTACTACAATTAAAGAATCACTCATGCGTTGACCGGTAAGGGGAAAATAGATCCCTAGAGCCCCAGCCTCCGCTGGATGGCTTCCTCCTTTTAGGCAGGTGGTCTGATTAAAAGGTTTCAATGGTTTATTTCATTAGGAGTCACTGTTGGTATTGCCTGAGACAACAAGAATCCTTCGACATTGATTTTGTTGGTGACTGCAACCCTAAACTGGAAGGGATGGCTAAAAGGTAATTCACTCTGTAAGCCTTGCTCAATCCTGACCCATTATCAATTGAGTTGAAATATGTCAGCACGGTGAGATATTGAGCATATTATCTTTTTTAGGAAGGTTCACTGAGTGAATAACATACATGCATTTACCTATATAAGTGCTGTCCAACAGACTTATGATCCATTGATTTATATAGCACCCTTCATCTGCATCAAGATGCTCTCCAAGAGAATGCCACAGCCCAGGAGAATTCTGTGCTGGCCTTGGGGAGAAGAAGCCACCTCCAGAGTGGGCAGTTTCCACTTTGTCAACCCCTCTGAGCTTAGAGAAATGCTTCCCCTGTCAGGGAGACCTTGCTGGCCAACTGGGGTTCCTTGTATGGGGTGGAGACGATGGACTGAGTTGAGTTGCGTCAGAGTGGTGGAAGAAGCAGCTGACCAGCTGTGGTCTGTGAAGGCAACAAGATAATTCTGACCTAAAGAAGAAGACAGGGTTGGTCGGGTGCAGTGGCTCACACCTGTAATTCCAGCAGTTTGGGAGGCCGAGGGAGGTGGATCACTTGAGGCCAGGAGTTGGAGACCAGCCTGACCAACATGGTGAAACCCCATCTCTACCAAAAATAAAAAAATTAGCTGGGCATGGTGGCGCATGCCTATAATCCCAGCTACTTGGGAAGCTGAGGCACGAGGATTGTTTGAACCCAGGAAGCGGAGGTTGCAGTGAGCTGAAATCATGCCACTGTACTCTGGCCTATGTGACAGAGTGAGACAAAAAAAAAAAAAGAAGAAGAAGAAGAAGAAGAAGACAGGGCAGACAGATACAGAATTGAAACAAAAGGCAGATGAGAATCCCAGGAGGAAGGCAAGGGTGCTTGACAAAAACACAGTGGGAATTCTGGTTTTGATGAAAGCAAGAGTGCCTTTGCAGGCTGAAAATCTAGGTCGGGGATGGGTAACAAAGATAAAGAGAACAACATGAGAAATTCCAGGATGTGTGATCTGGGGCCCTAAAAATCCAGAAAATGGGCTGAGCTCTCCATTCCACTACTTGCCGTGTTCCATACCTGTTCGGTTTCCAGAACTCTTCCAGTGTCTTTGAGAAGGACTTGGAGAGATGGTGTGTCTGTTTCCACGGCCCTGCCTCTTCTCTCCTTCTGTCTCTAGCTCTCACTCTCTCCACAGGTTCCCTTGTCTGCCTTAATCTTTCTTCCCTTCTCCTCCCTTTCTCACTGTTTCAGCTCCCTTTTACCATAACCAATTCTATTTCGATCTCTGATGGGTTTTAATTCCTACTCAAGGGTTGTAGGATATTTGTGGGAGTGAAAGAGGTCCCCAGAGGAAACAAAACCCAAACAGACTGCATGAGCAGTATGATCTGATGGGCCAGGTAGAAGTCCAGTTTAGAGTCTGCTCACTCTGAAGGCTGACCAAGTCCCTCCCGCCCTTCTGCCTCCTCTTTTCCATGCACGACCATCCTTGCACTGATGTCCATTGGCCAATGAAGAAGATGCTTCCATCATGGTGGTCTTGGTGGCAATCGTGGGACCTTGACATAGTCCATGCATGAAAACCTTATTCTTCTTGGCTTCTTATTTTCCATCCAAAAAAAGGTATTTTTTCTTTTATCTTCCTCCTCCATAGGTACCTGTAGATATTTTTCAGTGCTGTGATTTACCTCCAGAATAAGGTGGCTGTTGCATTTAAAAGGCATCATTTTCTGATGTGCATGTGGACTTATCAGCTCCTCTCTCCCTGTGTGGCCGAGTGTTATCAGTGCATGCTGGGAAGCACTTGTGTAAGAGAAGCAAGCCTCAGCTGAGAGGTGCTGTGTTACTACAAAGCTTTCAGGTGATGGAGTGGCTGATGCAGAGAGACACATCAAGATAGGGGGAATCCTGAGAACGTTCTCTGTAAGATTAAGCAGCAAGAACAGTTCAAACCAGAGGCCCACTGTCTAAATGTGTAGGGAGAGGAGAAATAGTAAGGTATGTGGTCCTTAGAAATAAAGGAGTCAGAGTTCTCTCATTGACATGGAAGTACCCGGAAAGGGTTCTGCATTTTACAGATGTGAAAACTGAGCTTTCATGACTTTCTGCCAGGTACCAAGCCTGTCTGGGCTCTTGGCTGGAGAACCTGCCAGGCTTGCAGGTGATCTGAAGGAACTGTACACCCAAAAAAGGATCAATATCTAGAATCAACAAGGAGTTCAAACAAATCAGCAAGAGAAAAACAAATAATTCCATTATGAAGTGAGTGAACGACATGAGTAGACATTTCTCAAAAGATGATATACAAATGGCAACAAAGATGAAAACATGTTCAACATTGCTAGTCATCAGGGAAATGCAAGTTAGAACCATAATGAGATAACACTTTACCCTAGTCAGAATGGCCATGTTTTAAAAGGAAAAAAAAAAAAAAAGATGTGTGGGTGGATGTGGTGAAAAGGAATCGCTCAGACACTGCTGATGGGAATGTAAACTAGTACAGCTTCTATGGGAAAACAGTATGGAGATTTCTCAAAGAACTAAAAGTAGAGTTACCATTTGATCCAGCCATCCCATACTGGGCGTCTACCGAAAGGAAAAGCAATCATTTTATAAATAAGACACCTGCAGGTGTATGTTGATTGCAGCGCAATTCACGATGGCAAAGATGTGGACCCAACCTAACTGCTCCTCAGTGGACGAGTGGGTAAGGAAAACGCGGTGCATCTGCACCATGAATTACTACTCAGGTATCAACTCCTCTTTCAAAGAAGTGCCATGACGGGAGGGAGGGTAGCACTGAAAGAGCAGGAGGATCTGACAGGGGTGCACAGGCTCATTACTCTCCAAGTCCCCATGGGCTCAGAGAAAAATAGGTCAAATCCCAGCACTGTAAGAAACTCCACTCTCCCAAGTTCCACTGGAACCCATTTCAAATTCTGAGTCTGGAAAATCTAAGCTACCAGAAAGAGCTTATGCAGGAAAGGAGGGCAGGAGACAGAGCATTTGGTGAGGTTGCAATTGATTTAGGCTGTGTACACAACAAAAGCATCTGATTCCAAGCTCTCATGAGGGAGTTTCTGACCTGGATCACAGGACTTGTGTGGGTCCAGACATGAGCCCCAGCTAGTCCCAGCAGCTCACAAAATGATAGGTAAAATGCCAGTGATGTGAGAAATAGGCACTCCCTGAGGGAAGGAGGTCAGGGCACAGATTTCACCCCATTCTTAAAAGAGATGGTGACCCCAAAGAGCTGAAGATGTTTCTTCTCACTGCTTCTGAACTGGGCTCTAAAGTCAGACAGACCTGGCTCCAACCTCTGCTCTTGCATGTGAAACTTATACAACCAGAGGCACTTCTTTGTCCTCCATGAGCTGCAGTTTCATCAACACTATAAAAGAGAGATAACAGTACTTCTACCTCAAGGAACTAATGTTAGGATCAAAGAAGGCATTGCACGTGAAAAGATTCCCCAAGCGCCTGGTGCACGGTAACCTCCAGTTGGCACATGTGTGTGGCAACAGTGCTGGTGGAAGCGATGGAATCTGCAGGGCTCTAGCCCTAAGCCTGACCATAACTCAAAAGTTCCTTTCAGGATTGTTGCCTCATCTGTAAAATGGGTACAGTAGTCCCAACCTGCTGCCTTATAGGGATGCTATGATGACGATAAGAAACAGTGGGAAGAAAAGAGTGTAAGGCTAGAGCAATGATACATGTAGCCTTTCCCCACCACAAAGTTTATTGGGGTGGTTCCCCTGACCCCATTACCAGGCACGGGGGCTGGGCCAGCCTATGCCAGAGGAGGACTGTGAGCTGGCAGAGGATCTGTGACCCTGATCACCAGGTGGCTTCCCAGAGCCCATAGCTCCAGATCTTCACCTTTTATACAAGCTCAAGGGTAGCTGGGGGCGGGGATATTGCCTTTTAATTTAGTAGGGAAAATAATTCACGTGCTTATAATGAAATGCGACAAGCAGAACATAACAAGTAAATACAATACAAACTACGTTGCAAGCCTCTAAGGTAACAGAAAATAACTAGTTTTAGTTGTTTTTTTATCTATTATGAGGAATGTCAAGCATTTGACAAGAGAGTATTTAATAAAAAATACTATAATTTGTATTTAAGCGATAGCAATAGATATTACATTTATTTTATTTCTATCCAAGGAGACAGGTTTGGGATTTCTTAAAGGAATTAGGAAATACAAAGTGAGAGGTTTAATGGGCCTGAGACGCACAGGCCGTAGGCTGGGGCTCCCTGGGGCTTACATGTGGGGACATAGCCAGCTGGAGGGCTGTGTGACCAGCACGTGCAGCCTCAGTGGAGAGCTAAGGGAGAGATGCGACTACACATGCCAGGGAAAATACTGAGGGACCAACTGGGGGCTGTGCTGGGTATCTTCACATGTGGTCCCTAGGGTCCCCCAGAAGGTCTCAGTCCCACTGGGGAGAGGGACCCATGACACATTTAGAGAGTAAATAAAACTCTAGGCAGACCTCATTAGCAAACCCCAGAAAAGATGCAGAGTTTTGTTCCAGCTTCATTGGTGATAGTAAAAAATCCACAATGCACATGCCCATCAAAAAGGGATCAGGGGGGCCGGGCACGGTGGCTCATGCCTGTAATCCCAGAACTTTGGGAGGCCAAGGTGGGTGGATCACGAGGTCAGGAGTTCGAGACCAGCCTGGCCAATATGGTGAACCCTGCCTCTACTAAAAATACAAAAATTAGCTGGGCGTGGTTGTGCATGCCTGTAGTCCCAGCTCCTCGGGAGGCTGAGGTGGAAGAATCGCTTGAATCTGGGAGGCGGAGGTTACAGTGAGCCGAGATCATGCCATTGCACTCCAGCCTGGGCAACAGAGTGAGACTCTGTCTAAAAAATATTAATTAAGTAATTATAAAGGGGATCTGGGAAACAAAATCCTACATCCCTCAGAGGATGGGATTTGGCCAGGCTGGATTTACAGGTGAGGGTGGGAGTCGACCTCTGTATTAGTTCATTTTCATGCTGCCAATAAAGACGTACCCGAGGCTGGGTAATTTATAAAGGAAAGAGGTTTAATGGACTAACAGTTCCACGTGGCTGGGGAGGCCTCACAATCATGGTGGAAGGTGAAGGAGGAGCAAAGGCACATCTTACATGGTGGCAGGCAAGACAGTGTGTGCAGGGGAACTCCCCTTTATAAAACCATCAGATCTCGTGAGACTTACTATCATGAGAATAGGACAGGAAAAACCCGCCCCCATGATTCAATTACCTCCCACCAGGTCTCACCCATGACATGTGGGGATTACAGGAACTGCAATTCAAGATAAGATTTGGAGTGGGTGGACAGAGCCAAACCGTAAAAACCTAAAAAATGCAATGGTGATGGAAAAAAGCAGAAGTGTTTTATGTAGATCTAAACACATGCATGTAACCAAAAAACATATGTAATTTACAAACGTGTGTGCGTGTGTGTGTGTGTGTGTGTGTAAACATAGATTAGAAGGATTTGGAGGAAAAGTCACAATAATGCTTCCTTCTGGAAGAAGAGAATGGAAGGGGATCAGGAAGAGATGTGTGGAGACCTTAAGAGTATAATGAAGCCAGCTTCCTGGATGGAACTCAGAATTTCTTGATTTTTTTTTAAACTTCTGCAACAAATATGGCAAATTTTGATTTTTGGTTAATTCTGAATGCTGCGGATTTTGATATTTCCCTTTTCTCTGTGTTTTTGGTATTTTTTCCCCAAAAGAGCAACCAAGGTGAACATTCAGATAGCAACATGATCAGGGTGGCTTCTTGGGGCCAGGAGAGGGTCTGGGAATGGGGTTGGCGACATAGAAGGTCAGGCAACCTGTCTCACCTTAATTTCATTACTACAGACAAGAAGGTTGGATTTAGATGTCTCCAGGGTGCATCTGGCTCTGGCGTGCTCACCCGCATCAACCAGCTGAAAAATCCTTTTGGAGCTTAGGAAGGAGAAGGCTGGCAGAGGAGCCAGTGAAATGACCAGAGCTTGACTTGAAGCCAAGAAGGGCTTGGACAGAGAGAGAAAGTGTATGGGCAGGACAGAGATGCGTGGGTTCCCCAGGAGGTGGGGGCAGCAGTAAGACTGGGTTATGGGAGGGTGAGAGGAGGGCCATTAGGTCATTGCACAGAGTGAGGATTTGGGGGGTCAGTGTCTCAGTGTGTGTACTGCCCAAAACATGTCTCTTGAGCCTGTGAGAGCTCAGAGCCCTTTGAGTGGAGCCACCACTCATCATGAACCCAGTATCACCACAGTGAAATGTCAGCCCAATGGCCAGATTCCAAGTTTTCAAGAGAAGCCAAAATCCCTTCTTTCTATGAAAGCTTTTAATTTTTAGATGTTAGCTCAACTTGTTTTTGTAACCCTATTGGAGCAGCACACGGATCTGGGAGCTGCATAGAGCCTCTAGAGATGGTCATGGGTGCTTGGACTCTGAGAACTTTCCATCTGTAGATTTGATAGGAAGAAAGACCCTAGATGGTCCCATCCTTCCTGCAACTGAATCTTATGGTGGCTGAGCCACTTCCCAGGCATGTGAACTCAGCCAAGTCTTTTAAACTCTCAGAGCCTCAGTTTCCTTAGGGAGTCAAATGGGAATCATTGGACCCAACTCATGGACTGCTGGGAAGATTAAACAATATCCCAAACACATGGGAACGCATTTAGAACATTGTGAAGTGCTGTTCACGCACAGAGCATTAATGCTGCCATTCATGTTGGTTGTTGTGAGTTTTTATAAGCAAAGGGTCTGTGTCAAATCCATTCAGCATCCTTCTGTCTTAACAACAAATGGACAAATATACCTAACAATTTCTCTTGCATGGCTCCATGCAGATGATGCTAGCGTTTGGAGTCTTTTGAGAGGCTGTTTCTGGTGTGGTCAGACCCTTAAATAGGCAGGAGTTTCCTGGGGTTTCCTGCTGGATCTGATGCCCAATCACCACCAGGTAGCATCACTGAGAAAGGAGCTCCCCTATCTGCTCCAGGTCTCATCTCCAGGAGCCCCTGGGTACTGCTGCACCTGCAGCTGTTCTCACTCGGCTGGGACCACACCACAGAAGAGAGATCAAGACTGACCTCCCAGGAAGACCACAAAGGCAAGAGGCCTCCAAAGGCTGCCATTGGAGAGGCACCCTGGAGGATGTTTGAGGAGAACATGCTCCCTGTCCTCGGGTGAACAGAGGGCATCATGTATGCGTGGGAGACGTAGTCCTGGTATTCCATATGATCCCAAGGGGGTGGAGTAGGACCCTTGAGTTGTGCAAATCAGAGTTGCATGTGTAAAATGGGTAGTTTCGCAAATGGAGAGCTGCCTCTCACTGGAGGAATTCCAGGCAAGGCGAATGGCCTTGGAAGAGGTATCAGTTACCATCTGAAGTGTAATCTGGCTACACACCCTGGGGAAAGGCTCCTTCTAGCGTAGGCTTCCAAGATACTCCAGCAACCAAGCATCACAAGCATCCCTGTGGAGCACAGACTGGGGCCTCTTCTGTAACCCAAGCTGGCTGATCCTCAGAGCAGGACAGACCCCACCATATCCATGGCCGATCACATAGCCCCCCACCCCAGGGTCTGTCCAGGTAGCCTGTGGCACAGCCAGAGCAATTAATAACTTTGGCATCTGGATGAGAGGCCCTGGCAGGTTTCTCCCATTCTCCATTTCCCTTCCCAGTGCCTGTGAATAAATTAATCCCCTAATACATAATTAACTCAGAGTTGAAAGGTGAAGTCAAACTTAACCAATTTACTGTTCTGGAGCTGGTTTAGTTCGGATCATGTGATTTTAATTCTTTCCGTATGACCAGGTGATGGGGAAGGAGGCAGGGGGAGAGGAAAATGCACAGATTAATTTCATTCCTTAACCTCCCTAATGTGCCTGCTTGCTTGCATCGTGTTGCAGACAGCAGATCATCACATGATTTATGGGACTGACCGCTGCCTGCATCTCTCAGGCTAATGACACACACACTAGAGTCATTGATTTGTATGAGTAGCCCCCACTCTTCATTTATCACAATTTAATGTAAGAGTTTGCAACGCAGAAAAAAAAATTCACATGGGAAACATGGACCCATAGGCCCCGCCACTAACCAGTTATGAATCATTTGCTGCCTTTTAATATATAGACTATTCTATTCTGGAAAATGCCCCGTAAGGTCATATTCTTCTCCTGAACATCCCGACAATTAAAGTCCCCAAGAAGCTGTTTTAAGATGCATGGTCCCCCAGCACCTTTGTTAGCTCACGCTCTCTTGTAATGCATGCTATCGATTTGCGTCTGAACTCTCCGGAACCCTTCATAAGCCATAACCCGCAAAAGTTTCTGAGGGCAGCGCTATGCAAGCTGAGTGTGTGATGCCCAGGAGCTCCACGCACGAGCCAGCCAGGCCGCATGTGGACATGGGGCCTGGCCCCTTCCCCACACAAGCACTGGGGCCAGCCCAAAGGGGCTTGTAGCTCTGAGGGCCATATCAACTCCCCCAAATTAAGGGCATTTAATTTCTGATTTTAAAAAGTGCCCAAAAGTTAAGAACTTGGAAGATTTTAAAAAGGAACTAAAGACATGATGAGCAACAATACTGGGAGAGACTGTATTTTTCAAACTGGAGAGAAGGCACCCTGAGCTAACACCTTTGGAACACTCAGAGCCTCAGAACAGCCTGGCACATCTTCCTGGAGGGACACTTTTAGTCCATACATTGGGAAGAAAAACATATAAATTTTAATTAAAATATACATAGCCCTGTTATATAATAAAATGGAACACACATTTTTTTCAAGATGAA
Source organism: Homo sapiens (assembly GCF_000001405.40). Taxonomy (NCBI): domain Eukaryota; kingdom Metazoa; phylum Chordata; class Mammalia; order Primates; family Hominidae; genus Homo; species Homo sapiens. The sequence continues at coordinate 31,534,594 of NC_000019.10, read as the reverse complement.
ACCTAAGCCTTCAAAATAATGTGCTTATGCAGGAACCTTGACTATTCCCAGAGCTGCTTGACTGTGGAGGGGTGATCTGTGGTCTAGGGTATTTAGGGGGGAAGGTTGGGAAGCATGGTTCTTATAAACCAGGGTCACAGACAAAGAGGCCTAAAGAGCAAAGCAGGCCAGGTGAGGACCAGAGCAGACAGGATCTAGGAGCCCATCTGCTGGGGAGAGCATGGCTCAGCTCTTGTTGGAGAACTATAGGCCCAGTATGGTCCCACTTCCTAATTTTCCAGGTATGTATAAAATCCTGATTTTTTAAAAAATGAAAAAAAAAACCTATATTTTTAAACCAAGATAATGGAAAGAACACAGTTTAGCCCAAACCGAATGCTGGAATCAGTGAGCAAGTCACACACTGTAGTGTGATCCGCTCATCACATGCATTCTCTCTCCCTCAGGAAGTACCTCTCATGCCACAGCCAGGAGGGGACTTGTTGCAAACTGTAGAGCTCTTTGGAAAGCAGTATTATTACCCCCCCAGCAGCAATAGAAAGAGCATTTTTCGGACAGGGCACGGTGGCTCTCACCTGTAATCCCAGCACTTTGGGAGGCCAAGGCAGGCAGATCACTTGAGGTCAGGAATTCGAGACCAGCCTGGCCAACATGGTGAAACCCTGTCTCTACTAAAAATACAAAAATTAGCCTGGAGTGGTGATGCATGCCTAGAATCCCAGCTATTCTGGAAGCTGAGGCAGGAGAATCACTTGAACCCGAGAGGTAGAGGTTGCAGTGAGCTGAGATCGTGCCACCGCACTCCAGCCTGGGCCATAGAGTGAGACCTTTTTCAAAACAAAAAACAAAACAAAACAAAAAAAACAAAAACAAACAAACAAACAAACAAAAAAGCATTTTTGTGGATCCCAGCATAGATTGCAGGTCAGGTTCAATCCCAAGGTTAAGAGCCCCAACTTAGAAGCTCTGGGTTTGGAGTAAAGAGAAAATAGTTGTCTATTCACCATATTTAAAAAAATCAGTGGGTATAAAATTTTGGTTATGCTACATGAGTACATTATAGAGATTTGCTGTACAACATAGTGCCTATGGTTAACAATGTTGTTCACTCAAAATTTGTTAAGAGGGTGGATCTCATTCATGTTAAGGATTCTTATCACAGGTCAGGCACAGTAGCTCATGTTGTAATCCCAGCACTGTGGGAGGCCAGGGCGGATGAATCATTTGACCCCAGGAGTTTGAGACCAGCTTGGGCAACTTGGTGAGACACTGTCTCTACAAAAGCTACAAAAAAAAAATTAGCTGGGCATGGGGGCTCATGCCTGTAGTCCCAGCTAATCAGGAAGCTGGAGTGGGAGGATGGCTTGAGTCTAGGAGACAGAGGCTGCAGTGAGTTGAGATCATGCCACTGCGCTCCAACCTGGGCAACAGAGCGAGATTCTGTCTCAAAACAAACAAACAAGCAAAGAGTTCTTACCATAAAGAAAAAAGCATCATGGCAACTCCAGGAGATGTTAAGTGTACCTACTACCTTGATTTTGGGGATGGTATCACAGGTGTTTTCATATTTCAAACTCATCAAATTGTACACATTAAACATGGACACAGAGAGGGGAACATCACACACAGGGGCCTGTCAGGAGGTTGAGGGAAAGAGGAGGGAGAGCATTAGGACAATTTCCTAATGCATGCCGGGCTTAAAACCTAGATGACGCGTTGATAGGTGCAGCAAACCACCATGGCACATGTATACCCATGTAACAAACCTGCACGTTCAGCACGTGTATCCCAGAACTTAAAGTAAAAGATTTTTTAAATGTGCTGTTTTTTGTGTATCCTTTATATTTCAATAAAACTGTAAAAATTGCTATCTAATTATAATATAGTATTTGACACTATTTTTTAAAATAAAAGACAATTCATAATAACTGCCCCCCAACAGACAAACAAAAAACACCCCCAAACACTCTATCACACTAGGGCTATTTATCAATTCTTGAATGAATTATTTTCTGAAAATAACCATTCTGAAGATGTCATCTTGGTTCCTTTAGTACTTTCATGCCATCATGTTTATTTTGTAGAAAAGTCTACCTATAATCCCGCATTGTTTTTCCAGAAGCACCCCACCCTCAGATTTTAGGGAAAGGGGGAAATAGAAAGAAATTCTGAAATAATGACCTGGTCTCTGCCTGATAAATTCTGGCGGTCTAATAAGCGGGACATACATATAGAAATCAATACCGGGGATGCAGGGCCTGTGATGCATCCACCTTTGTACCAAGCCCTGTGCTGCCTCTGGGGTAATGCAGCAGGCGTTCTGAAACATCTTGAATGAATGGGAGGCTTCACCCCTGACTGGAGCAGTGAGCTGCTGGTGCTGAATTATGAATCAGAAAGTGAGGCCAGCGCAGTTCTGACCAAAGTGATGTCAGGGATGGAGAAGATGCCCTTTCCAGATGTCCAGCGGGGGTTCACTGGTGGGTAGAGGTGGGTCAGAGAAGGAGCCCAGGGGAAAAACAGCAGTGTTGCTGGCTCCAGGCTGTCACTCTCACTCGCGAGCCCTCTTTGACTCTAGTGCCTCATCTGTTACTGGAGACGGTAATGCCTACCCAGTCCTCCCACCTGTGTCTGTCTTGAGGCTTTTGGTAGGATTGGTTTGTTTTTTCATTGATTGGTTTATATATTCATTCATTCATTCATTCATTCATTCAATACATGTAGATACTTCCTATGGGCCAGGCCCTGTGCCAGCAACCTGGGGGTAGAGGGGGAACAGGATAAGCAGGATTTTAGTCATCATGCTCTAGAGTGGAGGCAGAGCGTGCATTACTAAGAAAACACATCAGATCATTTCAGACGGAGGGAGTGGAACCTTACAATGGGTAGTCGGGGAAGTTCTCTAAAGAGGTGACATGTGAACTGAGACCTGAATGACAAGTGTTTGAGGACCTGCAGTAATTATTAGAGCTAATGACTGTGCAAAGGGCAGCAATGGGTCTGACACAGTTGGGGAACAGCAATCTGTCCAGTATGTCCAGAGCTGAGCTTCACTCATCTGAAGCCACCCCCAGGGCAGAGTGGGACGAGGTAGTTGAGGGCAGGGGGCAGAGAGGCAGCCAGGTACACAGCCAATGCTGACTCCTGTTCACAGCATCTGGGCTTGAGGGGGCAGTTAACAGAGACTAGGTGCTGCCCTCTAGGAATCCACAGGCTGAGGGGGGAGGTGCATCCCAGAGTCATCAGATGGCAAGGTGAGGTCTCTGCAGGAGATCTGAGGGACAGGAGTCTCAGAAGGAAGACGATGAATTTGCAGAGAAGTGGAGGGTGGGAACTGCATGTCCAAGACATGGGCTGGAAAGTCTAGGGAACCAGGTCAGCTGTTGGTGTGGCCAGACCTCCAGCTGGATGCACAGGAGGGCTGCAGGTAAGAGAGGAGGCCAGCAGGGAGTGGTAATAGATGAGGCAGAGAAAGAGAAGAGTAAGTGGAAGGACTCAAGCCCCATCTGCGGGGCTCCCCATCAGGGCTGAGCTAGTAGCTGCAATGGCCCATGGTTTCCGGAGTGGCCAGACAGACAGCCCCAAGGATCCTTTATCAGACAGAGGACAGCTACATAGAGACCTCCCGGACCTCGACTTTCCACCCAGAAGGGGCCACTCTAACATCCCCAACAATGCGGACAGCTGGGCCAGCACCACAACAAACGCCAGGTGAGCACCGGCCCATGGCTGACACTGGGCTATAGATCTGTGTGTTCTGCAAAAGCAGGTAGTATCTCATTGTCAGCAGCTGTCACACTTGCACTGCCTCACCACCACCTGCAGGCCAAAAGCCAGTCTCCAGGCACCTGGGTGGGCTCCTTGAGTGTGCCACTGTTTTGTTTTTTTTTTTTTTTTCCTGAGATAGAGTCTTGCGCTGTCCTTCAGGCCTTTAGGCTGGCGTGCAGTGTTGTGATCTCTGCTCACTGCAACCTCTGCCTCCTGAGTTCAAGCAATTCTCATGCCTCAGTCTCCTGAGTAGCTGGAACCTCAGGCATGCACCACCACGACCGGCTAATTTTCATATTTTTAGTAGAGATGGGATCTCGATGTTGGTCAAGTTGATCTCGAACTCTTGACCTCACGTGATACACCCGCCTCAGCCTCCCAAAGTGCTGGGATTACAGGCATGAACCACCATGCCCAGCCTAACCACTGCCTTCTCCTAAAACTGTTGCTGTATGCTGTCTGCTCATTTAGTCTTCCTATTAATTTGTAAGGTAAGCACAGTTACCAGTATTTCATGCAAGCAAGCAGGCTCAGAAACACTAACTGACCTGTTCCAGGTTTCACAGTTAACAGGTAATGGAGCTAGTGTTATAGGACTCATGTCTTTGGGGTTCACAAGGCAGTTTTAGGGGCTAGAAAGATACCATGCTTTATCCTACATTTTCCTGAAAGCTGAGCTGGAGCCCAGGGTTATGTGGAGGTGGCCTATTTGGGAGGTGACTCTATGGAACAGGGGTAAGGCACTAAAGGAGATAAAATCATTCTACTCAGTATCTATCCAAAGGAAAGAATATGAGTATGGCAAAGGGATACCTACACCCCCATATTCACTGCAGCACTATTCACAATTGCAAAAACATGAAATCAACCTAAGTGTCCACTCATGAATGAATGGGTAAAGGAATACTATTCAGCCAGTAAAAATAATGAAATTCTGTCCTTTGCTGCAACATGGATGGAACTGGAGGTCATTATGTTGAGTGAAATAAGCCAGGTACAGAAAGACAAATATCACATGTTCTCACTCACATGTGGGAGCTAAAAAGTTGATTGCATGGCAGTAGAGGGTAGAATGATAGTTACCAGAGGCTGGGAAGGGTGTGGGGGCTGTGGGCAGGGCAATGAAGAGAGGTCGGTAAATGGGTACAAACATACGGTTAGAAGAAATAAGTTCTAGCATTTGATAGCACAGTAGGGTGACTGTTGTTAACAAGAATATATTGTGTATTTCAAAATAGCTAGAAGAAAAGATTAGCAATGTTCCTAACACAAAGAAATGATAAAGATTCAAGGTGATGGTTATGCTAATTACCCTGATTTGATCATTACACATTGTATGCCTGTATTAGAGTATCACAAGTACCTCATAAATATGTATAATTATTATATATCAATAAAAATAAACAAATTCTATTTTAATTTAAAAAAAACAGAAAGGAGAGAAGGCTGATTCAACAGCAGCCAAGCAAGGTGCCCTGAGGGCAGGAAGCAGGAATGTGGGATGGGGCCTGGGTGGGGATTTTTAGATCAACTTGCACACAACAGGAGAAAATGGCTGGCCAGAGACTTAAAGCTGAGGCACAAAGTAGCAAATGACGTGGATTCCATGATGAGAAAATTACCCCTCTACATTTTTCATTCCATCCTGAGGCTTTCTGTTAAGTGATACCTACCTCAGAGCTGGGGCATGGGGCTGAATTTAGCTACAATTTACAAATAATGTTTAATCATTGTATTTATTGAACTGTTGTTTCCTATCTATGTCTAATAATAGGGGCTTCCCATTGGTGATAATTGTAGAATGTTTCTTTTAACGACACAGGTCCAGCATGGTACCTCAGGCCTGTAATCCCAGTGCTTTGGGAGGCTGAGGCTGGAAGATCGCTTGAGCCCAGGAATTCGAGGCTGCAGTGAGCTATGATGGCGTCACTGCACTCCAGCCTGGGCGACAGAGTAAGATCCTGTCTCAGCACAAAAAACTAACAAAAAAAACACACTTGGTTCTGTAAAAGGGGTAAGTGGATGTAATGAAAATATAATTAGTGAGCGGTAAAGGGCCCAGAGACATGGTGGATGTGGTAAGAAGAGACCCAGGAACGGCGAGAAATCAAGTGAAGGCTGCGGCTCCGTCCTGAGCTCATTGCTCCCTGCAGACACCCTGATCCTGCGTGCAAGCCTGGTCCTGTTTTCCAATCAGGCCATCTCCTTCAAACAAGCACTGCTTGTATTAATGACGGTGATAGCAACAATGACTGCAGTAATAACAATAAGCATCATAGCAGAAATTGTCATGTCTGATGGAAGTTTCTTGTTTGCCAAATGCTCTCACATCTGTTATGGCATCTGCATGGGGCCTCTGTGTCTGCACCTTCCATAGAGACCACTTGGGCCAGGGGAGCCCTGGACTACCAGGCTGGACTCAGTGAACAGCTACTAATTAACTGATTGATTGATTGATTTTAAACACTTATAAGAGGCCATGGGGGGAAGCCAGCCTTCCACAAGTTCTGTTTGCTCATTAGAAACTAGTCACTGTGAGGGTACTTTCGCCTTTAACTGATTAATGTACATCTACTGCTCTGGACTGACAGCCTCATGAGGGCAGGGTCTCTTCCTGGTCCCAATATACAGCAGGTGCTCAGTAAATGCTGAAGCATGAATATCACTGCTTTTAAAGAGGATTTCTTCCTTCCACGAGGTCTGGTGAGGATGCTGAGTGAAGGAGAGGGACTCTGAGTTGTAGGAGTTCCTTCCCTCATAGCCAGGCCCTGGTGCCTGGCAGATTGTCGGGAATGTTAAATGCACCCATGATCACAACAAAGCTCTGGACAGCTTAAATCCCTGCCAAAAACTGAGGCCTTGGTTGTGTGACATGATTGTGTTATTATTACTGTCAAGTCACATTGTGAAATAAGCTTATTTAACCTGCACAAATTCAGCAAAATGCAGTTGTAGAGGGAGAAGAGCAGAGAGAAATTTTCGCATCCCACCCTCCCTTCTCTGATGACATCTCTGCTAAATTGTGCACCCTTCTTCTGGTCCTTGGAGGTTTGTCCATGCAGGTCACCTCCAAGGAGGTTTTGGTCCTGCCCACAAGCTCCATCAAGCTTGGCATTCTGAACTCCTGGGTGTGGAGAGGCCACTCTGTGGGTCCTGCCTCATCCTGGGCTTCCCTCTGACCTGGAGCCTGTGTGCATGGACATACTACCCAGCCAGTGTAACTCAGAGGCTGGCCCAGGCAATTGGGCCCTTTCTTCTCTCCCTTTCCTTCTACAGCCATTTGGTGGATCCCACAAAACTGATTGGGGCTGTGCTGCCTCTTTGCACTTGGCCTGGAAACAAAGCCCTCACCCTTCTGTTTCCCTTCCTTCATTCCTCCCAGATTTAACTCAGACTGGTTTCCAATCTGACAGCCCACACTCCTGGCCCTTCATCATCATCTCTCTCTCCTGAATCTGTCCTCTGAGACTTGCCCCTGCCCTAGGGCCTAGGCTTCTGGAAATCTACAGTCAGAAAAGACTCCTTTCTTTGCCTGCTTTCTGCTGCTCTATTCTGCCCAGGGCCTAAGAGATAGAACAAAATGAACTGAGGGATAAATGAAAGAGAGGAAGAGCAGGGAAGATTGGCTAATATTTTAGAATATTATCCCACTACTCTTCTTAGCTAAAATGCATTATCTCATTAAGTTTCATTTTTATTCCCATTTTATAGATTAGGAAACTGAGGGTTGGTGGGGCTAAGTGGCTTCTGCAGGGTTATGATTAATGAATTATGGGCCATGATTTACATCCAGGTGTGTCTGAACCCAGAGCTTACTTCACAAGTGCGTTAGCCTATCCATCCCTCCAGAAGAAAGCTAGCAGCTCAGGAGAAGAGGCAGCCAGCTGGGCCAGGAAGTAAGAAAATAAGGTAGCTCTGAAGCCCCCAATCTCCAGCAGGCATCCTACATGGTGTCTGCAGACAAAACCACTCACCACTTAAGTTCAACACTTGAAGTTTGCAGAAGCAAGTTTCCTTAGTAACCTAGTCTTTGTGATTTGGGGAGCTCACATAAAGTACAACTGATTTTTAGTTTAATTTCCTTCTTGGAATAGAATCAGTTATGTCTGCTGGTGTTGACACAGATGGGCACCCTTAGTTTGCTGCTGTGGTTCATTTTGGCATCTGCTGTTGTTTCCTGGTGTCACAGAGGGCCAGACTATGAGTAGCAAGGAATGAGTGTGCTCAGAGATGGGAAACTGTTCACTTTTAGCTCTCCACTCCCGACAAACTTTTTCTGGTGTTTGGCCTAGAAGGGATACTGTATCCCTTTGCTTCATGTGTGCCAGCTATGGTGTGGCAACTATGTCATGGCTTATTTTACTTTTTCTTCATATCAAGCTTGTTATTTTACAGACAACTTTACCATGACACTGAGGAACAAACATGTAAAGTGATTTGCCTAAGATTACATAGTGAGTGAGTAAGAAAGCCAGGATTTGATCCTGTTCTTTATGGTTAGAGGCCATTTTCTTAGTTTGGAACTTCACATTAAAAGTTAATAATAAAAGTAATTAAACATATAAGAACAATTGCAAAAAGTAAGGAAAGATATGCAAGTATACTGTTCTAAGATTCTTATAAAGTATGTTAAGTGGCATGATATTATTTGAAAGTAAATTGGTAAGTTAAAAAATACATGTTGTAAACTTTAGAAAACTAAAATACAAAATGGTAGTGGAAATAAAATGTAGTTAAAAAATAACTAATCCAAAAGAAGACAGATAAAAAGAACAAATGGGAAAATTAAAAAACAAATAGCAAGATGATAAACTTAATCATATTAAAAATTACACTAAATGTAAATGGTCTAAATATTTTGATTAAAAAAAGTCAGCTTGGATATAAAAACACGACTTGTCTAAAAGAAATGCACTTTAAATACACGGCACAGAGAGGACAAAAGAAAAAGAATGCCGACATGTTCTTCAACAGATAAGTGAATAAACAAACTGTAGTATAGCTATCCAATGGAATAACCCTACTCAGCAATAAAAAGAAATGGGCTATTGCTTTACACAAAATGAATAAATCTTAAGTGCATTTTGCTAAATGAAAGAAGTCAGACACAAAGTTTACTTATTTTCTGATTCTATTTATATAATATTATAGAAAAGACAAAATTATGGGTACAGAAAACGTATCAGGGATTGCCAGGGGTTAGGGAGTGGGGAGGTGTTGACTATAACAAGACAGAGAAGAAAATGTTTAGAATGGATGAAGCTATTCTGTATGGTTCTTGGGTGGTAGATAGATGGTACTGCTTTTTTATCTCAAAATCAACATAACTGTACACTACAAAGAAAACTTTACAGTATGTGATATTCTTTAAGAAGTCAACCAGGATATTGAAAGATCCCAGGATGGAATGTAGACCTTGACAAATGAATCTAACTTTATTAAAATATGACAAAATATCACCACTGGGATGAAGAAAAAAAGGGGCTGACCTAAATAAAAACAACAACAAAAAAAACTATATATAAACACAGTACCTTAGGTAGTAAATGTGTTTCTCACAGGGATATATTTAGCAATTATAAAACTACTTTACATATAAAAACTAGTAATTTATAAATAAAGGAAGCCAAGTTTCTCACTGTTAGAGAAAGAAATTACAAATAAGCAAGGGGTTGGGAAAAGGGACAAATGTTTGAATAATTTTATACAATAAACATTATGTGTATATACATGTACAGTATATATATTTATATATGTATATTTAAATATAAAATTATAGGTGTGTGTGTGTGTATGTGTATGTGTATGTGTATATACACACACATACCTATAACTCTATAACTTTACATATAAATACTCTCTCCCCTCTAGGAAGTATAACTTAATTCTTTAATTCTGGGAACTTGGTGACTCACTTTCAATGAATACAGTATGGAAAAAAAAATAGTAACTTTACAGTGAAGAGACCTGGCAGACTTAACCAAATGATCAAAGTTAACATCAGTAATAGTGTCATTTTTATCATTTCTGCCCCTAAAAGATGTAATGAGGACACTTCACATTCTATAATCCCAGTATAAACATGAGAATATGTCAGACAAACCCGAATTGAGAAACAGTCTACAAAATACCTGGCTAGTACATTTTAGATGCATAAAGGCAATGACAAACAATAAAAAGACTGAGAAATCTTCATGGACCAGAGGAGACTAAGGTGACACAATAACGAAATACAAATGTGGACTCTTGGATAGACTCCTGGAACATGAAAGGAAACTAGTAGCAAACCTGGGGAAATCCAGGTAAAAAATGTGCTTTAGTTCCTAATAATGCACCAATGTTAATTTCTTAATGTTGACAAATCTGCCATAGTTGTTTAAGATGTTAACATTAGGGACAGATGAGTGACAGTTATGCAGAGAATCTCAGTACTATCTTTGCATTCCTCTGTAAATCCAAAATTATTCAAAAAATTTTAAGTAAAAGAATGAAAAATTCTACACCATATAAACACTAATCAAAGGTAAGGTGGGGGTAGCTATATTAGTATCAGAGAAATATATTTCAAAGAAAAGAAAGTTACCAGTGATAATGAAGTACATTTCATAAGGATAAAGGGATCAATTTATCAAGAAGTTATAACACACGTAAATGCTAAATGCATGTACACTTCATAAAGCTTTAAATTACATTAAAACAAAAACTGAAAGAACTGAAAAGAGAAATGGAAAAATCAGTGATCATTGTTCAAGATTACAACATTCATCTCTCAGTAACTGAAAGAATATACAGACAAAATGCAACAAAGATACAGAAGATTTGAATACCACAATCACTGTGGTGTGCTAGAACTAGCTTGCACTGGCTAGTGAAAGCAATTTCATTTGTGACAGCACAATGTGGTGACAGCACATTGTTAGCTTAAAATCAGCATTGATAAGAATGCATATCCACAGAAGGTATCAAATACTATGTATCAGGACTTTTTCTTTCCAGATATTCAGTTAAACGTTCCCCAGAACACCACTGTCAATCAACCAAAACTGAGTGACATTTAGGGACATTTAGAGAAAATCCTAAAAGAGTAGAATGCACATTTTTTCAAGTCTATATGGGTCATTCACTAAGGTAGCTCATATTCTAGGTCATAAAATAAGTTTAAATAAATTTTTAAAAAATTGAAAAATAAGAAGTATATTCTCTGACCATACTGGAAATAACCTAGAAATCAATAACAGAAAGGTATCTGGAAAAACCACAAACATTTGAAATTTAAAAACATACTTCTAAAAATCCATGAGTGAAAAAAGAAATCACAGGAAAAATAAAACAACATTATGGCCTGGAAATAGTATGAACTGAATTTTAAAAAATCAAAATGTGTGGGTTGTAGATAAAGTGATAATTAAGGAAATTTGTTATATTTAAAAGCTTACATTAGAAAAGAAGAAAAAACTAAACTCAATGATTGAATTTTTACTTGAAGAAACTAGAAAACGAAGAGCAACTGAAACCCAAAGTGAGCAGAAAGAAAGAACATTATAAAGACTGGACATTAATAAAATAGAAAACAGATAATTGAGTAAATCTATGGAAACAAAATTTGGTTCTTCAAAGTATCAATAAATGAAGAAAATTTAAAAAGACTAAATAATAAAAAAGAAGGGGAAAAAGGAACACAGCAATTACCAATATTAGGAGTTAAAGAACAGACATCACTTCATATCCCACAGACCTTGAAAGGATAATAAGGAGATATGAGAAATAACTTCGTGTCAGTAAATTCAATAACTTGTAAGAAATTGTCAAATTTCTTGAGAGATACAAATTATCGAAGCATACTTAAGAAGGAGCAAATAACCGGAATAGGCTTTTATCTATTAAAGAAATGGAATTCATCATTTGAAAACTTTTGACAAAGAAAATCTCAGGCCTAGTTTACTTGAATGATGAATTCTATTGTTTATTTATAGAATAAACAATACCAGTTCTATACAAACGCTCCAGAAACTATAGGAGAAGAAATATATCCTCAATCATTTTACACAGCCAGCCTTAATCTGATATGAAAATAACAAGAAGACATTACTATAAAACAGAACTACACATTAACACGCCTTATAAATATTCATCCAAAAACCCCTAACAAATTTTAACAAATTAAATCCAGAAAAATACAAATATAATAATATATCATGACTAAATGGGCTTATCCAACAAATGGCAGACTAGTTTAACATTCAAAAGTTAATCATTGCAATTTACCTTATTAATAAACTAAAAAACACAAACTTTTACAATAAATTCTGCTGTAACACTTGTTTTGAAATGTGAATTTGTTTCAATGCAATTCACGTGTTAAGAACAATTTGAACTTTGTGTTTGCTTATGCACAATTTTGCTATCAAGGAAAACTAGATGAATGCAAAAAACTGCACTGAGCTGAAATCAGCTATGTAGTAATATGTGGAAAACAGTGGTACCATTTTTATTAGGTTCTCATCTTTTCTTTTCTTGTGTGTGTCACTGATAAAGGTTTTTAGTGTGGTGCCTGTCACCCCAATTTTTCCATAAGCACTGAGGTTTTTCTTGCAAGATTTTAAATAGCATAGCAGGAACTAATTGCAATCATAGATACTGAAAAAGCATTGGACAAAATTGAGCAGCAATTCATGAATAAAAACTGTTAGCAAACTAAGAATATAGAGAACTTCTTCAACTAGATTAAGAGTATCTATGACAAACCTACAGCTAAGTTCCTATTTAATGATGAAAGATTAAATCTTCCCCTACGACTGGGAAAAAGGCAAGGAAGTCTGCTTTCACCACTTTGATTAAAATTTACAGTGGAGGTCCCATATAGGACAGTAAGTCAAGAAAAACAAATAAAAGACATACAGATAATACGATAATCTATGGAGGAAATCCAAGAAATCTATAAAATAAGATAGAATTAATAAGTCAATTTAGCAATGAAACAGAATATATGGACTAGACATAAAAATATACAACATGGGAGAGTGGGGATCATTAATGTGTAAAAAATTAGTCAGAAACAATGAAAAAGACCTAGTATTTGATAGCACAACAGTGTGACTACAGTAAATAATAATTTGATTCTACATTTAAAAATAACTAAAAGAGTATAAGTGGGTTGTTTGTAACACAAAGGATAAATACTTGAGGGAATGGATACCCCATTTTCTGTGACGTGATTATTACAAACTGCATGCCTATATCAAAATATCTCATGTACTCCATAAATAAACACACCTATTATGTACCCACAAAATTAAAAATTAAAAAAGGAATAAAAATAAAAATGTACAACAAATTTTTATAAAGCAAAGTTTTAAAATACCTTTTATAATAGTATGAAAAATATTAATAGGAATAAAATAAACAATGTGAGAGGCATATTCTGAAAACTACAAATTATTACTGAGATAAAATAGAAAAGACTTATATACATTGAGAGGTGTAACATGCTGAAATAACAATATATGCACATGGAAAATATAAACCTCATTTCTTAGCTCACATTATACATAAAAATTAACACTTCTAGAGGAAAATAGAAAAGAAAACCCTGTGATCTTGGCCTAAGTAAAAATTGCTTACATAAGACACAAAAAACACAAACCATAAAAGAAAAAATGAATAAATGACTTATCAAAATTAGAACTTTTAGTCTTTGAAAGACATGTCTAAGAAAATGAAAAGCCACAAACTATGAGAATATATTTGCTAGAAATATCTGAAAAAGGAGATACACCCAGAATATATAAGGAACTGGCACAACTCAAATATAAGAAGATAATCAATCTAAATGGGCAAAAGATTTGAACTGGCCTTTCACCAAAGAAAATATTATGAATGTCAATTAAGGACATGAACAAATGCTCAACATCATTAGTTTCTAAGGAAATGCAAATACTACCACAACAAGACACTACTGTACATACACAAGAATGGTAAAATTAGAAAGACTGACAATACCAAGTGTTGGTGAGGATGTGGAGCAATTGGAATGTTAAACATTACTGGCAGGAATACAGCCACTTTAAAAAATAGAAAGTTTCTTATAATGTAAATATCTATTTATCATATGGGCCAAAATCTCACTCCTAGATATTTGTCCAAGATAAGTGAGAACATATTAACACAAAAACTTGTACCTAAATGTCCATAGCAGCGTTATTCAGAATGGCCTTAAGCTGGAAACTACTTGCATGTCTAAAACTGGAGCATCGATAAATCATTTTATGGTATATACATACGGTGGAATACTACTCTGCAATATAAAGAAAAACACACAGCAAATCAAACACACTACAAAAATCAAACTAATCAAACACACAACAAAATGCCTAACTCTCAAAAACAGCATGCCAAGTAAAAGAAGCCAGATATAAGAAAGAAGCTGGTACATATTATATAATTCCACTTAGGCGAATTTCTAGAAAAAGAAAAACTATAGTGACTGAACTATCAATACTCACTAGGAGCTGTAGGAGATTGAAAGCAAGGGGCCAGGGACATGAAGAAACATTTTGGGGTGATGCATTCTAAATCCTGATTATGGTGGTGGTTCTGAGGTAGGAGGTGGGACTCGACTCCAAAGGTTGGGCTTGAACACTGGACCAAATTGAGAAATAGCTGAAACAGGGGTGGAGTGGAAGCAGCTTTCCTTGAGACATGCCTACCATTGTGCCATGTCAGTTTGCCATTGCCATGGCCACACTCCATGGCAACACCCTGCCCCTTTCCATGGCAATGACCCAGTGACCTGGAAGTTGCCACCCTTTTCCTAGAAATTTCTGCATAATCTGCCACTTAATTTGCATGTAATTAAAAGTGGGTATAAATATGTCTGCAGAGGTGCCTCTGAGCTGCATGTCCAGGCACACAGTCTGTAGGGTGGCCCTGCTTTGCAAGGAGCAGTCCCTCTGCTGCTGTGCATGGCCTTTTCAATAGAAGCTGCTGTCTAATACCACCGGCTCCCCCTTGAATTCTTTCCTGGGCAAAACCAAGAAACTTCCCAGGCTAAGCCCTAGTTTTGGGTCTTTCCTGTCCTGCATCATTTCCACAAAGGTACACATTTTCCAAAACTTAACAAAAGGTCAGTACACTTAAAGCAGATTGCCTATATTGCATGTAAATTATACTTCAATAAAAATAATTTTTAAACAGGGATGATGGACGTTAGGGAAGCCTTGGGACAAGAAAGTGGACTTGGGCCAAGGACCTCCTGGAACATCTGTCTAAACAGATGTTTTCTGTGAAGGGTAATGAGGATCCTCTTTAAAGAAAGCTGTCTGGGCAGAGAGGTCGGTTCATAGATGGCTTCAGGCAGTGAAATGAGTGCTGGGTTTTTCCAGATGAGCTGGGTTTAACCACAGCTCCTCTCTTAAAAAAGACATGAGGGTTGCCAAACTCCTTGTCTTCCCTGAGCCTTGTGTTTTGTGTCCCAGCCTGTATCATGTGTATTGAGCTCACCCTGCTCTGCTCAGACGGCTGTGCTCACCATATAAGTTGAGATGGGTTGAAAAAGCTCTACAAACTTCAGAATTCTGTGCACACGTGAAAGGAGACGCAAGGAAGCTAGGGTCCAAAGTGGCAGGATGAGTTTTAGGTTTTAAAATCGTGTGAGTGCACACAATTTTAAAATTGCTCTTTGCATTGGGCAGGAAGGGAAAAGAGAGGCTCCTTTCTTCTCACTGGGTATTTTGAACACTTATCTTGGGCTTCAGTGAGTTTGTTTAGATTTAAAGATATGTTGTCTGCGACCCTCCAGATCAAAGAGAACGAAGCTCCTACGTATGGAGGCCCTTACGGGCCAAACTAGATAATGTCATTATCCTATAAACAGGTGATAACGGCAGAGCCAGGCTCATCTCAAACTAATCCAGTTCTAATCCCTTCAAGGGTCTGGAAAGATGTCAGAGAATAAAAGGCCACTGCCACTTAGCAAGCTGTATCTTGTGAGTGGATTTGTCACCCTTCAGGCCCGAGCATCTGTCTGGTTGTCTAGACATGACAGGCGTGGTGGGCTGTGGGGAGGGTGTGGGAGGCACTCCCTTTTCACATGACTGAGGCTGGAGCAATCCTGTGCTCCTTCCCCCTCCTAGGTACCGGGATTCCAAGAAGGATAACTGCTGATGGTCCCTTAACCACAACGACTACAGCAATCAAAATTACTCACAAATACCGAGCCCACATCATGGTCTTGTGTACTTATTTTTGTTTTAGAAACGATTAAATAGAGGCTGAGAGACAGGAAGCAATGTCCAAGATCACAGAGCAAGAGAGAAGCACAGCCAGATTCCAGCTCAGGGAGTCTGATCCTAGAGCTTCTGCAACCACTGTCTCTCAGGAAGCAGAGACCTCCCCTGCCTACTTACTTCCCTGTTCCAGGCTCCTGCAGGCCATGGGGCACTGGGCCTGCTCATTTCTCTGAGCTTCGATTCCCTGACCCTAAATGACGATAAATAGGGTAGGAGGAGATTAAGTGGGATAATGGATGTCAAGCACCTCGGAAGGTATGTGGCCCTTACTAAATCACTCAAACATGTCAGATTCCATTTTCTTTCCTAAATACCTTTAGCAGGCAATTCTCTAGCCCTGGGGACAGACAGCGAGTGTTGGCCTCTGAAAATGTTTAAGCAAAGATCACGAAGTGGAGCTACCCTCCTTGCTCGGGATACGCGGCCAAGGCCGCTGCCAATGGAGCTTGTGGACACGAAACTGGGTCTCCATCCCAGGGTGGAGAGGCCTTCGCTCTGCCCCGGCTGGGATCTCCTTGTGGACAAGCCCCAGCCATTGATGCGGATGGAAGTTGCGTCTGTATTCCCGTTAGGAATGACTGTCTACAGCATCGAGGCTGGGAAGAAGAGGAGCCTGGTCTCAGCTCTGGCTTGCGGGTCTCGGAATGATACCCTTCAGACTGCAGTCAGTCCTCAAAGCCGGCGATTATGGGGGGGATCTTCCTGGTGGTCTCTGTGCAGCAGCAGCTCAGGAGCGCTCCTGGGATAAAAGGGAAGCTTGCTTTATCCTCTCTTGACAGGTTCATCGGCAGTGCTCAGAATAGAGATGGAGTGACCAGGGCTCTGGGTGGATGCCGTGGTCTGGTGGGGAGGGGGTAGCAGCAGGTGCTCCCACCCCAGCCCGCGGCCTCTGGCCACAGCCCGGCCCCCCTGCTTGGTTCCACCACACTAACCACCAATTCCACGGTCTGCAGTTATGTTCAGTAAGTACAAGATGAACATCATCTCAATTAACAGAGTACCTTTAGGGCGTCTCTCCGCCAACTATTCCGGCACGATTGTCCACACTGTCATCAGGGCCTAATCAACTAATGATGGCTGAAAATGAGGGAGGCCAATCCCAATAAATTCGAAGGAAAGTCATTTTTCTCTTTTAATGCCCCTCTCCCTCCTTCTTCCTTCTTCCCACGGCACAATGCAGTAAATTAATGTCACGGTGGTTATTACAGTACCGCTGCTATGGCAAGTATTCAAGCGACGATCCTGGAATATTTTACCTCAGCATTTATTTGTCCATAAAATAAAACAGGATTTATGGCATGACTCTCCAGTTTGAGGGTTGCATGGACAGCAGCTGGGGCACATCCTTATCTCCTCCACAGGTAAAGATATAGGAGCCGGAGGAAGGGAGTCACTCAGTGCCTGAGGCTGAGAAGGGTGTGTCCCGCGTCGGGGACCCACTGGCTGCTCCAGCTGGAAAAGGCTTCAGTTACAAAGGCATTGTGGCTTTGAGATGGGGGATTTGGGTGCATGAGCAGGAGCCAGATTGTTTTAGACAAATATCCTGGTCCCCTACTTTTGACACCCTGATACGCTTCCTGCAGGCACCCGGGAAGCCAGGGCTGCGGCTCAAGTGTGCCTGTCAGGTACTGGCCCCCTGCTGGCCCCCAGGATGCTGTGATTGTTCCTGTTGTCCCCTGCAATCTGTTTGGGGGGACCGAGCACTGACGAAGGCTGCAGCATCCGGGGCTGGAGGGAGGCAAGGTTCTGCTGAACAAAATACTGAAGTACAGTTTATTAAAACACGTCTGCCTGCACAAAACTCTTCCTGGGAAGGGAGAGAGACTCCACCTTGGAGAATACACTGTGAAATTATAATTCATTGATTCGGAAGCCAATCATTTCGTATTTTGACTGCTGGCTTAGGAATATTCATATTTTCCACCGCATTTAAATTTCCCTGTGCCATTAAAATCTCCGAGCTCTATAATTAGGCCTCTCCTGATAGATATGGATGAGGTCTCTGTTCCGGGGAGAGCAAGCAGGAGCCTCTGGGAAGCAGGGCTTTGCGGAGTGGGCTTCCCCTCTAGGCACTGCGCTCATTCTCTCCCCTCCCCAGTGGGAGCCCTTCCAGGCTGCCCACCCTCCACAGGGACCCTGACTGGGGGTCTCTGCAAACAGCCTGCACCCACTGCCTGCTGCCCTATCCCCTCCTATGCTGGGGGGGTTTAGGGGGGTACACAGTCGCTGCAATGTTTACTCACTTAAACATAATTTGCATTCCAAAAGCTGTATTCTTGACTCGGATGATATTTGTGAAATGAAGTCCTGCTGGTTGCGCAACCAAAACAGATGTGGCTTGCTCCACCGCGACGTGTATACCAAACTGTGCTCCTGCTCAAAACGAACTAAATAAATAAATAAAGAGGCGTCTTCTCCAGAAGTAAATATTGTTTTATGAAATGAAATATAGCACCGAAGCCGTTCCTGCCTTGTCCCTGTCAACACGGCCCCGGAGCTGGAGTCTTGGAGCCCCGCCTGTTCGAGTCCCACACACTGATGCCTGTGACCACATGCACTCTGCGCATGGCCAAAGCCATCAAGGCCGCCGTCCTGGCCGCCATCTCACCAGTCAGGTTTCTGCTGAGATGGACCAAAATACTGGGTAATGAAGATGGAAAACCAATACAGAACGGGGGAAAATAAAGAATTGCTTAGAATGAATTCTGCACGTAATTACTTGCGTTTTTGCTAACTACTCTATAAACAACACTTTTAACAAGGCAAATTGGAATCTTGAAGACAATTCTGCTTAGGGATATAGCTTCAATTTATTATACGAGGATAACTGAAAACTTTGTTTCTGCTGCGTTGCAGTCAATTTCCATGGCACACACATTTCGAATGTGTGATTAATCATATGAGTGCACCGGTTGCCAATAAATACCAAAACTCTAAAACTCTTAACAACTTGCTCATTTTTTGTGGTCATTCCAAATGGCTAAACAGCCTGAGCCTGTCAATGTGCACCAGGATCAATGCTCTGGGGTCTCTGCAGAAGATTGATTTTGCTGTCAGAGGATTTCATTTCGCTCATCAACAAAAATACTTGCCTCCCTAAATAATCGGATCCCAGGCCTGGCTTCAGTGTAATGTCCTACCTATGGCCGCCACCATTTCCTGCTCTGTCAGCCAGCCAGCCATAAAGGGCTTAGTGTGTGCTAGAATCTCACCACTTCTTGGCCAAAAATAGGACACTTTTGGTCATTTGGCCACTACAAAAAAAAAAAAAAAAGAAAGAAAAGAAAAAGAGGGAAAAAAACCCAATAAGTCAAAATAGCTTAGATAATTGGAACAATGAAGCATCAGTTTAAAACTAAGAACTTAGAGGAGAGAGGCAACAAATGCTATCCTAACTTAAGCCTCTATCATATTAATTTTATCATTGCTGGCTCTCTATTTTCTTTTTCTAGGTTTTGATCAATCTTCATCTCTTATGCATAGTTTCTGGTGAACAGCTCAAATGTAGTTTTCAGCATGCCTAGAACTGCTACTGGTTAATAATAGTGTGTGTATATGTATATATATATATATATATATATGTATATGTATACACACACTATTATTATTATAATAGTGTATATATATATGCTATTTGTTGGGTATTTAACCCTGAAGATAACGCTCCCTAATGGTGGAGGACAAGGATGAAAAAACACATTGGCATGTCAAATGCACCCTGAAGAACAGTGAAGTAGCTGGGAAAAAAAATTAGGTGTTTCTACCTAGTGTCTACAAGGAGCCTTGAAGTGGCTGCTTTACCTACTAATTAGTTGGGTCTTTTGCTGAGGGGCCCAAGCCATTCCTCATTCAATATACAAAGCCCACTTTGAAAGAAACTTTTCTTCTAAGGGAGGAACTCTCTCCCTCCATGGCCCCCACGCAATGTTGATCAAGCCCCCACCTTCTCATTAGGACAGCTTTCGAAAAGACCTAGAATGCCTACACCTCAGACCAGACTTCATAAACATCAGAGAGGTGCTGAATGCCAAACACCTTTCTAAGGGGGGAAAAAAAAGAATAAGGTGAGATCACTTCATTCTCCTGCAACCTAAAAATAAACGGAAGGGGCTTCTCCCAGCTTCAGGGAGTGCATACAGATTTCTTGCTGACATTCGATTCTCTGAACTGAATGTCACACTCGCTGAGAACAGTTAAAAAAAATAATAATGCTAGACTGTTATCATTATTAGAAGGGCAAGAAGAATGAAATATCATGATTATCATTAGGAAACCCTGTAAAACATATTTGTACATTATCTTGGGGCAAATACAAGTGTCATGTGTTACCAATTGTTAGGCAAAGAACGTGGTAATATATTGTTCCCCTCCGGCTCTCTGCACAGCTCAGCACAGGGCAGAAATGACGTGCACGGTGTGTGCAAGCATCCAGACCATGCCGGCACGGTGCGTGGGGGGGAGAGGGCCGCCCTAGGACTTGTAACACAAGGAAACTGTTGAACCACGGGATAGATGCCGCAGCGGCAAAGAAAGGTATTCTGTGGCCTGGCTGGCCACCTAGAAAGCTGGACCAGACCTTCCCTATGGGAAGGAGTCCCAGGTGCCCTCTTCACCAGGGTTTGGACAGGGCCCAGCAGCTAGAATGCGAGGGCTAGCTCAGTGCGTAGGGATTTGATTGCTCACTCAGGAAGCCTGAGTTTCCCAGGAAGAAACTGATTTGCCTTTTCTCTTCTGAGACATTACATGTCAAAAAAGAGCCTTAGGAGTGAAGCTGGTTTGGAGAAAAACATTCCAAAGAGCCTTACCCCTTGAACCCTAGGCAAGTCTGCAAATGAAGGGTGTTTTGTCCTGTTTTATTTATTGTTTGATATTTTAGCATCAAAAGCCTTTTTGAGAATGTCACGAGGATGGAAATGCATAGGTGCACATATTTCATGTCACTGTTGTGGGCTCACAATCCCCCTTCTAGTTCATCCAGCAGCCCTTTGAGGCCCCGGATTTCCCACTTAGAAACCTTTGGTCCAATAGCCACAGCATGGAATCAACCTAAATACCCATCCATGGTAGACTGGATAAAGAAAATGTGGTACATATACACCATGGAAAGCTATGCAGTCATAAAAAGAATGAGATCATGTCTTTTGCAGGGACATGGATGGAACTGGAGGCCATTATTCGTAGCAAAGTAACACAGGAACAGAAAACCAAACACTGCATGTTCTCACTTATAAGTGGAAGCTAAATGATGAGAACACGTGGACACATAGAGGAGAACAACACACACTGGAGCTTATTGAAGGGTGGGGTGTGGGAGGAGGGAAGGGATCAGGAAAAACAACTAATGGGTACTAGGCTTAATATCTGGGTGACAAAATAATCCGTACAACAAACCCCCACAACACAAGTTCACCTATGTAGCAAACCTGCACATGTACCCCTGAACTTAAAAGTCAAAAATAAAATAAAATAAATTAAATAGACAAAAAGGGACATCTGGTCCGTGCGTTCTAGAGGGGGCTTTCCAGGCTCTGGCTTCCAGAGATACCTAATTCCTGGGAGCATCTCTGGAGCTCTCTGCTCCATGTTGAACATCGACCCAACAGCCCTCTGGGGATGCCCAGGAAGGAAGGGAGCTCTCCTAGTCCAGGGACCCAGTCAAGGCCCCTCATGAGTACAAGGTGGGTGTCTCCTATTCCCAGTACCCTCTCTGCACCTGGTGGCTGGACAGAGGGTCTGGAGTGGTTAGGAAGCCCCAGGATAGCACTCTTGGAACAGCTATCGAGAAAGAACAACCTCTGCCTAGGGACAAGAGGACACTGCTTGGAAAACGCATGCCCACAGTCTATGGGACTCCCGGATGCTGCAGCTGAGACCACCTTCCCAAGGCTTGGCTTCTCTCAGACTTGGGTTTTCCTAGAAAAGCAACATTGTCTCTGGGCCACGAAGGAGCTGGACACCTTTATCTTTGCACATCAGAGCTCACCTGAGCCTTCCTGTGTGCCCTGCTCATGGAGACAGCCTGGGGGACAAGTCACTGTGTGCCTCTGAAGCCAGCCCTCTCTCCCCAGGCAGCCTCACTCATCCCCTACCCGGCTGTGAGAGAAGATGGTCTACTCGGAGAAGCCTGGGCTTGCCACCTCCCTGTGTGCAGTGACATTTTGTGATAAGCCTATTTGTCCTCAAAGGAATGATGCACTAATGATAGCATTTCGGGCAACTTGGCTGGAGGCGAGGAAGGTAATTTGGGACAGGAGTCCCAATTCACACCAAGTCTGAGACATCTAAACATAATACAGTCACCTGCTAATGGTTCTATCTCTTACGGGAAACTAGAATCCTAGAATAGTGACAGGAGCCTCTTGCCTAAGCTCCTCGTGGGAAAACCGAGGCCCTGGGTGGGAGAGGGAGAGAGAGGGTGAAAAGCTTACAGGAGGCTCAGGCAGTCTAGACCTGGACTATGATCCCTCCTGGGTGGCATCTTTCCATTTGGCTTTGCACTGTCTGAGCCCCAAACTTTTGTGAAAATCAGCCCTTTGGGCCTGGGTGCCTGGTGGTCCAGGGCATGGATTTGAGCTGCTTAATCTCCAGTGCAAAGCTCATCTCTGCCTGTGGCTTTGCTGGCTTCCTTTTGCAGGCTCTGAGCACCAGATTGTCCAAAGTCACTTCTCAAAGTGTGGTTCCACCCTCATACACCTGCGCAGGTCTCCCGAATCACAATCCACATTTCCACAAGATTGCCGAGTGCTCTGCACATGTGCTAGAGCGTGGGGAGTGGTAGTCTCAAGTTTCTCTTTTGTCTTCACTCCCAGGACCCTTGGAGCCAAGTCTCGCATGAGGAGGAATTGGCTCATCTCAGATCTTTTGATTTTCTCTCTTATGGTTTTATCTCTAATTTTTCAAATGGACAGTGTTTAATTTCCTGAGCAGTTAAAAGCCAGGCAGGTAGGATATGAAGAGGTAGATGGTCAGTTCAGCTGCAGGCAGCCTGCCTGGACACTGTCTGCCCTGAGCCCCTTCCCAAAGCCATGGACCCCCGTAGCCCTGAACACACTCCCACTGCCCCCACACACTCCTACAGCCCCGGACAAGTCTGAGACATCTAAACATAATACAGCCACCTGCTAATGGTTCTGTCTCCTGTGGGAAACTAGAATCCTAGAATAAGGACAGGAGCCTCTTGCTTAAGCTCCTTGTGGGAAAACTGAGGCCCTGGGTTGGAGAGGGAGAGAGGGGGTGAAAGGCTTGCAGGAGGTTCAGGCAGAGTCTAGATCTGGACTCTGATCCCTCCTACCACTCCCCATATGGACCCACACTGACCACCAAGGACCCCCAGTGGTCCCTATGGACTCCCCATAGACTCACCCCAGACCCCATATTTCCGCAGCCTCCAAAGCTCTTCCACAGGCCCCAAGCATATCCCTCAGCCCCTGATGGACCCGTAGGCCACCCTCTGCACATGAGCGACCCTGAACAAGCTGTTGTCTTTAGGGGGGAAGCCCACTCCCACCTGACGCTGTGAGCACCCTCCTTTCTCTTTGCATTTTGGACCCCTTCTCCCCCGACTTTCCCACTCGTTCTGTGTACAATGCTAAGTTGTGAAAAATGCATGACAACATTAACCTAAGGTGTTATTTATAAATATGTTATAATTTATTAAATTACATGGCACTCGACAACAACTCAGAGAAAGAGGAAGCACATGGGAGTGTGAACACAGCACATGCACTATTTTAATAATCCTTTTATCTTAAAATATTGCCTCCTATCCAGCTGTCATGGAGCAGCAGGAGAGTCTGTTAAGCATGGAGACGAGGGGCGTCTCTCCAACAGCCTCCACGGTGAGTTATTAAATGAGCGAGAGGCGCCCACTCATCATTTGATCAACACACGTAAATTATGTATAATGGGTACCTTCATGTAAAAAGCTCCTGGAACATTGAGGAAGACATATCCCACCCGGGAGTCCAGAGGAGCAGGTGGGGGTCCCCTCCACCTGCTCCTCTCTGTCCTCTAAAGCAACTTCTGCCCAACTTGAACCTTAAGCTTTCCTCTAGCACCCTCGCATTCTTGACCACACCCGGGGAGCCATTGGTACTCTCTTTTACTTAATATTTTTATTTAATTTATATTCATTCTTTTTTACTTAAATGGATTTAATTTTTAAAAGAAGTTTTATATTATTACTATGAATAGAAAAGTAATAGCACTTACCATAAATATGAAATAACCATTAAAAAGAACATAATGGAAACAAACTATGTAATTAAATTTCAGCTCAGTATGAAGGCTTGATGAAGCCTAAGTCCTTCTCTTTCTATTAAAAGGGGTGGCCAGCCAGTGTCACAGAGACATTCAAGATATGCTGGCTGGAGCCAAAGACAGCCTCCTTCCCTGACTTTGGGAGGACAGAAAGTGCCCAAGCAGGCCCTAGCTGGACACCATGCTGGCTGGATACCATTAAAATCCCCTCGAGTTTCCAAGGCAGGACTGCCCCACATTTTTGGAGGTACTGGCCCCAAATCAAAATCAATGATCCCATCGCTGTTTTCTTAGGCTTCACAATGCAGGAGGAACAGGTGAGAGTCCTCCTTCCTGTGTGCTGTTGTAGAGGGTATTGTGGAGTGGTGAGGACAGGACCCAGGAGTCTGGGAGCTGAGTCCAGCTCTGCAATGTGACTTTGGACAAGTCACCCTTTCTCTCTCCCATCATCAGAATCCAGGGTGGGTTTATTTGTTTGTTTGTCTGTTTTTTGACACAAAGTCTCGCTGTGTCACGCAGGCTGGAATGCAATGGCACAATCTTGCCTGCAATCTCCACCTCCCGGGTTCAAGAGATTCTCCTGCCTCAGCTTCCCCAGTAACTGGGATTACAGGCACCTGCCGCCAAGCCTGGCTAATTTTTGTATTTTTAGTAGAGATGGGGTTTCGCCATGTTGGCCGGGCTTGTCTCGAACTCCTGACCTCAGGTAATTCACCTGCCTCGGCCTCCCAAAGTGCTAGGATTACAGGCATGAGCCACCCTGCCTGGCCCCAGGGTGGCCTTGATGGCTACAGAGCTTCTCCAAGACCACGCACCTTCTAGTTCTCCAGCCTCCTGTACACATAGCAAAACTAAGACATTTTTAAAAGCATGTTACTGGGTATATACTCAAAGGAATATAAATCACTCTACTGTAAAGACACATGCACACGTATGTTTACTGCAGCACCATTTACAATAACAAAGACTTGGAACCAACCCAAATGCCCATCAATGATAGACTGGATAAAGAAAATGTGGTACATATAGACCATGGAATACTATGCAGCCATAAAAAGGAAGGTGATTGTGTCCTTCATAGGGACATGGATGAAGCTGGAAACCATCATCCCCAGCAAACTAACACGGGAACAGAAAACCAAGCACCGCATGTTCTCACTTATAAATAGGAGTTGAACAATGAGAATATGTCGACACAGGAAAGGGAACAACACACACCAGGGCCTGTCTGGGGGCTGGGGGATAAGGAGAGGGAGAGCATTAGGACAAATAGCTAATGCATGCAGGGCTTAAAACCTAGATGAGGGGTTGATAGGTGCAGCAAACCACCATGGCACATGTATATCTAAGTAATAAACGTGCACATTCTGCACATGTATCCTGGAAGTTAAAGTAAATTAAAAAAAAAAAAGTTTCATGTCACATGACACAAAACACACGTTAGAAAGAATGACTTAGGACCATGTATTTGAGGCTCCTTTCTCAAACTGGAGAAAGGTAATGCTAGATCATCAAAATGCAAAGTTGAATAGAGAAGAAAAAAAATAAACCTAGGGTAATCTCTAAACCCCAAAGAAAGCCAAAGCATCTTATTTTCAAAATAGACGTCCAAGCCATGCAAAATAGAAATATCCGGACGTGAAGCCAAGCTCTCCCATCATACTTAGAACCCATTTTAAACCGGGAGAGAGAATGTCAGATAATCAAAATTCACTTGCGAAAACAGCCACGGTTCTTCCTGTTAGCTGCGATTAATACTAGCAGTTAGAGAAAGGCTAAAAAAATGAAGTCATACATTATTTTTTTTTCCTCGTAGGTATGGATTTTATTTGACCTATTGCTTTTAAAATAGAATACCTTCCCAAGCACACTTTACATGATAAAACTCAGAGACAAAAGAGAGAAAATGCAAATCAATTCTACATTACATGTATGTTGCTGCATTTGGCAAAATCAAATGAGATCTTTTCATCTTCTTACTGTAGAACAAAAACAGAGCAATATTATGAAATCTCACAGAGCTTTATTTCTCGGCGTCTTTTGTGTCCAGCCTTTTAAATTCAGGTTTTTCTGCCTTTTTTACTGACAAGCCCACAATTTTCAGAAAAGAAAGCTAGCATTAATTAAGACAGTGCCAGATGTAATTTTCTTGGGAAGTAAATTTCTGCACAACTAAAGGTTACAGAGACCTTTTCACTGTCAAAATTTACTACAGCCTGTGAATGTTAATGTTTCTAATGAAGACATGTTCTCTGTCCCTGAACTTAAAAGTACCCAGAGAAGAAGGCAAAGAGAAAAAAAAAAAAAAAAAACTCTATTTGACGAATGTATCTGGAGCCTGTGCATTAATGTAGGGAACTCTCGGCTTCTGGTGCACGTTGTAATTATAGTGTTTGGATAGCCTTGTTTTCTAAACAAGGAATATTGCCATAAATTGGCAATTTTGCATGAGGAGTGGGATTGTAGTAGGGCCCTTATGTTACAAATGAGCTCCTAGTATAGTAAGCATTCACCCCATTAGGCTTAAAGATGTTCACCTTCTGACTCTGGGACAGGTGAGGAGGGAAGCTGGCAGGAGACCCAGATCTTCCAAGACCGGGCACCAGCATTAGCACGGAGGGACCCTGGGTTTCCCGTTCTCTGACCTCTCAGCCATCTGTGCTCAGAAGGCTTTTGAAGGCTGCCTTAGTGTCTGAAGACACAGAAGTTTTTTTCTTTTTTTTTCCTGGCCAGTCTTTTAATTTTGTTTTGGAGGTCTGAATGCCGATTACATCAGCATTTTCTATCTAGCTCCCAGGGAGAAGACTGTGTAGATGGAGAGGAAGCAGGGTCTTCCACCTCTTCCGGGGGGCATGGCTGTAGGGAGAAGACTGTGTAGATGGAGAGGAAGCAGGGTCTTCCACCTCTTCCTGGGGGGCATGGCTGTAGGGAGAAGACTGTGTAGATGGAGAGGAAGCAGGGTCTTCCACCTCTTCCTGGGGGGCATGGCTGTAGGGAGAAGACTGTGTAGATGGAGAGGAAGCAGGGTCTTCCACCTCTTCCTGGGGGGCATGGCTGTAGGGAGAAGACTGTGTAGATGGAGAGGAAGCAGGGTCTTCCACCTCTTCCTGGGGGGCATGGCTGTAGGGAGAAGACTGTGTAGATGGAGAGGAAGCAGGGTCTTCCACCTCTTCCTGGGGGGCATGGCTGTAGGGAGAAGACTGTGTAGATGGAGAGGAAGCAGGGTCTTCCACCTCTTCCTGGGGGGCATGGCTGTAGGGAGAAGACTGTGTAGATGGAGAGGAAGCAGGGTCTTCCACCTCTTCCGGGGGGCATGGCTGTGCTCTTGCTAGAGGTTCCTGGAGTAAGATGTTGACAGGACCCAGTTTCACGACTTCTTGATTTTTTCTTCTTTAGTAAGTTGAGGAAGGAGGTACTATTACCCTATTTGGGATTAAAAGACAGTCATTTTATTCACCTAATAATGCTTTTCCAGGAATTTCTTTTAAGGAAACAATCCATAATGACCACAAAGATGTGCACACAAAGATGTCCTCCTTACATAAAAATGACAATGACAAGTAGAAGAATAAAGACTGAATGTTCAACAATGTGGAAATGATGAAATAAATTATGATACACTCATAAAATGGAATATTACACAAGCATCAGTCTTTTTGATTAAGTAGATACTTCAGTCAAACGGGAAGTGTTTATATCCTATAACATGTAAAAAGCAAGGTATAAAATTTTGTGATCTTAACTTTGTTAAAAGAAAAAAAAAATGTCTGATTTGTGCAATAAACTATATGATCACCGCTCCAAAGGTGAAATCGGGGATGCTATATCCTGTGCAAGAAGAAATCATGAGGATTCAACCATCCACATAACTCACATGAAAGAAAGTAAGTCTAAAAATAACAAACAAAAGCTTACAATGACAATGAAGTAGCACAGATTCTGCCCCCGGTCCACTGGGGTGGACAGAATCTATGTCTCGGAGTGGGCCTGAGTGGAGGCGTCACTGAAAGCTTCCTCAGTCTTAACTTGGGGCTGGGTACGCTGGCTCACACCTGTAATCCCAGCACTTTGGGAGTTCGAGGTGGGGGTATCACTTGAGCCCAGTGGTTTGAGACCAGCCTGAGCAACAAAGTGAGACCTTGTGTTACAAAACAAAAGAAAAAAATTAGCCAAGCGTAGTGGTGTGTGTCTGTAGTCCCAACTACTCAGGAGGCTGAGATGAGTGGATCGCTTGACCTGGAAGGTGAAGGTTGCATTGAGCTATGATGGCACCACTGCACTCCAGCTTGAGTGACAGAGCAAGACCCTGTGTCAAACAACAACAACAATGACAAAAATATTGACTTGGCAGATCCTGGGAGATTGTTCAGTGGTCATTTTGCCTCTTGGTGATTTTCCCTTTGTGCATGGCTTTGGGCTCTAGCTGCCTGGGAAGATAGCACACGTCCCTGTCCCCCACTCCTGCTTGCTCTCCTGTGCCCGCTCTGCCCTGGCATACTCTTGCGTGCTCATCTTACAGAGCGTCTCCTCTCAGTCTTACCTCTTTGCCCTCCTCCAACCAACTGGGATGATTCTCTCAACGGACTCCCTTGGAATTGCCCCAAACTCTTCCAGTCACATCTCTGCAGGGCATTTGGAGACTGGGCAGCCGGCAGATGTCTGTGGAGTGTCTGTGTCATCACCTGAAAGGGTGCCCTCATTCAGAGGGTGACTGAGGAACAGAGGAAAGCCCACAGCAGAGGAGCGAGCCTACAGCTGTGGAAGGGAGTCGAGGTGAGCAGGGCAGGAGAACAAGGAAAACACATACAACGTGTTACCTCCAAACACTTCTGTCCCAGCTGCCCGCAGTCCTCCCGGCCGGACTCTAGAAAAGGAAGAAAAGCAGGAGGAGAAGTAAAATCCTGGATAAATCCAGCCTGGCCGAGGATTCACACTTTTCCGGTGGACCACGGTTCTCTGACTATGGTGAGTGCTGTCCTCAGACCAGCAGCATCGGTGTCACCTAGGACCTTGTTAAACATGCAGGTTCTCAGGCCTCACCCCAGACCTCCTCGGTCAGGAGCCCTCAGGGCTGGGGCCGCAGCCCTACAGGTGATGCCGAGGTATGCCAAGGTGTGGAAGTCATGGCCCTAGATGTACAGTGGGATCCAACGTACATCCAGTGGCATTTGCTCCTGAACAGACCTAGAGTTAGAAGGAGGCACATGAGTTTTTGTTTAAATGATGGTAGATGAGCCTGGCACAGTGGCTCATGCCTGTAATCTCAGCACTTTGGGAGGTGAAGGTGGGCGGATCACCTGAGGTCAGGAGTTTGAGAGAAGTCTGGCCAACATGGTGAAACCCTGTCTGTACTAAAAATGCAAATATTAGCAGGGCATGGTGGCGGGCACCTGTAGTTCCAGTAGTTCCAGCTACTTGGGAGGCTAAGACAGGGGAATCCCTTGAACCTGGGAAGCAGAGGATGCAGTGAGCAGAGATTGTGGCACTGCACTCCAGCCTGGGCAACAGAGTGAGATTCTGTCTCAAAAAAAAAAAAAGAAAAGGAAAGAAAGAAAGAAAAAATGATGGTAAATGACAGACTGATGGGTTGATGTCTTCTGAATTGACTGAAGATCCAACAGTCCGTGTCGCTGCAGACACAGGGCGATGCGGTCCCTCAGGCTGTATGGAGATGGTGTATGCATCACTCTTCTTCTGTGCTCTGTGAGGTTTTCCTGAGTGTGGTCAGGCCAGTGCCCTGTCCCACTGCCATTTACCTGGTGAGTTGAAGTGGCTGTCCCCTACCTGGCCCACATGAAAACCATGCCTTCTCAGCATGCTCAGGTTACTAAGGAAACTACCAAGGTGCCCTGGTCTACACAGGCCACGCACAGTCAGCCACATGCATCTGGGGGTCACCTGAACAGCCGAGGACAACAGCAAGGAAGACCTGTCAAAATGACAGCTGGCCACACTCCACCTCCACTGTCCAGGAGGGATTTGTAACTCTAGAGTCCACATAGGTGAAGAGAAGAGCAAGAGAGAATTTGAGACCTGGGTTACATGATTTGAATCCCAGGGTTGACCCAGAGGTGTCCACATTTCCCTGCTGCTAAAAATAAGACACATCGGATGGCTTTCACCAGTGTACTGTCCCCGGGCTCCTGTAGGGATTGCAGCACAGGACGGATTCCTGCAGGCTACCCCAGGTGGGGCATTTGGACTTTAGGGCTGGCTGTCGACATTAGAGGGGCAGTGATGAACAGAATAGCAAACCTACCTGCACACCTATTATTTTTCTCTCTTTGTGTGTTTACAAAAGTATGAGTTTCATACCCACCACCCCCCCACCAATGCTCTCCATCTCTATTATGCAAAATAAGTCTTTTATTTCCCCCTTCCTCCTTGCCCCCTTTCCTCCTCCCCTCCCTCCCTCCCTTCCCTCCTGCCTTTTCTCTCTCTGCCTCCCAGCCCTAGTAGAGTGACTGAGACACATGAGTAGGTAAATCACAGCCTAGCTGAGCCGTATGTGGAGACCCAAGTTTGCCAAAGTGCTGATGAGCTCTCCGCGGGTCACAGTCTCATCTTCTCCCACTTATTATCTCCTGCAAATGCTCATTCTCTGAACAGGCTTGTAGCATAGGTCTAAGGGAATCTCTGCAACTCACACATTTTCTTTGCAAACAGTCATTGAGTGCTTCTGTGCCAGATCTCAACTGGCACTCGGAGGGTCACAAATACCGATAAGATAGGGCCTGGCCCTCCAGTGTGGACCAGCACCAAACATGGAAGCCACCTCATAGGAATCACCTGAAGAGGAGCCAATGAGATCCCCAAGGGGCAGGGTGCTCCTGCTCCCAGGGCCTCGGGGAAAATTCACTGTCTAGAAGACATCTCACAGAACAGGAGGCTACGAGAGTCCTCAGGGCGATGAGGGGAAAGTGATTTATCTCATCACAGCATCTTCTGATCAGCCCTGTCTCACCTGGCAGGTGCAGAGAGCTTGGAGTGGAGGCACGGTGGGATGCCGGGGGTGGAAATGTGGTCTCAGCTCAAAGCTCCGAGGAGAGGGTGGCACACGAGTCATGAAATATAGGTGGAGAAGGTCACTGAAATGGAAAATTTCTCTGCATCCATGGAAAGGGCAGACTCGGAGAAGCTGGGATGACACCAGTGAATTCTCCTCAGGATACGAAAATGCATGTGCTTGTGCTCACAAACTGCCAAGACCTCCAGGGCGTGATCTGCAGTGGGTGCCCCGGACCTGCAGAGGGTGGTCTGCTGTGAACGCCCTCGACCTGCAGAGGGTGATCTGCCAGAGGGTGATCTGCGGTGGGTGATCTGCGTTGAATGCCCCGGACCCGCAGAGGGTGATCTAGGGTGAATGCCCCAGATCTGTAGAAGGTGATCTTTGGTGGGTGCCCTGGACATGCAGAGAGTGATCTGCAGTGAGCGCCCCAGACCTGCAGAGGGTGATCTGCGGGTGGGTGCCCCCAATCTGTAGAAGGTGATCTGCGGTGGGTGTCCTGGACCTGCAGAGGGTGATCTACTGTGGACGCCCCAGATCTGCAGAAGGTGATCTGCGGTGGGTGTCCCAGACCTCCAGAAGGTGATCTGCAGTGGGTGCCATCCTAAAATCTAGCCAGGCACTAACGGTGTCTTTTCCCTCGGTCTCACCCTTATTCCCACAAGGATAAAGGGCCACTTCCAACCATCTGGAAGGCTCAAAGAGGCCCCACAGGAAGAAAGCCTCCCACTGGCCCCATGAACTAAGGGATGCCCTTCCTTCCACTCAGAATTGTAGTTTCTCATCCTGAGAGTTGAAGGAGAGGGCATAAGAAGACACCATCCTTCCCAGAGGCCAAGGATTCCAGGTTAACAATGAGGCCAACAGTTATCTTATACCATACACATACTTCTGAAATTATAATGCAGCTTTGCCAATTCTCATTGAGCTTGGGAAACAATGTGACCCTTAGCTTATTTTCTGCCCAGCTTCCCTCAGTCTATCATAGGCTCTTGTCTGATAGACAACTGGTAGAACTCTCTAGTTCTTTTTCCCCAGTCACCACAGCCATCCCTCCCAAATGTAGGAAAGGGCTTGGGGGGCATAGAGAGATAGGAGGAATGTTATGAAACCGCTTAGGCCAAGTATTTCACTTTTCAACTTGCAGCGAACACCTCGTGGGTTTGTTCTCCATCTCATCTACTTGGCAGTGACCTTGGCTCCTGCAGTAATCCCTACAATGCCTCCCCCATCTTTGGCCAAATAAAAAGTGATTCTTGGTCACCTCCCATGTGGCTTATCCTGAGTCCCGGTACACAGAGCAGATGGGACCAGCCCTAAGGAAGCCCAGGAGGGACTCACTCCAGCAAACATGACCAAACCACTCCAGAAAGACAGAGGCTGAGCCTTGCAGTACTTGAGGCTGGAAAGGGTGTAGACACTAGAACCATTCCCATTTTAGATACTGAGGCTGAGGTCTAGAGATCCTAAATGCCACACCCAACAGCACATAGCTATACCCAAAAAGATCAAATCCTGGAGCTCAGGCCTAGCCTGCTCCAGCAAGCAAGCTCTTCACCCTGTTCCACTCACTCACTAGCCAGCTTAAGCTCCTCCTCCTGCAGGAAGCCCTCCTGATTGACTCCAGCCTGCTCCACACTCATCTGTCACACATATGTTACCTCTCTGGGTTTGGTCACTCTCTGGCAGCCTTGGGCCTGTGATGTGACAGGTGCTGTCTTTCCCCTTGTTCCCCCATCTGGGCACACAATGGCAGGAGATGCTCAGAACCCACTTGCCAACAGAATGCACTGCCTGTTGAAAGAGCTCCAAATTATCAGTCTTCAGCCTGGGCAATCTACAAGGGGTGTGGTGGGTCCAGGGGGAGATTGACTTATGATCTCTGGGTTCATAGGAGCCTTTGGAGGGAGGGCTGTGAACTGCAATGGTGGCTGAATAAGAGAGAGAACCAGTCCCGGAATGAGAAGGGGACAGGAGAGGGTCTGTGATGGGAAGGCTAAAATATACTGCCTTTGATTTTCATGCTAGCAAAACCCTGGCTTGTCCCACAGCACCAACACATGGCTGAGGGAGAGCAGAAAGAGAAATTCATACGCAGCTGCAGGACACTGAAGATTCTTGGCATCTATGAATAACGAAGACTTCCACGGCTGCCGCAGTGAGTGGCAAGGGATGTGGCCAGCCGCCAGGAGTGCTGCGGCCAGGGCGGCCGGCAAGCCCATGCCCACCAGTCACGACCCTGCAGCTACAGCTCATCACACCCCCAAACCAAAAATGGTCAGTTTTTTTTTTCATTTTTCAAGAGAAATTGCAAATCTCGCTCTTTACATAGGCTATCCCAATTAAAAATTTTATATCATTGAAAACAATTTCAACACTCAACAGACCAAGTGAAACCTTTCAATGGGCCAGGTGAGGCCTGAGGCCTTTCCGTTGATGGCCTCTGATTGGAGCTCAGTCCTTCCCCCTTTGCTTGGTCTTAGAGGATAGGACAGGGCTGGGGACACAGCTGGCAGCTGCCAGGGGCTTCCTTTTCTGGGAGTCCTGGTCAGGTGGTACTTCTCTTTGGGAGTGCTGCCCCATGTCCCTGACAGTGTCCCTCCAGGCCCCAGGCCTCCTGTCCTTGGTCCTCCCTCCTCTGCTGTTGGCAAGCACAAGCTCACCCCGTGCACGGGGTCCTGAGTCCCCGTGCCCATCTCCCCAGGCACTTTCCACTGCTTCTGTTCATCCAGCTCTGTCCCCAGCAGGACGCTGCTGCCCGCCTGCCTGACAACTGTCAGCCCGAGGTGTGGACACCTTCTCCTTGGTGGCTTCCCCTTTTTCATTAGGTTTGACAATGCGTTTTTCTGAGATTAATAGTGCAGGGGGAGCCAGGATATGAGGCTTTTAGTGGTGACAAACTGCCAGGCCCAGGTGGCTCTGGAAGTGGTGCAGCAGGAAGAGGCCAACAGCTGCACCCCACAGGGCTGGAGGAGAAGGAGTGAGGGCTGCCATGTCCATCAGAGCCTGGATCCGGCTGGACTGGGGCAGCCCTGCTCCTTATCCCTGCCCTTTCCCATGCAGCAAAGTCAGTCCTCCCCAACACCGTGAGCCGAGCAGCAGAGACCCCACCCCCAGCACACACAGCCCCAACACACCTGTGAGTGTCTGTTGTGGGCTGCTGCTAGGCGCTGGTGCTCATCAGAGGGTAGGAAGAGGCCAAGAAGGCCAGGCTCTCCAGGTTGGCTCCCCATGCTCAGGCACTTCTGTTCTCAGCCCTGTTTGTCCTGTCCTCCTGGTTCCTGCCTCTTCCACCAGCCCAACCTGGGACTCTGCAGAGAAAGGAGGGCTTGAAAACCCAAGGAAGCAAGAGTGCACACCCATCTGGATGCTTCCATGACACCCGTCCCTACTATCTGCCTTCTGTCACCACCGCCCAGTCCCCAGAACAGCAAACCACACCTTTCTCATTGTGTGGGAAGAAAGGGCCTTGGGGTATAATCCAGGAAATTCAAGGAAAAGATGCACATCTATTAATTCTCAAAAACATTTTTTTCAAGATACAGCACTCTCTTCACATACAAACACATATGCTTACATGCATAGATATATACAAATATATACATACACACACACACACACACACATGCATGCTCCGAAACACAAGCATAGCCTCACATATGCACATATATGCACATATATGCACCTGCTTACACAGGCTCAAATGCACATGTGAACTCAGAGGTGTACTTATACATGCACAAGTCAGACATGCACACTTACACACACACGCACACACACACACACACCCCCCTGCTCTTTCCCTGGGAACCGCCTCTGACCCTAGCTCAGGTTCAGCTTGAATCTCTAGGCTGGAAGGGCCTGTAGAGATGTGTGTAAGGGCCTCCTTAGACCAATAAGCACCCTGCAGCCCAGAGAGGTGAAGGAGTTTTCCCAGGGCCACACAGCTTTTCAGGACCTGAGCTAAGCCTGAAACCCTGACATAGCTACTCCAACCCAGGGTTTTTGTCCAGGTGAACTAATTCCTTAGACTTTTTGGGTAAAAATACTTCACAGTTTATATTACTTCTTTTAACTTTCGTGATTCATTTGGGAGGTCATTGTCATTATGACAATTGAGCTTGTTTTCTGGATTGGGAAATTTAGGCCTAGACGGGAGAAATGTTTCACCCAAACATGGAGCTGGTAATACAGGTAGGCCTTGTCTCCAGACCCCTGGCTCCAAGGCTGAATCGCTTGGGTCCACTCAGCAGTCTTCACCTCTCCTAAGGGACTGAATTATCACCTGATCTGATGGAAGTCCTTTCTCTGCCCTCAGCCCTCAGCTCTGTTGGACCGTGGGAAGAATGGAGCTGATGGTAAATATTTTCTGACAACATGTAAAAATTGTGTGACCTTGGGCAGGTCACTTCAGCTAGCTAGGCTTTCATTTACCAAGCTACAAAATACAGGGAGAGTGGCAATAGCTATCTTTTGGGGTTGTTTTAATAATTAAATTCATAAATATGCATATATTGTTAGACGGCAGGGCATTGTACAAAAATGTGAGAAAATGTTGTTGAGAACTGCTTTAAAGAGCTTAGGACAATGACGGCACAGATGGGGGCTCTTTCTCCATGGAATCTCTCATTCTGTCGTTTGTCTGCTGTGGCTAGGAAGCAACTGTCAAAGGCAGGTAACTGAATGCAAAAAGATATTTACAACGACTGAAACTGACAAGGGACTAATATCAAGGCTAGAGAAGGACCTCCTGCAAAACAAACAGAAAGACAGCAGCCTAATATAAATATGGGGGAAACGTATGAACAAGCATTTCTCAGAAGGGAAAACCCAAAAAGCTTAGAAGCATGCGAAGAAGTGTTCAAAATCGTTAGTAATCAGAAAAACACAATTTTAATGGATGAGCTGTTACTTGGCAACTATTAGGCAAAATTAGTAAGAGGCAATGCTAAGTAAACAGCAGAGACATGAGGGCAGAGGGGCCTGGGGCACTGATGTTGGGAGAATAGAATCTGAAGCCCTGCAAAGGGGCCGCCTCTAATATTTCTTGGAGATTCATACCCTGAATTCATACGTTCCAGCTCTCTTTTGCTGCATAGCAAGCCACCGTATACTCAGTGGCTTTAAAAAATCAATTATTACTCTGCTCATTAGTCTTCAAACTGGGCAGTGCTTAATAGGGAAAGCTTATCTCTGCTCCTTGTGGCCAGGGTAGCTCAAAGGCTGGGGGGTGACTTGATAGCTGGGGGCTGGAACCACCAGAAACTCACTCTCATGCCTGGCACTTGCTTGCTGGCCATCAGCTAGCAACCTAGTTGAGGCTGTTGGCCGGGATTCTTCCAGGTGACTTCATCTTGTGGCTGCTTGGCTGCCACTCAGCATGGGGACTATGTCCCAAGAGTGAGGGGCCCCACAGATCCAGAAAAAGGTGCATGATATTTCAATGACCTAGCCTCAGCATTATGTAGCACCGTTTCAACTGGCTGCAACCCAGGATCAAGAAAAGAGAATGGGAACTTCACCTCTCAATGAAGAGTGTCAACCTCACATTCTAGAAAGTGTGTGAGGATGGGATAGGTATGGTCATCATTTTTAGAAAATGCTGTCTTCTATATTCTATTACCCAGGATCTCTGCCCCTGGGTTTCTACCTCAAAAGGGATTCTCATTCAGGTCCACAGGATATTTCTGGCCATGTTACTGCAGTATTGATTTTGGTAGTACAAAGTTGGAGGTGAGCAGATGTCCACCACTGAGATATTAGAGAGTTGAGACATGATACACAAAACAGCATTACCCTGACACAAGACTGTTAGCTCAGGTTGGTGCTGTGGCTCACACCTGTAATCCCAGAACTTTGGGATGACAAGGCAGGCTGATCACTTGAGGCCAGGAGTTCCAGACCAGCCTGACCAACATGGTGAAATCCCATCTCTACCAAATATACAAAAATTAGCTGAGCATCATGGTATGTGCTTGTAATCCCAGGCACTTGGGAGGCTGAGACAGGAGAATAGCTTGAACCCAGGAGACAGGGGTTGCAACGAACTGAGATCATGCAACTGCACTCCAGTCCGGGTGATAGAACAAGATCCTGTTTCAAAAAAAAAAAAAGAAAGAAAGAAAGTGTTAGCTCATGGCAATGTTAATGGCTCATTAAAAGAGATAGATCAACTGATCAATAGATCAGTC
Source organism: Homo sapiens (assembly GCF_000001405.40). NCBI lineage: Eukaryota > Metazoa > Chordata > Mammalia > Primates > Hominidae > Homo > Homo sapiens. Next base: position 31,497,083 of record NC_000019.10, on the reverse strand, counting down.
AATCGATAGCTAGATATAGATAAAGACATGTAGATATCATATATATCTTATTTTAATAGGTCAACAGTTAACACCATAAGATGTATAGTGCAATATCAGTTGTATAAAGACACTTATACACAAAACAAAAATTCATCTTTTCCAAGAACATTTACAAAATAAATGAATAGTTTCAACACATTACAAATGGCATCTCATGTTTGAGGACAGGACATGGGAATGGAGAAGGAAAAGACAAAAGAAGCCATACTTTTTAAAAAGAAGAGGAGGAACCAAGAAATGGACTCACACAGGCATTCATTCAATTTTTAAAACAGCACAGTTGCACCCTCTCATCCATGGTTTCATTCTCCACGGTGTCCATTACCTGTGGTCAATCTTGGTCCAAAAATACTAAATAGAAAGTTTCAGGCCAGGCGTGGTGGCTTATGCCTGTAATCCCACACTTTGGGAGGCCGAGGCAGGTGGATCACCTGAGGTCAGGAGTTCAAGACCAGCCTGGCCAACATGGTGAAAGCCCGTCTCTACTAAAAAATAAAAAAAAATTAGCCAGGCATGGTGGCAGGCACCTGTAATCCCAGCTACTTGGGGGACTGAGGTAGGAGAATCACTTGAAACCGGGAGGCAGAGGTTGCTGTGAGCTGAGATTGTGCCATTGCATGCACTCGAGTGCGGGCAATAAGAGCAAAACTCTGTCTCAAAAAAAAAAAGTTTCAGAAACAAACCATCCATAAGTATTAAGTTGCTGGGAGTTCAGCATAGTGCGATGAAATCCGGCACCGCCGGCTCTGTCCCACGGAGGATGGACGTCATCCCCTTGTCCTGCATATCCATGCTGTAGGTGCCGCCCACCACTAGTCACTCAGTAGCTGTCTCAGTTATCAGATTGACGGTCATGGAATCTCATCACATAGGCCTTTTATCATCCCATGTCATCACAAGAAGAAGGCTGAGTGCAGTACAGTAAGTTATTTAGAGAGCAAAACGGCATGCACACGACTGTGATTGCAGCGTATTGTCTAATTGTCCTATTTCATTCTTTTTTTTTTCCCAACAAATGGCACTTGAATAACGTTGAGATGGAGTTTTGCTCTTGTCGCCCAGGCTGAAGTGCAATTGTGTAATCTCGGCTTACTGCAACCTCTGCCTCCTGGATTCAAGTGATCCTCCTGCCTCAGCCTTCCAAGTAGCTGGGATTACAGATATATGCCACCACGCCCAGCTAATTTTTGTATTTTTAGTAGACATGGCATTTCACCATGTTGGCCAGGCTAGTCTCAAACTCCTGACCTCAGATGATTCACCCTCCACCCACCTCAGCTTCCCAAAGTGCTGGGATTACAGGCATGAGCCACCATGCTTAGCCTGCCCTATTTCATTTTTAGTTATTATTGTTCATCTCTTATTATGCCTAATTTATAAATTAAACTTTATCATAGATATGTGTGTATAAGACAAAACACAGGGTACGTAGGGTTTGGAACTCTCTGTGGTTTCAGGCATCTGCTGCGGATCTGGGAACATCTCTTTCATGGATAAGTGAGGACTAGTATAATAGGGAAAAAAAGTTTTTCCACAATATAAGATGGACGATAGACTTAAATATTCAAGCTAAATCATAAAGCTTTAAGAAGAAAACAGAATCTCCTTGTGAACCAATAGTAGGCACAAGATTTTGGATAGGGGCACAGCACACAGTGGCCATAAAAAAAAAAAAAAGGCATGATAGGCCAGGGGCAGTGGCTCACGCATGTAATCCCAGCACTTGGGAGGCTGAGGCAGGCAGATCACCTGAGGTCAGGAGTTTGAGACCAGCATGGCCAATATGGCGAAACCCCATCTGTACCAAAAATACAAAAATTAGCGAGGCATATAGTGGCGCATGCCTGTAACCCCAACTACTTGGGAGGCTGAGACCCGAAAATTGCTTGAACCCAGGAGGCGGAGGTTGCAGTGAGCAGAAATCGCGCCATTGTACTCCAGCCTGGGTGACAAGAGCGAAACTCGTCTCAGAAAAAAAAAAAAAAGAAGAAGAAAGAAAGAAAAGCATGATAATTTACACTTCTTCAAAATTATAAAATGCTGCTCATCAAAAGAAGCCACTATGAAAATAAAAGACAAGACACAGACTGGGAAAAATAGAAGTAAAACATGTCTCACAAAGTGCTACTATGGAGGACATATAAAGGATCCCACATTTCAATAATAAAAGGACAAATAACCAAATTAAAGAAATGAAAGCAAAATATTTAAACAAACACTTCACAAAACAAGATAAAGGGATGGCCAACAAGTACGAGAAACGGCACTCAACATCATTAGCTAATAGTGAAATGCGTGTTAAAACTGCAATGGGACACCCCTTATCACCTGGCAGAATGCTTCACATTCAGTTCAACAACACCTAATATGGGCAAAGATGTGGGGCCGGTGAGAACCTTCCTATATTGTTGGTGGGAAGATAAAATAGTACATTCATTTTGGCAAAAGTCTTGGCATTTTCTTATAAAACTAAAAGCATACCTAGCCAGTGACATGACAATTCCCCTCCTAAGTATTAATTAGGAAGAAATGAAAACATAAGATTACATCAAGACTTGTACCTAAATGCTCACATCAGTTTTATTCAAATGGTGGAAATGGCCTAAAAAATGGATAAACAAATTCTAGCATATTTGTATAATGGAATACTTCTCAGCAACAAAAAAGAACAAACTATTGATACCTACAGCACACAAATGATGCTTGAAAACTTTCTGCTGAGTAAAAGAAGCCCTACCCAAAAGATTGTAAGATCTATGATTCTATATAGGTAAAGATTCAGGGCAGGCAAAACTAATCTATAAAGGGAAAAACCTGGAGTAGTGCATGCCTCTGTGGAGTTGGGTGGAGGATGGGTCAGAAAGGGGCTTCAGGGAACTTTCTAGAAGAAGATAATGTTCTACATCTTGATAGAGGTTAGGGTTGTAATGGTGTACATATTGTCAACACTCATAATTAGTGCACTTAATATTTGTATATTCATTTTTATGTAAACTTTACAACAAAGGAGAAAAAGCACTAAAATATTGAAGTAAATACTCAAGTCTTGGCAGGTAAGTCTACTGATATCTGCAATTTACCTTGATATGCATTTGAAAAATAGATTCATCAGCATATAGAAGTTCAGATCAATGGATAGATAGACATATTTTTTTTTTTTTGAGATGGAGTTTCACTCTTGTTGCCCAGGCTGGAGTCCAGTGGTGCGATCTTGGCTCACTGCAACCTCTGCCTCCTGGGTTCAAGCAATTCTGCTGCCTTAGCCTCCCGAGTAGCTGGGATTACAGGCACCTGCCATGCCTGTAATCCCAGCACTTTGGGAGGCCGAGGTGGGGGAATCACCTGAGATCAGGAGTTCAAGACCAGCCTGGCCAACATGATGAAACCCCGTCTCTACTAAAAATGATCTTTTTAAACTATAATAATGTGCTAAGGTAGGACCTAGGTGGTAGGTATACAGGTGATCAATGTAAATGTCTTCCAACTTTATTGTGTAAAATTTAAAGTGGGGGGAGAGTTAAAAATAAAAACAACAGAGATCAGACATAATGGAAATTAGTGCAGCCACTGTGAAAAGCAGTTTACAGATTTCTCAAAGAACTAAGAATTGAACTACCATTCAACCCAGCAATCACACTATTAGGTATAGACCCAAAGGAAAACAAATCATTCTACCAAAAATGCACCCGTATCTTCATTACAGGGCTGTTCACAATAGCAAAAACATGGAATCAACCCAGGCGCCTATCAACTGTGGATCAGATAAAGAAATGTGCTATATATACACCATGGAACACTACACAGCCACAAAAAAAAAGAATGAAATCATGTCCTTTGCAGCAACATGGATGCAGCTGGAAGCCATTATTCTAAGCAAACTAATGCAGAAACAGAAAACCAAATACAGCATGTTCTCACTTATAAGTGGGAGTTCAATGTTGGGTATACATGGGGAAATAAAAATGGGAACAATAGACACTATAAGGCAGGGGAGGGAGGAAGAGGGGCCAGGGCTGAAAACCTGCCTATTGGGCACCATGCTCACTACCTGAGTAACAGGATCAAGCATATCCCAAACCTCAGCATCGTGCATTGTGCAATCGTGTAACAGACCTGCACGTGGACCCTGTGATTCTAAAATAAAAGTTGTATAAGAAAAAAACAAAACAAAACAGAGGGCCTAGACTTGACCCACCATAATAAAGTGTCTTGAACCAAGGAGCATAATTAACCAGGTCCTCTGCCTCTAAGGTCCAATAAGAAAAATTCAAGAAGCTAAAATATCATGTGTGTTGAGCTGAACTACCAGATACCTAACAGTGGCAATCCTGGGTCCCCTAGTGCTGGAGAGACACCCTGGCACACCGAGATGCCCACAGTCATGCCATGATCCCGACCTGGCCCCACAGACTGGGTATAAACCTTATCTGTCCACCTGAAGGGGTCCCATTGCCCAAGGGTGCCCAAGTCTCCACTTTGTCCTGAAGGCCAGAGGTGAACCCTTGCAGAGAATTGGGGAACAGTGGCTTGCAGGGGAGCATCTGAGAGAGCCTAGGGTGCAACCTCAAGAGTGAACACCTGAGAACTTCCATCACGCATGGTCTTCTAAGATAAGCTGCATGTCCAGTCAAGCCAGGCCAGGTACACTGCTCTGAGCTCCCAAAGCACTTGCTTCCTACACCCTCAAGCTACTTGCAAGACTTATGTGTTAAATGTTAGGGATTGAATCATTGTGCCTCTCCAAAATTCATGTGTTGAAACCTAATCCCCCATGTGATGGTGTTAGGAAGTGGGCAGGGCAGGGGAGGTGATTAGGTCAGGAGGGTGGAGTGCTATGAATGGGATTCCTGTCTTTATAAGTGATGGAAGAAACCACTGTTGTTTTCTTCCACTATCTGAGAACACATAGAAGTCACCTTCTATGAACCAAGAAGCGGGACCTCCCCCGACACCAAGTCTGCCAGCACCTTGATCTTGAACTTCTAGCCTTCAACCGTGGAAGCTACAAGTTTCTGTTGTTTAAAAACCATCCCATGTGTGCTATTTTGTTATAGCAGCCCAGAAGATTAAGATGCAAGCCAAGGAGCAACTGGAGGGCAGGAATAGTGGCTGACTCCCCTGTGCTTTGGTCAGAACTGCTCAGGAAACATTCAGGGAAAGAATGAATGAATGCCTGACTCTCTGCAAAAATGGTTCAGAGGCAGCCATGCCAAGACGGGATTCTCTTGGCCTGAGTACCGGGAAGAAGGGCTTAGAACAGAAGTCGAAAGGGTTTTTAAAGCTTTATGGTGTCATCTAGAAGATTTCTTCATTTGACCTTTTCCTATTAAAAATGCTTTCTCATTTTACTAAGCATTTTCTAAGGGTCATCAACTAGATGGAAGAAGGAGCTCTAGAAAACTCCATCCTCTTGGAGATATTTTTTATTCTCCTTTTATAATTGGGAAGGCTGAGCTGTGGCATGTCTGCAGCTTTCACGAGTTTCACAAGGATGGTAGTGGCAGAACCACAGAGTGTGGTAACAGCAAACATCAGCGTACATGGACTTCCGAGTAAGTAGGACTGAGGGTGTAGGTGGCATCTCACTTACCAGCTGCCCTATCTTGGGTGGGTGGCTTTATCTCTTTGAGCCTCAGCTGACTCATGCTGCCTGCCTCAAAGGCTTGCTGTGAAGATTAAATGAGATAATATATGTAAATCATCCCAGGGAGAGTCAGACACCCATGGCTCCAACCTCCCCCACCCACTTTTTCTTTTTTTTTAAAAAGTGAGACAGAGTCTCGCTTTGTTGCCCAAGCTGGAGTACAGTGGAGACATCTTGGCTCACTGCAGCCTCTGCCTCCCAGGTTCTAGCAATTCTCCTGCCTCAGCCTCCTGAGTAGCTGGGATTACAGGCACCTGCTGCCATGCCCGGCTAATTTTTGTATTTTTAGTAGAGATGGGGTTTCACCATGTTGGCCAAGCTGTTCTTGAACTCCTGACCTCAGGTGATCCGCCCACCTCGGCCTCCCAAAGTGCTGGGATTATAGGCATGAGCCGCCATGCTTGGCCCAACCCCTTCTAAGAGCTCTGAAAACTCTCATATCCAGGAAATGTTGCTGGCATTAGACCAACTTACGCAGTGAGAATTTGGCCAACTCAGCTCAGATTTAAGGGAGTAAGTCCATCTCTGTTTGCTGTGGATGCTGCAGAAATAGCTCCCACTTTTTATTCATTTATTTTGAGACAGGGTCTGGCTCTGTCACCCAGGCTGGAGTGCAATGGTACAATAATTGTTCACGGCAGCCTTGACCTCCCAGACTCAACTGATCCTCCGACCTCAGCCTCCAGAGTAGCTGGGACTACAGGTGCACACCACCACACCTGCCCAATTTTTATACTTTTTTTAAAGAGATGAGGTTTAGCCATGTTGCCCAAGCTGGTGTCCAACTCCTGGGCTCAAGCATCCTCCCACCTCAACCTCCCAAAGAGCTGGGATTACAGGCATGAGCCATTGAGCCCGGTCAGCTTCCATTTCTTGTTGCCAAAATGATAGCAGATGAAGTGGCTCACCTGGTATTCTTTTCATTTTATTTCTCCCCATTGGGTGAGTACGATCAGAAGGAATAATATAAGGAGTTAGACCCTCCCCATCATGAAACATAAGTCTGAATTTCCTGGGGCCTCGGGATTCCACACTAGTCACAGGAAGAATATCCACAAACTTTTAAATAACAATGCTCCCACCAGGTGCAGTGGCTCATGCCTATAATCCCAGAATTTCTGGAGGCCAAGGTGAGGGAATTGCTAGAGGTCAGGAGTTCGAGACCTCTGGCAATATACCCAGGAGCCTGGGCAATATACCCAGACCTTGTCTCTACAAAAGAAAAAATAAAAAGAATGATCCAGGCATGGTGGTGTGCGCTTGTAACCCAGCTACTCAGGAGACTGAAGTGGGAGAATCACTTGAGCCCAGGAGTTTAAGTCTTCAGTGAGCTACGATTGTACCACTGCACCCCAGCCTGGGCAACAGAGTGAGTCTCTGTCTCTAAACCATAAATAAATACATAAATAAATAAGTAGCAATGCTCTCAAATGCAAAAGACCCAGAGTGTTTTGCCATAGAAACCATTAATGACTGTGCCCCCTCCACCCCCAGCAAATGAGAGCTCTGCCCCACATGCTGATCTCCCATTAACTCAGGCTGACCAAGGAAGCTAAGGCCACGGGCATGCCCAAATATTCTGGCCTCTGACCCTTGAGGGGCAGAGCCAGACCTCCCCCCAAAGGTTAACGAGGAGATTATATTTCTGGTTAAAGATGAGAGCAGACAAGGCCACTTGGTTTATTACCACGTTTAGAATACAGAGCGCTTTACTAGAGAAGGAAAAGCACAGGACAAGAAGAAAAGGCAGAAAAGGAAGCATAAAACAGAATCCACAGGGCAACAGAGCCCTCATGTCTCACAGGCATGGGGATTGAGGTCCTCTTTTATTTTCTACTTCCTCCTTAAAATCTCCCCTGCTGCTCATGGTGTTCCCTGCTCTATGTCCATGTGCAGGAGGTGGTCAGATCATGGACATGAGGCGTCCCATGCTGGCCCGTGGGAAGGCCCGGTTTCCTGGCTGTCATTTCAGTGTGGCCATCGGTTTGATGTTCCAGGGTTTAGCTTTCACCTCCAGTGCAGATGGTCAAGCTCTTTCCTCTCCACTTGTTCATTCGTCTATTCAATAGGAATCTACCCTCAGGGAGCTTACCTTTGAAAGAAGAAACATGCCAGGTGCAGTGGTTCGCGCCAGTAATCCCAGCACTTTGGGAGGCTAAGGTGGGTGGATCACCTGAGGTCAGGAGTTTGAGACCAGCCTGGCCAACATGGTGAAACCCTGTCTCTACTAAAAATACAAAAAAATTAACTGGGCGTGGTGGTGCATGCCTTTAATCCCAGCTACTCTGGAGTCTGAGGCAGGAGAATTACTTGAACCCGGGAGGCGGAGGTTGCAGTGAGCTGAGATTGTGCCACTGCACTCCAGCCTGGGCAACAAGAGCAAAAGTCTGTCTCAAAAAAATAAAAATAAAAAACGAAGAAACAGACAAAGAGTCTGAAATCAAATATCTCACAATAGGGACATATAATCAAGTTATCTTACAAACTGGGACAAGCTTAGCTTAGGATAGAAAAGTTGTGTGCAGTCTGGGCAACATAGTAAGACCCAGCCTCTACCAAAAAAAAAGAAAACCTAGATGAGCTTGGTAGTACACGCCTGTAGTCCTAGCTACTCTGGAGGCTGAGGTAGGCGGGTCATCTGAGCCCAGGAATTTGAGGCTGCAGTGAGCCGTGATCACAACCCTGCACTCCTAGGGGACAGAGTGAGACCCTTGTCTCAAAAACAAACAAACAAAAAAAGTTTTATGAACTGTATGGGGTGTCAAGAGAAGAATCTTATCCAAATTTGGGGCTTGGGGATAAGTTTGCTGAGGAACTGATGTTTCAGAGGCCACATATAAAATTGGAAGGAGACAAAAGGAATATGTAAGGAAAGGGGATGAGGAAGGAGGCAACAAAAGCATACTGTGCAGAGGCCCTGGGGCAGGAGGCCTTGGTGCATTTGAGGTCAGGGAGGCTGGAAGACAGAAGTATTAGATATGATGTTAAATAGGAGGGATTGGCTCATTTCTGCCTGTAGACAGTGGGTCTTTATCCTAAGAGCAAAAGAAAGATTTCAAACAATTTTACACAGCATTCTGAAATGATCTGGAGGAAAGTGGGAAATAACAGAGCTTGGTGGCAGTTTGAATATGGTGATGGGGAAGGGTTGGTCAAGAGAGAACTTTCTAGAATGACTCTTGGATTTTTGCCTTTGCAACTGAGCTGTATCAGAAAAATCTTCATCAATATCCACCACTATGTGACCCAGAATAAGAATCCCACCTCATCCAGTCTTGCTCTAGGATGATTAGGACCTTCCAGGATACTTTGCTGATCTTTGTCAAGGCACAGCGGAGAAAGAGATTTCATGGCCTTGTTATCTACAGTGCTCATAGCATAACTTGGAGTACCCTAAAGAAAATGTTTTGCAGGGTTGTAGAACTTCATTGACTGTACAGCAGATTCACATATACTGTCTTTGTTTTGCCTTGCAATAGCTGAAGGTGGAAGGGTTAAGCACATTAAGGGTGGAGGATAAGCACATTCTCATTATTTTTTAAAGATAAAAAAAAAACAAGTGTGCAAGTTTCATCCCAGGTGCCTTGTTCACCAGTATATACCCTGGCACAGAGCCCAGCACATGGCAGGTGGTCAGTACATGCTTGTCGAGTTAGAGAAGAAGTGGTCTGCCCAAGATCACGCTGTGCAGAACATAGGCTAAGACCTCCAGGTCTTTTGACACAAAACACCACCCCCTTGACACCAGACTCAGCCCATTTAGGGAAGGAGAAAGATGAGAACCTTTCAGGGATAAGAGTAATCAGGCATCAGAGATGTGGCTGGCCCATCTTGAGCAGCAACTTTTCCAGAAACTTGTGTAAGGTGCTTATCAAGTGCAGGCTGAGAGTTGAGGACATTCTTGGTGTCAGGGTCCAGGCTGAAACCAATAATTTGTCACAAATGGAAAAGAAATTATGCAGTGCCAGAAGTGGGGTCAGCTTCCCACTGATGGTAAGCTCAGAGAGGTGATGTGGTTTGGATGTTTTGTGCCCTACAAATCTCATGTTGAAATGTGACCTCCAGCCAGATGCAGTGGCTCCGGCCTGTAATCATAGCACTTTGGGAGGCTGAGGTGGGTGGATCGCTTGAGCCCAGGAGTTTGAGACCAGCCTGGGCAAGATGGGGAAACTCCGTCTCTACTGAAAATACAAAAATAGAAATAAAAAATTTAGCTGCATGTGGTGGTGCATGCCATTAGTCCCAGCTACTTGGGAGGCTGAGGTGGGAGGATCAACTAAGCCCAGGAGAAGGTCAAGGCTGCAGTGAACCATGATTGCTCCACTGTATGTGTATGCCAGCCCAAGTGATAAAATGAGACCCTATCTCAAAAAAAAAAAAAAAAAGAAAGAAAAAAAAGAAAAAGAAAAAAAAACTAAAAAAAAAGAAATAAGAAAGAAAAGAAATGTTGTGACCACCAATGTTGCAGGAGGGGCCTGGTAGGAAGTGTTTGGGTCAGTGGGGTGGATTACCTCATGAACAGCTTGGTGCCCTCCCATGGTCGTGAATGAGTTCTTGCTCTGGTAGTTCACATGAGATCTGGTTGTTTAAAATAATCTGGAACCTCCCTGCCTCTCTCTCTTGCTCAAACTGCTGCCATGTGATGTTCCTGCTCCCCTTTCACCTTCCACCACAATTGGATGCTTCCTGAAGCCTCACCAGGAGCAGATGCTAGTGCCATGCTTGTACAGCCTGCAGAATTGTGATCCAAAATAAACCTCTTTTCTTTACAAATTACCCAGCCTTGGGTATTCCTTTATAGCCATGCAAACAGACTAATATAGAAAATTGTTACCAAGGAGTGGGGTGTTGCTGTAAAGATACCTGAAAATGTGGTAATGGGAAGAGGTTTGATATGGTTTGGCTGTGTCCCCACCCAAACACAACATGTGTTGTGGGAGGGACCCAGTGACAGGTAATTGAATTATGGGGGCAGGTCTTTCCTGTGCTATTCTTGTGATAGTGAATAAGTCTCAGGAGATCTGATGGTTCTATAAGGGGCAGTTTCCCTGCACAAGCTCTCTCTGCCTGCTGCCATCCATGTAAGACGTGATTTGTTTCTCCTTGCCTTCCACCATGATTGTGAGGCTTCACCAGCCACTTGGAACGGTAAGTCTATTAAACCTCTTTCTTTTGTAAATTGCCTAGTCTCAAGTATGTCTTTATCAGCAGCATGAAAATTGACTAATACAGTAAATTGGTGCTGGGAGTGGGGCACTGCTGAAAAGATACCTGAAAATATGGACGTGACTTTGGAACTACGTAACAGGCAAAGGTTGGAACAGTTTGGAGGGTTCAGAAGAAGACCAAAATGGTGATAATGACATGGACAATGAAATCCAGGCTGAGGTGATCTCAGATGGAGATGAGGAACTTGCTGGGAACTGGAGCAAAGATGACTCTTTTTATATTTTAGCAAAGAGACTGGCAGCATTTTTCCCCTGCCCTAGAGATCTGTGGAACTTTGAACTTGAGAGAGATGATTTAGGGTATCTGGCAGAAGAAATTTCTAAGCAACATAGCATTCAAGAGGTGACTGGAGTGCTGTTAAAGGAATCCAGTTTCATAAAGTAAGCAGAGCATGAACGTTTGGAAAATTTGCAGCCTGACAATGCAATAGGCCTGATAATGCAAATCCCATTTTCTGAGAAGAAATTCAAGCCAGCTGCAGAAATTTGCATAAGTAGCAAGGAGCCCAATGTTAATCACCAAGTCAATGGGAAAAATGTTTCCAAGGCATGTCAGAGACCTTTGCAGTGGTGCCTCCCATCACAGGTTTAGGAGGGAAAAATGGTATTGTGGGCCAGGCCTAAGATCCCCCTGCTGTGTGCAGTCTAGGGACTTTTCGCCTTGTATCCAAGCTGTTTAGCTATGACAGAAACAGGTCAAGCTACAGCTCAGGCCATGGCTTCAGAGGGTGAAAGCCCCAAGCCTTGGGAGTTCCCAAGTGGTATAGAGACTCCAGGTGCACAAAAGTCAAGAATTGAGGTTTGGGAACCTCCACCTAGATTTCAGAGGATGTGTAGAAATGCCTGGATGTCCAGGCAGAAGTTTGCTGCAGGGGCAGGGCCCTCATGAAGAACCTCTGCTAGGGCAGTGCAGAAGGGAAATACGGGATCAGAGCCCCTACACAGAGTCCCTACTCGGGCTCCACCTAGTGGAGCTGTGAGAAGAGGGCTACCATCCTCCAGACCCCAGAATGGTAGATCCATTGACAGCTTGCACCAGGCACCTAGAAAAGCCACAGACACTCAATGGCAGCCCATGAAAACAGCCAGGAGGGAGGCTGTACCCTGCAAAGCCACAGGGGAGGAGCTGTTCAAGAGCATGAGTACTCACCTCTTGCATCAGCATGACCTTGGTGTGAGACATGGAGTCAGAGGAGATCATTTTGGAGCTTTAAGATTTGACTGCCCCACTGGATTTCTGACTTGCATGGGGCATGTAGCCCCTTGGTTTTGGCCAATTTCTCCCATTTGGAATGGCTGTATTTACCCAATGCCTGTACCCCCATTGTATCCAGGAAGTAGCTAACTTGCTTTGGATTTTGCAGGCTCATAGGCAAAAGGGACTTGCCTGTTTTGGATGAGACTTTGGACTTTGGACATTTGAGTTAATGCTGAAGCAAATTAAGACTTTGGGGGACTGTTGAGAAGGCATGACTGGTTTTGAAATGTGAGGACGTGAGATTTGGGAGAGGCCAGGGGCAGAATGATATGGTTTGGCTGTGTCCTCACGAAAATCTCATCTTGAATTCTCACATGTTGTGGGAAGGACCAAGTGGGAGGTAACTGAATCATGGGAGCAGGTATTTCCCATGCTGTTCTTGTGGTAGTGAATAAGTCTCACCAGATTTGATAGTTTTAAAAAGCAGAGTTTCCCTGCACAAGCTCTCTCTTCGTCTGCTGTCATCCATGTAAGTTGTGATTTGTTCCTTCTTGCCTTCCTCCATGATTATGAGTCCTCCCTAGTCATGTGGAACTGTAAGCCCATTAAACCTCTTTCTTTTTTTTAAATTGCCCAGTCTCAGTTATGTCTTTATCAGCAGTGTGAAAACAGACTCATACAAGGTTGAAAGAGTTTGAAGGCCTCAGAAGAAGACAGGAAGATGAGGGAAAGTTTGAAACTTCTTAGAGACTTGTTAAGTGGTTGCGACCAAAATGCCACTAGAAATATGGACAATGAAGGCCAGGATGGAAAGGTCTCTGATGGAAATGAGGAACTTACTGGGAATTGGAGCAAAGATCATTCTTGTTACACCTTAGCAAAGAGTTTGGTTGCATCATGATCACATCCTAGGTCATTGTGGAAGTTTGCACTTAAGAGTGATGATCTAGGGTATCTGGTGGAAGAAATTTCTAAGCACCAAAGCATTCAAGATGTGGCATGGCTGCTTCTAACAACCTATGAACAGATATAGGAGCAAAGGGATGACTTAAAGTTGGAACTTATATTTGAAAGGGAAGCAGAGCATAAAAATTTTGAAATTTGCTCCCTAGCCATGTAGTAGAGAAGGAAAGAGCATTTTCAGGAGAGAAATCCAAGTAGGCTAAGAGAACAACTTAGCCATTTGCATGGCCAAAAAAATGATAGGTTCTAATATTCAAGAACATGGGGAAAGGTCTTAAAAGCATTTCAGAAATCTTAAAGACAGGCCCTCCCCTCACAGGCCCAGAGGTCTAGGAGGAAAGAATGCTTTCAGGGCCAGGCCTGGGGCCCTGCTGCTCCTGTGCAGCCTCAGGATACTGCTCCCTGGCTGCTCCAGCTCCAGCTTTGGCTCAAAGGGCTGCAGATAACAGCTTAGGCCACACCTTTGGAGGGAGCAAGCCTTGCCTGCTTCCATATGATTTTAAGCCTGCAGGCACACAGAATGCAAGAGTGAAGGAGGCTTGGCAGCTTCCACCCAGATTTCAGAGGATATATTGGAAAGCACACAGAGGCCTGCTTCAGAGTCTTAGGCCACACAGAAAGCATCTGCTACAGTAGTGTTGAGGGGAAATGTAGGGTTAGAGTCCTTACCAGGGCACTGCTGAGTGGAGCTGTGGGAAGGAAGTCTCCAGACCTGAGAATGGTAGAACCACCAGCAGTTTGCAATTTCAGCATGGAAAATCTGCAGGCTCTCAACTCTAACCTGCGAGAGCATCCATGTGGGCTGCACTCTGCAAAGCCACAAGGGTGGAGCTGCCCAAGGCCTGGGTGCCCACCTCTAGCACCAAGATGCAGGACATGGAGTCAAAGGAGATTATGTTGGAGCTTTAAAATTTAATGTCTACCCTGGTGGATTTTAGATTTGCATGGAGTCTATTGCCTCTTTCTTTTGACCTATTTCTCCTTTTGGAATGGGAATTTATCCAATGCCCGTGCCACCTTCGTACCTTGGAAGTAAATAACTTGTCTTTGATTTCACAGGCTCACAGGTGGATGGAACTTGACTTGAGTCTCAGATGAGACTTAGGACTTTGGACTTAATGCTAGAACAAGTTAAGACTTTGGGGCACTGTTAGGAAAAGACAATTGTATTTTGCAATGCGAGAAAGGCATGTCAACTGGGGGGCCAAGGGCATCATAATATGGTTTGGATGTGTGTCTCCTCCAAATCTCATTTTTAAATGTAATCCCCAATGCTGGAGGTGGGGCCTGGTGGAGGTGATTGTGTTACATTGATGGAACCCTCATGAATGCCTCAGTGCCATCCCCATGGTAATGAGTGAGTTCTCACTCTGGTAGTTTATGCAAGAGCTGATCATTTAAAAGAGTCTTGGACTTCCCCTTCTTGCTCTCACTCTTGGATGTGACATGCCTTCTCCTCCTTTGCCTTCCACCATGATTTTAGACTTCCTGAGTTCTCATCAGTGGCAGATGCTGTTTGCCATGCCTCCATACAGCCTGCAGAATTGTGAGCCAGAATAAACTTCTTCTTTATATACTACCCAGCCTCAGGTACTACTTTATAGCAAAGCAAGAATGGACCGATGCAGGAGGACACTCATCCCACCTATCCTTCTGTGTTATCCCCCTCTTGTACATAAATTATCTGCACCTGCCTAATTCACTTTTAAGGACTAAGTTTTAGAAGTGGGACTAGACTAAAGGGTATGTACATATTTAAGGTTCTTTATATATATTGCCAAATTGCCTTCCAGAAGTGTTTTATCCAATTACTTGATGACAAGCATGTATGATAATACAATTTCTTTATACATTCCCCACAGAGAATCTTATATGTTTTTGTAAAAATTCTGCCACTTTTATACATTAAAATTGGTGTTTCATTGTCATTTCTTTAATTAGTTCTGACTATGCCCATTTTTATGTCTTTATTACCATTTGCACTAATATTCTTTAGAATCTCATGTTTTTCACAACCTCTTCCTCCAGCCCACTCCTATTGTGGTAAATGTTTGCTTTAAAATATTGTTGGTCTTTATTATGCTTATAAAAGTAATACACCTGTATTGCAAAATATAGACAAATACAGAAAAGCATAAAAACAAAGATTGCTAGTATTACCACAACTCAGAAAGGATCACTCATTGATTTTGTTTTCAGGTAGATAGATTTTTTTCTTAAATTGATTTCTAAGTAGTTTTAAAAGTAGAAAGAAAATTAATTCCTTATCTATAGTGTTTTTAAAAATCACTGTTCATTTGTTTTTTGTTGTTATTGTTTATGATAGTGATGTGTTTTTAGATGAAGAGGTTAGTTTTATTCACTTCTTGTATGTTACCCTAATTTTATGCTTTGAAAGTTCTTTCCCATCCTGATCACTGTTGTATTTTCAAGTAACTTTTGAAATTTAACTACTTAATCTAAAATTGGCTTGCTATAGAATAGGATGGATAGATTAAAAAAAAGACTTGAATGGCTTTTTCCTAATTATCTAGTAATTATCAATTGAAAAATCTATCTTTTTCTTTTGATGAGATGCTGATTTTATCATAAATGAAATGTTTGTATACACTAGGGAATGTTTCTGGGATATCAATTCTTATCCATTGATCTGTCCATTCCACGTTGTTTTAAGTGCTATAGCTTTATAATGCATTTCAATATCTATTACTGCAAGTCTCTCCTATTTCCTTAAAATTTTTATTTACTCTTATTTTACTCTTCAAATGAAACTCAGAATCATTTTGTCAGTAAATGTGTATATAGACATGCAATTCTTAGACTGTTGTTAAACTTTTATTGATTTGGGAAGAGTACACAACTATTCTATTCTATTCTTCTATTCTATTCTATTCTATTCTATTCTATTCCATTCCATTCTATTCCACTCTACTATAAGACAGAGGTTAGCAAACTATGGGTTGTGGGCCAAATCTGGCCCGCTGCCTATTTTTGTAAGTAAGCTTGTATTGGAACTCAGCCATAGTCGTTTGTTTACACACTGTTGGTGACCGCTTTCATGCTATAGTGGCAGAGGTGAGTTTTGGCAAAGGCCATGTGGTCACAGTCTGAAATATTCACTAATTGTCCCCTTACAAAAGTTTGCCGGCACATGTTTTAAGGCAAAATAATTATCTCTTTTGCTTTCTCCCTCTTCATATTCAAATCAAATGTTATTATTAGGTTTCAGTTAAGATCTATATAAGGCCTGAACTTTCTTTATTTTTCTTTTAATTTTATTTTACATTTAAGGGTCCATGTGCAGGTTTATTACAAGAGTACATTGCGTGATGCTGAGATTTGGGATATGATTGATCCCATCACCCAGGTAGTGAGCATGGGACCCAATAGAAAGTTTTTCAGCCTTTGCCCTCCTCCCTTCCGTCCCCTCTTTTGGAGTTCCCAGTGTCTACTGCTCCCATGTTTATGTCCATGTGTACCCAAGGTTCAGCTCCCACTTATAATTGAGAACATGTGACACTCTGTTTTCTGTTCCTGCTTTAATTCACTTAGGATAATGGCCTCCAGCTGCATCCGTGTTGCTGCAGAAAACATGATTTCACTCTTTTTTATTGCTGCATTGTATTCCATGATGTATATGGACCACCTTTTCTTTATCCAGTCCACTGTTGATGGGCAGTGGGTTGATACCATGTCTTTGCTTTTGTGAATAGTGCTGTGATGAACATATGAGTGCAGGTGTCTTTTTCGTAGAATGATTTATTTTCCTTTGGGCATATGCACAGTAATGGGATTGCCTGAACTTTCTATCACATTTATTATCATAGTCTTTTCTGAACTTTTAACTCTGTGGTTCCCATGTCTGAGACTACTGTACCCATTTAATCTCCTAACTGCTACTGATGGCAAACCTCTCTCTAGTGCAGCTGAGGCAAATGCTGGGCCCACAGTCTATCTGGGGTGACACAGATTTGCAGGGTGTTGGCATGAGGGAAAATGAGGGTTACTGGAGCCTCTGGTTCTGGAAATACCAAAAGATAAAGGCAAGTGGGGTGTACTGGGTTCAATGGTTCTTCTTAAATCTGAGATCATGCATTTCCCCAACAGTGCTGCAACATTTTACATATTTCAGAATGGCTTATGCGGGATTGTGTTTTAAGGAGGACAGATGAATATTTTGTAATTGTGATTTATAGAACATGTTATGTTTATCTTTCACCTGGGGCCTGGGCTTTGTTTGCTTGCATCTTGTTTGTAAAGAGCTCAAACTGCTTAACCCCACCCCTCCCCTTTTTTTCTCAATACTTGACCTCTCAAGTATTTTCAGCCTGAGAGGTCACAAAGCAGAAAACATCTTTTGACTCAGCCTCACTTGAGGAGCTTGGCTTGAAACTTCAGACAGTAGGGATGGTGGCCACTGGCTTTGGTGAACTGGGAGTTAACTCAAAACCGCTGGGGCTTCCTACTTGTGATGGTTGTGGAGGGATTCCACACTCAGTGGTATTCATTACATTGCTGGGTGCCAGATGCTATGCCAAGCGTCAGGGGCAGGGTAGGGACCATGACAGCCAACCTCTGCAACTCAGGAATTTGTACCTAGTGGGGGATGTAGCACTAAATAAGAAACCAGCCAGCACACTGAGCGTTCATACATCAGTAGAAGGGCTGATGAAGTTGTAGTTCAGGGAAGGCTCTTGGAGTAATTTGTGTTAGACTAAAAGGTGAAGAGCAAGTAAATATGGGTGATGTGTACAGGTGAACCTGCGCATGCACCTGTGTGTGTGCATGCACCTGTGTGTGTGCGTGCATGCATGTGTGTGTGTGTGTGTGTTATATGTATGCATGTGTGTGCATGTATGTATGCATGTGTGTATATGCATGTGTGTGCGTATGTGTATGTATTGGGAGAGGCCGGCTGCGGAGCAGACATTCCAAGTGGGGCCAAGAGCAATATTCAGGTTTCAGCTCTCCAGTTGGGTAGGAGATGTCTGCATGTCTGGCAGAGTCCAGGTCCTGTTATTTCATGGTTTGGCTGTGGGAAGTGCAAGAAGAAAGCAAAAGGAATAACTGGCAGAGCCCTTCCTAGGAGCCGGTCAGTAGGTCAGAGATGGAGCCCTGCGGGAGTGCTAAGAGCTGAAATCTGGAAGATATGAGCCCCTGATCCTTCCCTGGACCCTGCTCCCATCCCAGGACGGCAGTTGTCATCTCCCAGGTTTCCTGTCTACAGATCCATTCCAGCTGCCAACTTCCATTTTCATCTTCCACAGCAGGCCCCAAAGAAATGGGCTGGATTTAAGAACTAAAAAAAAAAAAAAAAAAAAAAATCTCATGTGTGTGTGGTGTGTGCCAGGCACTAAGCTGAGCACTAAGAAAGTAAAGACAAATGAGACATGATCCTATCCCTCAAGTGGCCCACAGATCAGCTGGGCAAGTCAGGTATGTCAACAGCTGATGACAATCTCCCACATCAAGTGACTGGAGTGATGAGCTGTACAAAGCAGAGCTCCCACACTCCCTACATTGCCCAGGGACCAGCACGCTGGCTTCGGGACAGGACGGCAAAAGCAGGGGAGCACTGTTGATTTTTTCATTCACTGAGTGCCCACTGCACTGCAGACATGGCCCTGCCTCATGGAGCTTCCAGTCTGAAGAAGGCCGTAAATACAGAAACAGGCTATGTAACACCAGGTGAAGAGGACTCTAAATGGCACTCACCCAGGCATGAGGGGACAGAGAAGGCTTCCAGGCGAAGGTGGCTTTTTGCTGAGACTTGAGGTGGGGATGGCAGGTGATCAGGCAAAGAGAATTCAGTGGAAGAGGAATATTCCAGGCCAGGGAACAGTATCTGAGGACACCCAGAGGAGAGAGAGAGCATTGGGTTTGAAGGCAGAGCCCTCAAGACCCAAGCTGCTCTTAAAGTTCCCGCCTCTCAACACTATTGGAATGGAGATTTGGTTTTCAACCCATGAATGTTGGGGGACACATTGAAGCCATAGCAAGATGTTAGGGAGTGGGACTGCAGCATTGAATATTAAGAGGGCAGTTATGGAAGAGAACACAGGTCAGCTGAGTAAACACCACAGATCCTGATTTAAAGGAAAGAGATGTTTAAATTTCTTATTTGATAAAAAATAATTAATTTTTGGCTGGGCATGGTGGCTCATGTCTGTAATCCCCGCCCTTTGGGAGGCCAAGGTGGGAGGATCACTTGAGGCTGAGAGTTTGAGACCAGCCTGGGCAACATGGCGAGACCTCATCTCTACAATAAAAAATGGATAAATAAAATAAAACAAATGTAATTCACAGTTAAATATAAATGTGTATACTTATGGGGTACAATGTGATGTTTTGATCTACGTGTACATTATAGAACAATCCAATCAAGTCAAGTAATATATCCATCATCTTGCCAATTTATCTTTTTTTGTTGCAAGAATGTTAAAACTCTTTTGGCAATTTTGAAATAATAATATTTTAACATTAACTGTGGTCATCATGCGGCACTAAAACCTACTCCTCCTGTCTCACTGAAACCTTGAATCAATATCTTTAAATTCTTTCTGTAGACACATTGGGTTTTTCCTAAAGGCAACCTCCCTTCCTGGCTTTTGTTTTCCCCAGGCCTGAGTTCTTTGGGAGAGAGGAGAGACACACGTGTTTTTGATGTGGAGGGTGAGGCAGGTTAGAAGCAGGGGTGTGATGACGTATGGGAATGGGTGGTGGTTGGAGCTTTGCAGCCCAGAAGCAGGACCACAGGGGGCTGAGGCCTCAGAACAGAATGTCAGTGTGGCACAAACAGGCTGAACCTGTACCTGGGCTCTGAGTCTTGGGAAAGCTCCTTTGCCTGTGGCAGGTCAGGATTGGAAGAATGTCTTTCCTCATGGATTGGAGAGTTTGGATGAGGCCTGGGGGCTGGGATCAGGATCAGCTGAAGACTATGAGCTCCTGTTTAGTGACTATTGGCTCAACCTTTGGGATTTTAGAGTGTTCAACTCACAATTGCAAAAACATGGAACCAGACCAAATGACCATCAATCAATGAGTGGATAAAGAAACTGAGGGGTGTGTGTGTGTGTGTGTGTGTGTGTGTGTGTATACATGATGGTATATATATGTATATACACATGTATATATATATGATGGAATATATATATACACATGTATATATATATGATGGAATATATATATACACACATGTATATATATATGATGGAATATATATATACACGTGTATATATATATGATGGAATATATATATACAAACATGTATATATATATGATGGAATATATATATACAAACATGTATATATATATGATGGAATATATATATACAAACATGTATATATATATGATGGAATATATATATACAAACATGTATATATATATATGATGGAATATATATATATACAAACATGTATATATATATGATGGAATATATATATATACAAACATGTATATATATATGATGGAATATATATACCTGTATATATATATGATGGAATATATATACATGTATATATATATGATGGAATATATATACATGTATATATATATGATGGAATATATATATACAAACATGTATATATATATGATGGAATATATATATACAAACATGTATATATATATGATGGAATATATATATACATGTATATATATATGATGGAATATATATATACATGTATATATATATGATGGAATATATATATACATGTATATATATATGATGGAATATATATATACATGTATATATATATGATGGAATATATATATACATGTATATATATATGATGGAATATATATATACATGTATATATATATGATGGAATATATATATACATGTATATATATATGATGGAATATATATATACATGTATATATATATGATGGAATATATATATACATGTATATATATATGATGGAATATATATATACATGTATATATATGATGGAATATATATATACATGTATATATATGATGGAATATATACACGTATATATATAGTGTATGTATATACACATATATATTTTTATTGTATATATATTCATTGTATGTTGTATATTGTATTGTATATCTATTGTATTGTATATCTATTGTATTGTATATCTATTGTATTGAATATATATACAATATATAGTATATATTCATATATATTGTACATATACATATATGTATATATCCATATATATATCTATGAATTTGTATATGTATATATATAAGAATATATATATAAGAACATATATATATATATACAAACACACACACACACACAATGGAATACTACTCAGCCATAAAAAGGAATGAATTAATTGCATTCACAGTGACCTGGATGAGACTGGAGACTATTACTCTAGTGAAGTAACTCAGGAATGGAAAACCAAACATTGTATGTTCTAACTCATAAGTGGGAGCTAAGCTATGAGGATGCAAAGGCATAAGAATGACACAGTGGACTTTGGGGACTCACGGGGAAAGGGTGGGAATGGGGTGGGATAAAAGACTACAAATTGGGGGCAGTGTATACTGCTCTGGAGATGGGCGCACCAAAATCTCACAAATCACCACTAAACAACTTAACTAATGTAACCAAACACCACCTGTTCCCCAATAACCTATGGAAATTAAAAAATTTATTTTAAAAAATTAATTTTTTAAAAAAGGGACAGAAGAGACAAAATAGGTGGGCTAAAATCTGCTGACAGCCCTGCTAGATGGTAATTCAAGTCAGATTTATCTTGATTTAATAAAAACATTTTGACATTTCTTGCACACTTGGGTTTGTGGAATAAGATTCACTTCTAATATTTGTGTCTCCATATACAAGACAGAAGTTATGTAGAAAATAGAAATAAAAAGAAAAAATATCTACATGGCCAACTATCAACTTAAGCCATTGTTGAATTTTGACAGACTTCTTGATTTTGCTATTAGGACTTTGGTTTTAATTTGGGGTGCGTGTGTGTGCACGTGTGTGTGTGTGTGTGATATAGCTCTAATCATACTGTAAATATAAATTTGTACCTTGTCTTTTAACCTAAAATTATAACATAGACATTTTTCTCTGTTGTTACAAAACCTTAGTAGAATAAATCTTATAGAAAAAGATTTATAGATTTTGCTACATACTATTTAAAAGACCCAAGTATCAAAAATCACTACTAAAAGGTAAACAGCTAACTGTAGTTGAAATTTACATCAAATAAGACAAGCAGTCAATGCCTTTATTATGTAAAGAACATATAAACAGATATGAAAAAGATAAAGAACACAAAAATATATACAAATGAAAGATAATACATGAAAAGTTGTAAACGACACATAGACAAACCTAGAGGACTTTACACTAAGTGATATAAACCAGGCACAGGGAGACAAATACAGCATGATCTCATTTATATGTGGAATCTAAGAAAGTCAAACTTGGCCGGGTACAATGGCTCAGGACTATAATCCCAGCACTTTGGGAGGCCGAGGCGTGTGGGTCACTTGAGGTCAGGAGTTCGAGACCAACCTGGCCCAACATGGTGAAACCCCATCTCTACTAAAAATACAAAAATTAGCCAGGCATGGTAGCACATGTCTGTAACTCTACTCAGGAGGCCGAGGCAGGAGTAATCGCTTGAACCTGGGAGGTGGAGGTTGCAGTGAGCCAAGATCACACCACTGCACTCCAGCCTGGGTGACAGAGTGAGATCCTATCTCAAAATAAATAAATAAAAATAAAAATAAATAAATGAAAAGGTCAAACTTGTAGAAGTAGAGAGTAGAATGGTAGTTGCCAGGGAATGGGGGTGAGGCAGGTAGGGAAAGGGAAGATGTTGGTCAAAGGTTCTAAAGTTTCACCTAGGTAGAAAGAATAAGTTCTGGTGATAAATTGCACAGCAAGCTGACTATAGTTAATAACAATGTCTTGTAAATAACTAAAATAGAAAATTTTAAATTTTCTCACCACAGAAAAAATTCATAAATATTTCAGGTGATGTATATGTTACTTAGGCTGATTTGATCTTTCTACAGTGTATACATGTAACAAAATATCACATTGTATCCCATAATTATATACAGTCATTTTCAATTGAAATAAAATAAAACAAGGAAACTACAAAGGAAAGTTGTAAAAGAGGAAATACATTTGGTTAACCTAGAATTTTTTTTTTTTTTTTTTGAGATGGAGTCTTGCTCTGTCACTCAGGCTACAGTGCAGTGGCGTGATCTTGGCTCATGGCAGCCTCTGCCTCCCGGGTTTAAGCTATTCTCCTTACTCAGCCTCCTGAGTAGCTGGGATTGCAGGTGCATGCCACCATGCCTGGCTAATGTTTGTGTTTTTAGTAGAGATAGGGTTTCACCATGTTGGCCAGGTTGGTCTCGAACTCCTGACCCCAAGTGATCCACCTGCCTCAGCCTCCCAAAGTGTTGGATTTATAGGCGTGAGCCACCGTGCCTGGCTGAAAATTTATTCTCACTAGATTTCAAAGGAATACAAATTAAAAACCTACCAGTAAGCTTTTATCAGATTAGAAAAGACTTTAAAATATTTCTTGTCCATTGAGTAGAAACTTAGAACTAAGGTGAAAGTATGAAAATATAAATTGGTAGAAGGTTTGGGGGACACCAGCGTTATGTTCAAAAGCCTTACAATTTTTCCCTCCTTTAGTTCAGTAGTACCACTTTTTCTGTTTTCACCACAGGATATAATCAGAGGAAACCACAAAGATTTATGCATAAGAATATTCATCATAGCGTTGTTTCTAATGGTGAAAAATTGGAAGTAACCTAATGTCCATCCATCAGAGATTGGTTAAGTAGACTATTATGCAGTCATTAGAATTTAGAAAACTACATAACAATGTTGAAAAATGACTTCTCCATTTCTATATGTTTCTACCATTGCTTGCAGTAAAATGCTGGAGGAGGGGGTTTGGAAGTGAAGTTTACTTATCTCACTTTCTACAGTAATATGAACTGTGTCTTTAGCACCTTGGAGTGTTCTAGGTTTTGTAATCATTAAGTTTGGGGCACTGATATGGTTTGGCTGTGTCTCCCCCCAAATCTCATCTTGAATTGTAGCTCCCATGATTCCCACGTGTTGTGGGAGAGACCCAGTGGGAAATAATTGAATGATGGGGGCGGGTTCCCCCATACTGTTCTCATTGTAGTGAATAAGTCTCACGAGATCTGATGGTTTTATAATGAGTTTCCCTTTTCACTTGGCTCTCATACTCCCTCTTGTCTGCCACCATGTAAGATGTGCTTTTTGCCTTCTGCCAGGATTGTGAGGCCTCCCCAGCAATGTGTAACTGTAAGTCCACTAGACCTCTTTTTCTTTATAAATTATCCAGGCTTGGATATGTCTTCATCAGCAGTGTGAAGACGAACTAATACAGGCACCCATGGAAAGTGTGCATACCCCCGCAACCCCTGGCCTTTGAGACCCACTCATTCAAAGCCTAAGTGCTGTCCCCAGTGTGTGAAACAAACAGAGGCATGGTATGCAATACTTCCTTCCTTCTGTCCTGTAAGCCTGCTTGCTGGGTTATTTCTTCTTTATCTCCTGAGTGCAAACTTAGACGAGCCTCCATGACTTTCCAAGTCACTCGAGAATAGAAAATTCTTACAATAGTCTGAACTCATGGAAGTGCCAACTGAGTGGTTTTAAAAGCCAGTCTTACGTAGTAGTCAGTTTCCAACTTTCTCTACAAATTTGACTTCTCCCATTCACCAGCACCACCTGCACAGCTGGGACCTCTCCCTGGCAGATGGGCTGCCGGGGAAGCCAGGGAAGCCTGCCTTCATGCTCCCCTCTTTTCCCACTTCCAAGCGAATGTTTCTTGGTCCTGGGCAGTTGGAGCACGGGAGAGGGAGACTGGAGAGTTTAGTGAGATTCTCACTTGACTGGCAGATTGTTTAAAGTGACACAGGCTCTTGAGGGCTGCTTTTGTGGGTTGCACTTTGAAAAATTTGTCCGGGAAGTAGGTAATGCCCTTCACCATGGCCTCAGTCCCTGAGTTCCCGGTGGCCCATCCCCAGGGAGTCTCTCTGTGGGAGTGGCTGTGCCCTGCAAGAAGGCATTGATTCCTGCACAGCCAGTGGGAGGCATTCCTGTGAACTCTGGGGAGCAGGCTGTCCCAAGGCTGCTAAAACTGTCTCTCTCTTGTTCTGCTGACAAATCAGCCACCTCCGGGTCTCCCAAGTGGAGGCAGCCACAAGCACCCGTGTCCTCCTGGCTGCAGGGCACACACCAACTTCCCCAAGCAACCCTTTTGAAGCACTTCCTTTCTGTCTTGAGGTGAGGTTGTGGGGAGGGATGTAGGACCCATATCCAACTTTTTCCAGAGAAATCCATCTAACAGATTCTCTCCCTGTCTCCATTCTCTTAACCTTTTTTAAAATCCTCAGTGTGGTTGAGGGCATCAAGAATCATGGAACCAATGATAAGATGTTGCATCTGAAATTTCTGCACAATGGTAAATGCAGCAGCTACTGTTTTTGTGCCTTATTCAGTTAGGAGAGAGGAATGACCCAGGTTAACATCTCAAAACAGCCTTTCTGGATGCTCTTTCCCTCACACTAAAGTTGTCATCACATCGGACTTGTGATTCCACTCTACCCTTGTTTTTCCCGCCTGACAAATGCCTGTCTGCTAAGCGAGGCTGCTCAATCACCTCCGCCTCCACAAGCCAGCAGCAAGCTTCCACCTGCCGTCCTTCTGAGGAATATTCCTCAATTGCAGAACACGCCTCGCCAGGTTAAAGAGTGAAGGTCTCCTTTCTCTGAGCATAAATCATCTCTACACTCCCAACAGCACATCCCTCAGGGCCTGGCACCAACTAGGTGCTGAGGGATTGCACACCAAAGCATGCTCTTTGCACCTGGCATTGACCTCAGTGGTGGTATTTATAGGACTGGGCTGTTTAAGGTCAAAGTCACAAAGGAGAGGGGCAGCCCCAGATGGCGTGAAGGCTGATGTCTATGAATGGGTCAGAGGAGAGATTTCAATAATCTATGCCATTTTGGAAACTCAGAGGGGCAAAGACCCACCAGAGCAGAGCTTACTTACAGGGTTAATCATAAGGCCCAAGTTATGGGAGATTAACCAAATAAATGAGGTGTGGTGGGCAGAAAGGGTGACTTCAGCTCCTCTGCGAAAGTAGATCACACACGTCAAGATTAATGTCTCCTGACCACTGAGTCTATTCAGGGCCTTCCTGTGTCATATTTCTATTCACTCATTCATCTTGACTGCCCACCTTGGTGCAGATGAAAGTCAGGAGCTGGTTGCACGAAATTAGGATACCTCTGAGAAACCCCTCAGGCCTTTCAGACACTGGCTGTGACTTTGAGCTAGTGTATAAAATTAAATAAACTAGCTTGGCTGGTTGATTGACAAGAACTAGAAAAAAA
Source organism: Homo sapiens (assembly GCF_000001405.40). NCBI lineage: Eukaryota > Metazoa > Chordata > Mammalia > Primates > Hominidae > Homo > Homo sapiens. The sequence continues at coordinate 31,470,609 of NC_000019.10, read as the reverse complement.
AATCCTTTGCTTTTGCGACCTCCCACCTGTGGGGTGGGGTTAAAACTGTGCGTTAGTGAATATGAGGTGTATTTGCATATGGAGGGTAGGAAGTACAGCCCTGCCAATCACGATATGCCAGGCAGCAAAGAGGGGTGGAAGTTGGTGAAGCCTTCATTTGCATATGGAAACAAGCATACGACGCACTGAGGTTTTCTCTACCGGAGGCATTTAGGGCACTTCTCTTGAAGCTGGGTGTTCATAGCGAGTGCATGATTTTCTACTTAGATCTTATCTTTATTTAAAGTGGCTTGGGGGTGGGGTCAGGAAGGAAACTGATGAGAGTGAAGACTCAAACTTTCCTAGTCCACCCTGGTATGATCCCAGCAAACCCAGTCTGTAGAAAAGTGAGGTGAGTATTTAGAAATTACCTAGGAAATCAGTTAATGTGGACAGTGGGAGGTCAATCAACTGGACTGACTGTCAATCAACTGGGCCGACTGTCTTCTGAGACCCTTGGCAAATGAAAAAGCCACCTGCCTTCTCCTTTATCTTTCAGCCTGATTTGTCTGTTTACTCTGCCTATTATTTCTTCTGCTGTGCAGAAGTTTTTTAGTTTCATTAGGTCCCATTTATTTATTTTTGTTTTTGTTGCATTTGCTTTTGGGGTCTTAGTTACGAATTTTTTTGCCTGGATGTCCAGAAGAGTTTTTCCAACATTATCTTTAGAATTTTTACAGTTTCAGGTCTGAGATCTAAGATAACCAATGAGTGGATAAAGAAAATGTGGTAGATATACACCATGGAATACTACTCAACTATAAAAAGGAATAAAATAATGTATTTTGCAGCAACTTGGATGGAGCTGAAGGCCATTATTCTAAATGAAGTAACTCATGAATGGAAAACCAAATACCACATGTTTTCACTTACAAGTGGAAGCTAAGCTATGAGGACTCAAAGTCATACAGTGATATAATGGACTTTGGGAACTTGGGAGTTGGGGAAGTTGGAGGGGCTTGAGTAATAAAAGACTACATATTGGGTACAACATACACTGTTCAGGTGATGGGTGCACTAAAATTCAGAATTCATCAGTATAGAAGGCATCCATGTGACCAAAAACCACTTGTACCCCAAAAGCTATTGAAAGAAAACAAAAACAACAACAACTTTAAGCCTAAGGGTCAAGCTGGAGGTTCTGGGACAGAGGCCCAGGACAACATCGCCCTCTGTGAAGCAGGTCCCCACGTACAACATGCAGTCAGTAAGCTCTCTTGAGCTGCAAGTTAATTCCAGAGTCTGAGACCTCGGATGGTGCTTCTGGGAGGTCAAGGAAGCTCCCCATGTTGGAAGTAAACAGTGGGAAGGTTGGAGACAGGGTCCTTCTCAGGCTGGCGATCATGGAAAAAGGAGGTGTGCACGTGCAGATACCCCCATAGGAAGAGAACTTGCTTTCTCTCCTAGCTTCACCACGTGTGCCCCCATCAAGGCAGGACCCTGCTTACTCAGGTCCTCAGTGGAGGGGGGTGGGGTATCTAATCTAAACCAGGGAGGACCTTTCTTCCCAACACAGGGTCGTTCCTCATCAGCTTCACTTCATTTACATCTCTCCAGGCTTCTGGAAATTTCTCACTAATCTCTTTATTAAAAGTCTCCCAAAGACTTGAAAAAGACATGTTTTCGGCAGGGCATGGTGGCTCATGCCTGTAATCTCGGCACTTTGGGAAGCCAAGGTGGGCGGATCACCTGAGGTTGGAAGTTCGAGACCAGCCTGACCAACATGGAGTAACCTCGTCTCTACTAAAAATATGAAATTAGCCAGGCTTGGTGGAGCATGCCTGTAATCCTAGCTACTCAGGAGGCTGAGACAGGAGAATCGTTTGAACCTGGGAGGCGGAGGTTGTGGTGAGCCGAGATCGTGCCACTGCACTCCAGCCTGGGCAACAAGAGTGAAACTCTGTCTCAACAAAAAAAAAAAAAAAAAAAAAAAAAAAAAAAGACATGTTTCTTTCTTTTGTTTTTTTTTTTTTAATAGTGTCTAGGTTGTATTTATATTTATTTTTTCTTGCTTTTTATAAATTTTAGATTCAGGGGGTACATGTGCATGTGTGGTAGGTACATGGGTGTATTGCCTGATTCTGAGATTTGGGCTTCTATTGATCCCATTGCCCAGGTAGTGAGCGTGGGACTCAATAGTTTTTCCGCCCTTGCTCCCCTCCCTCCTCCCTTCCTGCTCCCTTTTTGGGGTCCTCAGTGTCTATTGTTCCCATCTTTATGTCCATTTGGACAAAATATTTAGCTCCCACTTGTAAGTGAGAACATGTGGTATTCGGTTTTCCATTCCTGAGTTACTTCACCTAGAATCATTGCCTCCAGCTCCACACAAATTGCTGTAAAAGACATTATTTGATTTGTCTTTATGGTTGTGTAGTATTCCATGATGTATATGTACCACACTTTCTTTTATCCAATCCACCCATAATGGACACATAGGTTGATTTCATGTCCTTGCTATTGTGATTAGTGTTGCAATAAACATGTGCATGCCAGTGTCTTTTTATTAATAGTAGAACAATTTCTTTTCCTTTGAGTAGATACCCAGTCATGAAAAAGACCTGTATTCAACACGTGAATCTTCAAATCACAACCCAGTGCTCCGATATCAGCATCTCTGTCCTTGAGCCTAGGACTTGCCACCCTGTCCGTCCTGGAGTGTTGACCTGTGCAGCCCTGGGTAAAATTTTGTAGGATTGTTTTCCACATATAGGTCCTGCACATTTCTTGTTGAATTTATTTCTGAACAATCTCTGTTTAGGGATGTTGTAATAAATAGGAATTTTCTAAATTAAATGTATCAACTGGTTATCTCTAATAGTGATTATTTTTATATTACATTATTTAATATTCCACTCTCCTTAGCTCTCTAATTAATTCAAGCAGTTTTTCTGTTGATTTTGTTGAATTTTCCAGGTAAGTTATATGTTATCCAAAATACAGTATTTCCTCTTTTTCAGAATATATTCTCTTCATTTTAAATTTCTGTGTGTGTGTGTGACAGAGAGAGACAGAGAGAGTAACCTTTCCAACTTTTCAGTTCTCTATAATAGTTAAAATACAGTGAATTTACCTTTTCCTTAGAGGATTGATAGACCTTGCCTGTAAAACCCTCTGGTCCCAGCATCCTTATAGAACTGATACACACATACACATAGAAACAAACACATAGTTCTTTTACAATCCTTTATTTTTTTAAGAGTCTCTGGTTTATTTGTATTTTCTAGATTTTCATAAGCCGCTTTAAATGCATTTTTCCCAGAATGTGATCAATTTTATGCAATTTCCATTTTTAGCAGAGTTGTTCACAGAAATCTCTGAAAAGTCTATAAATCCTCTTTGTATTTGTGATTATATATTTATTCTCAATCCTATTTTGGTCTCATTTTTTCTTGATTAGATTTCTTGGGTTTGAATATTTTATTTGTCATTTCAGAGAAACCAATCTCATTTATAGCAATTCTGCTGAATGCATATTTATTCTTGTTATTTCTGTTAATTCCTTCCTCCCACTTTTCTTATGCTTCCCCATTTTGTTGCTGATTTGTTGAATGTAATGGTCAGTGTATTTATTTTTGTCTTGCTCAATATGAAAAATATTTAAGATTATTATTGTAATAATAAGTACAGCTTTGGCTGCAGCTCATACATTGTCTTATGTTGTCTCATTATTTTACAAATAGTCTATATTTATAGTTGTGTGCCACCTTTTACTGAGATACATAGAAGGGTTTATTAAATTTCAAGAAGTTTCTCATTTAAATTCTATTATTTATATATAGTTTGTATGGCAATTAGACAATACAGGCATTACATTTTAAAGAATTTATTCAGATCTTTTAGAGGGTGAATGTAATTATTACTGTAAATATTCCATGGGCACTAGAAAAAAACAAGCATTATCTCTGCAAGGTTTGATATATTACTATTAAATCAATTTTATCAATAGGCTCCTCTGACTTTGATATATTAAGTGAGCTAAGAATAAAATATGGTATCAAATCAGAAAAATGCAATTATCATCTACCACCAGTGCTATGCTTCTTTCTATTTATCTTTATATTTCTCATAGGATTTCAGCATATATTTTGATTCGATGTTATTCAAGACAACAACAGTAACAATAATAATACCTGACACGTTTGGGGTGTTTATGACATGTTAGCAACTGTGCCAAGCACACTGGACATCTTAGCTTTTCCATTTTCACAGGGATGCTATGAGGATTGTCTGCAGTTTACAGAAGAGGAAACTGAGCCTCACAGAGTTCATCATTTAGGGTTGGAATGGACTACCTGAAACGGGAAAGAAAAAATGACACCTAAAACAAAGTGGACGTTGATTCTCTTCCCAGCGTTGGCCCTGATTGGTGTCATGGCGGCCTCGTGTTGTCCACAAGGGCATGGGCTTCCGCTCCATATCTTGTTGCCCTCAGCACATGGCTGACTTCAGATTCGATTCTTTACCACCAGCCATCCTGCCTTCTTTAGCGTCCAACAGCGAAAAGAGATGAGGGGCCTCTGACCCTTAAGGCTATCCAAGTCGCCCCAGCTATGCTCCTTCCCAAACCCGGAATGTCCCTTTAAGTTAGGTCACTCTCACGTCCATGCCCAGCCTTTGTGGAGGCTGGAAATCAGCACCCCAGGGCCCTGCCTTCATAGGTGAGGCACGAGCCATCATCCGGAGGCCTCCCCACAACCCACAGGTGAAGCCCTGTTGTGTCCTTGCTGTCTTTGGACTCTGACCTCCTCCTCAGAACAACAGAAGGCATGTCCTCTTACCTTCCTGTCATCTTCAAAGACCCCTTTCTCTTCTTTGGTGTTTGCCCCTGGTGGGTAGCATGGCCTCTTCCGTGAGCTCCTGAAAAAGCAGGGAAGAACGCAGACAGCTCCCTTTTCAGCCCTGGGCGCAGTACCTGTCTTGAGTTAGTACAGGAAAAGGCCCACTTTCATGGGATGGCAGAGGAAGAGTAAAAGAGAAATACACACACGCGCAAACCAACACACATACACAAACCAGTACACACATACACATAGAAATACACACATATACAAACCAATACACATACACAAACCAATACACACACACAAATACACACATATACATACCAATACACACATACACAAACCAACACACATATACCAACCAATACACACATACAAATACACATACACACACACCACTACACATACACACAAACCAATACACACATACACAAACCAACACACACATGCACATAGAAATACACACATATACAAACCAATACACATACACAAACCAATACACACACACAAATACACACATATACAAACCAATACACACATACACATAGAAATACACACATATACAAACCAATACACACATACACATACAAATACACATACACACACACCACTACACATACACACAAACCAATACACACATACACAAACCAATACACAAACACAAACCACTACACACATATGCACAAACCAATATGCACACACAAACCACTACACACATACACACACAAAAACCAATACAAACACAAACCAATACACACACAAACCAATACACACACACAAACCAATACACACATACACACAAACCACTACACACATACACACAAACCAATACACACACACAAACCACTACACACATACACACAACACACACAAACCAGTGCAAACACAAACCAATACACACACACAAACCACTACACACATACACACAACACACACAAACCAATGCAAACACAAACCAATACACACACAAACCAATATATACACATAAACCAATATACACAAAAACCAATACACACAAACCAATACACACACACAAACCACTACACACATACGCACAAACCGTTACACACATACACACAAACCAACACACACACACGCAAACCAGTGCAAATACACACAAACCAATACACACATACGAATACACACACACAAACTAACACACACATACCCAAATAAATAGTTCAGTACATTAGCCTGACACTCAAATAAGATCACCTAAGAAAACTTTGAAAAGAAAGGTATTTTTCCTAGGAATTTAGTTAATTATTATTTGGGTTCTTTTCAGATTAGCATCTTTTTTTAATTATCTTCTACTTGGCGATGGCTGGAGCTGAGGAAAGTTATTAGTATGGTGAACTTTTTACTTTAATCTCATACCACACTCATGTATTAAGTCAACTATTTAGAGGCAATCTTTCTTTTCTTTTTCAGTTTTACATCTCTTACTTTTTGTTGTCTGGCTAAAACCTTGAGAAGAATGCGAAAAGTTGCAGGGAGTGTTAGCATTCTTTTTTCTGACTTAAACAGAAAGACTTCTAATATTTTACTATTTTAAAATATTTGCTGTAATTCTTAATTCTTTAACAAGTATCTTCCTCGTTATAACTAGCTTGCTAATAATTTTAATAAGAATGGATATTAAAATCTATCATCTTTTGTGATTATCACATTTTTTTCTGTTCAATCTTTTAAGTTAGTTAATTATAAGATAGATTCGCTAATGTTGAATCCATTCTATCTTCCTGAGTTAACCATAGTGGGTCAAAGCTTGCTATTGTTTATATTATTGTTACAATAATATCTGCATTGTTTCTTTGAGTATCTTTGAGTATATGTTCAAATGTAAGCATGGCTAGTTTTTTTTTTCTTTCCTTTTCCTTGATTTGTTGTCTGTTGTAGAAAGCTCTTTATTTGGTTTAGGTGTGAAGTTGAACTGGGATTCTAGAATTAGTTGAGGAGCTTTCCATTTTTATTCTTCTGGTCTGAAACAGTTGATAGGATATATAGTATCATTTTTATTCAATAAGAATTTGGTAGAATAGGCCGGGCGCTGTGGCTCACGCCTGTAATCCCAGCACTTTGGCAGGCTGAGGTGGGCGGATCACGAGGTCAGGAGATAGAGACCATCCTGGCTAACATGGTGAAACCCCGTCTCTACTAAAAATACAAAAAAATAGCCGGGTGTGGTGGCAGACGCCTGTAGTCCCAGCAACTCGGGAGGCTGAGGCAGGAGAATCGTGTGAACCTGGGAGGCGGAGCTTGCAGCGAACCGAGATTGGGCCACTGCACTCCAGCCTGGGCGACAGAGCAAAACTCTGTCACAAAAAAAAAAAAAAAAAAAAAAAAAAAAAGAATTTGGTAGAACTTACCCATAAAGCCATCTGATCCTGTTAACATTTTTAGGGATTGCTATGTGAGTCCCTTTCATTTTATTCTATGGTTGTTAGTATATTTAGGTAGTCGATCCTATCTTTAGTTGATTTTTTTCCACTTTTATTATCTTTAAAAAAACTGGTTTAAATGTTCACCTTTGTTACCATAAAGCCGTGTGTAGATTACACATAACTTTTCATAATGTTCTTAATCTTTATGCATCTACCCCATTTTTTCTAATGTTGTTTACTTTTTCCTTCTTTATTCTTCTTGATTAGGCTTGTGAAAAATTTTATTTTTATTAATCTTATTAAGCAACCTTTCTGAGTTTTGGTTTATTTGTTTAAACTTCTATTTTAGTAATTGTTCCCATTATCTTTATGAAATAGTCACATAGAATTTCAGTTTATTTTTTCACCAGTTTTCTAGTTTCTTGAGTTTTAGGTTTATGGCTTTTTTTTTTTATTTTTTAGGTTTATTCTTTTATCTTCCTTATTTTCTGATATGTGTGTTAGACTATACATATTCATGTGAGTATTCACAGATCTTTACATGTGATGTTTTCATTACTGTTCATTTTTAAAGAGTTTATAAGTTATTTTGAATTCCTCTTTATTCCAGGAGTTATTTACTACTAGTAGTAATAATAATATTAATAATAATAATAGTGGGGCTAGTAACAGTTGCTGTTATTGACAAGTGGATAGGATTATTATTTTGCTATGCATTTTATTGTATTTTAATCACAGAATATGGGCTTGTATTTTTACATTTTATAGTTGGTTGAGATTTTCTTTGTGTTAATCTTTGTGAAAGTAGAAGTTTTATTTTTAACTAGCATTCTCTGCTTATTTTGGGAATAATTATGTGTGTGTTTGCATGTGTGTAAAGAGATTTAGATATAAATAAGAATTGTTTTACTCTCCCAAAACTCTATTGGTGCAATAGTAAAGTAACTGAAGTAATAATAGCCCATAAAGATAAAGATAATAGAGGATGAATCAACAGTGTTCATAGATGTAAGTTAGATTTCAAAGATAGAAAACAGAATGGGGGTAAATGAGTCAGAAGGGCTAAGAAAACAGAAATATTTGTGCCTACAGAGGTAGTCACAGTTAAAAACAAATTAATTTTCCCCATGGGACTCTGGGGAGGTTTTGGACTTGGGGGCACCAGTTTCCAAGGTTGCACATCTGTACTGAGCAGTTAGGTGCCACCCCCATGTCTTTTCCAATCTCCTTGTCTTCCATGTGTGGCCATGGAAATATCCATTCCTATCTCTGCAGGAAATAGGAGTTTTATTATCTTTGGAATTGAGAGGCTGCAGATGTGGGGAAACCACAAAAGGAATAAATAAGTTTACATCCAGAATGCTCACACCCCACCTCTCTTCCTTGCCCTGTTCCCAGGAGTCAGCCATTTGGCATAACCCCTACCACTAGGTGGGGAGATTGCAGGATTATTTTCAAGAGAAACCAAGTGGTCACCAATAAAGAGGCTTATAAGGCCTGTCTTTAGAGGGTATGTGTACCAGAGAGACAAAAAAGCTGGCCGTCTAACTGCATCGTGGTGGAGGTCCACTGCGGATAGCTGGTGCAGATACCCAGAGCTTCCAATGAGCTTAAAGTCTTGCTCCTAAGTATGAGTGAGCAGCCCAAAGTCCCAATACCTGAGAGAAAAGACTCGACATGAAAGGCATAGACCAAGACAAAAAGGGGCACAAGAATTAAAGCCGGCCACGCATAGTGGCTCACACCTGTAATCCCAGCACTTTGGGAGCCCCAGGAAGGAGGATAGCTTGAGACCAGAAGTTTGAGACCAGCCAGGGCAACATAGCAAGACTCCATCTCTACAGAATAATAAAAAATAAAATTAGTCGGGTGTAGTGGCATGTGCTGCAGTCCCAACTGCACAGGAGGCTGAAGCGGGAGGATCAATTGAGCCTCGGAGTTGGAGACTGCAATAAGGCATGATCGTACCACTGCACTCCAGCCTGTGCAACAGAGTGAGACCCTGTCTCTTAAAAAAATTAATTAAATAAAATTTTTAAAATAAAGCAAATAAGCAAATAGAAAAGAACTTGGAGGAACAGACAATAGATGGAAGAGATTAAAATAGATAGTAGAACTAAAGTGATAAAGAGATGAATGTAAGGAGAGAGAAAGGGAAAAGCCTGTTAGATCTATCCAGGAGCTCCCACACCTGACCAGTGGGAGAAAACTGTGGGAAGAATATCATCAAATAAATAGTGCCGAGTAATTGCTGAGTAATGGCCAGATTGAGCCCATGAAGCGTACGGGGAAATGTGCAAAAAGTTAATTAAATTAAATTGAAAAGACCTATGCCAGCCACACGCAGCATCACACAATTTCAGAACACCAGGGATAAAAAGTAGATCCTAAGAGATTCCAAGAGGAAAAACAATCAAAAATGCAAACTGGCTATATACAAAGGAATAGGAAATGAGATAAAAACTCTGCTTCTCTGCTGTAACACTGTAAGCTGGGAGACCAAGTTCACTAAGGTTTATATGAGGGAAGTCTCTCGGGTGGGATGCATATAGGTGCTTGAAAATGTGTCTGAACACTTGGAAAATTACTGACAGGTATTTGACAGGTCTTTGGAGCGCTTAGGGAGAAATGGCTCCCCATACATAGAACACTAATTAAATTATAAAACAAAGCAATTGTCAGTGCCAAAAAAGCAAAAAGTTGTACAAAACAATTACTGTACACTGCTTGTCTAGTCAGAAAACAATATGGTCATATTAATATAAACATTAATTAATGATTTACTCACAAATGGTAATATAGATATATTGATTAGATAGAGGAAGGGAAATGGGGGTAGATATGTAAAAACAAAAAATGTAGCTAATAAAACAAGAAATCAGTATATAATATGAAACATTCATAAATCAAGAAGTAGCAACATAAGTATTAATTAGAATAGAAAAAATATGAAAAGCCATCACTTATAGGAAGTAGAAGTAGGAGAGAATAAAGGAGTGAAGCAGAATTATTTAATACGGCATAATTTTTAAACTATACACATTTATTACTTTAGTAAAAATAGAAAATATTTTAAAATACAAACATATGTATATAGCTATATTTTCAGTCAACATTATTGATTGTGTTAACAACCACCTTATACAGACATATCATTAATGACAAAGGATACACACAACATTCAGTGGAAATAGGATGGTCATTTTTTGAAATGGTGATAGGTCAAATATATACGTGTGTGCGTATACACACATATACACACATACATATATATGGATATACACACATATGTGTGTGTATGTGTATACATATAGGTATAGAGAAGTGTCTTACTGAGCTTTCTTTTGTATTTATCTGATATACCAAATAGCTTTGTGCCATATTCACCATGATGAAAAACAACAATGTATACGTATACACACACACATACACACACACACACGCACACACAAAGATAAAAGCCAACCTTGACCTTTATGATGGTTAACTTTGTGTATCAACTGGATTGGGCCATGGGGTGCCCAGATAATTGGTCAAACATTGTTCTCGGGGTGTCTGTGATGGAGTTTTTGGTTGAGGCTAACATTTGAATTGGTAGAATGAGGGAAACCGATTACACTTCCTAATGTCGGTGTCTCTCCTCCAGTCAATTAAAAGCCTAGATAGATAGAACGAAAGGCTGACCCTCCCTTGAGTTAGAGGAAATTTCTTCTGCCTGACAGACTTAGGCTGGAATGTTGGTTTTTTCCAGCCTTTAGACTCAAACTGAAACACTGGTTATCCTCAAGTCTCAAGCCTGCTGGCTCCTTATTGGAACTACACCATCAGTGCTCTTGGATCTCTACTTGCTGACTACAAATTTTGGAACTTCTCAGTCTCTATAATGGCATGAGCCAATTCCTTACAATAAACTTTACTATGTGTGTATGTATGTATCTGTCTATCCTATTGGTAGGGTTTATCTGGAGATTCCTGGCTAATACAACCCCCATTTCATACTATACAAAAAAATTAATTCAAGATGAACCAATGAACTAAATATGATAATAAAAATAAATTAGTTTTCTAGGAGACACATAGTAGGAAAAGATCTTTAATTATCTTTGAATAAGGCAAACATTTGTTTATCAAGATTAAAAATATACCAACTATAAAAGATTTCTATAATGATTTAATCAAAATTAAGAATCCCTTTTCATTAAAAGACACCTTTAAGAGAATAAACAGATAAGCCATAAACATGAAAGAGATATTTCCAGTACAAACCTTCAACTGTAAACTCAAATTCAGAGTATTAAAAAAAATGTTTCTACAAATAAATTAGAAAAATTTTGATGACCCTAACAAAAATAAGAAAGAAATATGAACAGGCACTTCACAATATAGGATTGGATTTTTTTTTAGATAAGGTCTCACTCACTATGTGGTCCAGGCTAGAGTGCAGTGGCAAGATCACAGCTCACTGCAGCCTAGAACTCCCAGGCTCATGTGATCCTCCCACCTCAGCCCTTCGGGCAGCTGGGACTGCAGACATGTGCCACCACACTCGGCTAATTTTTTGTATTTTTAGTAGAAACGAGGTTTCACCTTGTTGTCCAGCACAACAGAGGATTTTGAAATCGCCAATAAACATATGAAAAAGTGTTCAAGCATCAGAGAAATACAAATAAAGCTCATGAGACACTGCTATATACTTACAAGAAAGACTAAATTTAAAAGACTCACATTACCAGGTGTTTGGGAGGATGGAGAACAGCTGAAATTCTCTTAAATTGCTAATAAGAATATAAATTGGCACAATCATTCTGTAAAACTATTTAGGAATACCTACTAAATCAAAATATACATACATATTATCATCTAATAACTGTAATTACCAGTATATAAATCTTCTCCCAAAGTGGGTGTTCATGTCCACCAAAAGACATGCACCAGAATGTTTATAGCTACATTCTTTATAAAACCACCATGATGAAAAATGTGTCCATAAATAGTAGAACGGATAAATATATTTGAAAAAAATTTCAACTGTTTAAAAATTTTTAATTGTATAAATAAATTTCAACTGTATAAAAAATTCAATTTTTGCAATGGAATGCTACTCAACAACGAAAAGAAACAAAATCCTGATAGACACAGCATTGATGAACTCATGGACATAAAGTTAAGGGAAGAAACATCAACTCCACGATTTCATTCACATGAAATTGAAAACAAGTATAACTCCCCCAACTATTCTTGGAGAGATAATAATTGGCAGAGGGCATGAGGGAACCTATTGAACTGCTAAAAATGCTGTATCCCTTGATCTAGATGGAAATTACACAGGGATACACATATCTAAAAAGGCATCAAGGTACGCATTAACATTTGTGTGCTTTGTGTACTTAACAATGTATTTAAAGAAAGTAGTACACACACCAAAATTCAGGGCCACATGACCAAGAGACAAAATAAAAAACAGACACGAGTCTCACAGCCAGGTGCAGTAGTGGATGCCTTGCAGTCCCAGTTACTCAGAAAGCTGAGGAAGGAGAATCTTTTTAATCCAGCAGTTTGCAGCTGTAGCACTACCATAGCACCTGTGAATAATCACTGCACTCCATCTGAGCAACAAAGCAAGACTCCATCTTATAAAAGTTACACAGGTTATTCAGACAAATGCGTTAAGGTAATATTAGGTTGAACTATATGATAGTGATGCTTGTGTTGATGAAAACTGATGAATAATAGCAAGTTCATATAGTTGAGTCTAATACAAAAAAAATTCTGCAGGGAATCACAGAATTGAAAGAAGGAAAAGAAAGCAAAGCAGTGACTATATATGTACATGGACTGAAATCAACTGTATAAAAAGATAATGGAGGCAGGCGGATCATGAGGTCAGGAGACCGAGACCATCCTGTAAATGGTGAAACCCCGTCTCTACTAAAAATACAAAAAATTAGCTAGGCATGGTGGCGGGCGCCTGTAGTCCCAGCTACTCGGGAGGCTGAGGTGGGAGAATCGCATGAACCCAGGAGGCGGAGCTTGCAGTGAGCTGAGATCACACCACTGCACTCCAGCCTAGGAGACAGGGCGAGACTCCATCTCAAAAAAAAAAAAAAAAAAAAAAGATAATGGTATTAATAATATGAGGTTTGAAACATGGAAAATTAAAATATATGACAGCAAGACTGCAAAAGAAGAAGCAAATATATATATATAATCAAAAGAAGAAATGAATGGAAATTAGAAAAACTTAAAATACATTAAGATTAGAACTCATTAGATGGGTATAATGGAATATACCCATTTAAGTGGACTTAGAATGTCTCAGATTTTGAGCATAATCAGAGAAGTGGAAAGGCAATAACTTATTTTAGACATTAACACATCAATAAATGATGTAATCTTTAGGGTAAAAACTAAAAGAATAATAAAATAACAAATAACAATAAATTAATAAAGGAAAGAATGAGAATAATGAAAAGTCTGATTGATTTAAAAGAAGTCAAGACAGGAGAGGCCAAAGAATATGAAACAAGTGGGTCAAGTAGAAACAGAAAAAAAAATGGAGGACAATAAACACAATATAACAGTAATTACATTACATATAAATGAGTAAATGCTCCAAGAAGCAAAGATTGGCAGCCTGAGTATAAAGACAAAACCAAGCTATATCCTGTTTAAGACTCACAAGTTGGGGCGTAAGAACACAGAGTTGTTAAAAATGAAAGGATGAGAAAAGACATACCATGCAAACCCTAACCAAGAAAAGCTAGTGCAGTCATAGCAATATCAGATAGAGTAGACTTTAGAACAAACATTGCTAAAAACAAAGAGATATATTTCATAATGAAAAAGGGATAAATCCAAGTGAATGTACTCCTCCATTCTAAATGTGAATGCACATAAAAACGTACCTGCAAAATATAAGAAACAAACATTAAGAAAATTAAAATTAGAATTAGAAAACAGTAATCAGAATAAAAGAGTTTAACATGATCTTCTCAATGTAATATGATGAACAACTTTTATAAGTTTCACAATTTTTGTATTTACTTTGCCTTCCTGAAATAAAACAAACTTGGTCATTGCATGTTATCTTTTCACAAGTCATTAGCTGAAGGGATATAGGTTTCTGCTCCATACTAATGAGTAAGATTAGCCTGTAACTTTTTTCATACATTGTCCTAGTCTAGCTATGATATATCTGTGTTGTGGTAGCCATATAACATAATTTGGGAATTGTACCCTCTTGTTTTTTTGTTTTGTTTTGTTTTGCTTTAAAGTGTTTGTGAAGGTTTAGGATTATTTCTTCATTGGTATAATGTATCTATAAAATCATCTGTGCCTAGTGTTTCATAGTGGAAAGTTTTTTTTTAATTAATTTATTTTTTTAACTACTGATGCATGGTATTCAATGGCTATAGGACTCTAGAAATTAAAGATTTCTCCTTTGGTCAGATTAGTTGATTTTTTTTTTTAAGAATTTGTCCATTTCAATTAAATGTTGCATATATTGTCATAAAGTTGAAAAAATAAACTACTTTCTTTAAATCACAGTTTAACCTTTTTGCTTTTTTCATTCTCAAAATAATTGTATTTGTGCTTTCTTTCTATGATGTTTTCATAATATATCTTGCCAGAGTTGGTCTATTTTATTATTCTTTTAAAACAACCAAATATTAGCTTTGCTCAGTTTCTCTAGCATAATACTTTTTATTTTATTAATTTCTATTCTATTTTAACATTTGCCTCTTTTCCAATGTAAATGGTATAAATTTTTTAGATGCAACTTTCTTGGCTTTCCAAGAGTTATTATAAATACATATGTGTGTGTGTATAAACCAAAGTATTTTTAACATTATTAATTACTAATTTCTAATTAATAGATATAATAAGCTACCTGGAGATACATTTTTAAATTTCCATGTCTGAGATTCTAAAACTCATTTTAATTTCCAAATTAACCATGTTGTGTTCAGTATGAAATCAGTTCTTTGAAATTTTTGTCTTACTGCATGTGTTTCATTTTAATAAATATTCCACGTATCCTTGGAAAGAATTTTTCTGAATTTAAGAATGTTATTTTATATTACCTATTAATTAAGTTTGTTAGTTTATGGATTAAATTTTCTATATATTCAATCATTTGTCTTCTACCTGTTCTATAATTTACTGAAAAAGATGTGCTAAAATCTTCTGCAAGATGATGGATTTATTTGTTCTGCTTCAGTAATATTCATTGTTTCATTTGCATATTGTAAAGCTATGCATTAAATTCATAGAAGTTTGGGGCACAATACGGTGTGATATACTTTATATTCAGTAGTTCATTTTGAATTACTAAGTTTGTATAGCGTTGATATTGCTACACTAGCTTCCTTTTGGCTCGTTGGTTTTTATTCTGTATACCTGTCTTCATTTTTTTACTTTCAAACTTTTGTGACTGAATATTTTAGGTGTTCCTCTTGTAAACAGAATATTTTTCTTAAATTGGAGTCTAAAAACCTTTGTTCTTCACCTAGAAAGTATAATTCATTTACATTTATTGTGCAGATTATTATAATTGATAATATTTCTATCATTTAATTTTGGGGGTTTTTGTTGTTTTTCACTGTTTTTCTATCTTTTTCGGTATTTTAAATGTAGGTGATTGGTCTAATCTTCTGTTTTTCAGTTTTCTAGTTCATTAATAGATTTTCCCTCTTTCAGATTAATAGAATCAGCTTAGAATATTTAACACCTGACACTGATATATGCTGTTTTTGCCCAATATTTTATTTTTACTCAGTTTGTACTGTACACTTTATAAATCATAATATTTGTTTTACATTGTATTATTTAATTAGTTCTACCCACATGTGTATAATTTTCTTTGCTCACCATTCTTTCCTACACCTCAGATTTTTTTTTTCTGAATTACAAACAATGGACTTTAGAAGTTTCCTTTTTAAGAGCCTATTCTTTTTAAACTCTACAATTTTTTCTTGTTGATATATATGTATTTCAACTTCATTCTTGCAAGATATAATTTTACACCTGGCAACTCCAGGTTTAGAGTAATATTTTTTCAAAATTTTGAAGGTATTGTTTTATTTTCTAGCTTCTAGCATTGCTGTTCATATTTCCATTTCCAGAGAAATTATCATTAATATGCATCATTCCTCTTCATTTTCTGTCCACTTTTTGCCCTGAGGGTTTTGCAGCTGTAGATTTATTCAGTTTGGGAGAAGTTGTGCTTTCTGAATCTGACAATTAGTATTTTTTAATCAATTTCAGAAATTTGCAGCCACTTTATCTTCAAATATTACCTTTTCCCCAATTCTCTCAATGTGTTTATTCTAGAACTCTGAAAAGACATGTTAGACTTTCCTACTCTATTTTCTATGTCTGTTTATCCTGGGCCTTGAGTTTTTTTTAAGTCCTAGGGATTTTATCATTCTTTTTCAAAAGTTTCCTGGTCATTTTTCATAGTTTCTAGTTCCATAATCACACTTTGGAAACTCTTTATTTAATTATAATAAACATACTTTAAAATATTCTGAATTTTATCATTGTGGTAGCTATAGGTTTTGTGATAATTCTGTAGTTTTTTTTTTTTTGCTGAGTTTTGCTATGGCAGGCATGTTGCCTCATGTGATTTGTAATTTCTGATTATGGATACATATTATCAGGAATTTTTATCTATTGGAGTTTTTTGAAATCTGAAGTTAAAGTGGTCTTCCAAAGAAGATTTAGTTTAGTTCTCCTAGACATGTGAGGATTGCCAATTTGAAATCACTTTAAAATAAAATTTCATGGAGATTTTCAGTCCACACAGGTAGTATAAATTTCAGTCCCAAACTCATGCAATGATTTATATTAGAAATTCTTAGTAAAACCTTTCTTCTTTTTATTCCAACTAGAGCCTAAGACAAGCCACAAGGATATTTTATTTCCTCTGTGGAGTGTGTTTCTTCCCTCGTTCACTTCTAGGGTTCTATGTATAGCTGCTTCTGATCAGACCACCCAGCTAGTGCACACCTAGGTTTTGTCTCCTGTCCTGCTTTTGTGCCTTGGACTGTGTGCCACATTTTAAAGTTTTCTGTAGCAAAAGTTTTTTCTCTGGACATCAAATTTGCCAGTTTCATCATACTTTCACTCCTAACACTGCAGAGCACAAGTAAGAAAACAGCCTGATCTTTCTTCTGTTTTAGTTGGCTTTTCTGTCCTTTATGGAGTTTTTCTTTTCCTTTGAAATAAAAATATTTTACAAAATTTATGTGCAAAAACTAATCACTTTTCATGAACCTCATCAATGGTATTGTAAATGTAAAGCCATATGAATCTTCAGATTAATGTCTTTGTTAAATCCAAAATACATTTATACTATTATATCCTTGATAATGTATTCAGTTTTATTTTTCTTGTCTCTTTTTTGGGGGAATATCAATGGTATATATTTTTTTGTTCACTATTTCTTCCTATATTTTAAATCTGGATATTTGGATATTTGAATATTTCGTATTTAAATGAATATTTCAATATTTCGCTTATCTCCTCCATGTCTCTCTCATCCTGACTCTCAGAACGTCTATCTTCATAGCTAAAAAAGAAAATTCTGCCCTGTTGGAGCTTATCGTGTTTTCCTTCTGTATCCTTCATTTGTTTTTTTTTTTTTTCTGGTATCACTTTTGCCATTTAATGCCTATAATGTCATTTTCACCTGCACTGTGGTTCTATCTATTTATTTACAGGATTTTAGTAATTCAGGAACCTCCATTTCATTTCAGTCTGTTTGCTCATTTTCACATCTTTTCCTTCATTTTACAGAGTTTATTTTTTTCTGAATTTAACTGAAAGCACATGGTAAATAATGCAGTATATTTTAAGTATGTTATAACTGCCATATTCTTTTGCTTAAATAATGCAGAGTCTTTTCATAGGTACCTTTTTTTGGTCACATTATTCAAGCTAAAACAAGAAGAAGTCTACCAAACTAGGTAAATGCCCCAAACAGTGTGAGCTGATTCTCCCCCTCATCCCTCCCTGTCCACCTGGATACATTCAGATCTGAAACTGAAAGATGGGTTGACAGAAGTTTACAAACCAGTTTAGTTCTACAGCGACTGGAGAGGAGCAGAAAGCATCCTGGGAGATGATCATAGCAGGAAAATTTCAATTTGCTACAGTTCCTTTTCTGTGTTTGCTTAAGCCAAACACTGAGGATTAGCTTTCCATATGGAGTTTTCCCTTTAGATCTGCCTCCACGTCCAATGTGGAATACCACTGCTTCCCAGCCCCGAGGTCCGGTCCACTACCTTGGGAAGAATCATGTCCGTGCTGGGAGCCCTCCATGCCTGGGGTTTCGTATTTGCAGCTGTTATTACAGTTGTTCCCCCTTATCTAAGATTTTGCTTTCCACAGTATCAGTTACCCAGGGTCAACCTTGGTCTGAAAATATTAAATGAACAATTCCGGAAATAAACAATTCATAACTTTTAAATAGTGTGGAGTTCTGAGTAGCTGATAAAATCTCATGTCATCATGCTCAGTCCTGTCTGGGACGTGAATCATTCCTTTGTCCGGTATATCCAGGCTGTAGACACTGTGCACCCATTAGTCACTTATAGGTTAGTATATCCACTGTCTTGGTATTCCAGAGCTTGTATTCAAGTAGTCCTTATTTTTTAAAATTTATTTTTATTTTTTATTTTTTAATTTTTTGAGATGGGGTTTCACTCCGTCACCCAGCCTAGAGTGCAGTGGTGCGATCTGGGCTCACTGCAACCTCCACCTCCCAAGTTCAAGCGATTCTCCTGTTTCAGCCTTCTGAGTAGCTGGGATTACAGGTGCCCACCACCAAGCCTGGCTAATTTTTTTGTATTTTTAGTAGAAATGGGTTTTCACCATGTTGGCCAGGCTGGTCTCGAACTCATGACCTCAGGTGATCCACTCACCTCAACCTCTCAAAGTGCTGGGATTACAGGCATGAGCCACTGAGCCCGGCAGCCCTTGTTTTACTTATTTTGTTTTTTTTGGTTTATTATTAGTTATTGTTTTTAATCCCTAACTATGTGACTAAATTATAAATTAAGCCTTATCGTAGGTATGTATGTACAGGGTTCAGTACTATCCACAGTTTCAGGTATGCAGTGGGGGCCTTGGAATGTATCCCCCGAATATAAGGAGGCACTACTGTACTCACACTTGAACCTCTCTGAGCAGCTACGTCCCACAGTGTTGACCCATAACAGCTAAAGAACAAGGAGTTCACGTCAATCGCATGACCTGCCCACAGCTCCATTCTCAATACTTACAATGCAGAAGTGTAAATGGATCTGCCATAGTCTCTTCTAGTCTCCTGACACCTCCTGCTTTCTCAGACAAGCAGGTGCGCATTTCTTTTGGGTCTTTTCTTCATTTTTTGACCTGTCATTTACTTACTGTATTTTTTTTGAGATGGGAGTCTCATCCTGTCTCCCAGGCTGGAATGCAGTGGTACAAGCATAGCTCACTGCAGCCGCGAACTCCTGAGCTGAAGAGATGCTCTTGCCTCATTCTCCCCAGTAGCTGGAATTACAGGCATGAGCCACCACGCCTAGGCTCCTGCTATTTTTAGTAGGAATTCCTTGCAGTTTCTGACCTTTCTGTAGCACACCTCTTCCCTATTTTCCAAGGAAGGTGTTGGTTATCACTCTTACTATAGTCCTGTTGTTATTCTCGTTAGAATCTGGATGTGGGACATTAAACATCTAAAATCATCATCTTCATTTACTGAGAAATCTGTCTTAATTAGGACTCTCCAGATTTTCATGTATTTATTAAATATTTTCAGAACACATTTCATGTCGGGCACATCCTAGGCACCAGGAATACATCAGCAAACAAAGTAGACACATCTCTAGCAGGAGAGACAGGTGCTAACAAACAGACATTGCTAGAAAGTACATCATATAGTACGTTGGAAGGAGACAAGTACGCTGGAAAATGGAGAGCTGGGTAAAGGGGCACCAGGGCTGGGAGAGGACCAGAGAAAGCCTCACTGAGAAGATAATATGTGAGCAATGGTGTGAAGGAGAGGAGAGAGTTGGCCACGTGTATTTCTGGGGGAAGACCATTCCCCAGACAGGAGGAAGCAGGAGAAAGACCCAGTGCAAAAGCTCCAAGTCAAGGCTGAGCCTGGGGTATTCAAGGGAAGGCCAGGAGGCACGGGCGGCTGGATCCCAGGGAGCAAGCAGGCAGAGGGGCATGGAAGATGGGTCCCAGACATCATGGGAAGCCCGTCATATGGACTTTGCAGGAGACACAAGGGCTTTGACTGTTACTTAAAGGGACATGGGGAGCCAACAGAGAATTTTGAAGAGAAGAAGGTTACGGCCTAATTTACACTTCGAAGGATCACTTTGTTGTCATGTGGTTTTTTGTTTTGTTTTGTTTTTGTAAGAGGGAGTCTTGTTCTGTTGCCCAAGTTGGAGTGCAGTGGCATGATCTTGGCTCACTGCAACTTCTGCCTCCCGGGTTCATGCGATTCTCCTGCCTCAGCATCCCGAGTAGCTGGGATTACAGGCACCCCCCACCACACCTGGCTAATTTTTATATTTTTAGTACAGACAGGGTTTTGCCATGTTGGCCAGGCTAGTCTCGAACACCTGACCTCAAGCGATCCACCCACCTTGGCCTCTCACAGTGCTGGGATTACAGGTGTGAGCCACCACAGCCAACCTAAAGGATAACTTTGGAGGCTACATTGAACACAGAAGTCCTGGGATTCAATTAGAGTTCCTGGGACCCAGTTGATTGTCCCTAAGGTCATGGACTTGAGATGTAAAACTGTCACTCGCACCCAGACTGCACAGGAGAATTACCTGAGAAGCTTTTAACATCCCCATGCCGGCCAGGGGCAGTGGTTCACGCCTGTAATCCCAGCACTTTGGGAGGTGGGTGGATCACCTGAGGTCAGGAGTTCACCACCAGCCTGGCCAACATGGTAAAACCCAATCTCTACTAAAAATACCAAAATTAGGTGGGCATAGTGTTGGGCACCTGTAATCCCAGCTACTCAGGAAGTTGAGGCAGGAGAATTGCTTGAACCTAGGAGGCGAAGGTTGCAGTGAGCTGAGATCACACCATTGCACTCCAGGCTGGGTGACAGAGCAGAACTCCATCTCAAACAATAAAATAAAATAAATAAAACAAAATAAAATCCCAATGCCAAAGCTGCATCCTAGACCAATTAAATCAGAACCTCTGTGGTGCATCCTAGGCATTGATGCTTTTTAAAACTTTCCAGGGATTCTACTGTGCAGGCAAGGTTGTGAGCCACTGTTTTTAATAAAAAGAAGTCTCCTTTGACTTCCTCCATGAAACTGTGGGATCCTGGAGGACAGGGACCATGCCTTTTATTGGGTTGTCTCCATGGCATGTACTGGGTACATAGGAGAGGTGATTTAATCCATGAAATTTCAATTTCACCAAAATGAGAACACAGAATACTGATGGAACCATGTAGTCTTCCCAGCCCAGAGCGCAAAGCGAGGGAAGCTTCTGCACAGTTCTCGAGAATGAAACTTGAACAGAAGCTTCATCACTGATTTAAGGAAGAAAGAGAAAAATAGCTACTTCTCAAGATGTGGAAAAGCAGCCCTTCCGTTTTCAGAGGAAATACAAGTTCTCGCCACTGATATGTGTGTCCCAGGGATTGATGATGCTGAGGCTCTGGGACCTGTCTTGAAGGAGAGATCTTGGTGCAGGACAGAGCTGTGGGCTGCCTCAGTTTCCCCTGTAGCCGCCATGCTCTCAGCAGAAACCGCGGTCCACCCCAGCTCACAGAGAGCTCGTGATCACTGCCATGTTGTGAAATCATGGCTTATGTCATCCCACTGGGTTCATCCCAAGGTCAGGCTCATCCCCCAGGAATGCAGTCCCTCTGCAGAGCCCTTCACAGCCTGCAGGAACCCTGGTCTGTCCTCGCCAGCTTTGCATGGTGGAGCCGAGGCTGCTGGGTAAATGTCAGGCAGCCAGGTGTCTGAGACAAGTGGGACCAGCTGCCTGCCCTGGAAGCTGGCAGAGCTCCAGCCCTTGCCTGGTTGTCCCAGTGCCTGCAGCTCCCACGTGTTCAGGATGCAGAGAAGAGCTAACATGGCCAGGGAGCCCAGCTGGCTGGGGCAGCAGTTCCCAAGAATGCCAAGACCCACCTCCAAGACCACATGGGAGGACTGGTCTCCACTTGCCTTGTCCAATATGGAGCCACTGGCCACATGTGGCTACTGGGTACTCGAAATATGGCCAGGGCAATGGAGGCACTGAATTTTTAACTTTACTTCATTCTGTCTAAATCCAAATTTTAAAAAACTGATACTTGATTCTGTTCTTGAAAAACTCATATGCTTAGATATGTTCAAAACAACTTAGGTATTTGAATCTACTGGGAAGTTTGTGAAATTTAAATACAGATCAAGTCAAGAAAAACATAGCATCCAAATCAAGATGGGCTGTAAGTGTGACATGCACACCAGATTTTGAAGATCTTACCAAAAAATTGAATACATCATATTCCATTAATACTTTTATATTAATTAAATGTTGAGATAATAATTGTTTTCATACCTTGGGTTAATAACATATATTATTAAAATTAATTTCTCTGGTTTCATTTTACTTTTTTCTGATTTCGCTATTGGAACATTTAAAGTCACACAGGAGGCTCACATTTTATTTCTATGGATCCATATCAGCCTTGTCCAGGACAGAGAGCATCCCACCATCCCTAAACCGATAGAAGATGGTCCAAGTAAGTATTCCATATCATGGAGTAGGCCAAGAATAAACAAGCTCAATGAAATTCTAAGGAATTTATTTTCTGAACAAGAATTTCTGCTCCCTCCTTCCTGTCCTCCGTAAATAAATCCTGTTGTTTGAAATGCCTGTATAGTTAGGTGTTGATCACTTTCATCAGCCAGAGTCTGCCATTAGGACATCAGGGAATAAGAATTCTACTATCTAGCAGGCATCATGGAGGAGACTTTAAATGCTTATTTTTGCTTATTAGCGCTTTACTTCTGTGACTTAAAAATATTCTGGTATGGTATATTTAAGTAGTCTATGAGGCTATAGAGACAAACTTGAAAACAACCCTTACAAACATACTCTGAGTATTTAATTCTTTTACATGAATGCTATAATGTTTAATGCACTGATTTGAGAGTTGCTTTCATGAGTTAGCCTTACGCTAGATTTTGTCACGTTAAGTCACAGAGGACCCCATTATATTTTTACCAGCCATGTAGTATTCCATTGTATGAAGAAACTTGATTTTCTTCTGATTCATAGAGACTTAATTTCCCATTTCTTTTTTATGTTACAAGAAAAAAATGCTGCGATAAACATTATTTTGTGGCTGGGCATGGTGGCTCAAGCCTGTAATCCCAGCACTTTGGGAGGCCGAGGCGGGTGGATCATGACGTCAGGAGATCAAGACCACCCTGGCTAACATGGTGAAACCCCGTCTCTACTAAAAAAACAAAAATACAAAAAATTAGCTGGGCACCGTGGCGGGTGCTGGGTGTAGTCTCAGCTACTTGGGAGGCTGAGACAGGAGAATGGCATCAAAAAGAGCTTGAAGTGAGCAGAGATCGCGCCGCTGCACTCTAGCATGGGCGACAGAGCAAAACTGTGTCTCAAAGAAAAACAAAACAAAACATTATTTTGCTTACATCTTTTTGAACATGCGTGAATGTTATTTTAGAATTTCTAGAAGTGAAATGGTGGACTAGGGGTTAGTCCTGTTTTTATTTTGATAAATATTGCCAAATTTTCCTCCAAAAGAATTTTAACAATTTATATCTGACTGATGGTACAGTCAGAAAAGGGGTACTGATGCCCCTTTTCCCACATCCCCCCGCCCAACATTTTGTCAGCCTTTTGTTTTCCTATTCAAATGGGTAGTCAAGGCCATTGGTGTTTAAGTACCTATTTCCCAGGCTTCGAAGAGAGAAACTAAGGGAATCTGCCTTTTATATTGGATAATAGTATGTATTATGTGAATTGTTTTTTATAATCTTTGTCCATTTTTCTCTAAGGTTGTTTGTCATTTTTAAACAGAAACTCTTTATGTGGATTGGATCCTAAACTTTCACTAATAAAATATAGTTAAGTATTTTGTCTTAACATGCTGCCTTTTCTTTTTCTGTCTTCTTTTTACTTTTTAATTGAAGAATAACATATATGCAGAAAAGTACATGATTTTAAAACAGTGAGTTCATCAAGTTTCACAAAATGAACATATCCCAGGTCAAGAAATAAAAAAATTTTACCTGCCATGAGGTTCCCTTCTTACACCCTCCCAGTCACTACCTCCTTTCTCCATCTAGAGGTAATGATTTCCCAGCAATGATAACTATCAAAAGATGAGTTTAGCCCTTTAAAAATTTATATAGAATAATCATATGTCATATACTTCTCAGCACCCAGCTCCTTATTTCTGTTGGTCAGTATCATGTTTGTGAAATTCATCCATGTTATACAACATAGGTACAGATTGTTTCTGTTTTTGTATAACATTGCATTTAATCATTGTATCATATTTTACCTATTCTACTTCTGATGGACCTCTGAGTTGTTTTTATTTTAATTTCAGAGTTTGGCTTTTATAAACAATGCTGCCATGAATATTCTTGTACATGTTTTTCAGTGTATCTTTATATCCTTTGCAGTTGGGTGTATGCCACATAGTATACACAGAGTATAGACAATGTCACTTTTTCAAAGTAGTTTCATCATTTCATGGACCTATCAGCATTGTAAGAGTTTTGGCTGTTCCACATTCTCATCAACACTTGGTATTGTGAGTCTTTCTAATTTTAACCATTCTAATGGGTGGATAGTGGTATTGTGTTTGCCTTAAATTTGCATTTCTCAGATGAGTAATGAAGGTGAGCCCTCTTTCATATGTTTCTTTGCCATTTGGGCATCCTCTTTATGATGTACCTGTTTGAGTCTCTCCCGTTTCTCTATTGGGTTGTTGTATATGCCAGGATTCAGTTAGGAGAATGATTCCACACTCAGAAATTTGAACAAAGAAAAAAAGTATTGCAAATATTTCTTAAGTAGGCAAGAGATGGCGAATAACCAAAAGAGGTAAAAGAGGACTCTAAGTTGTATCTGGGTAGCAGCTGCAGAAAGCGACCACTCCTGGGGCTGAGAGAAAAGGAAGCCAAGGAAGAAACTTGGCAGCTTAGAAAAGAGGCCTCTAAAAACAGAGATTCAGATTGTTGAGATGATGCAGCTGTTGCAGAACTTTGTCACATGCCTCTGCAATAAAGACAAAGCTTGCTGGGCTATCCCAAAACCATGAGAAATGCCTACTGTCACAGGGGCGCTGCAGGAACTCACGGCCCTTGGACTGTTCTGCTTACCACCAATGGCAAAATCCAGGGAGAGAAAACATCCCTGTCCCTCTTCCATTCTTGCAGCCTCCATCAGTGATCCCTATTGACACAGCCTGACATAAAGCCACTGAGCAAAGCAGGAACTGAGTACAGATCCCAGCTCCAGTATTGCAAACTAGGGGGAAATTGGGTGAATTTGGAGCTGAGAGGCAATAAATTAATAGCTGGCACAGTTGTGTGTCATTTTGTATTGATTTGCAGGAGTTCTTTATATATTCCAGGAATAAGTTGTTTATTGGTAATTTGCTTTGCAAATACATTCTCCCACTCTGTGATTTATCTTTGCTTCTTCATGATGTCTTTTAATGAACAAAAGCTTTTCATTTTAATGCAGTTCAATTAATCAATCTTCTTCTATGACACTACTTTCTATATCTTACTTGAGAAGTCTTTTCTACCCTAAGGCTATAAGAAAACTCTCCAATGTTTTCCTTAGAAGCTTTATTGTTTTCCTTCCACACTTAGATTTATAAACTACCTGGAATTGATCTTTGTATATGGACAGGTTGGTGTGAGGTAGGGAGTCAACCTTTTTCTCTATATTATTCAATTGGCCTAGTAGTGTTTATTGAAAGGACATCGTTTCCCCATTGCAGTGTGCTTTTTGTCATGGATCAAGTGTCCCTGACTCTCTCTGACCTGTTTCCTGTTCATTGGCCTATTTATCCATCCTTGAACCAATGCCACAGTCTTCACTGCTGTAGTTTCATCATAACTTTGAATAACCAGAAGAGTAAGTCCTTCCACCTTCTTCTTCTTCTTAAGGAGTATCTTGGCTATTCTTAGCCCTTTATAGTCTCATTAAAATTTAAGTCAGCTTGCCAATTTTCTCCAAAAACAGATATTGATGTCTTTATTGAGATTACATCAACTATAATAAATCATCTGGAGAGAATTGGCATAGCTAAAATCCAACCCAAGAACAAGGTATATAGATCCATTCATTTACATCTTAGTAATAATGATTTCATTATTAAATAATAAAAGGTAATATAGTGATGATTATTAATGATAATACTTTATAATTATTGTAAAGAAGCCTCACATACTTTTCATTAGATTTATTTTTTTGAGGTGAAAATTTAATGCTGTTGCAAATATTTTTTTAATTTTTAATTTCTGTTTGTCACTGGTAAATTGAAACAACTGTATGTATGGTGATTTTTAAATTGCCAATAAAGTCTGATTACTCTTTTACTTTATTATGTCTAAGTTTTCTCTCCTGCTTTAGAAAGTCTTTATTACCCAAACCCTAAAAATTATTCTGCATTTTATTCTTGTGCTTTCAAAGTTTTGTTTTTAAATCTGTAGATTTCTAACCTATTTGCATTTCACTGCATTAATGTTGTAAAACAAAGATCTTGTTTTATTTTTATTATTCTGTAAATTTTCATAGACATATGGGTCCGTTTCCAGACTCTGCACTCTTTTTCATTAATGTATCTTTCTTTTTCCATGTAATAATAAAATATAATTAATGTATTTAAAATACACTTTAACTACTATAAAGGTATATTTTGATAACATAAACCCCTCGTTATCTTTGTCCAAAACTGTCCTGACAATTCTAGAATTGTTTTCTTTCCTGTATGATGAACATTAGAATAACTCTTTCAGATTCTATATGTTGCATTGTTGATTACAAATGCATTGAATTAATTGATTAATTTGAAATAAATTGATTGTCTTCAGAGTACTGAGCCTTTCTCTAGACTCAATAGAAACATAATATGCCAATTTATTCATTAAATTTTCTTTTTATGTCTCCAATGAAGTTTCATAAGTTTTATTTTTAGCATTTTTTAAAAATTAAAGTTCATGTAAGTAACGCATTAACATGATCTAAAATTTAGAAGTATACCCAGAGATATCTCAGTCCCAGTCCAGTCCCTTCACCTACAGGAAATTATTTTTATTAGTTACTTGGCTTTATTAGTTACATGTTTTGTTTTGTTTGAGATGTGGTCTGGCTTTGTCACCTAGGCTGGAGTTCAGCCTTGAACTCCTGGGCTAAAGGAATCCTCCTGAGTCCTGGGACCACAGAAGGCCACCACCACACCTGGCTAATTTATTATTTTTTTATTTTTATTTTTTTAAGAGATGGGGTCTCACAATGTTGTCCAGGTTAGTACTGAGCCCCTGACCTCAAGCAATCCTCCCACCTTGGATTCCCAAAGTGCTGGAATTATAGGTGTGAGCCACCATGCCTAGTCTAGTTTTGTGTTTATCCTCACAGGGTTTCTTTAGGCAAAAAGAAACAACTACAGATATCATTTTAACCTCCTTGTCTCTCTTACAAGAAAATGTGGCTCACAGGCACATTGTTTGAATTTTGCTTTTTGTCACTTTGTATTATTAGCGCAGCTTCCTCATTCTTTTCCTGTGCTGCACACTGTCCCTTTTCTGTGGATATGACACAGTTTATTTAACCAGTCCCTTATAAATGAATATTCAATTGTTTTAAGTTTTTTGATATTATACATTTTTCTACTGTAAAAAAAACTTTGTATTATGTCATTTTGCATACTTGCTGGTATAGCTGTAGGATAATTTCCCAGTAGTGAGATTGCCAGGTGTTTGAGAAAAAAACCTCAAACTGTGTTTTCTCCTACTCTCACTCTTCACAACAATCATCACAGAAGACTTCCGTGACCCTAAAATATGTGGGGAGTTCTTCACACCACCAAGTGAGCCATTAATTCTGCAGTGAACACTGCAGTGTGAAATGCTGATTTTATATATTTATAATGATTGTCAAATTGCCCCACACAGGGTTGGTTTTATTTTGCTTTAAACCAGCAATACATGTAGCCCTTCCACCATAACCTCTCCCAACAGTGTATGTTCTCAAACCATTGGATGCTTCAATGTGAAAAGTCAAAATTGATATCTTCAGAGTATGGAGACTTTGCCACTTGCATTTCTCTGAGTGTCCTCTATTTCAATTCAATTCTGACACTATCTACCGAGAGATAGCGTCAGATGTTACAGTGTGAGGGCTCAGTCCCCAAGACTTCCCTGACTTCAGATGTCAGTTGCAAGTCTGGGCCTCTAGAACTTCTGACTGAAGGGCTTCAAGTTGGGGTCCCCACAACCCCCTCTTTGGACTTGACTAATTTGCTGGAGTGGCTCACAGAACTCAGGGAAACACATGTACCAGTTTATTATAAAGGCTATCACAAATGAATCAGATGGAGAGATACACAGGTGAGGTACAAAGGAAAGGGCACTGAGCTTCCATGCCCTCCCTGGGCACCACCGTTCAGGAAGCTCCATAAATTCAGCCACATGGATGCTCCAGACCCACTCCTCTGGGGCCTTTTATGGAGACTTCACTGAATAGGCGTGACTGATCAACATGTAGAAATGTGATTGGACAAAAAGGGCATGATCCAAACCCAGCCAGGCCTATCCGTTCAGATTCTTTTTGGCCTCTCTGTGCAGTATTTTTTTCTCCAGGGTATGGGGCAGGTGACAGGAGGAAGAAGGTCAGAGAGAGATTCTGTTTTCTGAGGTCTGCTCCTGAGGCCTGAAGTGCCCCAACATTATGATAATGGCTATGGGAGTTAGGCAGGATGAAAACCTCTAGATAGATACATAGACAGGCAGACAGATAGATAGATAGATAGATAATTATATGATATATATCTCATAATGTAGGTCACCAGGAAATGTTGATTTTATATATTTATAAACACTGCCAAATTGCCCTACACAGGGTTGGCATTATTTTGCTTTGAACCAGCAATACTTGTGGCTCTTTCACTATGGCCTCTCCAATGATGTAGTGTATGTTCTCAAACCATGGGATGTTCCAGTCTGATAGGTCAAAATTGATATCTTCAGGTGTTGAGCCTTTGTGATTTGCATCTCTGCTGTTATGAGTGAAATTGAGCATCTGTTCATGTCTCAGGGTCATTTGTGCGTATCTGTTGTCCTGAGATGTTTTTTATTGGGTTCCATTGGGTTTTGTTTCCAGGCACATTGCCTCATTTAGTCCTCACAATTAACTAGCATGGTAGTCATTGGAACATCCATTTCACAGATGACAAAGGAAGGGAAGGCTTAGAGAATTTAGGCAACTCGGCCAAGTCCCACAGCTAACTAGGATGCAGAGCTGGGATACTCATCCATTTTTGTCTGACTGCAAAGCCGCCTTTCCACGGCATCACCCTGAGTCTAGGGGCGAGACAAACCTTATCTTCTATCTGAGTCTCATTTCATAACCAAGATCTAGAGTCATGCAGCTTCTGCTTGAATGTCTCTGGTGACAGGGTCCAAGCAGCCCATCCCTGTCTCTGTATTCTTTTTTAATTGTAGTAAAATACACATAAGATAAGATTCACCATTTTAATCTTTTTAGGTGTACAGTTCCATGGCATTAAGCGTGTTTACATTGTTGTGAATCCAACTCCAGAAGTTTTCCATCATCTCAAACAAACTCCACATTCATTAAACAATAATTCCCTACTTCCCTTTACCCAAACCTTCTGGCAAGCCCATGTCTACTTTCTGTTTTGATGAATTCAACTACTTTAGGCACCCCATATAAGTGGAATCATACAAAAGTGTACTTCTGTAACTGGCTTATTTCACTTATCTTTATCTTTGAGGTTCATCATGTTGCCCTATGTGTCAGAATTTCCCTCCTTTTTAAGGCAGAATACCTCCCATTTTATGCATAGCCCACATTTTGCTTTTCCATTCATACATAGATGGATTTTTGGGGTTGCTTTCACCTTTTGGAATGAAATATCCAGTCAAGTCCCTCCTTTCAACTCTTGTGTGTATGTGCCCACAAGTGGAATGGCCAGCTCCTACAGTAATTCTATGCTTAATATTTCAAGGACTCCTCACAACCACCACTCTTTGGACTCTCTAGTTTCCACAACACTAAATTCACCTCCAGTCTCTCATCCATGTTCCAGAGATGCCCTGGCTGCTTTCTCAGAATTCTCCTAGACCCAGACATCCATGGAGGCTTCTGATTCCTTAGACTTTGGAAGGAACCCAGTGCTTGTAATCTCCCAGTTGGTCTTGCTGTTTGTCAGGGAAAATTCAGGCCCTTCACACACTTCTCTCTGAGGCACGAAGTTGCACCCTCCACCCCCACGCCCTGGAGCAGGTATCTGTAGCTTTACCCACTTTGCATCCATATCTCCATCTTCTGGGGAAAACACCAGGATTGGGACAGTTCTCTTGAGGCACTGTGGTCAGTTTTCGGGGGACAGCCAGCCAAGGGCCCTGCCCTTCCCCAGCTAGGGGCTGGGCATCATTGAGGCTCCCACTCTCTCCCAACCCTCTCTCTCTCTCACTCTTGCTCCCTCTCCTGCTTTCTCCTCCCTCCCCTTTCAATCTGGACAGACACAGGTAAGGTCAACACTTGGCACCCATCTCATGCCAGCAGAGTTTTCCTGAAGTAGCTACCTATTAATTTCTGTCACCTGGATCTCACATTCTTCAGCCTTTCCTATGATTCTCCCAACACACTTCAATTTCTGTGCAAGTTATCCAGACCCAGTGAACTGTGCATATTGCACTCCCTGCTGCAGACGGAAAGGGAAAGTCACCCTTATCTTAGCTGAAACCCGGTTCTGCAAGGCGTAGCTCTATTCCCCTCTGCACCGCCAGCACTGCTTCCTGTCATTCCTAGATTATATAAGGACAGAGCTGACACCAGACATGCTCTTTCCTGTTTGGTAGCCAGGGAAGGGCACATACCTGTCTCCCAAGGGCAAGACCCAGGTGGCCACCTCTTCCACGTCCCTCCCATGTGGCCACTGTGTTGGGCAAGCCAGCAGGGCTGCGGTGAATGTTTACTGAATTGACTTGCAGAGAGGTGGGTGGGATCCTACGCAATTTGGGTTTTCCTCTGCTTAAACAGACACTCAACTAGTTAATTAACTGATTCAAGAAGTGGGGGATTGACAGCATTTTTGAAAAGCGCATACACTGACAGAAGCCAGGCTCAGATGAATGCAAAGGGAAGAAGCTTTGTTGAACACTTCCCAAGGAATGACAGGAGAATGTTGTAAAATGAGTCTAGAGAGTTCAGTGATATCCTCTCCACTGCCGTGCAAGACACAGCCCACTGCGTCATCCCCGCTTGATTCTTGATGGAGCTGTCACCTATGTCTGTGCCCTGCCCCTTTAGAGAACAGACATGTTACAACAGACCTGATTGTGGAGCAGCAGGTGGTAGGGGAATTACCTAAGATATTACGTAGAAAACGCCGAGCATCGAATGTGGCCACCCAATGATGACCAATAAGGTCATCATCATAGTTGTCATCATCACTATGGAAACACAGTGGGGGCTGCCCAGCCTGGGATATGGGGGAGAGGCCAGCACACACCAGCCAGCCTTGCCCTCTGGACCCTGTCCTGAGTGGTATTCACTATGTGCCCAGGCAATAAGCAATGGCCAGGGAGGCTCTAATGTCATCTGCTGACTTCCAGCTCAGGTTCCCCCAGAAGCAAGCCAGGGGCTCCAGCCTTTGACTTCTGTCTCTGATTGTTCCTCTCAGAAGGCTTCCTGGAGGAATGAGGCATCATAAGGGCTTAAAGGATAAGACTGAGCCAGCGTGGACATGAGGGTGAGAATGAAGAGTCCTTAAAAGAAAGTTAAGTGTCCCAGGAGAGACTCCGGTCAGGGACTGTGTACACAGTATGATTGTGGTCCAGAGACAATGGGTTTGGAGACATGTAGACCGGAACCTAAACCTTGGCTTGTGTTAGCACTGAGACTCAGAGAAGTCACTCTGCCCCTCTGAGTGTCAGTTTCCCCCTCTAATACCAGTGATAAAATACTTACTCCAAACAGATATTAGGTGAAGTCAATGAGGCCATATATTTTGAAGCCCCCAGTAGAGTCTGGCACACGGAAATAGCTTGATGAGCGTTGGTCTTTATTCTTCCCTCATGCATCAGTTCTGTGGCCCATGTCTTACAACACCTGGATCCAGGTTTTAGAAGACTGCTATGGCCAACTGAGAGCTGGAGCTAGAGGGCAGCCTGAATCTGAGGATGCAGTGATAGGAAGAAACCCACTTGGCCCATGGACCTGAGCTTGGCTGAGTCTCCCCTAAGGAGCAGCCCATGGTGAGTGGCAGCCATGGAGCCAGGTATTGGGGTTGGGGGTGGCAGGGAGGGACAGTGGCCAGCCATGCATTCCTGTGGGAGAGCCCCACAGAGGCTGAGCCTGGCCAGGCATCTCAAACCTGAGCAGCTCAGAGGGACTCTTGCTGCACCCCCAATCTCAAGTAGCCCCTCTCACTAGATTCACCCTCTTACCCATCATTACATTCATGCTTCCTGGTTTTTGCCTGTCTCCCTAACAGGAAGGGAAGCTCCTTTGGGGTTTTGTTTCTCAGTGAGTTTCCAGCAACAAGCACCATGCCTGGCACAGGGCAAAAGAGCAATAAATGTATATACTAAATAAATCAACAAATGAGCTAAAAGCTATGATTCTGAGGACCACCTGTGTGGGTCTCAGTTCTCCCAGAGCAGACCCTGAGACAAGGACTCAACTGCAAGTTTTTTATTTGGGAGGTGAAAAAACACGGGTAGGTGGGTAGGGGAGGCAAGGAAGAAAAAGAGCCAATAAATGGCATCTTATCAAATGGTTTGCCCTGTGGGCGACTAACGTCTGATCCCAATGGGGAACTGCACTGCAGGAGCCTGCATAGGACACAGCCCTGAGCCCTCTTGCAAGAGGGAAGGTGTACTAGTCCATTCTTATGCTACTAAAAAAGACATACCCGAGACTGGGTGTTTTATAAAGGAAAGAGGTGTAATTGACTCATAGTTTAGCATGGCTGGGGAAGCCTTAGGTAACTTACAAACATGGCAGAAAGGGAAGCAAACATGTCCTTCTTCACATGGCAGCAGAAGACAGAAGAATGAGAATCGAGCAAAGGGGGGAGCCCCTTATAAAACCATCAGGTTGTGTAAGAACTTACTCATTATCATTACTCGTGAGAATATAGTGGGGGAAAACACCCCATGATTCAATTACCTCCCACCAGGTCCCTCCCATGACATGTGGGGATTATGGAAACTATAATTCAAGATGATATTAGGGTGGGAATACAGCCAAAACATATCAGAGGGGCAGCCACGGTGTTTCTCCATTAACTCCTGGCACTTGTGGGTAGAGGATGCCTCCTTGTTGGAGAGCAGGGAAACTGACTGCCATGCTGTTGTCTTGACTCCAGTGCCCTAAGAAATGTTTCAGGCACTGAAGTGCAGGCTCCAGCAGGTGGAAGTGGGGCTGTATGCACAGAAGAGACCAGGGCAGGACAGCATCTGCTTGACTTCCTCACTGGGAGATGAGAGGAATGTGAGTGTGAGGAGCAGAGAAATGAGTGTTTAGGGCTACAAAGTGTGAGTCAGTGAAGTGATTTTCTGGGAGAAAGAAAGAGCTCCCAATGTTATTCCTGGTGCCTGCATCCTCTCCACCTCCACCAGGGACTTCTCGGGAATCAGGGCCACCTGCCTCTCCATCTTCATGTGGAATGACACCTTTCAGGTGTGCCACTCTTTACAGCCTGTTTGGAGATGCCCTCTGAGGGCCCTTCTCCCTGGTCATGCTGCGTTGCTAGGCAACCTCACATCTGTCTGTCCCAAGACTGTTCCCACTGGATGGTTCACCCATGAGTACACTCATTTGCTCATGTCTCCTCCAGGCCTTTTCTGAGATATCAGGACAACTCAGAGAAGTGTTCTGGCTTCAGATGCCATGGGGTTTGCTTCAGCTTCTTAAAAGATAGCTTGCAAACAGCGGAGGCTTTTGGCTAATTCTTAAACTGTGACTAATGCTAATTAACCTCTTTGTATTTTCTGAAAGAAAGTTCGGGGGGGAAGGGGACTAAAATGTTGCACAAATGGCAAAGTGGCTATGACTGCTAGTACCAGACCTCAGTTTTGGTCAGTGTAGGACTTACAATCTTTCCTTGGGGAGTAACAAGTTTCTTGATCATCCTTATAGAGAAGGCCACTGTACAATAATTTCTCATGGGACAGAGTCATGAGCTGGCCTTAAACCATCAAGCAAGCCAAGAGAAACCTAAATTCGTCATAGCAACTTTATTCCTGATAGTCAATATCTGTCTACAATTGCACAGATACACATTTTTATGGTATAGTTATACTGTAGCATTTTCTATGGCAATGAAAATGAATGAACTGCAACTATGTGCAACAACATGGATAAATTTCCCAAACATAATGTTGACTGATAGAAGGCAGACACAAAAGACATACTTTTGAATGTCTTTTGTGTGTCATCACATACTGTATGTGATACTGTACAATCTCCTGCATATCAATTAAAAACAGGTGAAAGCAATCTACAGTGTTACAAGTTGTGGTGATTTTAAAATATTTCTGCAAAATGTTTGACATTCCTCGCTTTGAAAGATGGAGCCTAATTACCTCTCCTTCAAGACAGGCTAGACTTAGCGACTTGCTTCTAAAAAAATAAAATGTGGCGGAGGTGATATCATGTGATTTCTAAGGTGGGCTTCACGTGACTCTCTGGAGGAAACTGGCTGCCATGTTGGAAGGAAACTCAAGCAGCCTTTAGTGAGGCCCCACATGGAAAGAAATAAAAGCCTACAAACAACCATCCTCAAATTACAAGCCTTGTGAGTGAGCCACCTTTGGAACAGATTCACCATCCCCAATCAGGCCTTCAGATTATTACAACCCTGGTTGATATTTTCACTACAACCTTATGAAAGACTCCAAATCAGAACCATCCAGGTAAGCTGCTCCAAAACTCCTGATCCATAGAAACTATGAGAGATAATAAACATATACTGTTGTTTTAAGCAACAGAGAACTAATCCAGATGTCAGAATACTTCCTCTGGGTGAGGGGGATTAGCAACTGCAAGTGGCCTTATGAGACTTCTGAGGGTACTGATAATGTTATTTGGTGATGTGTGTGCTGATTTCATGGATGCATTTGGTTTGTGAAAAGTTATTCAGCTGTGTGATTATGTCTTGTGTACTTTATTTTAAAATAATTTATTTGAAGTAAAGTATAGCAAAGATTTATTTATACATTTCACCAAGAGTTGGTTGCATTTTCAACTATTTTTCCTGAAGAATAGATCACGTTAATGTGGATATTTTCTTTCTTTTTTTTAATTTAATTTAATTTTAAGTTCCAGTATACATCTGCAGGACATGCAGGTTTGTTACATATATACACATGTGCCATGGTGGTTTGCTGCACCTATCAACCCACCACCTAGGTATTAAGCCCTGCATGCATTAGCTATTTATCC
The DNA here is from genome assembly GCF_000001405.40 of Homo sapiens. Classification (NCBI taxonomy): domain Eukaryota; kingdom Metazoa; phylum Chordata; class Mammalia; order Primates; family Hominidae; genus Homo; species Homo sapiens. The sequence goes on along the minus strand of NC_000019.10, from coordinate 31,434,695 downwards.
TGATGCTCTCCCTCCACCAGCCCCCACCAACAGGTCCCAGTGTATATTGTTCCCCTCCCTGTGTCCATGTGTTCTTTTTGTTCATCTCCCACTTATGAGAACATGCCATGTTTGGTTTTCTGTTCCTGTGTTAGTTTGCTGAGGGTAGTGGCTTCCAGCTCCATTTATGTCCCTGCAAAGGACATGATCTTGTTCCTTTTTATGGCTGCATAGTGTTGCATGATGTATATGTACCACATTTTCTGTATCCAGTCTATCATTAATGTGCATTTGGATTAATTCCATGTATTTGCTATTGTGAATAGTGCTGCAATGAATATACACGTGTGTGTATCTTTATAATAGAGTAATTTATATTCCTTTGGGTATATACCCAGTAATAGGATTGCTGGGCCAAATGGTATTTCTGGTTCTAGGTCTTTGAGGAATTGCCACACTGTCTTCCACAATGGTTGAACTAATTTACATCCCCACCAACAGTGTAAAAGCATTTTTATTTCTCCACAGCCATATGCACATTACACTTTGATAAAAAGTTCAAAAGTGTTTACCAAAAGGAAAAAGGAAAAAAAACATATTTAACCCCAGCACTGATCCCCGTTCAGTACAGTGGACTTACCACTCCAAGGAAGTATTGCCAGGATGCTTAGAGATATACAGAGATCTGATTTTAGGCAGCCTGAGCCTTGGACGAGTCTTAGTTATTTCTTGCATGCAGCCTCCATGAAACTAAGCCAAGGAGGTGTGTGGGAGAGATCCTGTGAACAGGCAATTGCCTTTGCCCTGACTTTCTATCTTAGACTGTTTTATTGCTCTCCCCAAAACTAATAAAGTGAACTCAGGACCTTGGCTTCCCATCATTTCCAGAATGGGAGATTTTGAATCCAGCTAAAAAACACAATGGGATGGGTTCCCATCCTGAAAAACTAAGCCCCTGAACCCAGGCTTGTGGGAACCCCAAGGTGTGGGGTGGCTGGGGATGACCCATCTCAGAGCAGTCAAGCCTTCCTGCTTGCCAACATCACTGTCAGTGAGAATAGTCTGCTGCCTTCATTTCATTTTCTTCTAAATTCCATATTTCTACTAAAGCACTTTATCAATGTTGCAATCACTGTTATCATCACAGTTGACAGGTTGAACTCATTTCTTATCTTTTTTTTCTGTTTTATTCCCTTAAGCCTTTGAATGGCTTGAGTCCAAAGCTAGACCGAGGAGGGCTTATTTCAATTTAATTCCATAGATAGGAGCATCGATACATGCTTCATATCTATTCTAAATTCTTCTGTGAGTGATGCATAGGGCCCAGCAACCTCCTGCATCTTCCTAATGTTCTTTTGCCACTTTCTCTTCCAGGTCTCCTCCCTTCATAAGCCCTTCATCCACTCCAGCCAAAACCACCTACTCATGGTGCTCCATGTTGTCCTGGAATATTCCCACCTGTGTGATTTTTCTGATCCCATTTGATTTTCCAGCTCCTGTAGACCCTTCAAAATCCTATCATTATCCTTCCTGGCAGGAACCTTCCTTTATTCCTTTACTAAAAGTAGGAGTTCTCTTTGCAACCCTGCTCCAGGAAATCGCTACCAGATCCTCTCTTTTGAGGGTTCTTTCTCTCTGTAGGAAAGGGCTGTTTCCTTATCTGATCTCCTTGCCAGAACATCCACTGCAGGGCAGAGGTGAGGGCAAGTTGATCTGAGTTCCTACATAGTCAGTAAAAAATGAGAGGTCCAGGAACCTGCCCACCAGGTGCCTGACTGACATTCTAAGAATTCAGGGGTCTCAGTTTGCATTGCTCCAGAAGCTGACCCTGAACACAGATCTGACTGTGCAGGTTTGTTACACAGGTAAATGTGTGCCATAGTAGTTTGCTGTACCTATCAACCCATGACCTAGGTATCAAGCCCTACATGCATTAGCTATTTATCCTGTGCTCTCCCTCCCCCTGCTCGCCGACAGGCCCCAGTGTGTGTTGTTCCCCTCCCTGTGTCCATGTGTTCTCCTTATTCAGCTCCCTAGGAAATGCTGGCAGGAATGCGACTGTGGCACAGACAGTTCTTCCACCAGCAAATGCATTGTGAAGATGGCCACCACAATGATGCCTGGCACCATGGGAGATGCTAGGACGTTCCCGGTGGGGTGTGAAGGAAGTGCTGTGGTTCTCTGCAACTCATTGCATAGTCATTGGCTGAGGGCTGCTGCTGGGAGTGTTCCTTCCTTCCTTGGCACATCCCACCTGTTGTGTCCAGGCAGAGTAGCCTTCAGTGCTCTGAAAAAAAAAAAAATAGCCCCAAGCCACAGTGATGCAGATACTGACACTGGGTGTTGGAATGGGTCAGCCCATACTGGACTCGTGATATGGGGTGGGGCTTGGTGACCCTGGGCTTATCTTACAGAGTTCTCAAAGATTTATAGGAACCCAGATGAGCGGGACCTCACACACCAGGGCCAGGCATCATCCCCAGCAGACAGACGAGTGGGGCCTGTGCACACCATGGTCTCCAGTCAGAGGAGTTTCTCCCCTGCCCCTCCTCTGTCCTTTTCTGTTAACCTCTCTTTTTCCACAGGAGCCAGCAGGCTGTCCATCAGAAAGATCCATCCGAGGAAAGTGGGAGTGTGCTGATCAGCACCATAGAGCCTGGCTCCTCTCACAGGACTGGCAGACCCCTGGAGGGACAGTCACTGGGTGGCTTGCCGCTCATCTATAATTACAGCTTGGTGGGAGCCTCACATGAGCCAGTCACTTGGGCTTCAGCTGAGTTCCTAAATTTCCACTTGGTACACCCTCACTGTGTGCTACCTTGCGTGTTTGATACCATACAATATTTACTTCTGGTATTCATTCAACTAGAACTCATGCAACCAGTAAGAATACAAAAAGCACTTTGGGAGGCCAAGGCAGGAGGATTGCTTGAGCCTAGGAGTTTGAGACCAGCCTGGGCAATGTAGTGAGACCCCATCTCTACAAAAAAAAAAAAGAGAGAGAGATAATTTAGCTTGGCATGGTGGCATGCACGTGTGGTCCTACTTGGGAGGCTGAATTGGAGGACTGGTTGAGCCCAGGCGTTCAAGGCTACAATAAGTCATGATCACACCACCGCACTCTAGCCTGGGTGACAGAGTGAGACTCTGTGTATCAGGAATAAATAAATAAATACACCCCACAAAACCTCAATACAAACAGTAAAATCATTGAAATCAAGAGCTAAAGTATTATCTGTCCTGCATTCAGGGTTCCTCTTTAAAGTAGGCATTGAAACTTGGTACTGTGTGTTGAAGTGTCTCTCCAAGGGCATTGAAATCAACAGCTGTGTGATATATCTGGAATGTTTGGAGGCAAAGACAATCCCAAGCAATGAGAAATCTCATTGTGTGTATTTGTATTCTATTCTGGAATCATTGTAAATATAATATGCAGATGAAAATGAATGTTACTAGAGTTTTTTTTGATAACTTTTTTATAGGTCAGAAGAGGAACAAAATTATCTTATCTTTGGAAAGTCCCTGATAGAAAAAGTGGTTTCTTTGTTCCCTCCTTCACAATGTGCCACCACCATGGGGGACGAAGCTTGAGACATATTGTCTTGAAAGTGGCCTCAGATGTTAACTGTTCTACCTTTTCCCCAAAGGTGGCCAAACATGATGATGAAAGCCAAGAGGTTGCCTTCAAGGGAAGGGTAGGGGGAAGGACTCGTGAGACCTACTGGTCATTGTGGCTAGTAGCTCACAGAGTGGGGAAATGTGAACTCTGCTTTTCATGATTGTACAGATTCATGATTGTGCAGAGGCTCAGAGCCAAAGGTCCAGCCCAGCACCAAAGGGACATCCAATCTGAAGCCATATGGGCTGATTCAAAACATTCAGTGAAGTTCTGCTAAATCCTTGGGTCATGGCTGGATCCCAACAGCCTTGACTTTCCTTAACAGATATACCCCAAACATGAGAAGCCAAGTCACTGTCTTTCACCCCTCACTGGAAACTTCTTCCTTACGTTGGAGGGTGGTAAAAGGTTTTTTGTTGCTGGGCACAGTGACTCACACCTGTAGTCTCAGCACTTCGGGTGGCTGAAGCGGGAGGACTGCTTGAGGCCAGGAGTTAGAGATCAGCTTGGGCAACACTGGGAGATCCTATCTCTACAAAAACTAAAAAGGAATTATCCAGGCATGGTGGTGTGCATCTGTGGTCCCAGCTACTTGGGAGGCTGAGGCAGAAGAATCTCTTGAGGCCAGGAATTCGAGGCTGCAGTGAGCTATGTTAACACCACTGCACTCAAACCCAAGTGACAGAGCAAGACTTTGTCTCAAAAATAAACCAAAAAAAAGTTACTTGCAAGATGCCCAGACAAGTTGCTGCTGGTCACTCTGGCTCAGGTGCTCAATCCACAGACTCTCCAGATCATGACTATATGACAGTCTTTGAGGTCAAAGGAAGCAGCTCTGGTCAATCCCCACTGTACTAGAGAGTCTTAAAACATTGTTGGGCAAACACACACCATGGCCTGGCCTGCTTGTACTTCTAGGGCACTTGCACTGATTCTTAAGGAGGAATCAGGCAAGATCTTCTGGGAGGGGCTGGTCTTAAAGGAATAAGAGTGTGGCCCCAAATAATCACACCATAAGCTAGATGTTTCAGCCCTACTCTGTGTTGAGGAAGGCCTTATGGCTGGGCCATGAGAGGTGTTCTAAAGTCTAGAAGGAAAGTCAGGGCAGAAAAGAAGCTTAGAAGTTTTTCTTCACTCGCAATAAATGGTGAAGCGCCTCTGTGGTTTTCATTTCAACTTGCGAAATACTGGTGACATGAAGTCTAAGAAAAATAATCACTTCTAGAAGTGAGGTTTCCATGCTCAGGGTCACATTGTCATCCTGAATTGCTCTCAACTTTTTTCTCTTTAGGGAATGGGAAGAGTCTGGACTGCTTCTCCTTCAGTTAGGCTCAGCAAGTATCTACTGGGAAGGGTACCACTTAGAAGGCCCACCCACTGCCAGAATTCAGAGGCCCTATCCATATGAATTTAGCCAATCTGGCCTTTAAGGCATTCTCAGTTTCTCAGTCTAGGAGGTGGAAAGATTAGATGAATGCACAGTGGACTCCAGGAAACAACATGGACTTCCTGAAAGGCTCTTCCCTTCTCATCTATAGGTCTCAGCCCCAAAGCCATCCTCTCCAGAGGTCATCCTCATGAAGTTCTGCTACATCCTTAGGTCATGGCCAAGGCCCAGCAGCCTTGACTTTCCTTATCAGATATACCCAAACATGAGAAGTGAATCACCACTCACTGGACATGTCTTCCTTATCTTGGGAGAGGGGTAAAAGGTTATTTGTTCAGATGGCTTTCTATCACCAATCTTCCTGTCCTGCCACCCTCTTCACTCCCTTTGTGAGCATTTTACAATCTGAAATGCTGCGTGTGCCTCACTGTTTACTCCCTATCACACCTCTGAATGTGAATGTCCTAGGAGCAGTGATCACATCTGCCTGTCTGCCTTTCTCATTACTCTAAGCATGGGTTCTATGATATGTGTCAAATGGATGAATCCAGGTACTTAATACAAATCTGCTAAAGTACTTTGATTGAGCATCCAAATGGTTGGCATCATTGGTAACTCCTGCAAGAGATAAAGGAGAGAAACCTTCTTGATTTCAGGAGTGGCTTTTGCAGGTGGTTAGAGTTTGGATAGGCCAAGAGGAGAAGGTATGGAGTTGACCTGCCAGGCAAGTAGAGGAAAGGAGACATGAATGCACAGAATATTTATGCAGAGGAGACTGTGGAAAAAGCCCTGCCCTGGGGAAGAAGGTGAAAATCCTCTGGGACTGTGCCTTCAACCTGCAGCCCCTCTGAGAGCCAGTTCTCCATTTCACCAAAGATGTCAATGACCTGGCTGACACGTCTCAGAAGATTTATTGACATAAGAGACACCATTCTAAAGACTTGGCCCAGGATCACACATCAAACCTGCAAGTTTGAAAGGATTAGAAACATACTTGGGGCACATATTTCATCTTGACTCTAGACTTAATTAAGATATTGCTAGAGCAATACCATAGACAAGCAAAGAGCTAGCACTTAATCCAGCCCTCCCCCAACCCTGTAAAAAATAAAATAAACGTGGATTGCATGGAGTGAAGTATTCATAATTATTTTATGCAGAAGGGGAAAAAAACGAATGAAGAGGTACCAGAAGCTCATGTCATCAATTTCACAGATTTAGGTCTAATCAGAGCACCTTTTAATGCTAAAACACCAGCCTCTTTATTCTAAGATGTTTGTAGGTATCATCAAATCAACATCAGTTGAAATACTCTTTAATGATGTGATCATTTCAAAATTAGACTAATTTTAATTAGCAACAAAAGCATTTTTGGAACAGAAAACCTGTAGCTTTCTCAGCTGATCCAGGCTTCTGCTAACATTAAGAGTTTTCCTAGGGGGTAAAAAAAAAAAAGGCAGGATTTAACTTCCAATGTATATTAATCTTAATTTTCCCCAGCACCCAAGTTACTCTCCAGTAGTTCTTAAGAAAGCTCTTGACCTTTTAAAAGTCTCTGAGGTGCTGCTGTTGGGAGCCTACTGAAATGTATTACATGTGTTCTTCCCAGACAGCCACAAGACGGAAGGAGAAACTTGCCAAGAGCTTCTCAAGTCTAGAGTTCTTGACCATCCTGTGGATGGAATTCCACCCACTCTTGGCTTTCTCCATTCCATCAGTTTCCTACTTCCCCAGAGAACCAGAACTGGAGACTCAGGAATCAGAGTCAGGTCTTGCTTAATCATGCTTCATTGTGCCACATGATCACATGATTGACCTGTGAGATGCTTTTGTTTTTTTTGTTGTTGTTTTTATTTTTGCTTTTTTGCTTTGTCTTTTTTTTTTTTTTTTAGATGGAGTTTCGCTCTGTGACACAGGCTGGAATGCAGTGGCGCAATCCTGGCTCACTACAATGTCCGCCTCCCAGGTTCAAGTAATTCTCCTGTCTCAGCCTCCTGAGTAGCTGGGATTACAGGGCACGCCCGGCTAATTTTTTGTATTTTAGTAGAGATGGGGTTTCCCAGGTTGGTCTCGAAATCCTGAGATCGGGCAGTCCACCCACCTCAGCCTCCCAAAGTGCTGGGATTACAGGCCTGAGCCACCGTGCTCCACTGACTTACATGACGTTTTTAGGGCAAAACTTGCATTAGCTGCCTTTATTTAAACATTGGGAAATTTCACCCAAGAGCTAGCTTTCTTCCTCCTTTGATAAGCTGATAGATCTGAGTTGTAACACTTGGTCTCCTCTCCAGCACACCTTTCCAACACAGCCTTGATTCTGCTCAGTTATTTTCCTAGCCTTGGAAACATCCACAGCCTTCTAAGCCAATCGGCATGGTTTTCTTCTGGGATCTGTTATTGGTCCAAATGTGGCAAGCGACGTGGGTGCATTCAATCAGAATGAAGGAAACAACTTATAATGTCCCGTAATTGGAGAAACAGTTATTCTTGTTCACCTGGAAAGAGAATGAGAGCATGCCGTCCTGGCTGCAATGGACCACCAGCCAGCAATCACATGCACAGTCAGCCAGAGGATGGAGCCAAAGCTGACCTCAAAAAAAGAAAGACCCAGATTTCCAGGGGAATTATTGAGCTCTACTAGAATATGCATCAAGTCCGGTATCTCTGAAGATCCAGTTATGTGAGAGAAAAACATTTCTGTATGTGTGAACTCACTTGGAGTCAGCACATGTACTCTTGGCTGCTAGAACAAACCTAATCATAAGCTGGGAAAATGACCCACATCCCTCCCTGTCATACTTACCAACTATGGCACCCATAGGTGGAGTTTCATCCCCTGACACCTGGGCTGAGTTCTTTGATGTTCATCTTTATGCTTGCAATGTTGCATTTACACATTCTAAGAAAGGCATCCTTGGGCAATTTCATCACTGTGCAAATATCATAAGGGAAACGTACACACATATAGATGACAGAGGCTGCTATGCACTTAGGCTGAGCTTGATAGCCTACGGCTCTTAGGCTACAAACCTGTACAGTATGTTACTGTACTAAATACTATAGGCATTTGTAACATCATGGTAAGGATTTGTGTATTCAAACATACCTAAACATAGAACACACACAGTGAAAATATAATATGAAACATAAAAATGATACATTTGTATAGAGTCCTTACTATAAATGGAGTTTGCAGACTGGAATTTGCTCTGGGTGAGTCATTGAGTGAGTGGTGAGTGAATGTGATGGCCTAGGACATTACTGTACACTACTGTAGATTTAATAAGCAACGTAGGCTGAGCATGGTGGCTCATGCCTGTAATCCCAGCACTTTGGGAGGCCAAGGCAAGTGGAACACTTGAGGTCAGGATTTTGAGACCATCCTGGCCAACATGGCGAAACCCTCTCACTACTAAAAATACAAAAAAATTAGCCAGGTGTGGTGGCTTGTGCCTGTAGTCCCAGCTACTCAGGAGGCTGAGGCAGGAGAATTCCCTGAACCCGGGAGACAGAGGTTGAAGTGAGCTGAGATTCCTCTGGCCTGGGCAGCAGAGCAAGACTATGTCTAAAAAAAGACAAGCCATGTTCACTTGGGCGATGCCATATTTATAAAAAAAATCAATTAATTTTGCTACAACATCACAATGGCTATATCACTAGGTGACAGGAATTTTTCAGCTTCATTAGAATCTTATGGGACCATCATTGTTTATGAGTCCATCATTGACAAAAATGTCATTATTCAGTGCATGATTGTATTTTAATTGGTGGCCATTGGCCTGGTAGTAATTCAACAGACTTCTATAAGACACGCCCCATAGTGTCCTGTATATGACATTGTTGCTGTGATCAAGTGTCTAGCCTCAGGGTCCTTGCAATCTTTCAGGGAGATGTGCTACCCTAGCTGGTCCACAGGGATGCACCTAGGACAACCATCATATCCTGGTGGCTGAACAACAATGGTGTAGGGTCACCCTGATTCAGCCAGAGCCAGAGCCATCCTGCAACAACTCCGCCACCCCAAGGGGAGGCTTCATGTCCACCTCTAATACAATTCCCTCTTTTGGAAAGATGTAATCTCTGAGACTCCGTGGAAGCATATTTAAGCCATTACAAGCAAATCAAAACATGATAAATCATGAATTTTCCTCCTACTCCCAGTGGCCTCCTATAGATGCAAACTTTGACAAAGAATAAGCAAGAAGTAAAATATTCGAGGCAGACAGATGGTAGCCTGAAGTTACAGCTTCTCCTCATAACTTAAAACCCATTGAAATCTGAGCCTTAGGATTTTCCTTTTTGCAGAAGTTTAGCTAAAAGCAGGCGGGGGAGAGAATGTCTTCCCAGGCTCACGTACAGTTTTTGAGTTCCCGTTGTCCATTTTGACCTCAATTTCTTGCTGGCTTTCAAAGACCTCACAGCAACCCACAAGAAGAGCCAGCCAGATGAACTTTGCTGAAGATTGTCCTCCTCACAATATTCTCTTGAGGAAGACAGCCTCCTGCCCGTTTCACAAAAGCAGAATTACACCCTGTTGAAAACACTGGAAACAAGAGCAAATATGGCAGCAATTGGATAGCAAAGAGCGACTAGAGAAAACAAGATAAAGTACAAAAGTTCTTGGTTGCTCTCAGCAAGGCAGCTGGGTTAAACAATTAGTACTAATTGCCTTATGTCAAGCCGGCAGTTGCAGTAAACAAACACAATTCACAAAGAAACCAGCCTGAGCTTCTTCTGATTAAATAGTGTTGCATTTTTAAATGTGTTACCGATACATGCTGTGCCCTTAAGAAAATGACTACACTGTCACAGGCATAGCAAAGACACTTAGAAATAAATTCGGCTGCAAGATAAGGAAAGTACATGATAAATTAAGCTCTGCGTATAAATTCTTAAGAGCCTCCATTTTAATGCTGGTCATTATTCAACAAATTTTTCTAAGAAAATGCCAAATAGGCAGGAACGAGTAATTAGGAGAGAAAAGTGAAACTGTCATGGTTAATGGGTTGCGGCGCTGTTCTCTACGTTATCCTTCATGAAACTGGGCCTGAAGAGGTGAAATGGGTGGGGAGCCCTGGTGGGGCTGGGGTGCCAAGCACAGGTGCTCCCGGGAGCCGGTGGTTTCTCTGCCTGGCAGACATAGGCAGAGGAGCCAGGAGAGGGGTGGGGAAGAAGGGGTCACAGAAAGAGGGGTGCCAGGAAAACAGAGATCAGGCTGGGATTGAAGAGCCACTCAGGCTCGGGGGAGCAGAGAAGGCTGGAGTGCCACACTCCTCGCAGTGCCCAGGCTGCCATAAATCTGAAATCACTGGGGATATTGTTAGCGTTCAGCAAGTATTATTAAAATGAAGGGAAATTTATGGATGACACTTTGTAACAATTAATCAGGAACTGTTGATTAATAAAGTTAGTTCGTTATTCTCCTGAAACCTAGGCGGCTATGAGAATTGTCAGACGGATCATTTTATTCATTATTTTTGATTAATGCACCCAGATTCTCTGACTCTGAAGAAAAAAAAAAAAAAACTTCTCCACTATGCAAAATCATAAATACTGAATGAGTCTGTATACAGTTAACCTTGGCCACAGCTAGGAAATTTCAAGGAAGAAATGTGCATATTCAGCAAATAAATTGCTGCAAGGATTAAAAAACAAATGGAGGGGTTTGATGAACATCACCTCTCCAGACCTGTCCATCTTGTATGAATTCCTGTGATTAATTAGTTTGTTTAGATACTCAATTAGCCTACTGAAGCAGACACACACACACACACACACACACACACAAGCCATAGTCATGGACCAAGATAAGGGCAGAACCAAGAAATGCCCAAGCGTTGTTCTAACTTGGAAAGAGTGCTCTGTGGCCTTTTCTCCCTCCCACAGTTCTTTTTTTTTTTTTTCTGAGACGGAGTCTTGCTCTGTTGCCCAGGCTGGAGTGTAGTGGCACCATCTCAGCTCACTGCAAGCTCCGCCTCCCAGGTTCACACCATTTTCCTGCTTCAGCCTCCCGAGTATCTGGGACTACAGGCGCCCACCACCACACCCGACTAATTTTTTTGTCTTTGTAGTAGAGATGGGGTTTTATTGTATTAGCCAGGATGGTCTCCATCTCCTGACCTTGTGATCAGCCCGCCTCAGTGTCTCAAAGTGCTGGGATTACAGACATGAGCCACGAACCGGGCCTCTCCTTCCCACGGTTGTTTGCCTTCGCAGCTCCTCTCCTTCATTCTTCAGGAAGTTGTGAGTTAGGCTAATTTTTCATGACTGGCCAATCATTGCCCTGCCTGGGTCCATACATCAGCCACCAGCCAGGGCTTCCTGGAAGCCTGGAGATGCTTTTCTTTCTGCAAAGATATGAACTCAGAACTTCAAACGGCTACTCCATCTGCCTCCCCAGAAGTCCTGGCCCAGGGTGGAGAAAAGTCCTCCAGAAACCACCACCACCATCCTCCAGGTACTGGGGGAAATGGGAAGAAATTTATCCATGGAATAAGACAAGTTTGCAAAGAGACTGCCCAATTCCAAGCCCCAAGGCTGACCCTGGCTTCCCTCTAAAGGAAGCCCTGGCTTTCCAATTATCTGTTTACATTGCTGTGATATCATCAAAAACTCGAATTCCTTTTATAGTCATAAAGGATGCTGAGAGTCTATGTGGTACAGATTATTATTCAGTTTTCTAGAGTGTACCCTAATAAGAAGTGGCAGAGGGAGTAAGTGATATGTTAAAATATATTATTGCTAAATGGATTAGATTGTGTGTTTGTGTTCATTTAGAAAATAATAGGTACAACCTTAATAAAAGCATTTATATATTTTTGTACCGAAGATACAAAACCCCAAAGCAAACTCATTAACTAGTAATTTTACCCTTATTAAAATACATTTATTTGTATGCTTACATGATTTGATAGCTTTAAAAAAAAAGAATATTACTTTTCTTGCAAATATTTCTGTAAGATGCTTACCCCTGTTCTGTTTGTTGAAAAAGTTCTCCACTTTTCTGGAGGTTATAATTAGAGATAATTTGGCCTCCTTCATAATATTTTGATTCTGAGAATGATTCGTTTGGAAAGACTCTCAAACCTCATAGCATCCTGACAAGATTTTGCAAAAGGTACAAATATCATGTGTAGGGCATGATATAAAAAAATGCACCCTTTGGGGATGACAGTGGAGGATGAGAAGAAAACAAGTTTCAGAACAAAAGCCAGGAAAATGGATTCTGAGAAGTCTGAAATTACATACAGCCAGGGAAGAATGGGATCAAAGGAAGGAGGCTGCTGGAGGGCTGGTAAAAGAAGAGACCGGCCACTCCCCAAATCGCCCCCTTTCTTTGCCTTTCAGGTGCCCACCTGCTTGGGATTCTCCAGGCGAGAAGGACAAGTTTGGGGAGCAGCATTCATAACGTGAGATGGAATTCTAATCATCATCGCCAGAATTGCAGACAAAGGGCTAATTACTGGGACTCATAAATAGACACTTAAAATGTTGAACATGAAACTTGTTCATTATACACGGATTCTGCTTTTGGCGAGCGCTGGAACAGAATCACCAAGGGGGCTGAAATTGGCAGGGCCGGGGTCTGCCACGGGGGCTGGCAGGCACCTCAGGGCTGAAGCCAAGGCTCGCGTGGAATGGGCCTTCCCCAGCCTCACCGCAGGACGGACTCAAAGGCAGCCATCCAGCCCAGCCGCCGTCCCCTCTCTTGCAGACGTCGCTTCCCACCGAGAGAAATCCGGGCAAGGTGACTGCACATGTCACACGGAGTTCTGAACGGGTTTTTGCCAGAACCCTGAACGCAACCCATGTATGGAAATTGCCGACAAAAGAAATTAAGAGCAGGAACGCTGTGATTAGGCTAATGCATTGATCAAATCAAACCCTCTCTGTTTCACTGCCAGGATGCCCCGTATAAAAGCGTCATTAAAGAAACTCTGCCGTCCCTCCTGCTAATGGTCTACGATTTGAGCATGCCCCGATGATTGACAAGTGATGCCAGGGCTGCCTGTGTTGTCTTAAAAAAGCCACATCAGATCAGCAGAAGCTTAAAGCAAAGCATAAATTATAGATAAGCGTCTGTTTCTTTGATGATGTAAGACTCATAGGTGCATCTCTCTTCCATCACAAACAAAAAATTGCACTTTCAGGAGGCCTTTTCACAATGTCACATCATATTTGAAAAAACAACAGGAAAAACATAAACATTTTCCCTCCGTTTCCTTCCTTCCTTTTTTTCTCTTATTCTTAAAACAAAATATCTTAAACAAACAGCCGGCTTCAAAGGCAGCCTGGAAGTTTTCCTCTTTGGAGAAATTAATTAAACATAAAATAAGTGTTTAAATACAAAGTTCAGTGCAGCAAGGATTATTGCATCGTGTGGCTGCATCTATCTGTCAACCTTGCTAACTGTTCTGCTGCCTGTCAGAGGCAGGGTTACTGAATTGGAAGGTTCTCAGCATCTTGCTCGTTCAAAAACAAAGACGTTTGGAAAGTATTAACGGAGGCATTCTTTGCTTCGTAAATTTTATTGTCAGCTGGAGATACAATTTCCTTATTCCAAAGTTCTAAAAGTCTTCAGTGGAAATATTTAGGGGGCACTGTGGGAAAAGGGAGAAGAAAAAAAATTAAAGCATGTGGCTACAATACAGGAATGAGTGGTAAATTCACAGCAGGAGAAAACTCTCCTCTCTACCTTGCCCTGTTCTAGGGCCACTCCACAGGCTTTTCTAGTCCAGGTTTTGATCATGGAGGCCACATTCACTCAAGTTGCAAAACAATATTTTTCTCATCCATTGATTCCAATAAAAGACTCTGGACTCCCTTGGGAGGTTCACCCATGCTTCTGGAAAGTGCCACCTCATGCACCTAGAGGACCTACACCAAGGACCCACACCCATGCTTCGAAGAGTCCCTTAGTGACATTTCCAAGGGAAGACAACATGTGCAAGGTTACTAATTCAGAGTTCCTCTTAGATTAAAGCAGAAACTTGGTTCCTGGCAGAGCCAAATTGATTCTGCAGAATTAGCTTATAGGCTGTACTTGGAAAATACTCATCCTGTATCACTTTTCTTAGAGATAAGACATTTCCCTTTCCCCCAAGGTGCCAGGATCTCTAAGTTGACACAGTTCTGCACAAATCACTCTGGTGGTGTAACTTAGAGTGTCCCAATCCCCTTTGGACCCTGGCCTCTGTAACTGGGCCATCACTCACTTAGTTTCACCTTATCTTGAAATAAATGTAACCAGAAGGGACTTGTTCAGCTCGCCACCTCTTGAGTGATGTGAATTATTTATACGGTCTTCATACGCATTCGTTAAGCCGCACACAGCCAAGTGGAGAGGAGCTGTTTGTCTCTTGTTCAGCCAGAAGGGTAAGACCGCAAGGTCGGGGTGAGTAGCAAGAACATCTGGAAGATTTTCCCTGGCTTGGTCTTGAAGAATAGGGATTACCTGGGGCTGTCGTCTGTGTCAGGCTCCTGCAAAGAAGAACTTCACAGAGAGCAACTGAAGCTCCTGGTCTGCCAGGAAGGGGCGGAAGACCCAGGCCCCAGCCCATAACCGTCTCCTCCACAGCAATGAGCTTTGCAACACAGGCTCTGAAATGCAGGCCTCACTGGGCCGCTAAAAAAACATACAGCTAACAAAAGGAGGTGCAGGAAAGGCTGTGGCTCCCTGGGGTTTTCTGCAAAGAAAATCAGTCTGGGATGATCCCTAAGACACAGGCATGTTCTGGTTAATTGGACACTCTGGTTAATAAAGACTTACCACATGGTACTGAGAAAAGAGGGAGATTGGGAGTTAAAAGTGCTGGGTTTGAGCCTCTCTGGGCTGCATTTCTCATATGAACATAACGTTGTCCACCTCACACAATTGGCACGAACAAGAAATGAAATAATCGATGCAAAAGTGCTTTCTGAGCTCTGAGATGCTACATAATTGTCAGCGACACGTTCACATCCTTGAGTGACAAATTTCAAACAATAAAACTTAGGGACTATCTTCTTTTCCCAAGCTCTTGCTGGAGCATGTTCATTTTCCCATGGAAATTTAGAAGGTACTACCCCAGCCCCTGAGTCTCTCATGGAGAGCAGTCTTTAGGGTCATGTAAACTTCCAGCATATTTGAAATCTATTTGGGATTTTGGTTTAACAAGATCTTCCCCTGTTTGGCAAGGGACCCTGAAATATTCAACCTGGAAGAGAAGCTGTAATAATTGTCTAGTTCAGGTGATTCAAACTGTATCCCCCAGTGGAATCTCTTTTGGGATCATGGAGTGGGCTGGGGGAAGCCCAGGAGTCTGGGGCTCTTACCTTAACTCACCTGTTAACATGAGAAAGACCTTCTGACCAAAGATTGCAAAGTAAAACAACCTAGAGAAGCTTCAAGGAATTCTGCATTACCTGGAAGGAAACTAAGGGAACTAAGAGAAAAAGAACTTGCAAATTGATCATCAGTGAATTAGAATACAGGCCTCTGTGCTTCCCCTCCAGGGCTCAGCCCCGTGCTGTGAGCTTTCTCTTGCAGATTTTCTATCTCCCCTGTCAGATGGCCCGGGGAGAACAGGCACCTGCTCTGCGGATGAGAAGCGTGGCCTGGAGACATTGCCCAAGAAGGGATGTTTGTTTCCTGGGGATGGAATAAGATGAGTTCTCCCAGATCTTATACCTGCCGTGAGATGCTTATGGATCAATGAATATTTGGAATATTGCCATCTTCATTTGAGAGGGCATCTGGGACCTTTGAGTCTGTCCCATACAGAATTTCCCTTTGCTATGTCAGAATCCTTGCTACCCTGAGCTCACCTGCCCCACCCCCACCTGGTATTCCATGACGTTCTCTCAAAGGCAACAGAAAGACCACAGGATATTCTAGGCAATCCATTGGTATGATCAAATATTTTGGAGATCTATTGGCATTTGCTTCCTGGCCACTGCGGGGTAATATTCTCTACGGAAAACATTGACTGTCTCCAAGAGCCAAGCCCATGGTCTAATGAATAAGGTTGGCCAGCAGGAACTGAGAATTACGAAAGGAGCCATCACCCTTGCTGGGACTGTAGCCTTCCAAGACCTGCTCTTTCTATTTTTTGAAAGCCCGAGGTCCAACTTTCTATGCAACAACTCTGGCATTTCAAATGCAATCTGTGTAAAATGCCTTAGGAACTCCATGCAGTTAAAAAGAAACTCGCCAGAGACTCACATCCTACCCACAAACCACTGGTTTGCTACTTATTTTGATTTTACAGTTTAAAGTCACAGCACTCTTAGTAGCTTATGTTTTATTCTCACTTCCAGATAAGGGAACCAGCTTGTCCCAGTCTGTCCAGAACTTTCCCAGTTTTAGCATTGCAAGTCTTGTGTCCTGGGAAACCCCCAGTCTCCGGCAAACCAAGGCAGCTGGTCACCCTACTGCCTTAGGAAGTTCAGCATGCCCTGGTGGTTGCTCCTGAAACGTGACGATGACTCACCTGTTCAGGTATGAGATCTCCTGCAGAATCAGACCGAATCTGCATTTAAACCCTCTCTTTCTGATACTTACCACCTGTCTGAGACCTTGCAGGTGCTCCTCAACCTGTCGGAGGATCAATTGCCTCATCTGCAAAATAAGAATATGAATGCATCTACCTCCCAGGTTGTTGAGATTATACGAGACAGTAAACCTGAAGTGCCAGCCCAAAATATAGATATTATTCCTAGGTGAGTGTTAATGGTAGAAGAATGTTGGTCCCGACGCTTGCCAACTTTTCCTCTGCGGATCTGAAATCTCAGACAGTCCAGGCTGTGCCTGCCATCTCCTCTTTGGCCCTTTTGCTCTGCCCTTTGAGGCTTGGAGGCTGGACTGTCTGTGATATTGTGTTAAGGGAGGAGGACTCACCTGCCCGTGGGCCCCTCTGAAGGGCTTTGCTCAACAGAAGGAATGTGGCTCCACGCACCTGCTTTGCAGTTGGAGATACTGCAACCTGTTCTCTTCAGGCACTAGAACAAACCTAGGAGCTGATCCAAGAGAAAGAAGTTCTGCTCATACCATCTTCTCTGCTCCCCCAAAACTTTGAGGAGACGGAGCCTGGTCAGCAGGTTCAGCTAACAGCAGGTGTTGCGTCTCCTTCTGTCAAAGTAAATTGAAGTTACAGGAAATTTCTCCCATGGCTTTCAATAGATTTGCCATAAATACTCCACCTTAGAAGACTGTGTTACAAACCCGGGGCAAAGCCAAGCCAGGAACTTTCATGGATTTAACAAGAAAAGAAAGAGTAGTGTTTTTCTTTGTGTGTGTTTCCCGGCAAACGCCAAGTCTGCCAAATCTTGGCTTCAAGTTGACCAAAAGTTGTTCTTAAAAATGTTCTGTGATCCGTTTCTGAGCCCCCTAAAGTTACTAATTAAAAAAGGAAAAATGTCACACAGACCTACTAAATTTCTAAGGTATTATTTGGAGTTGTTGAACCCATATCATAGGGCTTTCAAACTCAGTGTTGAATAAATTTCAAATTTCCCAGGAGACAGAAATGGCTCCAAAGAGATTTTCCCCAGGGCCCCGAGATCTGTAAATCGAGATAATTCTACGCATTGCTGCCTGAGTATGGAAATTACCAGCAAAAGAAATTAAGAGCAGGAACCCCGTGATTAGACTAATGCATTGATCAAGTCGTTCTTCTCGGTCTCACTGCCAGCACAGCACATAAATAACATGTGGGCAATTACCATGAGTAAATTATATGTGTTTTATAACCTTCCGTGAACATTTTTCCCTTAAAAAACAACAACAACAATAACAAAACAAAGCAAAACAAAAAATATTCCTCAGGGGAATTGAGTATCAGAGAAAAGAGTAAAATATATTTTTAAATTTTTCTATGCATGGGAGAACAGAACTGGGTGAGGTGGGACCCTCTTGGTAGCAGAGGCTGGGCTGGAGTTTGGTTTCCTACATGGATCTCAGGTGAATCTCCCTCCAATGCTGCCCTCTCCTGCCTGGAACTCTCCCTTCGCATCACAATTGTCTTGTTGTCTACCATCTCTGTCTTTCTCTCCCTTTCCATCTTCTTCCTCTGTGTCTTGGTCGCACTTTATCTGACCCTTTTCTGAGGACTGGGAGGATCTGAGAAGGGAATAAGACCTTTCCAGTCTTGGTTCTAGTCAATAGTCAATGGATCAATGTGGGGTGGGGAGTGAGGTCACTACTTGCAGTTTTCAGGCCCTAATCCCCGCTCAAACACTGCTATTGCAGGAAGGAACTTCCTGATAGACTGGTGATGCAGACAGCCCCGGGCAAGGACTCACAAACTGAGCGACCCTGCCCTCTGGTTGGCCAACATGGCCCCTGCCCCCATGTACCAATCCATATCAGATTCCCAAAAAGGCCACTTTGCTGGGCTCTCACTCTGCACTGGCTGCATGGGTCACCAGCAGTCTGGATGCCCTTCTTCCTCAAGGTGGCTGGTCCAGGCTGCAGCCTGCTGCCCCTGCCTGCACCACAGCCTCATGCACACGTGCGCTTCATCTGTCCCCAGTTCTTCCGCAACAGCCATGTGTGTCTCTGCTCTGAAAGCTCGCTGCCTAGCAGTGGGAGACAGACAAGCACACCGTGCCACACAACAGCAAGTGCATGGGGTGCCTGTGAACTAAGGGAGCCTTTAATCTGACCTCTTAGAATCTGGGGAGGTTATTTGGGGGCGGTGGTATTCGAGCTGAGTTTTGAAGGTTGAGTATGAGTATTCTAGTATCTCCTCCAAAAACAAAACAAAACCAAGAGAAACAGAGAATGGAGGAAAGGGACACTTAAGGCAGAAAGTGCATCAAATCTGCTCTTCCTGTGACTTTACCAACCCACGGGACCTGCCTGCACTCTGCGCTTCCCAAATCCCTGACTGCGGCTCCCCTCACTGGTTGGGTTCCTTGCAGTATTGGGTAAGGCTGGCAGGCCACTGCCTAATAATAGGGAGAAGCAGAGCTGTCCCAACAAAACCAAGGTGGGCTTAGTGCCAAAATAAACCAACGTTTCTTACTCCACACACAAAGTTTTCCACCTTTGTCTCCAAACTTTAAACTTCCAAAATATTTGACCCATTTTGGCAAAGTGTAGTCACTATTAAATATTCAGAGGCTACTCCATCGATGGGATATGTGGCTCAGCCACATAGCTCTACTCTAGAGCTTTTCCCTTGATCCCTGGCAACTCCCTTGAGAGTGTGGGCTTCAGACCTAGTTATATCAGGTTTCACACACTGGCTTGGCCACTCCCTGTGTATAGGATTGTGGCAAGTTAGTTACACCTACTGAGCTTTTATTTCCTCCTCTATGAAAAGGTATGACATGCAGTGCTATTTGCAATGGCCAAGACATCAAACCAATCTAGTGCCCACCAACAGGTGAATGAATAAAGAAAATGTGACACCCCACCCCAAACAAACACACAGAGAGAGAGAGAGAGAATGGAATATTACTCAGCCATAAAACAGGAGGAAATTCTGCCATTTGCAAAAACACGGATGAACCTGGAAGACATTACAAAATGTCTAATTGAATTGTCCAACTGAAATAAGCCAGACAAAGACAAATACTACCTGATCTCACTTACATGTAGACGCTAAAAAAGTTGAATTCATAGAAGCAGAGAGTAGAATTTTTATTGCTAGGGTTGAGGAGGGCAGGAAGGGGAAAGAGATGTTGATCAATGATAAGAGGAATAAATTCTGGGTATCGAATATGCACCATGTTCACTGCAGCTAAGAATAATGCATTGTATACTTGAAATTTACTAAGAGAGTAGATCCTAAATACTTTCACCACACACACAAAAAGGTAACTATGCAAGGTGAAGGATGTGTTAACTAAGTGAGTTGTGGTGATTGTCTCATGATATATTCATATATCATATCCTCATGTTATGCACCTTGAATATATATAATTGTATTTGTCAATTACACCTCAATAAGGCTGGAAAAATAAAGATAAAGTGAATAAAATAAAAAGGTGTGACTCTAGCCAATGTATCTGTCACTGTTATAATCAAGTTCAATCACGTCAGTCAAGCACCAGCCCCATTCCTTGCCCTTAGCGGACAAGGACTCATCCAGGCATTGGATCCCCTTAACTCTTCTTTAACCCTCATGCAAATTATCTATTTACCCGATTTGCTCTGAGACTAGAATAGTGAAGTAAGCTTGTGGGCAATGGTCAGGGAGCTCCCAGGTCTTCATGCTGAGCTCACTGAGCTCCACCTGCCTTGCAGTGCACCATCTCCTCTTTCTTCTCTGTAGACACAGGAGCTGGCCACAGGCGATGCACACAGTATACATTTTATGGTATTTATTCCTTTTGGAGCATCTTTTGAAGTCCTTAGTCTCAGGAGAAGGAATTTTCCTTTGCAACTTGGATTTTGTGTTTGCTCCAGGTTACAGGAGGCCAAAGGAAGACACTCTTCCTTCCATCTTTAGCATCTCCACGTGTATCTGTTTGCTAGCCCGGTGCCTCTCCCCTTCCCTTAGCTGGACCTTTTCTGCCTTCCTGGGTAGGCTTCTGAGCTAAATCTTCCCATCTCTCTCTGTGCATTCTGGCTGGCTGCACCAAAATATAAAAATCTTGATTTAAGTATTTTTGTATTCAAGGACCATACGCAAGTGTTCATTTGAAGGTTCAGTGGCATTTTGAAATGAGAACATCATATATAAAGATGTCAGAGATGGCGCCTCCCACAGTGAGGTTGAAAGAGAGAGAGGAAAAAATGAATTGAAGAGTTCCTGGGATCCAAGAAATTTTAACATCTCATTATTTAGATTACCCTACATATAATTTTCCAATATTTGGTATTACAGACTTCTGAAGGTATTGGTTAAAATTACTCCATGCCTGACATCAATTTAGTCTTATTCATTATCTAGCTAAAATAAAACCTTACAAATAGATGATTAGAGTAAGTAAGCAATTTTCTGATAAATGCAAATTCTCTACCATTTCCAAAGGAGCGTTCACAGCAGACTGGAATAGAAGGGCCAGGGGGTAATGGCCCCTTGGCATTCCAGCATCCTGGCATGGACCAATGTGGATTTGAGAAGGCCCGTAACGCCTGCAGGATCTGATTGTGTTTGGAATGCACCCAGTTTTTCCCAGCAGTCTGCTGCCTCCCTGACAGGGCAGATGATCCAGACTCCACTCACCCTAATGATGGGGATTGTGGTGTGTTCGTCTTACATACTCACTGCTTGATTGTTACTCCCAGCCCCTTGTGAGCTAGCGAAGCATAGGATCAATGTGTCCCTGTCATCACAGAATGAGCACAAACAGATGCGTCTCGGCATCCGATCTGAGTACTCACACAGGGGCTTCCTCCCCAGCCACAAAAGATGTCCAACCTCCTATCCACTTTCTTGGAACTCCTGAGACCACAGCTTGACTAGGTCTCAAACTCAACACCAATGGCCTGTGTCTCCAAATCACAGCTACCCCAACTCACAAATCCATACCTGGCACCTGCCTACAGAGCAGGTTACAGAAAACATCTGCGGGGGGCAATCCCTTTGGGGGTGGTGTGGTTGAACAGGAGGAATCTGTCACTCCCATCCAGACTTCGTGGGTGGTGTCAGACTTGCTCTAACCACGGTGGACCTACATGGAGAGCAGTAGGTGGGTGGACATATGCTGTTGTCACTTGGACAAGTTGGAGAGGCCTTTCCCTAAACACAAATAATTTCAGCTCCTGGAGTCTTCAAAGTGTCTGAATTTCTATCCTGAGTTACTCTTTGGGTTGAGGCCTTTTTTTGAAAAGCCCCTTATGCCATGTTCACAAGTGTCATCCAGCTCATCACTCCTGTCTATGCCCTGCAAGTTTGGACTCCCACAGGACCTGGACTCTTACCCCACTGTCGGATTTCTCCCCCTACCATGAACAGGAGAGTGTCCTGTTACCGTTCTGACCAAGGGTGTTGTGCTCAGGGCTTCCACCTAGGGTTGATATTCAGCCAAAATGCACCAGTGCAGCCAGATCTATGGTTAAAATATTGAAAATATTGTCATCTTGGTTGGCAAAATGCCCCTTCCCCATGTCCCCAGAGGGTTGGTTGTTCAACACTCAGGCCAGCCCAGCTCTATTATTGAATCTCCTACAGCCCACCAATGAAAGGGTCAATATTCCAGGAACTGGCTCCCATTCCACTTGTGTAATACAGACTGTCAAACATTTTGGATAATTTGTGTCAATGGGAGTGCATTCATCATCTTATTCTGTTTCCCGCTGTCTTTGCTGAGCACTGTGCCTTCACATCCGTGCCTGTTGTCATGGGTTCACATAGTCTGTGACTTCTGATGGCTGGATGATCCCCCCAAGGTTGGCATCTGCCAGATGACAGTCCTCCATCCCTGCCCCAGAGATGGGCATCCAGGCTGCTTCAATTCTGTACCACCATAGGCAAGGCTGCTGTGAATACCCTAGCTCAGGGCCCTATGTGGAGCAGTGTGAGAATTTCTTGGGAATGTGTACTAAGGAACAAAATTGCCTGCTCCGGGGATGCAGATTCTCATGTTGACTCCCCTCTGCCAGATTGTTCTCCAGATACCTACATCAGTCTATACTCCCACTGACTCCGTGTGGGAGCTCCTAGAACCCCAACAACCTATTAAAGCTTAGCACTGTCAAAGACATTGGAATAAGAGTAATTCCATCTTGAATAAAAGCTGGGCAAAATGAGGCTGAGACCTACTGGGCTGCATTCCCAGATGGTTAAGGCATTCTAAGTCACAGAATGAGACAGGAGGTCAGCACAAAATACAGGTTATAAAGACCTTGCTGATAAAACAGGTTGCAGTAAAGAAGCTGGCTAAAACCCACCGAAACCAAAATGGCAAGGAGAGTGACCTCTGGTTGTCCTCACTGCTACACTCCCACCAGCGCCATGACAGTTTACAAATGCCATGGCAATGCAGGAAGTTACCCTCTATGGTCTAAAAAGGGGAGGCATGAACAATCCATCCCTTATTTAGTGTAATGTCAATAAATAACTATAAAAATGGGCAACCAGCTACCCTTGGGGCTGTTCTGTCTATGGAGTAGCCATTGTTTTATTCCTCTACTTTCTGAATAAACTTGCTTTCACTTTGCTCTATGGACTCACCCTGAATTCTTTCTTGTGTGAGATCCAAGAACCCCCTCTTGGTGTCTGGATCTGGACCCCTTTCTTGTAACAGCACCATCCACATGCCTCATATTTTGCCAATCTAATGATACAGATAGGGTACCTCCACATTTTTTTTTTGAGGAGTTTTGCCCTTGTTGCCCAGGCTGGAGTGCAATGGTCCAATTTTGGCTCACTGCAACCTCTGCTTCCTGGGTTCAAGCAATTCTCCTGCCTCAGCCTCCCGAGTAGCTGGGATTACAGGCATGCACCACCAGGCCTGGCTAATTTTGTATTTTTAGTAGAGATGGGGTTTCTCCATATTGAGGCTGGTCTTGAACTCCTGACCTCAGGTGATCCACCCACTTCGGCCTCCCAAAGTGCTGGGATTACAGGCGTGAGCACCAGGCCCGGCCTACTTCCTCATTGTTTTAATTTAATTTAATGTCTCATTATTTGTGGATTTGAGCATCTCTTTATTTTTTAGTGAACATTTTGAATTTCTTCTTTTATTTCATGCACTTTGTCTCTTTTCTATTTGGGTTATTTCTTGGCTCTTTGTTGGCTGATGTTCTTGATATTACCTAAATACAATCCCTTGGTAGTCAAAGACATTGCCAATGTCTTTTCCCAGTCAGTCATATTTTTGTCCATGGTGTCCTTAATTGAAGATGAATTGGTTTATCGTTGCTGTTGTCTCACCCCTCTGATTGACCCTAGAATGCACCTCTGATGACTCACCTGTGCAATGGGGGAAACAAGAGCACCTACTTCACGTGGCAGTTTTGAGGATTACTTGAGACAGTGCATGGAGCTCAGTGGCAGAGTTCAGCAAGCACAGTGCTCTGCAGCCCCCATGGGCTCAACAGGGTCTGTAGCTGTTGGTTTTTCACTGGAGCTTGCGGATCCTTTGTGACAACTGAAGAGATCTTCCACGGGAAGCAGGAGCTATCAGATGCCACATCAGTCTGTCACATTCTCTCTCTCTCTAACCAGATCCACCAGTGGTCCTGTTCAATGTGGAAGTCCCAGGTGGTGGTAACTACAGGGTATGTTCACACCACTTTAGCCATGCTTCCCACAGGTTTTCTGAGAACCTGTCTCAAAAGCACACATTCTCTGATGGCCTTTCATACGTATTGTGAGCTGCTCAGACTAGAACTTACGATTCTGCCAGGTGTTTTGCAAAGTTTCAAACTCATCCAAAAAGACCTTGGTGTGTGGGTGTCTCCTTTATCTGTCTCTACCAATCAGGTGAGCACTGGGGCTTGTTCTATAGGAGGAATGACTCCAAAAGACTGACTGAGTGGTATTTCTTTGAGTAGCATTAAAGTGATTCAGAATTGCACACACTTCATCTCTCCCCCAGCAGACACAGACTTGAAAATTAGAGACAAAAATTTATGGCCAAATGTATTGTGGCTGTTATAAGAGGAAAGAGACCATTGTGTGATATGTAAGCTATTTTTGTTTGTTTGTTTGTTTGTTTGTTTTGAGACAGAGTCTCACTCTGTCACCCAGGCTGGAGTGCAGTGGCACGATCTCCACTTACTGCAACCTCCGCCTCCCAGGCTCAAGCCATTCTCCTGCCTCAGCCTCCCAAGTAGCTGGGATTACAGGTGCATGCCACCATGCCTGGCTAATTTTTGTATATTTAGTAGAGACCGGATTTTGCCATGTTGGCCCTGCTCATCTCAAACTCCTGACCTCAAGTGATTTGCCTGCCTTGGCCTCCCAAAGTGCTAGGATTACAGTCATGAGCCAACGCACCTGGCCTGTAAGCTATTTTAACAGAGCTGACTCAACTAGGGCAGCTGGAGGTCCCATGTAGAAGGGGGGATACTGAGCACCAAGCAGGACATGGCAGAGGAAGGACAGAGCAATCAGGCCCTGACCTGATTCTACCCAAGGTCAGTCTCACAAGGTGAATTCCAACCTGCTTTTCTGCAGCTCTAGAGTGAAAATCCTCATTCTCCAAGGCCTTCCTGCTGCTTCTCAGGGAACAGAGTGGTGGATGGAATGAAAGTGAAATCACCCTATTTGCCTTCTTCATTCAAAGGATGGGGAAACTAAGACAGAAAAGGAAAGTGGCCTGTAATCCCAGCATTTTGGGAGGCTGAGGTGGGTGGATCACTTGAGGTCAGGAATTCAAGACCATCCTGGCCAACATAGTGAAACTCCATCTTTACTAAAAATACAAAAATTAGCCAGATGTGGTGTCACGCACCTGTAATCCCAGCTACTTGGGAGGCTGAGGCAAGAGAATGGCTTGAATCTAGGAGACAGAGGTTGCAGTGAACCAAGATCCCACCACTGCACTCCAGCCTGGGTGACAGGCTCAAAAGAAAAAAAAAAGAAAGAAAGAAAAGGAAAGGAAAGTGAACCCACTCCATACAGCACAGCTAGTCAGCAGTAGTCAGGAACAGAACCCAGGTGATTTTTTATCTTTTCCTTAAAGTAGCCTGTGTCTCAGAGGACCTATGTCTCAGAGGAGACTTCTGGGACAAAATCTTAACTTCTCCATGGTTTAGGTTCCCAAGTGAGCTCCTAAGAATGCAGCTATGTGAAATTATCAATCAGGAAGTGACTCATTGTCAGGGAGTTTTGGAGAATATCCTCTACAATGGCCTCTCACTGAGTTGCATAATAGCAAATAACTGCATCTGTAGCTGCCTTTTCTTTGTGGGAGGAAGACACTGCCTTAAGCAATTTTTCATACATTATCTCACCTTGTGAAACAGAATGTAAATAGCAGGTTTGGAATTCAAGACCAATTCTGTTGAAAAATTAAGCTGGATCTCTTCCTAACACTACAGAGGAGTGAAATCTGGATAAACTAAAGGCTTAAGTGTCAAAATTACAACTTTAGAATTGCTATGAGTCATCTGTTGCTGAGTGACAAAATAACCCAACACTGAATGGCTTACAACAATGTGCCTCTTTATCTCCATGGGTCAGGAATCCAGTGTGGCTTAGCAGGGTCCTTTGGGGTTTCTCTTCCAGGCTGCAATTGACGTATTGGCCGGAGCTTCAGTCATCTCAAGGCTCAAGTGGGGAAAGATCCACTTCCAGGCTCATGTGATTGCAGCAAAAATCAGTTCTCTACAGGCTGTTGGACTAAGGGCTTCCGTTTCTCAATGGCTATTGGCCTTTCTCAGTTTCTTGTCTCATGGACCTGTCCAATATGGTAGCCGTCTTTGTCAAAGTGTGCAAGCTGGAAGGGCAATAGAGTCTACTAGCAAGCTGTAAGTCACACTCATTTGTAATCTAATCATGGAGTGGCCTGCCATCATCTTTGCTATACCCCATCCATGAAAAGCAAGTCACTAGGCTCAGCCTACACTTGATATGAAGGGATTCACAACCACGTGAGTACCAGGAGACAGAGATCACTGGGTGGCACCTTGGAAGTCTGCCTACCACAGGACTGTACAACTATAGAGGAAAAAGGAGAACTTCTACTCAACTGAAGACACTATAGACAGTTTATAGGCAGTGACAGATTTGGAGAAGTTTATGATGTCAAAAACTGATAAAGAATGCCTATAAATCAATAAGAAGTTGTCAAACAATTTCAGAAGGAAAGAGATGTACAAAGGCTGTAAATAGGCCATTTAGAGCAGAGATTCAAAAGGCTAATTAATAAGCACATATAGAGATGTTCACATTTATTAGCAATTAGAAACAAATGCCATTAAAACGAGACAGCGCTTCATTCTTTTCGGATTGACAAGACAGTTGGATAATGCCACATGTTGGCAAGGATATGGACTCCCCACACTGCTGGTGGGAATGTAGACTGGAGCTGCCAGCCACCCAGGAGCATCTGGCACAACCTAGTCAAATTTAATATATGCACATGCAGTGACCCTGCAATTCTGCTCATGGACATATATCCCAAAGAAATCCTTGCACCTGTTTGAAAAGACTCTTTCTGCAGCATTGTCTGTAGGGATGGAGAATTGGAGACAGCCAACTGGAAGAATGGATGGACATTAGAGAGAACTGTGTACAACCAGAAGCAGCAGATTTTACATTTAGAGAGCAACAACATAAGCGTGTGTGAAATCATGGTGAAGCGGCAGATTTCATGTTTGCAGAACAATGTGGGTACATGTGAAAGTCACTGTGTTTCATGAAACAAGAAAGATACAGAACCAAGTAAATAACATAATATCCTTTACGTAAGTTAAAAATGGATGCAAACAAAACAAAAATGTACATTTAACACAACCGCATGTTTTCCTATAGGAATAGGAGTAGCATGAGAGGATAAAGTGGGATCAATATACAAAACAAGAAAGGGACCATGTAACAAACAGTGGTAATCAGATTCTAATGACTGAGGAGTATGAGAGCTTAACCTTCTGTTCCTGCTGGGGAAAAAAAGTACTCAAGCAAAACATTTCTGCCAAACTCTTCAGTCCATTTGTGGAGTGTGCTACTCTGGAGGCAGGCACCCTATCTTGTTTGTGTTAATTGGTATGTTGCACCAGTTCGTCTGATCACAGTACTCTTTTTTTTTTTTTTTACATAAGACCTACTTATAATATAATTTATGCTCTTTGTCATATACCTTTGAAAATAGAGTTTACGATGTATGCATTCATTTTTGTTACTGCAAAAAAATCCTGTGTGTGTTCATGCTTGTGTGAGTGTGAGCATATGTGAGCCATAAGATAGTGACGATCCTTCTTAGGACTCAATGATTCCGTGGGTAGCTGTATTTCTCTGAACTACTCAAAGGGTTAATTTCACTAGACACGAACTCTCATGGCTTAAAACTATCTTCTTAAGACACTGCAATATTTCTCTTATTTTTATCTTTCCCCAGTTTTGCAAATAGCATCTCCCAGTGATCAAGACTGGCCACTAAATAATTAAATTTCTGGTAAAACTCACAAAAGGAAGGTGTGAGGTCTGATGTATAGGAAAACACACGCACATATGCCATCCAGTTTCCTAAAGAGATTCCAGCTTCAAATATTATCAGCACCTGGCAGGATGAGACTATTTTATGTAAATGGATTCATTATTATTAATTTCTGCCGGTGCTGAACGATTTATGAACTGCTTTTCGAATGTAGAAAAGTGGTTCATGAATCAGAAGGAAAAATGTTCCCCAAAACCGGCATCGATAAATAACGACTTTTATTCACGGATCCCACCCATGGTGTCTTTTATCTTCAGGAAGGATGGAATGAAAATTACAAAATCACTGTGGGAGTGGGGGTTGGGAACCAAAAAGCAGGCAAGGGTGGAAGAATTGGAGAGGAGGTTCCTGAAACAGTCCACTGGGCTGCAGAGTGTGACTGGCTGAGAGTCCCCTCCTGGGGACTTCTCCTTCTGGGGCAGCTCCTCCTCTCTCTTATTTTATTCTCATATAAACACCTGCTGGAAGACAGCTTCTGATTTTACCAGTTGCAAATGAGGTCCAGCAGGTATCTAATCTTTTTATTTTTTATTATTTTTTTAGAGACAGGGTCTCACTCTGTCACCCAGGCTGGAGTACAGTGGCACAATTACAGCTCACTGCAGCCCCAAACTCTTGGGCTCAAGGGATCCTCCCACCTCAGCCTCCCTAGTAGCTGCGACCACAGGAGCACGCCACCACACCTGGCTAATACTTCCTATTTTCGTAGAGATGAGGTCTTGCTATGTTGCCCAGGCTGGTCTCAAACCCCTAGCCTCAATTGATCCTCCTGCCTTGACCTCCCAAAGTGCTGGGATTATAAGGACGGGCCACTGCTCCCAGTCTAATCTTTTTAAAAGTCTTCATTTTCCAAACTTACAGTTTATTTTCTTGTCCCAAGATGGGTCACAGCTAGAGGCCATTCAATGTTGAGTGGCAGCCAAAAGTGCCAACTCCAGGTCTTTTGTCCAGAAAGATTCTTCTAGAACTGCTGACCTGCGAGGTAAGGACAGAGATTTAGGGACTATTCAATAGGTACTATTGAGCTCACATTTCTAGAATCCAAAGGCACTGGCAATAGGGGCCCTTTGGTTCCAGATTCACAATATTATTTCCAGGTTCTGCCAATTAGAAAAGACTTTAAATCCTGCTGGACCACTGCCTTCAATTTCAGGTTTGATAACCTCCAAAGCAGACAAATCCCTGTGATGGGCAAGACATTCCCAACATTGGCAAAAAAAGGGGCTTCCAGACTGTTCCTAGAGTTCTGAGACCTTGCCAAATGGTTTCACCTGGAGAAAGATATCCAAGGAAGCACTCCCCTCCATTGCCTCCAGATGGGACTACAGCCAGCAAATCCACCCAGAGCATTGGAAGGCCATTGGCTATCTGCAATCCTTTCCAGAGAAGCAATAGATTCAGCTACAAATAACTGGAGACTGAAGCTGCAGGGGGAATCACTACTGTTGGGTTAATGAAAATAATCTATTCCCAGTTGAAGAGGGTGGAGGCCAGGCATGGAAACACAATGGTTGAAGAAGTAGGCTAGTCTACCTGCCAGCTTACTCAATCAGCTTTTGTCCAGAAATAAACATAAAATGGGAACCAATGAATATGCAGTCTCTTCTGGGTCCCATTTCCTCTGTGTCTCCTTGGGTGGTCGTCTCGTGGTCTGTGATTTTAGTGCATTAAAATGTTAATTTTTAATACAACTACTTAATCCAGTATTCAACTGCAGAAACAATGATCTGTTTCAACAATGAAAAACAAATGGGAGAACCAGTTGTCAAATCCCCTGAAGACACATATGACCATTTCCAAAGGGATGTTTTACATACTGAGTTAGCTTTAATCCCTAGAGCAGATGTGTCCTCACAGTCATAGTTGGTTTTCTATGTTAAACAAACTCTTACCTCTTAAGCCTATTGTGAAGAAACCAGAAAAGTTTTTTAAAAGCAAATAAATAACTAGATAGCTTTATTTTGTTTTGTTTTACAATGGACTTAATCTGTGCACCATTTCTGGACAGCATATAAACACCACTCTTCTTATTTAAGGGAAGAAAAATTGAGATATAAAGAAGACAATTATCCTACAAAAACATGACAGCAAATTGGAACTGAGTCAAAAAGATTGCTTTCTGTTTCTGAATCTTCCTCCCAGAAGTGTATCCATTCAGTTATTGAGCACCTTCTGTCTGCCAACACTGTGCGGGGCCACAGGGATACAGCCATCAACAAGCCCCATAAGGACTCTCCCTTTCTCAAAGGGTTTATATTCCAGAGGGAAGAGACGATGATATTAAAATGCAATAATTCAATGAAAGTGGGTCATGGACAGTTGGTCATTTTTCTAGAAAATTATATGGATAAGGAAGGTGTCTTTGAGGAGCAAAGGCCAAAAGACAAGATGGTTGCAGCAATGTGAAAGGCTGGAAGAAGATTCCAAATAGAGGGGCAGTGATGAGCACTGTTCCTTTGACGGAAAGGGCCAACCCTGGGTGTGGCAAGAAGAGTAGAGAGAGGTGAGCTTAGAAAAGCAAGCTGAACCAACACATGTGGAACCAACAGTCTCTGGTAAGGAGTTTGAATTTCATTCTAAATGCCATGAGTAAACTGGGAAGGTTAATTTCAATTACTTTATTACCATGGAACTTCATTGAAGAAAACATCAAAAAAAATGCAAAGAAACATATTTTCTCAATATATTGGCAAATCCAGTCCTAGAGGAGAAAAGAGTGGATTGGCTGTCGTTAGGAACTGAGTAAATCACCCACAGCATTTAAATGCCTCCTTGGGTCTGGTTGCTCCAACATAAGCCAAACCTCTTTGCTACTCAAGACACTAAAGGTCCAACTTTGAAGAAGTAGGGGGTTGAAAGAAAAGGCATTTAGGAATTAAATATATGCTTCAATCAGTTGAACTTTTATACAGATTGACTGCAGTGAAAAATTAGAGCTTCATGTAATCCAATAGAGTAAAATCAAATGCTCCAAATAAATAAATAGTTGTCTTTTTTTATTAGCTTTCCATCACTCCTGGATCCATTTGTACATTGCCGTATGTCACCTC
This sequence comes from Homo sapiens, assembly GCF_000001405.40. NCBI lineage: Eukaryota > Metazoa > Chordata > Mammalia > Primates > Hominidae > Homo > Homo sapiens. Next base: position 31,403,620 of record NC_000019.10, on the reverse strand, counting down.
TCTCTTCGTTTGCAATGTTTCCTCTGAAAACTCTTCTGTTTATTTGAGCTTAGCAATCAGGCTTAAAGGTACCAATATATATTGTTCTAAAGTGTATATTTTTTCTGTCTACCAAAGACATAGTGACTACTCCTTTTATGGGAAACCAGTTATTAATCCAGTGAGTCTACATGAATCAATATCTTTGCGAAATGACACCATGTTCATGTTATTTTATGTTATGTTGATGGTTTGCTAATTTTGGAATGGAGACATTTCTTCTAGAAATAGACATAGTATAATTTAGTGGTGAAAACGTCAATCACCATAGGTTGTATGTCTTTGTCCTGGCAGAAGAGGGCAGGATTTATTGAAAGAAATGCAGCTTTATATTCCTTGGCACACTCTGACCCAAAACATCCATTTTGCTTATAATTTTGTTTGGCAAAATGACATCAGCTGCAATCACTAATAGAGAGACAATGCCAGAAGTCATTGTTCTGGGGTTCTGATTCCACAGTCTTGCTGCAGGGTGATACACTAACCACTTTAACGTGGCACTGACATCATGGTGCTTTTCTCTGCTGAGAGTAATCTACAAAGGAAAATTTGCATAATACCAAACAAATGTGTAAAATTTAGCCTCCCAAAACACATTTCGGTATGACTACTTTTTCCTCATCTCTAGCGGCCCATAAAGTAGTCTTGCAGTTTATGGATTCTTCATCTACCCCAAAGATATCTTCTCTCTTAAGACCACTCTCTTTCTCCTGCACCTCATCCCACTGACATTGTGTAGTTCAAGACAAAACGTACGGGAAAGAGGGATGAAAAAGAATCCACTGGACACAAGGGGGTGAGGCACAAGGATGCAAGAACATCCGGAGACTCAGACATTGTAGTAATTGCTGACAAAGGGAATTCATAGCACACCTGGATTCAGGGAGTCAGACCTCCCGCTGTCCTTGCTCTCCCACATTGACCCTGGGCTGGCTTTGGCTACCAGCTCATCAGCAAACATCACATCATGCAAGCACAGATTTGCATAATACTGCCCTGCTGGGGTAAGAAATATTGATGGGCCACATTTAAGCACTATTTCTTATAAAAGGTGAAAGCCTTTTGTATGTCTTACCTCATTTATCCTAACATAGTCCTGTGAATTAATCACTGCTATAATACCCATTTGACAGAGGAGGAAGCTGAGGTACAAGGAAGGAAGTGCCTTGCCCAAGGTCATAAAGCTAGCAAGGGTGAGGGAGATGTAGACAATGCTGGATGGAGTTTAAGTCCAGCTCACATGCTTCTCAGAGTTAGAAGGAAACTGGCAGCCCCTGTCATAAGCCGCAGTGGCCCTCAGACAATTCTCCTGACCCTGCCACCCAAGCACGTGTCAGGGCTTAATTGTTCTTAAGCAAGGGGACCTGCAAGAGTTTCCATCTCTTCCTGGAATTAGGCCCTTTCTTGGGACTCTCTGCTTTCATGGGGCTTTATTCATGCCACTCCAGAAGAGCACAGCATAATTTTGTTGTAAGGAAACTTGAAGGATGGGTGGGGTTTCGTGGCTGCCAAAGGCACAGAGATGAAGATCCAAGATCCTGTCCGAGAATTCTGAGGGGTCTCGGGACACCCAGATTTTGCAGTGGGGAGGAAAAAGGCTTTTCACTTTCTGCCTAACAAAACACATATATATGTGTGTGTGTATATACATATGTGCATATATATATATATGTATAGAGAGAGAGAGAGAGAAAGAGAAAGAGATGGAGTTTCACTTTTGTCACCCAGGCTGGAGTACAATGGCACAATCTCGGCTAACTGCAACCTCCACCTCCCAGGTTCAAGCGATTCTCATGCCTCAGCCTCCTAAGTATCTGGGATTACAGGCATGCGCCCACCACATCCTGCTAATTTTTTGTATTTTTAGTAGAAACGGGGTTTCACCATGTTGGCCAGACTAGTCTCGAACTCCTGACCTCAGGCAGTCCACCAGCCTCGGACTCCCAAAGTACTGAGATTACAGGTATGAGCCACCATACCCAGCACAAAACATATTTGAAATGAGGTTTGGACACATGTTGTCCTTCCCCTGAGCAAACATCTGTTCCTAGAGGCATGGCCCCACAGGGGCACTGAGAATGAGGACATATCAATCTCACCTCCAGACAGGAGTGCTAGCTCCAGGTCTTCCCAGTCCAGACTCCACCTCACCCACACCCACTTTGTAAAGGTGCTAATAAGCTTTGGGGACTCCTGAAATTGGAGACAGTAATCTGGGAAGGGGAGACACCAAGAAGGCAGTCTCTTCCTGAGACCCCCAGAAAACAAGATGACCAAGTCAAAGGCCAGGTCTGGGTTTTAATCATCTGTTCTTCCTGCTTGGCGGTTCTGGGGTGAGACTCCCCAGAACAGAGTCTACACCATGTGCACACCAGTTCCTACTGTATGGAGCAGAGTGAAGGGTGGAGCCTGCAGGACGACTCGCTTCATCTTTACATCCAGGTGAAGTTAGGACCAGCTGCGTGCTCTGGTCCAGAGGGCGATTATGGATGTGTAGGAGAGAAGGACAGATAGAGGGTGGGGTTGGCAGCAGAGCAACCTGTGAGCTTCCTTTGACTCAGAGTGGGATGAGGTGGGAGCACCTCTGCACTGACCATAACCTTCACTGCCACACATCTTTGCTGCTAAAAAAGTTTGATATAAATTCTATGGACTGACAGTGTCCATCCCCCAAAGAGATACTAAAAACAAATCTCACCTTCTAGAGGCAAAGCATTCATTGCTGACATTTATTGATGGCAATATAGGGAGTTACAGGTGGTGGGATTAGCTCACAGAGAAATCCTGGGTGGGCTGGGGCCAGCCCCCATTCTCTCTTGTCCTATCTCTATCTGTAGGTCAGAACACCTTAATTCCAACTTGTCTGGGGTCCACAGTCCATATACTAGACCCAGGACAAAAATCAGAAATGAAATCCAGCTGCAAGGTTCCACCATCCCAAGAGCTCTCTTGCAAGCCTGGGTGTCTCTCCGAACTCCTGACCCCTTCCATAGATGCCATTCATTCCCTGGAGAAAGTGACATCCCGTAGGGCGGGGAGTCTAGAGTCTAGAGGCTGCCCGCACACAAGCACTGACAGAGCCTACTTTCCTTCACATCCCCCTGAAGCACTTAAAGATATCAATCACCCAAAGACATCTCTGATCTTGAGCACTGACCCCTTTACCCCCCAGCAGCTAGGATTTCTGACCTGAGCTCAGTGGCTTTCAGTTCCAGCAAGAAGAGTTTTTCCCTGGTCTCTCAATGGCACTCCAAAAGCCAGAAGTGGTGGACTAGTATTTCTCAGGAGGCCCTGTCCTGTCCTGGCTCCTTGACCCCAGCCAAGGGCCGACTGGAAGGTAGGACAGAGAGAGGAGACCTGCAGGTGCCCATTCTCCATACTTCCAGGACTCACTTCCTTTCTTTCCTATCTTTGGGTTCCTTTAATGAAATGTTCTCCATCCCAGGCAGGAAAACCATTTCCCTGAAAAATATAAAATCCATTGCTGAGCGCTGCAGCGAGAATTAACCTTGATTACCACAGTAATTTACTAATCAAAACTGGAGACCTGGTAATCAAGCTGGAATTGCCAGCTGCTTGATTTTTATAGTAACATAACCAAGATCGAACATTTGGTAAACAAGGGGTGTGGGTGTGATGGGGAGACTGGGACAAGGTAAGGGAGGGGCAGGGCTGTCCCAGGGCTGGAAGGAGGCTGACATGTGCTCTGTTGACTGGGTAGCAGGAACAGCAGAAACAGACAGAAATGCAGAAACTTCTTCTGAATGGGACAGCCCATTGGATCTCATACAGAGTGAGTATTGAGGCAAAACCAGGTTTTTCACAGTCTGGCTTGTTTCAGATTTGGGCTCGCAGGCACTGGCTTCTTTGAGTAGTTTATTTGGGGGGCAATGGCAGCAAATGTCCATGGGGGAGCAAGGAAGTGAGACAGGGAAGAGAAGAAAGCCAGATGGGTTTGTGAGCAGCTTGCTGCTAGGGGTAACTGGAGCTCAGATCTGCTGAGACCCCTGGGGATGCAGTGCAGAATGGGACACAGAGCGGTCCCACCCAATGCGGGATGGATGCTCCTGGGGATGTTAACTCCCTAGCACTTCTGAGCTGCCTGTCCTGCAGGGTTGGAGGAACTTGCAGTAGAAATTGGTCCACAGATGAGCCCTGTGAGTGCTGTGGAGATGTGGATGGCATCAACTGCCTCAAATTGTATTTGCTCCCCTGCACAGCTTGTCCTTGAACTTCATTCCCTTAGCAAACATCAGCCACTCTGAAATGTGCCTTTTTGAAGAAGAAGGCACCATACTCCCTCACACTTCGGTGCTTTCGTCCATGCTGTTCACTCTGACATAGATGAAGTCAGCTGAGGGGGATCTCCCCGGGCCGCATGACCTACGGTGTGCCCAGAGCACCTTTTGTTTCAGCCCCTAATAGCACCTGCCACTCTGTGCACTTCCATTTCTATTTCCCTCCCCTCCTGCTAGACTGAAAATAACAGGAGGGCTGGACTGTGCTTTTCTCTGCATTCCTCCAGTCTAGAAGAATACTTGGCAAATGGGTTCTCAATAAATCTGTGCCAATCAGGTGACTGATGAATGAGCCTGGATCGAAGGCTACAGAAGAACGTCCCTGCCCAGGACCAAGGGACCTTGTAAACATGGGCCTTCCAAATGCCCTTTCTCGTGCATGACAACTTCACCCTCCAGCCAGGAGACAGGTAAGAAAGGAATAATTATATGCCCCACACACAAGACGAAACAGACCAGAGTTCAGCCTCAGCTATGAGGGACAGCCACTCTGTCAGCACCAGATTCTAAGTGGCCAAGCCCAGAACTGAACCCAGACGACCTGACTCGGAGCTGCTGGTGCTTCCTGAACCAGAGAGCAGTCTCATCTGTGCAAGGCTGCAGCCCAAGCACCCTGGCTCTGTGGACCAGACCCACCTCTGAGTTCCCTTCCTGGCCCTAAGGTGCTGAGCAGCACAGCAGGTAAAGATGTGCATACCGGAGTTGGTCTTGATCCTCCTCTATCCCAGGCCCTCAGTGAGTATTTCACCATTAACAACAATAACAAGGGCACTCTGTGTTTAGCACTTCTCCCTGGAAGCAGTGCCTCCAGGCTGCTGTGCAGGGAAAGATGGGTTCAAGAGGCAATGCTGGTTGCTGGTGATGAGAAGGCCTGATTGGGGACTCAGCACCGCACAGGTAACGACAGCATAGGTTTAGACAAGGGGCGGTGGACACCGGGAAGGTCATAGAAAGTCAAAAAGAATAGGGGAAACGTGTTCATCTGTTTGCATCGCTATAAAGGAATGCCTGAGACTGGGTAATTTATAAAGAGAAGAGGCTTACTTGGCTCACGGTTCAGCAGGCTGTACAGAACCTGCATGGGGCTGACATTGGCTTCTGGAGACACCTCGGGAAGCTTCCAATCATGGCAGAGTAGGGAGGGGAGCCAGTGTGTCTCATGGCGAGAGTGGGAACAAGAGAGAGGGGAGGAGGTACCAGGCTCTTTCAAACAAGCTCCCCTGTGAACTCGGAGTGAGAACTCCCTCATTATGGTGAGGATGGCACCCAGACACCCATCAGGGTTCTGCCCCCATGACTCAGACACCTCCCGGTAGGCCCCACTTCCAACATGGGAGGCCACTTCTTTACATAAGATTTGGAGAGAACAAAAGTTCCAAATCATATCAGGAAACAACCATAGCCCATCTCCCCAACCCCAGCCTGAGCTGGCCTGAGACTGCTTCTCAAGGAGGTCCAGAAGGCTCCTGGCCAGTGGGAGTAAAACAAAGCATGCAGGAGGGTAAGAGAATGGAGCCTCCCCCAGGCGCTGGCACAGAGCTGGGCCTGGAAGAGAGGCCAGGAAGAGGACTGGCTGGCCGTGAGGAGGCTGGGTTGGTGAATGCAAGAGCAAGTGGGGAGGGTCTAAGAGGTCCAAGCAGTCCATATTACAGGAATATCCTCTGAGGTATTTCCACAGGTCTCCCTGCCTGGAGTTCCCCCAGAGGTTGGGGAAGAAACCTTTGTGAGCAGTTGTTGGTCACCCACACGTGGTGCCATGGAGGTGCTGATTTGGAGATATTCACCCTCCAGCACCATGGACAAGGAGAGCAGGGGCTTCCAGGAATAAAAAGATGTCTTCTGCTTCTCAGGGTCCCCTCTAAAGTACCAAGAGGGTAGGAACCTGCAAGGAGACTTCAAGAGGCTGGGCCAGTATTCTGTTCCCACCTAGGGAAGAGGCAGCTGCCCATCCTACAGCCTGGGCTCTGAAATCATGATTTCAAGCAGTAGCAACAGGAAACAGGAGACTGCTCTTCCCCAGTGAACACATTTCAAAGGAGCTCAGTCATGAACATGGCCAGTAACAGCCAAGGAAAAGGGCCAGAGGCTGCTGTGGACGCAGAGACATTGCCATCGCCACGTGCATCCAGCTGACCACCCCCAGCCGCCTGCCTGTGCTCTGTAAATCCAGGAGTCGAGGCTCTTTTTAAATTAACTTTTTTTTTTTTTTTTGAGACAGAACCTTGCTCTGTTACCCAGGCTGGAGTACAGTGGCGTGCTCTTGGCCCACTGCAACCTCTGCCTCCCGGGTTCAAGTGATTCTCCTGCCTCAGCCTCCCTAATAGCTGGGATTACAGGCATGCCCGGCTAATTTTTGTATTTTTAGTAGAGACGGGGTTTCACCGTGTTGATCAGGCTGATCTCAAACTCCTGACCTCAAGTGATCTGCCCACCTTGGCCTCCCAAAGTGCTGGGATTATAGGCATGAGCCATTAACTTTTAATTACTCAAAGAATACATGAACACATTATTGTTATAAAATATTAAAACATTACAGATAAGAGTAAAGTCCTCTCTGACCCTCTCCCATCCCAATCCGCCATATATTCTGTATTATCATAATTATCTGTGGGTGTGTGGCCTTCAGGACATGTTCTTTGTATTTAGATGGAAAACGTACGGCATTGGTAGAAGACGAGGGACTGTCCTCCGTGCCATACTTGTTCTCTACATAAACATGACGTGGACACTTCTCTATTACTCAGAGGTAAACCATACATCTTGTGTCTGGTCGCTATGCACCATTTCCCTGTTGTGGGGCTGTCTGGCTAGTTTTGGCTTTTGATGTTTACTGCACCATACTATGGGAAGCATCCTTCCATGGGACTCATTGACTGTCGTTTTCTGAGAGTACACACCTAGTGTGGAAATGCTGGAACAGCAGAAGATTGGCACGTTTATAGCTGTGCTAGAGGTTGCCAACTTGCTGTCCTAAGGGCTTGTGAGTTGTGTGCACCCCTACCCAGTTCTCACATCCTCCCAATCCTTTATACTGTCAGATTCAAAAGTTTTGCCAATTTGGAGCCATAGAATGCTGTTTTAGTTCACACAGCATGGACCACTGGTGAAATCGAGCAGCTTTTATTTATTGATCATTGGCTTTTCTCTAAGAAGTCTTAGCCTTGACCTGTCTTTCTATTAGGTGTTTGTCTTTTTCTTATTTGTTTATGGTTTTCTGTGTTCACGCACACACGCACACATTCTAGACGCTGATCCTTTCAGTTTATAATGCCTCTGTAAGTCATATCTTAAAGGATTTTCTCCTTCTCCATCTTCTTCTCATCACCATTCTCCTCCTTTTTCTTCTTGGGAAAATCCAGACAACGTTGAAGAAGCATATTTACCTTTGGCACATTCTGGAAACTTCTTTCTCATCTTACCTCTGTTCTAACATTTGCAGCTTATGGAGCTAAGCAGCCTTTCTAATCTGTTTTCTTGAAGCTCTATGATTAATAAAAGCCATGAATTCTGATTATTCCAAAGGACAGGAATGTCATGTATCACCCCTGCCCACATATCTCTGGTGTGCAAGGCACATGTGACTAATTCATCTGAAAACTCCCTCGTCCTAAGCCTTGTTCAGCCTCAGAACCCTTCTTAACAATAGTGGCCACCACCATGACTCGGTTGGAGTTGGCCTGTAAGAAAATCTATATGCTGTCACTGCCTCAGCTTAATCAAGTATGTTTTAATCATCCCAGTTAACAGGGGTTTCAAAGCCTCCCTACCTCACAATGATTAACTCATCAGAGTTTTCATTAAAAAGAAAATCTCAGCTAATTGGTTTGACCTCTCCATTTAGGAAAATGATAATAATAACAAGCTAACATTTATTGAGTGGTTAGTATGTGCCAGACAGTGTGTAAAATGCTTTACACGTATTTTCTCATTGAATCTGACAGCAGCTACTTAAGTGGAATGGTGTCATGTCACGGGAAAAAAGGCAAAAACAGTGCCTCTGCTGCTCTGAACTTGACCCTTTCCTCTCCTACGATGTGAGCTGCAAGAAGTCAGCTTTTCCTTCTGCCTGACCCATTATTATGTAGCATGCTTATCCTCTGATATGCTCAAAACGGACTGTGGCACAGTGAGCTTTCTTGTCTTTGCGGTCCAGAATGCAGATTGAAGATTGGTAGAGAAATGGTAGAAAGAGATTTCACTTGCAAAGTCCTGCTGCCTGTAGCTGATGGTGTGCCAACCAGATAGCCTTTAGCAGGCTGCAGTCCATGCACCTGACTTCTGCTATTAGGTTGGTGCAAAAGTAATAGTCATTACTTTGGCAAAAACCCTAAATCATTTCTCTTAATTCAAAGTGTCACAAATCTCTAGGGCAGGGGCAAAATGTCACCAGTCTCTTTGTGAAAACATATCAAGAGTCACCCTTGATCCAGTTCCCAACAAGTTCCTCATCTCCAGCTGAGACCACCTCAGCCTGGATTTTATTGTCCATATCAGCATTTTGGGCAAAGCCATTCAACAAGTCTCTAGGAAGTTCCAAACTTTCCCACATTTTCTTGTCTTCTTCTCAGCCCTTCAAACTGTTCCAGTCTCTGCCTGTTACCCATTTCCACATTTTTGGGTATCTTTTCAGCAACACCCCAATATACTGGTACCAATTTATTGTTTAGTCTGTTTTCATGCTGCTGATAAAGATATACCTGAGACTGGGAAGAAAAAGAGGTTTAATTGGACTTACAGTTCCACATGGCTGGGGAGGCCTCAGAATCATGGCGGGAGGCAAAAGGCATTTCTCACATGGTAGTGGCAAGAGAAAATGAGGAAAAAGCAAAAGTGGAAACCCCTGATAAAACCATCAGATCTCGTGAGACTTATTCACTATCATGAGAATAGCATGGGAAAGACCGGCCCCCATGATGAAATTACCTCTCCCTGGGTCCCTCCCACAACACATGGGAATTGTGGGAGCTAAGATTCAAGATGAGATTTGGGTGGGGACACAGCCAAACCATATCACAATACATTCCAAAGGCCACCCAGAACCGGTTCTGAATTCTATAAGCCTGGCTCTCCCCTGGCCAGCACCTCAGTTTCCTAGACTGGCAGCATCCTGGCTGCGTGGGGTACTCATGTTCTCAGATACCTGAGTCCTTCTGATTTTTCCTGTTAACCTTGGGCCACATCAACACAATATCTGGTGAAGTAGTTCTCTTGATAAATAAGAAACAAAACAACAAAAATCTAACTACAACAACCGTTGGGTATTTTTTTGTTCCATAGTTGAAATATCTAACTATCTTTGTTTTTAAAATGATTAGGCTTGGCCAAGTGCACTGGCTCACGCCTATAATCCCAGTGCTTTGGGAGGCACAGGAGGGTTGTTTGAGACCAGAAGTTTGAGACCAGCCTAAGCAATGTAATGAGACCCTGTCTCTACAGAAAAATATAAAAATTAGCTGGGCACTGTGGTGCATGCCTATAGTCCCAGCTACCTAGGAGGCTGAGGCGGGAGGATTGCTTGAGCCCAGAGACATGGAGGCTGCAGTGAGCCATGAATGCACCACTGCACTCCAGCCTGGGCAACAGAGTGAGACTCTGTCTCTAAAAATCAAACGAATAAATAAACAAAACACTATTAGGCTTTATTTAGTTATAAATTACCCAAATCACCACCTGAGTTCTCTCCCTTTGCTTTTACATATGTAAACATAACTTCAATACTAAAAGAGAATTTTTTTTTCCTTCTTCCTCAGAAATCCTACTAAAGTCAAGGGCAAAGGGCATCAGACTCATTTTTGATGTGAAGAAACCAAGTCACAGAGAGGGTGGCTTGCCCTTGAGGGCTCCATCTAGGAAACATCATGGGCCCATTAATATCTGGGTTGAAAAATCCCTTTCCCAGGCTGCTCTGAGCTCCCGTCTGAGCCTCTCTCCCCAGCCCCTCACTTCCCTGGGCCAGGAGTCAAAGCCTGCCCTGGAGTGACAAACGTGAAACCCCAGCTCTGCTCTGTCAAAAACCACTAGGGTCTGTCCTTTCCTCAAGGGCTTCCACTCATACACCCCAGGAGCTGGCCGAGCAGCAAGGCAATGTTTTCTGCCTTCCTTTCCATCTTGCCAGCTGCCTCCTGGACAGAGCTTTGTTTAACTCTCCCTGCAGTTCCCCTGGAAGACTGAAGAATTTGCAAAATGACCCCAGAACAGGGCTTCTAGTCAACTGGTCCTCTCCTACCCCTCACCTGGGGACAAATGCCATTTTTTAGAATTTCCTCCTGAGGTGGCAAACTAGCTAGAGATGAAGAGTCACACTGAGAAAGAAACCAAAGAGCAATTATTTAAAACCAAGTTTTCTCTCTCTTCTGCATCCATATTTGGGACAATGGCTCTCTTTCGGGAGGACAGATGATCCCTTAGCACTCAGGACTGGAATACCAGGCGAGAACTTCAAAATGGGAGAGTGCAGGAGGGAGGGAAGGCTCAATGGAGCATTTTCACATTGCAACAGGGTTGTTTCCAGGTTCATGTCAATTTATTCAGCAATCAAGAGCAATCCTCCTCACTTTGCCAAATGATGCAATAGTTCTCTCCCATTACAACAAGGAATGGGAGATGGTAAACAAACAGCATTACGACGTCACAAATCAATTTTATTGAAAACGTATTAGGTTTCAGTACAACTGAAGGATCAGACACCCAAGGAGAGAAAGGCAGGGGAGAGGAGACAGCGCACCAAGATTTACTTCTGAGTGCTACAAAATATTGAACTAAAAATAACATTAAAGATGATATTTGTAATGAATCTCAAGCTGCTAAATTCCCCAAGGCCGGTTCTGCCAAAGGCTTTGCTGCAATCCTCTGTTCTTTCTTGTCTTTATTTAAATATTTTATACAGTTGTCTATGTTCATGTGCAGTGTGAACTGTCATTTATATTTCAGTCCACTTTAAAATGGATCTGAGGCTACTTCAAGCTGAGCGCCGCACGGAGCGGGTCTGCGCGGAGAGGTAGGTTGGAATGCGGAGAATAAATGAAGATGGATCCTTAATGTACTTTTTGTGTACTTATATTTGCCTGTCATGTTTTCTGCCTTAAACCTGATTTGTAATTCTATGGGTTTTGTGACATTATGATAAGATGCGATCCGTGGAAAACTCACATTTAGCCGGGACGTTGATGGGCATTTGAGTTAAAGAGAGTGGTTGACGGGAGAGAGGCAGAATTCGGACCCTGCGGCTTAATGCTTAGTGGAACAACTTGCTTGGTCTGGAGCTGTAGTATTTCATGCTTTTCTATGCATTAGACTTTGCCAAAGTGAAATTTTGGAAGAATAAAACATTTCCAAGATAAATTCAATTTTCCCCCGTATTGAACTGAACTTTCTATGTCACTTAATGATGTAGGGGAGTTTGGGCAGAAAAGTGCATTTTGTTAGTTTGCACACCAAGGAGGTGGGTTGAGAGTAAGTCGGGAGGCCAAGTGTGAAGGTAAAGGAAGGAGGGCTGGAGTGGGAAACGTGGACAGCCCTGGAGGGTCCTCTCAGACTCATCCCACAAAAACGTGTGTGTGTGTGTGTGTGTGTGTTGTGTGTGTGTGTGTGTGTGCTGGGGGTGGGCATGGATCCCTGATAAAGTTCCGCATTTGGATTCTACAGAGGGTCAGAGGTCAGAGGTGCTGGCAGTGTCAAAGCACTGCATGAACAATTCTGGGGTGACAGAAATGTAGGTAGGGGGACAGGGTTCTCCACAGCCTCCTCCCTTTTGCAGACTGACTGCCAGGTAGCACCAGGTTTCACTATCGGCCTCCCTGGGCAGTGCCTCTCCTTGCAGCCCAGCCTGAGTAGAAGGAATTCTGCTCCATTCTGCTTCTGGCCCTTCACCTCCCTGGAGAGTGCTCTCCTCCTGGACCAACCAACACCTTCCCCTTTGGGGCCGCTCCAGTGCTCAAGATCCCGGTGCCTGTGGATGTTGCTAGCAATGCACCCATGGGATCTGAGGGCATCTTCTGAGAGGGAGGCCATGGTTCATGTAGGAACATATGTGGGAGCACAGGGACCCAGGAGTGAAGGCCGTCCCAGGGCCTCCCACCCTGGCTTTTCTCTAACAGCCATTGATCTAGAATAAATATCATCATACCTATGTTTTCCCAGAGAGTGCAGGAAATACTGAAAGTGTTGGGAGGCACTTTCTGCCCTGGCCTTTCTCCCTCTCCTCCCATATCTTCATGTTGTATCCAGCAAATATCATGGCAGTCAGACTGGGCTGGTTCCAGACCTCGCTCAGATATTTACTGCTGCGTGACAGTGGAAAATCAGCCAGCCTATCTGCAGAAAGTTAAATGAGGCCCCAAAATAGCATGTCCACCTGCCACCCTCAGCATCTGTGAATGTGTCCTTATTTGGAAAAGGGGTCTCTGTAGACGGAATTAAGTTAAGGATCTAGAGATGAGATCATGCTGGATTATCCAGGTGGGCCCAAATCCAAGGACAAGCGCTCTTTTAAGAGATGGAAGAGAAGACCAAGAGATAAGAGGAAAGACGACATGAATACACAGGCAGAGACTGGAGCGAGGCAGCCACAAGCCCAGGAACACCTGGAGCCACCAGAAAAGGTAAGGAAGGCCTCTTCCTAGGGCCTTTGGAGGGCGCAGAGCCCTGTGGACATTTTGATTTCAGGCTTCTGGCCTCCAGAATAGTGGGAGAATAAATGTCTCTTGTCTTAAGCCCCCACCTCTCCCCCAACCAGTTACTGTTCTCTGACGGCAGCCCTGGGAAGGAAATATGTCCTCTAAACCTCAGGTTCCTCACTTAAATGGCACTGTTGTTGTCCTTGCAGGAACTCTGGAGATGTGGACATGTGACATGCAGAGGAAGCTAACCAGAGCTGCCGGCGCCAGGGCCATCTCCCTTCCTGCCCTGATACACTCCCTCTAACAGCCAAATGTTCTGGGACAACTTGTGGCCCTGTTCCTTCCCTCTCCCCATAGGCCACCCTGCTCTACCTCCAAAGCGTATGTCCTTCAGGAAGCCCACAGAGCCCTTCCCCTCATGACTGGGGTGACTTTACCCTCAGGGTCAGCAAGACCCAGCCCCAGGCCCTGCTGGGCCTCAGGGAGCTGGAGGAGCCCCTCGCCCTCCATGCAGAAGCTGTGTGAGGCCTCCAAGCCCACGCATGGGGCTGCACAGCTCCTGCTGCTGTGGCCAGATGCCCTTTGGCAGCTAGGAACAGAGGCCTGCTCATTGGTTCTTAAGGAAGGAAGTAAACCTTGTTAGGAGGCAGAGACTTTTGGGGAAACCCAAGGCAGGAAGGAGGGCCCTGCCTTCCAGACGTACAGCCTGTACCTGGGAACACGAGGAGCCCCAAGGTGGCATCTCTTCTCCCTCGGCTCCTGTGGTTCTCCTCTGCATCAGCCCTCTCTATGTTTTTAGGACAAAAGGAAGAAACCCATGGCCTCTAAGTCACTGGCACCTTGAAGACAGGAGGCTGGCTCCCAGGGCCTCCCCGCCTTAACTCCAAATCCTCCACAAACAGAACACTGGCATGGCTTGGCTCAGATGTCCACCCTACTTCTAATCTGCAAAGACTGGTGAGAAGGTCACACAACATAACTCAGCCTGGGATGTTCTTCCGGGCAACTGGGATGAGTTCTTGAGAATGGCAATGGGGTGGGGGGTATGGGTAGGGAAAATCCTCTCCTTAAACCTGAGAAACCCCAACCAACAACCATCACCCCATCAGATTCCAGCCTCTGTAACCTGGTGAGTCTCTCTGGGTGGGGGTCAAGGCTGCCCAGGGGTACTTGCTTCTCTGCGGTGACTTGATGATGTTGCTGGTACTAAAGAGAGCAGGGTGGTTGGCGATGAAGTGAAAAGGCTTGGATTGAAACTTCAGCATCCTGCATATCTATAAAATACCCCCCGCACAGGGATCCATGTCCCCAGCAGGACTCTCCCAGAGGCCCTCCTCAGGAGACTTGTATCCTGGGACTTCTGGGGTGTGAAAGCCCACAGAGAGCTCTCCCTAGCGATAGTGGTAGCTTTAACCTCAGGGTCAGCAAGACCCAGCCCTGGCCCCTGCTGGGCCTCTGGGAGCTGGAGGAGCATGGACCTTGCACACAGGGGCCCCGGGACTCCACCAAGCCCATGCAGGAGGCTGCGCTGCCCCAGCCACCACCACTGCTGGGACCAAAGCTCCTTTGGCTGCAAGAACAGAAGCCTGCTCACTGGGTCTTAAGCAAGAAGGCAAACTCTGTTGTTAGGAAGCAGAGACTTTGGGGGAATACAAGGCAGAAAGGGCAGCCCCCCAGGGTCTCGGAGGAGGCCAAAGCCTGAGAAGTCCAGAAAGACTAACGGCCGGCCTTTCTCTCCCTTCTATGCACAACCAGGCCGTGCATACATGCAAGTCCTCACAGGCTAGGAGCTCAGTCATGACAGCCAATGTTTCATGGCAGAGAATCCCCAGGCCTGGCTTCCACACCCTGGCCACTTGGCCATTTTTCTCCCTTTCTGTGTCCTCAGTTAGGTTGCTTATTCTCTCGGATCCTCAGTCTCTTCATCTGTGAAATGGCCATCAGAGGCCAACCTCTGGAGGGCAGGGAGCCTCCCCTGAGATGCTGTGAGGATCAGAATCATTGTATTGATGCAACCGCCTCAGTGAGAATCAGGGCCTCAGCATGAGGTCCTTTGGTTTGCTTGTTTTGAAAGTAGAATTTTGGCCAGGTGGCTCATGCCTGTAATACCAGCACTTTGGGAGGCCAAGGCAAGAAGATTGCTTAAGGCCAGGAGTTTGAGACCAGCCTGGGTAATCTAGTGAGACCCTATTTCTACAAAAAAATTTAAAAACTAGCTGGGTGTGATGGTGTGCATCTGTGTTCCAGCGATTCGGGAGGCTGAAGGTGAGGATTGCTTGAGTCCAGGAGATAGAGGCTGCAGTGAGTGGTGATCATGCCTGGACAACAGAGTGAGACCTTGTCTCTTAAAAACAAAACAAAGCAAAAAAACAAAACAAACAAACAAAAAAAAAACGAAAAACCAGAGCTTCCACTGGCAGGCGTGGTACGAATCCCCTGAATCCCCCGGAATACAGAGTGGGGAGAGCTACAGGTGCACACGGGCCCCGTGCCCCTCTCAGGTCTCACACAGAGCAGAGCCGTGCTCCAGGAGGGCTGAGGCCAGGGTGGCCTGCTTGCCTTACCAGAGTTCTGCCTGCCCTGTCCCCTCTTTGTCCCCCTAATCTCCTTTGTATTTCCTCACTGACCCCAGCCATGGATCTGACTCGTAACCTGCTTTCTGTTCACAGAACTCAGGCCTTCAATGAATGATTAGGCATTCACACTGAGGGACGAGAAAGTGACGATGAGCTCTCAGAAACCTCCAGGCGACAGGAGGAGGTGGGCCGGGCTGGGCCTGTCTCCCAGGAGGCCACAAAGCCGCAGGCTGATCTGTGACCCCAAGCGCTTCCTTACCAGGAAGGACACGTGTCCTGGGGAAGTTGGCTAAAAAGTGGTAGAACAGGGACAAGAGAATGAGCCTCTGTGGCGTGAATACTTAAGGCCACATCCAAAAGGCCAGCCTGGGCCTGATGATCTAGGAAACCACATGTGACAGGCAGCACAGTGCTCCCCGAAACATTAGGTCCCAGCCACTGGAACCTGTGGTTGTCGCTTTATGAGGAAAAGGGGGTCTCTGTTGATGTGATTAAGAACAGAATCTTGAGATGCAAAGATTATCCTGGTGGGACCTAAACGCAGTGACAAGTGACCTTAAGGGAGGAAGGCAGAGGGAGGCTTGACACAGACAGAGGGCAAGTCTATGTGAAAATTCAGCACGGAGAAATTTGAAGGTGCTGGCACTGAAGCTGGAGTGATACAGCCACAAGCCCAGGAACACCGGAGCCAGCAGAAGCCAGAGGAGGCAAGGAACGGATTCTCCCTGGGAGCCCCCTGAGGAAGCAGGGCCATGCCACACTTCGATGTGGGCCCAGTGATGCTGAGTTCAGTCTCCTGGTCTCCAGAACTGTGAGAGCACAAATGTCTGTAATTTTAAGTCTCCATGTTTGTGGTCATTGGTGCAACAGCCACAAGGAAACTAACAGGCCACAAAAGACAGGTCTGTCTCCAACCCTGCAAGAATACCAGCTCCCAGGGCACTGGCAGGGGCTCTGTGTTCCCCAGGTCCAGGAGTGGCGTCACACACAGACTTGGATTGCTCCCTGGGTTTCTAAGAGTGGCTCTCCACAGTCGGATGCAAGCGCCTGGAGGGCCAAGGCTGTGTGCTGTCCATCCCTGCGTGTCTGAAACTCAGCACGGGGTCTGGCACAGGGAAAGGACTCTCAAGAGTGACTTGTGAATATGAGCATGAGCCAGCAGCAAATGGACATCGAGCCAGGAAATCAGCAGAGCAGGTTCTGGTACGTGGATGGCAGAGGTCTCATGGCATCATCCTGTATCGTTAGTTAACTTGCATGCAATGGGGCTTTTCAGATATATGCCTTGCCTTCCCAACAAGCCTTAAAAGCTCCTTAAGGTGGGGACCTCCTCCTCCCTCGCAGCAGAGATCTACACAAGGCTCGGCAAACAGGAACTGCTCAACAAAGATCCACTGGCCACTTGGCTGGTGGATGGATGGATGCCCAGTTGGGAAATTGACATTTCCCAGCCAGGCAATGCCATCCACCCATGGGCCTCAAGTGCACAGGCTTGTGAGTCCCATTTTAAAATGTAGAGTGCATAAGTCTCCAACTGTAGGCTCTGTGAGTCCAGAGAAGGCCAAGGAAGCTGCATTTTTAATTTTGAAACCAAGATCAGGTTGCAAGGCCACCTACGGGAGAGGCTGATGAAGACACCTGAAGCTGAACTAATGAAGGTTTATAGCTTCCCATAGGCTGGCCGCTGGAGTTGAGAGTTTGCTCTCTGCTTAAGCATAGATGTGATTTGAAAAAAATGCAGAAGTGGTAACACAAAATTATCTGGCTCCATTTGGGGAGGAGCCCAGCTGGTCATTGCTCAGGATCTAGTTGTCTGTGCTGATGCTCCCTGGCAAAAGCAATTGTTCAGGAGGAAGCAGAGCGATGAAGTGCAGAGAAAACTGCAACTCGACACTGAGTGAATGCAGGGTGAACACACGGAGGAGTTTTGGTGTAAACACATCTTTTTTGAGGGTTGGCGATTATTTCTGAAAATTACAGATTTTCAATGTTTGCTTTGGTAGGAACAGCTGCCACTCTAAGAGCCAAACTCTAAGCCAGAAAATATTGTGCTTTGAGCTGAGTGTTCTTGTGTTTGAGATGAAGCAGGAGCTCCCTGCAGCCTGGCACCTGCTGGGTGTGCTGGCCAGCTCCCTGCTAGTTTCCAGCCTGGGTGCCCTATGCAGAGAGATCACCCTAGTGAGAGATCACCCAGTGAGAGATCACACTGCCTTTTCCTCCAGGAAAGTGAAGAGGCTGCCCTGACTGGACACACTGCAATCCCACAATTAGGGACCACAACATTCACTTAAGAGCTGATGAGGTGGACAGCAGAAATAAGGCAAAGCATGGAACAAGGCATCAGAAAGCTGTTGGAACCTCAGCAGGGCCCCTTCCCCTCTCTGGCCCTCAAACTTTCCATCTGTTAAATGAGGGAATTTGACTCTGTCCATATGGGATACTTCATAAAAGATGTAGTTGAAAGGTTTTAGGTAGCACATGGACAACTAATTAAATAACAGTAATACCACTTTGAGAAATTTGTCCATACTTTAATTCTTTCTGTCCCTCTGATGATATCCAGTTAGAAGGCTTCTTTTGGTACCAGGATCTCTTTTGCATCATTCTCACATTTTGCTCATCTTTTTAACAAAAAAAAAAGGCGGGGGGGGGGGGGGGTGGGGGGAACAGACTTAAGGCTCATGGCTGTAAGACAAGCAAAATTATCTAGCTTGCATTTAATAATGGTTTCTTGTATTCAAGGCAAGTGATCAAGGATTTTCACCTATAGTAATGATGGAAAGTTTTGTTTCAAATAAATGTGTGTGAGCACAAAGAATGAGACAAATTGAACAGATGCATTAGGTCAATATAAATGCAGATGTTAGGTGGAGAGTGCTATCAGGTGCCTGATGTTTGGGAGTTCCTGTATCTCCCTAACCCTAAAAACCTTTCCAGTTCACCTTTCCACCAGCCTTACGAAGAGCAGTGACTGTGGTTACAGGCCACATCTTGTCCCTGATTTTCATTTAGGAGCTAGACTTGCAGTGACCCTGGGCCATCTAGCACAGAGATTGCCTTTCTATTCCTGCTGGAACCTCCAGCCTGCAACCACAGAAATTGCCTTGCCCATTCATGCCGCTGACATCTGCAGCCTCCTATGCACCCTTGACACTTTAATATCACTATCAAAAGACATATATCTGGGTGTCTGTGCTACAAGAGAACCCAGCAAGTTTTTCCTCCTGCCTGTTTACATTAAAAATACTCATTACAATTCAAATGACTTTCAAATTATGCTCATCTGGATTTCTGTGCTGTATAAAGACTCCCATGCCTATCTCTTTCTGGGGTTATAAGTTAAAATATTTTTATTATGATAAAAACTGCTTTAAAGGCTCCGCAGACATTTGCTAAACTGTAGATACTACAGCTTCATGCTGAATAAGCTGTCTCTCTCAGCCCACCCCAAAAGAAGGGAAACTGAGGACAAGGGCCCTGCAAAAGAATGTTGCGTTGAGCATCAACTTGAGTCCTGGTGGTACAGCAAGTGACAGTACTACATGCAGCAACCATGGGTTAACTCTATCCATCACTGACTGTATGGAGGGAATTACTAGCATTGGCCACCCTCAAAAAGAATGCTTGTATTCCCCATCAGTGAATAAAAGGCACAGGAAAATACATTTTAGCTAATATGAGAAGGAATTTACTAACACTCAGAGCTTTCAGCAGGGAAATGTGGAGAGATTACCCTAACACTGCCTTCAAAGGTAGTGAGCCACGAGTCTCCACAGGTCTCCACAGGAGGATCCCAATCACAGACTCGGTGGCCACTTGCCTCTGTAAAAGCAATTTGAGGCCGGGCATGGTGGTTCACACCTGTAATCCCAGCACTTTGGGAGGCCAAGGGGGGTAGATCACTTGAGGCCAGGAGTTCGATATCAGCCTGGCCAACATGGTGAAACCCCATCTCTACTAAAAATACCAAAATTAGGCCAGCCGTGGTGGCACACGCCTGTAATTCCAGCTACTCGGGAGGCTGAGGCAGAAGGATCGCTTGAATCTGGGAGGCAGAGGTTGCAGTGAGCTGAGATTGCGCCACTACACTTCAGCCTGGGTGACAGAGCAAGACTCCATCTCAAATTAAAAAAAAAAAAGAACAGAAAAAAGAAATTTGGGTGCTAGATTTGTGGATTGCATCCACTTCCAACTCTGAGAGTATGCATTCAGCTCTGCATTAGACACAAGTTCTGGAAGCAGATGAATGACATCCAGCTGAAGTTGAATTCAATGAACTATATTGGTAGACAATGGGACTGCAAGTCCAGGCACAGCAGGATCCAGGTGTTCAGATGACATCATCGAGAAGCTGTCTCTCTCTTCCCTCCTATGTGGTTTCCCAGTGGCTTCATTCTCCAGAAAGCAGCAAAGTGTCTTTCAGCTGCTCCAGGCCAGCACTCTATCAGCTGAGCAGCCTGAGCAGGAAAGAAATTCTTCCCCAGTTGGTCCAACAAAGGTCTTAAGGTTTTCCTAAGAAACAATCAGAAACTCACAAAAACCTGTATATAAGAGCATTCACTTACATCTACTGTCTACTGCAAGATAATTGAGACAACTTAAATGTTCCAAGGTGGAGAATGGGTTAAATAAATAGTAATATATCCAAATGATGGAATACTATGCAGCCAGTAAAAAGTTATTTCCAGGGAACAGTAATGATATGAAACTGTTCTTGATATATTGTTAAGCAAGATACAGAAGTAAATAAATAATAAGGTCATACTAACTAGGTCACAAAAATTTTGTTACAAAATATTTATTAATGAAAAACTGGGTGTAAATGCACCAATATATTTTCTCTGAGTAGAGGGATTACAGATGATATTATTCTTAAACATTTTTAAATTTTCTACATTTTCTACTATGAATATGTATTACTTTATATACTTAGAAAAAGGTAAACAAATATTGTTTTAAAAGCTGGACAGGCATGAGTGGCCAGCAAGTAGATCCTCAACTTAGGCAGCAGAAAGACCCACAGAAATTACTCCTGTGAGGCTGAGGACCTGCAGGTGTGCTCTGGCCCAGCCCCCAGGTGCTCCATCCGCTAGCTCCTATCTCATCCTTGGGGGATGGTTGTAGCCATAGCCAAGAGACAGTGTGCAAGAGACAGGTGCATGTGTGCATGCACACACACACACAGCTGTTCACACCAGCTCCATTGCTAAACTGGGCTATATGTTCAAGACAGACTTACAGCACAGGCACTTAGAAACTTGTAGGCCCCCTGTTGTGTCTGATAGTAACATCCGTCCATTTTACATTCAGGCTTCTTGGTAAAATGTACATAGCCTCGCCTGCTATGAATCAAAACACATCGGCGTGTCTTCTGCTCAGCCCATGGAGGCATCAGGGTGATGGCAGCTCACAGTACCCAACCCGAGGCAGCACGTACTGCAGCACCAACTGCTCCTGAAGGCGGCCAAAATCCTGGGGCCAGGGGCAATCATCTCGGTTGTAAGAGGGCCTGAAGCTGTCACCATCCCCTGTCCCTCTCTCCAAGGACACAGAGCTTAGCAATTCTGGGACCCGCCCTAGCACTGCACCTTCCCAGACCAGCCCTTCCTCTGCCAGAGTTGCTGCACCTGGCGTTTCACTGTGGTGCCTGTTATGGATTGTTCCTGAATTCCTCCTCCTATTTTTTTTTTGAAGTCATTTGGGAATGGCTTTTAGGAGGATGTGAGTCTTGGCCACATATCTGAGGCCAGGAAGAGCAAGATTTAGCTTAAGTCATGGAAGAACTATGAACATCTATTAGGCATCAATTAAAAATTGTTTAAAAACACTATGAGAGTAAGAAGTGCATATAAGAACTATCAGACTGCACGGGTGTAGTGGCTCCAGCCTGTAATCCCAGCACATTGGGAAGCCAAGGTGGGCAGATCACTTGACGCCAGGAGTTTGAGACCAGCCTGGCCAACATGGTGAAACGCTGTCTTTACTAAAAATACAATAATTATTCAGGCATGGTGATGCACACCTGTAATCCCAGCTACTTGGGAGGCTCAGGCATGAGAATCACTTGAACCCAGGAGGCAGAGGTTGTAGTATGCTGAGATTATGCCACTGCACTCCAGCCTGGGCGACAGAGTAAGGCTCTGTCTCAAAACAAAACAAAACAGAACAAAAAGAACCATCAGACAAATGCATTCATTTGTTCACTGTGAGCCCACGTGGATATGCTGGATGCTGAGAACACAGTGCAGTACAAGACTGTCCTTAACACAGCCCACGGAGTGACAGACAGACACCCGCAGAGTGACAGACAGACACAGAAATGTCAGCTGGGGCCATAGGTGACATCCAGTCAGGAAGAATAAGCAAGTGCTGTTCAAAAACAACAAACGCCCCAAAATACTAAATACATGAATGAATAAGTGTGCAAAATCTTGCAACAGAGTGGCCTGGCCTGGGTGTGGGCAGGAAAGTCATCCTTAAGGAAGTATCCTTCAAGCTGAGATCCGAAAAACAGCATAAGCAGAAGCCAACTCCGAGATGCCCAAGGGTAGAGGGTTCCAGAGAGAAGAGCAAATGTCGTGCAGAGAGGGAGGGCAAGAGGGTCCTGAGGTCTTGGGGATCAAGTGCATGCAGGGATTCCGGGCCTGGCAGGAATCTTTCTGGCCGTTTCCCAGGGAGCAGTGGAAAGTGATGTTTCAGCTACTCCAGCCTGCTTAGTGTCTCTCCTCACAAGTTCATGCTCCGCCTTTGCTGAACTGAGTCAGCTCTGAGTGGAGGTGTTCAGAGGACACAGAGGGCATGGTGGTCCTGCTGGCAGGAGGCCCTGGTGCCACAGCCATGGGCACAGCAGGAGGGAATGGGGGTATTTAGCTGGAGAGACCCAGGTCTCTCCTTTCCGTGGTTCAGGCTGCCTCTCAGTGAACAGAGGACTCCCAGTGTGGCTTCTGGGGCCTGAGAGCTGAGACCCACTGCTGCCAGTCCAAGGAGGTGGATGGGGGCCTAGAGGAAGGACTTGGGACTGGTGAGACCTGTCCATGGTGGCTGCCTTTAGGAACTTGCACAGCCCCTCCTCACCTCTGGAGGCAGGTGCTGGACAGGTCAGGGGAGCTATGGAGGGGGCTTCCGCACTGAGAGCCTGCGGTTCCCCTTGGGAGGTCTCAGTGTCAAAAAGTGGAACCTAAATTCTGGCGTCATCTCCATGCCTTTCCTCCCGCACCGCCTTTGGCCAAGATGAGTGCATGTGATGACACTGTCTTTTGCAAGGGGTAAGAGCAAACAACCAGACAAAAGTATCAAACTAGATTAGGCACAGAGTCAACTGAGCCTTCTCAGGGTAGGTCCAGCACAATGGGTCCAGAGGCTTCGGCTGTGTCGTGAGAACTGTTACAGCAGGGCTGGACGTGGAGGAAACCAGGGCCCATGGACCACCCCAGGACCGCAGCCTCCTCTCAGCAACCACGGGAGAAAGCTGCTTTGCATCGCTGGAGATGAGGCCCAAGTCCTGCATCCAATATTCAGCAGCCCTTCTGGTGCCAGCCTTGGTGGCTGGAGGATGCTGGCTGACCGAGCTGGACCCCAGGTTCTCCCTGGAATGGGGGTGCAGGGGAGGCAGGAGGAAGAGCCCTTTCTAATCCCATCCAAGCACCAGGGACTGAGAATATGGGAAAAGTGCTTTTCTCAGAGAAAATCCAAGGTGTTGTTAACAGAAGAAGGAGGAAAGGGAGGCTGGGAACATTGAAACCAACAGTCGTCTGCGTCAATAAGGAAGACCACTCTCTTGCAGGCTCCTGTTCCTACCTTCCTACCTCCCCTCCCGCAGCCACATCTGCTTCAGCCCCAAGCAGAGAGACACCCCATTGGAACTGCTCGTGGGCAAGGAGGGAGGAGCAGGTCACCCCATTTACAACCTCTTATCATGTATTTAGAAAAATTCGGGGCCGGGCGCGGTGGCTCACGCCTGGAATCCCAGCACTTTGGGAGGCCGAGGCGGGTGGATCACGAGGCCAGGAGATTGAGACCATCCTGGCTAACAACCAGGCTAACACCTGAAACCCCGTCTCTACTAAAAAAACAAAAAATTAGCAGGGCGTGGTGGCGGGCGCCTGTAGTCCCAGCTACTCGGGAGGCTGAGGCAGGAGAATGGCGTGAACCCGGGAGGCAGAGTTTGCAGTGAGCCGAGATTGTGCCACTGCACTCCAGCCTGGGCGACAGAGCGAGACTCTTTCTCAAAAAAAAAAAAAAAAAGAAAAAGAAAAAGAAAAATCCACCTGAGACGTGAGGGTTGAGTTTTTCAATATCCCGTGCTCAAAATTAGCTTCGTTCATGTTTGCTGGTAAAGCAGTCGATGCCCTACTCAGCTCCGGGCTGGCTTTGCCGATGTGTCCACCTTCCTAGTGACTTAAATTCTACTCCCAGAGGCCTCCAATATTACAGATTCTAATCTGAGGTGAGGAGGGGGTCGGGTTTGTGGGCTTCACTTTTTGTTTTTCCTCCTGACTCTGCAAAAAATGGTCTGAGAAGTTTTTGACAAAAATGTAGCTTTTCTTTTTTTTGGCTGAAATATTGAATGTATCTGACTTTTCTCCCTTCTCATAGAAATATTCATGATAACGAGCCTGGGCAACATGTCGAAACCCAGTATCTACAAAAAAAAAAAAAAAAAAAAAAAAAAAAAAATTAGCTGGGCGTGGTCGTGGAGGGCACCTGTAGACCCAGCTACTCGGGAGACTGAGGTGGGAGGATTGCTTGAGCCCAGGAGGTTGAGGCTGTAGTCAGCCATGATTGTGCCATTGCACTCCAGCCTGGGGGACAGAGTGAAACCTTTTCTCACAGAAAGAAAAATATTTATGATAGATCTGCTAAATAATGTATTGGAGCATGACCACAGGAGTACATTCTGTATAAGTATAATGTAGGCTACAAGATCTTAAATTATATCAACATAATCAGACTGAAAATTCCACTCAAAGTCCCACTTTTAGGTTCCAAATTCAAGGTCCATATATCTCTTAAATGAGTCAGTATACCTAACATGATCCCTAAGATTAAAATCCAATGAATGTGGGTGTCTGGATATTTTTGAAGCTTTTTCCCACCTGCACACACACAAAATTCAACCTATTGTTTACTTTAACTTCTGAGTGTGTAAAAAATTGTTAATGGATTTTAGAGGCATCTCCCATGGGTGTGTAGTTTCTGCCTCTCCACTCATTTCCAGGCTGGGGACCCGGATCCGGTATGGAGTGCAACTAAGGCAGATGGTCAAGACGGGTCACCTTTGAGAGGGCAAGAGCCAATCTGACGTGTTCTGAGCAAACCTCTGTGTCTGCTATGTTCCCTTCTGCACTTCTTTTCCAGGAAGACCAGCTGTCTATTCCCCCACGCTGCCTCTGGCCCAAAGGCCTGGCCAGTGAGCACCATATGACTAATTCAGACTAATTATCATGGATCAAATAGCTGCAAACTATTTCCAGTTGCCAGTCTCCTGTTTTCCAATTGTCCCTCTGTTATATGTCTAAGCAAACATTTGTTCTGCTTATCGTTTCTGAGCAAAGACATGAATCACTTGCCTAGAAGAAACCACAGAGGCAGCTGTTGCCCATTAGGAGCTGACATTTGGGAACGGGGCCTGCAAAACAGGACTCCAGAACTGGAGTTTACTTTTTATTTGTCTCAGTTCTAGAAAAGGAAGCACTGGGCACTCTAGGGGACTAGCAGCCAGGTCTGTACTATCATTTTGCGGCAGGACACTGGAATAGCGAAAGACCTCCTATTATTAAGAAATCCTTCCTTTTCCTGACTGGCCTCTGGCTCTCCTTTGGCGGAAGATGCTCTTAACTTTCCTGTGAAAGTGCCCGTGTGTTGCCCGGTGTACTCATGAACCAGTTTGCTCTCATTAAAATAATCGTGGAAGCCCTTCTAAAACAGGCTTCTAACATAGAATTAGAGGGAACTTTGTATTAGTCCATTTTCATGCTGCTGATAAAAACATACTGGAGACTGGGTAATTTACAAAGGAAAAAGTTTAATGGACTCACAGTGGCAGAAGGCTGGGGAGGCCTCACAATCATAGTGGAAGGCAAGGAGGAGCAAAGGCATGTCTTACGTGGCAGCAGGAAAGAGAGTGTGTGCAGGGGGACTCCCCTTTGTAAGACCATCAGATCTCCTGAGAAAGATTCACTACCATGAGAACAGCACAGAAAAGACCTATGCCCATTGGGTCCTTCCCATGACACATGGGAATTGTGGGAACTACAACTCAAGATGAGATTTGGGTGGAGACACAGGCAAACCATATCAAACCTTGGGTTCTCAGGAACTGGGAACTTATTTGATTTTGTAGCAACTTGCATGGAAAATCTACTTTCTAATAGGCTTTTTGCTGCACATGTCTATATGCTTCATATTATTTAATCCCCAAAACCCTACCAGGTGGGAAGAAAAGATGATATAATCAAACAAGGCCATAGACAGAGAGATAGAAACTTTGGGTTGGAGAAGCTTTCAGGCCTGATGGATTATCCCAGCTGAGCTTTGAATTGTAGGCAAGGTTAACCCAGGAAGGAAGGAGGAGATCAATGCTTGAGTGAAGGAAAACAAGGCTTAGGCAAAGGAGGGTGGGTAAGACAGGAATGCTCAGGGGGTAATTCGGTGGCATTGGTTTGAAGCTGAGGATAGTTGGGGTTGAAAAACCTAAGTAAGTCCCGAACTTCCCTCAGGGCTATGGGTCTAAACCAGCACCTCCTCCCCTGGGGAAGGGCAAAGATCTTAGAGGATGCTCTGAGCACCAGGTTCCATCAGTCTTGTAAAGCTCAACCCCCAACAGGGACCTGTATACTACAGGTGCTCAATAAATGCACATTAATGGAGACGGGAATCAGTTTGAAGATGGCGTCCATGATCACAATCAAAATCTTTTGCTCTAGGCTGGGCGCGGTGGCTCACGCCTGTAATCCCAGCACTTTGGGTGGCCGAGGCAGGCGGATAACAAGGCTAGGAGTTCAAGACCAGCCTGGCCAACTGATTGAAACCCCATCTCTACTAAAAATACAAAAAACTAGCCAGGCGTGGTGGCAGGCGCCTGTCATCCCAGCTACTCAGGAGGCTGAGGCAGGAGAATCGCTTGAACCTGGGAGACAGAGGCTGCAGTGAGCTGAGATTATGCCACTGCATTCCAGCCTGGGTGACAGTGCAAGGCTCTGCCAAACAAACAAACAAAACAACAACAACAAAAACATCTTTTGCTCTATATAAGACAATTAAAGGAATGAAACCAGAAGCTATAGATTGGGACAAAAAAAATAGTAAGTAACCTATTCATCAAAGAACTTGCATCTTTATGGGCCAGGCACAGTGGCTCATGCCTGTAATTCTCATGCCTTCGGAAGGCCAAGGAAGGAGGATTGCTTGAGGGCAGCAGTTTAGGACCAGCCTGAGCAACAAAGCAAGTCCCCTCCTCTACAAAAAATAAAATAAAAATTAGCTGGGCCTGATGGCATGCACCTGTAGTCCCAGCTAGTTGGAAGGCTGAGGTGGGAGGATCCCTCGATCCCAGGAGTTCAAGGCTACAGTAAACTATGATCATGCCACTGCATTCCAGTTTAGGGAATACAAAAGGCCCCTGTATTTTTTTTTTAAAAGAACTTGAATATTTAATGTGTAAAGAACACGCAGGCCTCAACAGTAAGTATACTAACAACTCAATTTTTAAAATGAGCAAAAGACTTGAAGAGACACTCACCAAAAAGATGTAAGAATGGCAAATAAGGACATAAAAATGTGCAACATAATTAGCTGTTAGGGAAATGCAACTTGAAGTCATAGTGAGATACCACTATATACCTATTAAAATGATAACATTTTTTAAAAAAATACTGTCAATACCAAGTGTTGGCAAACATGTCTAACAACAAGACTCTTATATATTGCTGGTGGGAATAAAAATCAGTACAGCCACTCTGAAAAAATGTTTGGTAGCTTCCTATAAGATTAGACATACACTTTCCATAGGACCCAGTAATCCCACCTTTGGGTGTTTACTCCAGTGAAATAAAAATCTGTTTTTACACAAAACCCTGTATGCAAATGTTTGTAGCAATAGTCTTCATAACTGTCAAAACTAGAAACAACCCAAAATGTCGTTCAAGGGGTGGATGGATAAACACACTGTGGTACATCCTTACAATGAAACACTACTCAGAAATAAGGAAAAATAAATTCCTAATACGTGAAATAATTTGGATGAGTCTCAAAGGCATTGGGCAGGTACGTTGGCTCACGCCTGTAATCCCAGCACTTTGGGAGGCTGAGGCAGTTGGATCACCTGAGGTCAGGAGTTTGAGACCAGCCTGACTAACATGGTGATACCCTGTCTCTACTAAAAATACCAAAATAAGCCGGGTGTGGTGGTGCATGCCTGTAATCTCAGCTACCTGGGAGGCCGAGGCAGGAGAATCGCTTGAACCCAGGAGGTGGAGGTTGCAATGAGCCGAGATCATGCCACTGCACTCCAGCCTAGGCGACAAGAGCAACAATCTGTCTCAATAAATAAATAAATAAATAAATAAATAAATAAATAAATAGGCATTATGCCGAGTGAAGGAAGCCAGTCTCAAAAGGTAGCATATGACATGACTCCATTTATGTGACATTCTTAAAGAGACAACATTGCAGTGATGGAGAACAGATCAGTGGCTCCCAGGGGCAAGGGGTGGAGGGAGTGTTTGTCTATAAAAGGGGTAACATGAGGGAGTCGGGGGCAGGAGGGGATGGAACTCTTCTGTATCCTGATTGAAGTTCTGGTTACACAACCAGTGCATGTGTTAAAATTCATACCTCTTGTAGGACATAAAGAAAAGGTGACCCATGACCTACCTCTGCTCCTGGACCATGAGCCAGACAGAAAAGAGCTGGGGGACTGTGTACAAGAGTAAACTTCCCCCAATCCCCCTCGT
The DNA here is from genome assembly GCF_000001405.40 of Homo sapiens. Classification (NCBI taxonomy): domain Eukaryota; kingdom Metazoa; phylum Chordata; class Mammalia; order Primates; family Hominidae; genus Homo; species Homo sapiens. The sequence continues at coordinate 31,375,136 of NC_000019.10, read as the reverse complement.
TTTGGTTTGTGTTCACCCTGGCCCTTGCCTGGATCCTCTTCCCGTCTTCCAAAAGGACAGGGGAAGGTGTCAGGCTCAGGGGTGGGAACCTGGGGGCCTAGCTATTCCCCATGGAGGCCTGCAACCTGTGACCTGCCACACCTCACTTTGCCTTGTGTGGCATCTTGGATTCCTGAGCTACTCTGGGGTTCTGCCTGGTAGATCGGCTTCTGCCCTGCTGCAGACACCTAGCAGAACAAGGTCCTTCGACTCTCTCCCACCTATTTTCCACTCTTTGCAGTACTGGGTTGTGTCTGTCTGCTTATTTTGTATAAAATGAAATTTGCATTTCTCTTTCACATTCTTCTTGTTTTATTTATTTGCTGCTGTTGTTGTTTGTTGGGGGATGATTATCCAGAAGAGAAATGGCAGAAGCTCCTTTGTCCTGCTAGCTTAACCCCCAGATGTCATCCCTGCATTAGCAGACAGCTGCTGGGGGCTGTGCACCAACAAAAGAAGGGATGAAACCAAGGAGGGAAAGGCATCGGCTCCAGGAAGCAGTGGATCCAATGGATGAGAGAAGTAAAGAAATTCTCCAAGCTGGAGGTGAAGAAAAGCCCATATGATAGTTGTGCTGTTGCCCAAACAGGGAACTGAACTGGAACGTCAGAGGCCTACAGAGGGGACACCTCCAAGAAGAAGAAGAAACTGCTCCCAGTGGATTTTCTGATCTGTTCAATCTTGTGGAAAATTGTCTTGACAGGCTGCAGGTAGGTAAGGGAAAACTTAATCATCTGTGCAAACAACACCAAGCAAATGAAAATGAGTTGATTATTGGCTTCAGGGAAAACAAAAGGAGAATGAAACCAACCAAGCAAGTCTAGTACACTACTTGGCTCAACTGTGAACAATAGTTACATAATGCACCATGAATATTAACAAAAGCAGCTGTGAATGAACAGGGGAAGAAGAGAGGGGGATGAAGAGGGCCAAGGTCACACCCTTAATCAAAATCAGCAGTTGGAACCAGAACCCAAGTCTTTAGTGGCTGCTCCCCAATGTTTGTCTGTGGGGGACCCAGAGAAGCACCATTCATTGGGGTGCAGTTAGGAGGTGTGTGAGTCTGGGAAGAAGGGAGTGGAGTGTCCAGGAAGAGGAGAACCAGTGGAATAAGTGTTTATCTTTCCTAAGAGGAAGACCACTTTGAATTCTCCTGAGGTCCTGCCACTTCTAGGGCTCGAGGGTGATGAGCAACACCTTTGGCCCCAGGACTCAGCATCCCTGGGCTGTAAACTGGGAGTGTTCTGCCTGCTCTCCTCCCCCTTCCCCCAGAACCTGGTAGGGACAGACAGATCCAAGCTGAGCTTTTCAGGGCCTTGCCCTGAAAAGCTTCACAGCTGTGACTGTAAAGAACACGTCTGAAGTTCAGCTGAGAGCTGGAAGTCTCAGTTAGAATCCTCAGCTCAGAAACTTCATCATATTCCTGTCCCCAAAGACCTCTGCAGAAAGCTGGAGACTTGCTGTTCCAATCAAGCATTCAAGTCTGAGCTAAGTTATTGGTTAAAACAGACAACAAGTGGGGTTCCTAGCCAGGAGAAAAGGCATGGGAGAGAAACAGCAAGCTGACACCAACTCCCCACACACCCAGGTTCAGGGCTCCTCACCAGAAAACTTCTGAGGTGTGTGAAGTCACAGGAGAGAAGTTATGAAAGTCTGGCCTTCGTCTCATCCCTGCAGCAGTCAAAGCTCTTAGGTATTTAAAGGCCATTTTCCTTTTTCATTTTCTAGGAATTAACATTGTTGATCTCATCTATGCTTGCTTCAAGCCCTACTTTTGAACCCTTGATTGTAATGTGTCCTCTTCCAGAAGGGCCTTCTCCCCAGTCTATCTTCCAGCTTTCCAGAAAAAGGCCTTCAATAGGAGAGTCTAATACCCAAGGGCCTATAGCTTGTGACTTCAGAACTGAAAGTCCAAACCTTACAACCCACCCTTCTTCGAAGCCACGTACTACCATTCCAGAATTGTATGAGTGAGTCTTGTCTCCTTGAAGCAATTTTAAATTCTCAGAGAGCAGGGATTGTATTAGTCAGGGTAAGCTAAGCTGCTATAACAAATAGACCCTCCATGCAAAGGTTCCATACAGTAGATGTTTATTTCTTGCTTACAAGACAGTCTTTGGTGTATGTGTATGTCCATGTGGTCATTCAGGGATCCAAGCTCCCTCTGTTTTGTGGTTCCACCTCACCCTAGTTCCTTGCCATCATCTGCATCCAGCTCATGGAATGGAAAAGAGCATGGGGGAGTGTTCCCAATAGGTTTTTCATGGGTTAGGCCTTTAGAGAGAACACATCACTCCCGCTCATGTTCCATCTGGTAAACCTTAATTTGAGTGGCCACAGTTAATTTCAAGTGAGCATGAGAGATGTAGTCCTCCTGTGCCCCCAAGAAATGTATGACTTGGGCAGATCAGCTCTTCTATTCCCTGAGTTCCTTTTCCTTCCCTAGAACTCAGCATAGAGAGGGACTTTCAGAGGCTGTTCCTTGAGAACTTGGTGAGGGTTGCACTGAGGTTGGCTGGCACTTTGCCAACCACATGCAGATATGCAGACAGAGGAGACTCGAGAGCCCAGGGCTCAGCTCTACCTAGAAACCTCTCATGTCTGCACTCATCAAACCTCCAAGATGAAGCAGGGCCTGCAGCACTGTGGTTGCATCAGAAAACAGATCAAAGGCTGTCTTCACAGCCACATAAGCCTCATCCTGGCCTCTGCCCACAGAGGTTGCATCTGTGCAGAAATCCATCCCACAGCATCAGGCAGGTGGGCATCGAGCCTCCACTGAGATCCTGCTCTATCAGGAAACTCATGCATCTGGTGTATCTGTCCCAGAGCAGCTCTGACTGTCCTGGACTAGGCAATGGAGACATTGATCATGGCCTTGAGCAGAGTGGTTTTGGTAGGAGTGGCAGAGACAAAAGCCAGACTAGAGGAGCTTAGGGAAAGAACAGAGCTAAATGAGCTGGAAATTACCTTTTGCAGTTACCTGGGAAAAATAAGACTGAAGATGATTATGCACATCGCAAGTGACACACACAAGCACATACGCAGCCAGGACTAGGGGCCCTCTTCTCGGAAGCCCCTGCTGCCTGCTGGTGCAGTCTTATCTCCCTAGATAGCCTCCCTGTCTTTATCCTCCTCCAGAGAAGCAGCGTGCTCCAGAGTCTGGTGCAGTGATACCAGCAGAAGCTGCAGGTAGCGTGCTGTGGAAAGAGCAACGGAGCAGGAACAGATCCCTTGGAGACACCTTATCTTCAAAATTGTTCTAAGCTCTGCAACCTACCACTCCTGCCACCACCTGGCCCAACTCACCACCATATCTTGTCCAGAAAATGAGCACAGCCTACTAACTGGTCTCTCTGATGTTGCCCTTGTCCCCCTGAGTTAGTTCTACACACAGCAGCCTTCACCATCCTTTAAAAATGTATATCTTGGGCCAGGCTTGGTGGCTTATGCCTGTAATCCCAGTGCTTTGGGAGGCTGAGGTAGAAGGATCCTTTGAGGCCAGGAGTTCAAGACCAGCCTGGACAACATAGTGAGATCCCATCTCTACAAAAAATTAAAAAATAAGCCAGGTGTGTTGTTGTGTACCTATAATCCCAGCTACTTGAGAGGCTGAGGTGAGAGGATTGTTTGAGCCCAGGAGTTTGAGGCTGCAGTGAGCTTTGATAGTACCACTGAACTCCAGCCTGGGTGACAGAGCAAGACCCTATCTCAAAAAAAAAAAAAAAAGTAAATCTTACTGTTTTACTGTTAAATATTCCCTTGTTAAGGCCCTCCCTTGGCTTTCTATACCCCTTTTTCTCTATCCCTTTTCCCACTTCCATTTCCTCACAATTAATTCTACACACTAATAATCCTTTATATTTAGTCATTTGACTTGATTATCGTCTCTTGTACTGGAAGAAGGTCTCTAGGAGAGGGTACTGGTCTTGTTCACTTCTGTGTCCCAGCCATTTAGTAGACATGCTAATATTTACTGAAGACACGTGGTTTCTTTAAGCCTCAGTTTCCCTAACTGCCAAAAGGGGACAGTGAATTCTGTGTGTCACATATTAGGGGTTTGCAAGGATTAAATAAGAAAATAAGGAAGGACAGACACTGTGGTCTGTGACATGAGCCAGGTAAGGCAGGGTGGTTTTCAACATCACTGCCTGCAGATGTTAATTTTGCAGGATATTTTTACATCATCACAGTACATGTCCGAGGTCGAACCATGGCATCTTCACTACAAACAACAGCTATAGTGCTCCTCCCAGCTGAAAACCCTGGGAGTCTATTGAAAATCAATTAGCAATGCCTCATTCTCAATGAGAAAGTCTCGGGGAGATTTATAATTTTATTTTTTTCTCAGTGTACAGAATAACATAAATCAAAAGAAGCAATAGTCTACCTTATGTTTGGACTACTTTGACCCTCTTCAACCTCTGCCAAATTTTATCTCATTTTTGTTTAACTTTATACATCAGAGTTTAATTTGAGAGCTGGTGGAGAAGACAGTGATGTATAGGGTACATCAGGTGCAGCTGAAATTACCCTGTCCCTAGGGGCTGGAGGTTGAAGGGAGGGTCTCCGTCCTGTTTCAGGTTAGAAGAGGAATGGTACAGTTTGCCCCTGGAACCCAGACTCTCTCCATGCTGCAGCCTCTCATTGATTGATTTGGCCAGGTTCGAGGAGCTTACAAAATTGTGTCCATGCAGGGCTCATGCCTCCAGAGCAGCCATGGGCTCAAAGCATCAGCCACTACGGACGATGTCATTTTTGGAACCAGATAAGGAGTTCTATTAGCATTGATTTTTCCTCTCTTTTAAGTGGATATGTTCCCCGGAAAAGTGTGTTCAGTTGGCAGTGTGTAATCTGCCAGAGAGAAGGCTGACTTTGCCATTCTGACTGTGCAGAGCCTGCCTGGCATCCCACAGAGCACTCACTGAGAGTTGCTGCGTGAACACAGGAACAAATGAATGAATGAATGAATGAATGGGTAGCCTTCTGCTTCCTCATCACTTTTTTGTTTGTTTGTTTTTGAGACAGAGTTTCACTCTTGTTCCCCAGGCTGCAGTGCAGTGGCACGATCTCGGCTCATTGCAATCTCCGCCTTCCAGGTTCAAGTGATTCTCCTGCCTCAGCCTCCCAAGTAGCTGGGATTACAGGCGTGTGCCACCATGCCCGGCTAATTTTGTATTTTCGGTAGAGACAGGTTTTAGTCATGTTGGTGAGGCTGATCTCAAACTCCCGACCTCAGGTGATCCCCCGCCCACCTCAGCCTCCCAAAGTGCTGGGATTACAGGCATGAGCCACTGCACCTGGCCTGTTTCCTCATTACTTTTATGTTCCAGCTGGCCGCAATACTTTTTAGAGATGACAAACAACAAATTGATCAACTGGGCCCCAGACACAGGAACCGGTGAGCTACTGTCTGTCCTAGAAACTCTGTTAATGTAGCTTAGGGACCCTGGATACCAGAAGGAAACTGAGATCCTCTTATCTCACTCTCATCTTTCACATGAATGTTCCCTAAGACAGCCTGGCCAGGGGCTGGGCCACCTTTATTAAATGCCTTCAGGGCGGGCCACTCATGCCATGACCCAGTGTTAGCATTTTTAAAAGTGCATTTCCCTTGTAGCACTTAACCACATTTAGAAACTATATATATTTGTGTGATGATTTGATTAAAGTCTGTCTCCCCCACTAGACCGTAAAAACACTGACAAGTTCTGTAATTAAATTTTACAAGAAAGTTCTGTTTGTCCACCTGTATCCCTAGGGTCAGGCCCAGGGCTTACCATGCGGGAAGTGTGCAATGTCTCTGAATGAACCAGTGCCAGGCACACTGGGATAGAGGGATGCTGTGATTGGCTAAGGTCAAGGTCAAGGCAGGAATGAGGACGACTGGTAAAAATGTCCAGGTACAGAAGTCATGTCACACCTGGCCACCCGGTCCACCCTCAGTCCAGAACGCCAGTAAGGGGGTTCGGGGAGGCATTAAAAGGTGGCTGGATTTCAGGGCTAGGTGAAGATGCCAACAGTGGCAAATATCTCTGGTGGGTTCCTTGCCCTAGACCTGCACTGTCCACAGTGGCTATCAGGCACCCACGTGGCTACTGAACACTGGGAATGAGGCTGGTTTGAATGGAGCTGTGTTGTAAGCATAAAATCTATACATCAGATTTCAAAGGTTTACATGGGAAAAAAATGTAGACTATCTCATTGATAAATTTTATGTTGATTACATATAATCATATGTTGAAATAATATTTTAGATATAATCGGTTAAGTAAAATGTATTTTTATGTTTGTTTTAATTAATTAATGTTTTTTTTTGAGACAGGGTCTTACTTTGTCACCCAGGTTGGGGTACGCTGGTGCAATCTTGGCTCACTGCAGCCTTAACCCCCCAGGCTCAAGTGATCCTCTCACCTCAGCCTCCCGAGTAGCTGGGACTACAGCCACACACCACCTATTTGGCTAATTTTTGTATTTGTCTGTAGAGATGAGGTTTTGCCATGTTGCTCAGCCTGGTCTCAAACTCCTGGGCTCATGTGATCTGCCCAACTCGGCCTCCCAAAGTGCTGGGATTACAGGCCTGACACCATGCCCAGCTCCAGTAAAAGGTATTATTAAAATTAATTTCAACTGTGTCTGCTTTTTGAAATGTGGTTATTATAACATTGAGAATTACGTGGCTCACATCATATTCAAGCGCTGTTCTAGAGGAAGGACTTTGGAGCAGTTCTTAATTGCAGAAGAGCTTTACATAAACACTCACCACTGAACAACAATAGTTATCAACCAAGTTGTGTCTATTCTGTGGCTGGCCCTGGGCTAGATACTTCAACCTCTAGTAGCTTTATTTTAGAGACATCATCCTGGATAAATAATCTGAAACATGGAAAAATTCTCTATACACAAAGTTTTTAATTATAGCATTCTTTAATATTAATGAAACAGGATATAACCTAAACATTTAAACAGTAGAAGAAGGCTGAGCGTGGTGGCTCATGCCTGTAATCCCAGCACTGTGGGAGGCCGAAGCGGGCAGATCACCTGAGGTCAGGAGTTCAAGACCAGCCTGGCCAACATGGTGAAACCCCGTCTCTACTAAAAAATGCAAAAATTAGTCCAGCATGGTGGCGAATACCTGTAGTCACAGCTATTGAAGGAGGCTGAGGTGGGAGGACAGCTTGAACTCAGGAGGTGGAGGTTGCAGTGAGCTGAGATCGCGCCACTGCATTCCAGCCTCGGTGACAAAGCAAGACTCTATCTCAAAAATAAATAAATAAATAAATACAGTAGAAGAATTATAATATGAACTATACTAGCATTCATTATTATGAATATTATGCAGAATATTATGCAGCCGTCAAAAACTATGTTTGCCAATGATTTATCATAACATGGCAAAATACTACAACAATGCTCAATCAAAATCTCAAAATTCAAAATCGCATCCGACTCTTACCACATCCACAGAGGCAAAGCTCCAAGGAAAGCCACTGGAAGGAGTTCCACCAAGCTGTTCACAGTTGTCTTTGGAGAACAGGATGATAAATGACTTATCTTTTCTTCTTTCTATTTTTTCAATTAGATTTTGTTTAATAATCATTTGATAACAGAGAATTATACATATTTTATCTCAAGGAAAAAGGCCCAGCCCCAGGAGTTTGCCTTCACGTTGTCAATGGCAACAGGAGGCGAGGCATGTCAAGGTGGGCGCGCTCCTTCCAGGCACATGCGGCAAACCCCAAAGCTTCTGCAGGAGCGTCGCCCATGGCCTGCATCTGCTCATGGAGTCCTTTGCCAAGGGAACACCCCCTCTCTCTGCCTGACTCCTCCACAGACTCTAAGATCTTTGAGGGCAGTGCCATGGTCTCCTCTCTTCCCATTTCTAGCCCAGGGCCGGCATAGGCTGGGTGCTTTGCAAGACGCACTGCACCTGTGCTAGTTTTCTGCCACTTGCCTTAGAGCTCTCCATGGGCTGTGCCCTGGGAGGCAAACCTGGGTGGCAGTTTCACTCGCCCCTGCAGGGGTTTATCCAATGTGGAGCCCTGGCAGGAGAGTGGAGGAACAGAAGAGAGGGTAGTCCAAGTATGCCATTCCCTGGTCACCTCCCTGTGGGTCTTCTTGGGCCCTGACTTTCTCCTGAAGGTGAAAGCTCCTCTAAAAGTGGCTCTTATCACACTCTCCTCCTGGCTTCCAGTAACCCATCCCCTTCAGGCGTGAGGAAGTAACGGTTCTGTCCATTTTCTCTTGTGCTTTCCTTCACCATTCCCTCCGTCTTTCCAAATAGCCTCTTTGGAGAATCCTCCATGAATAATCCTAATCTGAGTGTGTCCTCCCTTTCCCACCGAGCCCCTGATGCACATGGAACTTATCTGAAAACACAGTGCCTGTCTCCCCTGCAGTGTGTGGAGAAGAGAGGCACGGCGCCCGTTCTAGGAAGGGTGGCATCTCTGAGCCTTGTGACGTCTCCTAGTGTGCCCAGCACCAGGTGTGGGAGAGTCAAGTTCCAGGGCAGGCAGACCTGAGTCCAAATACAAGATCTAACCCTTCTAACAGCTGTGAGACCCTTCATTCATTCCTTCGTCTCTCAAGCCTCGTCTTCTTCATCTGCAAAATGGAGCAAAACAACTACATTTTGTGAGGATTGTGAGGATTAAATGAGGTACGATACCTAATTTCTTAGCGTGTGGCCTGGCTTGGAGTAAACCCCGCAGCAAACATCAGCTGGCACAATTATTGCTCTGACCCTCTGCGGCTGCCTCATGAACGTAAATGTCCCAAGCTGACCTCCACTCCTGAAGACATGCCGCAGCAGGATCTAAATCTTCCCTCTCCCTGTCCTGGGCTGCAGAGATTACAGGGAAGGCCCTCCCCAGGACCACAGACTGCCCCACATCCATTCTGTGTAAGCTCTGCTGTGAGACACACGGTTATTTACAGAGCAAGACAAGGAAATGACAAAGAGTAGGAGATGAGGTGCATTTTGGGAAAATCCCTTGTTTATTTAAATATTGCACTTATGAAAGACACCAGAAAGAGAAATATGGGCATTTGTGGCAATGATCAAAAAGGGAAAAAACGGAAATACATGATCAAAAACACAGGAAAGGATTACATCTGAAATAAAATTTGGTACCCTTAAAATATCTGTAATTCAACCTCAGAATGAGTGTATCTTTTAAAAGCTCTTTGAAAACACTTCCCCACTCTCTTTGTCTCTTTTCTTTATAAGGCATCTTCTCTTTAACTCCCTTTGGGAAACTTCTTATAAATGAGGATTTGCATCTCCAGGGATTACTCTGGTTAGGAAAGTGTTTTATTAAAAAATATATGTTTGCCACAGAATGCTGAGTGATATAATTAGCTGGTCCCTTCTGTTTTGTTTTAAAAGGCTGTATGGCCAAGTTCTAATTAAACATATTCTCAGGACGTTTGAAATGTGAAGGTGCCTCAGAAATGGGCACTGAAATGAAAGAAGCAATGGCTCCGGGAGTATATACCAGGAAGGAGGATCTCTGGCCACGGTGCACCCGGCAGTACGGCTTCATTTCTGTCTCTGTGTGCACAGCTACTGTGGATAGAGAAGCTGGTCCCATCCAACCTTGGTGGGACACTGCCTTGTGTTCTGGAAGACTATGTGCTAAATGAGCTGATCTTGTTCCACCCAGGACAATCCAGGAAGGCTGAGGGAGTGAGTCCTGGGCTGGGATTCTGGGGACCTGGGGATGTAATAGGTTATCATCTGTAAAGTGACAATTGCTAAGGTCCCTGCCAGCTCTGACATTCTGATTGGACACATGGCTGTTTCCACTGGCTTTGTTCTTGTCACAAAGCATAAGAATGCTCCAAATGATCACGCTGCATTTTACTCTGTGACCCCAGGAATAAAATAGAAGGCTGGAGAATCTCACTGCTGTTCCTACTGAATAATGACTGGCTCAACCACGAGAGGCAGTGCTGTGCCCTCATTTGCAAAAAGAGAAGGATACTTCCCTGTCTCCCTTTTGGAGAAGCAAGTAACCTGGAAATGGAAGTATTCTGTCCCCATTCAGAAGGATGGGCTAGGAGCCCACAGGAGTTTAGAGTTTAGAAATGCCCCCTCTGAATCCTCCCGCCTGGGCACACTGTGAGACACCCTTAGTCTTTACAAAGCACTTTCATATTCACTAATGCCTCTTACAGAGCAAGCGGAGCTCTCATTTCATTGCTAGCGGGGATACAAAATGCTACACTCACTTTGGAAAACAGTTTAGCACTTTCTTGTAGCATTATACACGCTCTTACCATTGACCTAGCAATCATTCTCCTAGGTATTGAAACTTAAGAGAAATGAAAACTTATGTTCACCCAAAACCTAGAGGTGCTTGTACATCGTGGCTTTATTTGTAATCACCCCAAACTGGAAACAACCCAGTTGTCCTCTAACTGATGAATGGATAAACAGATCTGGGTACATCCATGCAAAGGAATACTTCTCAGCACTGCTAAGACACAAACTTACTGATACATCCGACAACATAGATAAATCTCAAATGCATTACACTAGATGAAAGAAGCCAGACTTGAAAGGTGACATACTCTATAATTCCACATACGCTACACCCTGGAAAAGGGAAAGCTTTAAGGTGAAGAACAGATCAGAGGTTCAGTGGTTTCTAATGCGGGGGAGCTGGGGTTAAGGGCAGGCAGATAGTTTGACTACAAAAAGGCAGCATAAAGCAGTTTTGGGGGAGTAAGAAAACTATTCTAGGCCAGGCACGGTGGCTCATGCCTATAATCACAGCACTTTGGGAGGTCAAAAAGGGTGGATCACCTGAGGTTAGGAGTTCGAGACCAGCCTGTCAACATGGTGAAACCCTGCCTCTACTAAAAAAAAAAAAAAAAAAAAAAAAAAAAAAAAAAAAAAAAGCCAGGTGTGGTGCTGGGCACCTGTAGTCCCAGCCACTCGGGAGGCTGAGGCAGAAGAATCACTTGAACCTGGGAGGTGGAGGTTGCAGTGAGCCAAGATTGTACTATTGCATTCCAGCCCCGGCGACAAGAGCCAAACTCTGTCCAAAAAAAAAAAAGAAAAAAAAGAAAACGACTCTAAATCTTTTAAAAAAAATTTTTGAGATGGGGTTTTCCTCTGTCACCCAGGCTGGAGTACAGCGGTGCAATCACAGCACACTGCAGCCTCAACCTCCCAGGTTCAAGTGATCCTCCTGCCTTAGCCTTCCAAGTAGCTGGGGCTACAGGCACATGCCACCATGCCCAGCTAATTTTTAAAAAGTTTTTTGTAAAGATGGGGTCTCACTATGTTGCTCAAGCTGATCTTGAAGTCCTGGGCTCAAGCGATGCTCCTGCCTCAGCCTCCCAATGTGCTGGGATTACAGGTGTAAGCCACCACCACACCTAGCCACTGTTCCAAATCTTGATGGCAGTGGTAGTTATGTGATTTTGTGCATTTGGCAAAACTCAGAAAACTGCATCCCAAAAAAATGCATTTTATTATATGCAAATTAAAAAATGAATTTAAAAATATCCTATAGGCTTGGCAGTAAGCATGGTGGTTGTTTGAGGTTGCCTCCTCCCCATACAGTACTCATTTTGTCCTACTAGGAGTGCTCAGTAAGGCGTCAGGGCATGGCATTCACTGCAGATGCCTCCTGCTTCATGGACGTGGCCCCTGGAAACTGAAGGGTATGACTTAGATTACATGGGTCAATGAAAAGTTTTCTATTATTCTCTTCCTTGTGGAATGTGGACAAAGAAGCAATTAGTTCCACTCGCCATTTGTGGTCCTCTTGAAATCATAAGATAAAACACCTTGAGGATGAGATTATGCCGAAAACGAAGCGAAGAGTAAGAAGGCAGAGCAAACTGGCTTCCTGTTAATATAATGGAGCCATAATCTACCTCTTGCCAATTTCCTTAAGCCAGTGTGAGCAGGGGGTCGTATTTCTCACAGATAAAAGCATCCTAGGAAATATAGTGAGAGATGTCACTGAAACATTTCTGATCTGATCCACTGTCCCAAACCAATCTGAAACAAACCTGGGCAACAGAGAACTTGGGTGAAATAATGTGAAACATATATGCAACGGATAATGGCAGGACTTGAACAGGCATCTCACAAATAAGGCATTCCCGATCACCACGCAGATATAAAAAAGGTGCTCAAACTCATTAGTAATCATGGAAATGCAAATTAAACACAGTGAGACAGCAACCACAGCCGCTAGATTAGGAAACATTACAAATACGAAGAAACATTGCTAACAATATCATAGGCTGGCAAGGATGTAGAACAATGGGAACTTTAAAAACTGCTTGTGGGAGTGAAAATTGACACAATCATCTTGGAAAACAGTTAGAGCTGCAGATATGCAAACTCTGACCAAGCAATCCCACCCCTAACTATATATAAATAGGAGATATTCCCCATGTGAGTTATGGCATAGGAACAAACATGTTCGCAGCGGCATTCTTCATGATATCCAAACAATTGGGGGGAAAAAATCCTAATGTTTTCATGAAACTAATGTTTTCATAGTCTAGAACCTTGACCATGAACCAGCAACACAAATCCACATGGTTAAGTCCGAAAAACAATGCTGAGTAAGAGAAACAAGACACAAAATAATTCATACAACATGATTTCATTTATGAACATGACCAGGTATACACATCTAAATATTAAAACTACAAAGTAAGGCAAGGAAGTGATCATTACAAAAATTAAAAATAGAGGTGGCCTCCAGGAGAGGGGACTGGAATTGGGAGGTGTCGGGGGGTTTCAGGTGACTGAGTGTTGTGTATGCAGGTATTATTTAAACCGTACCTATATGATTCACACATTCTTTTACCTTTTGATGTATCTCACACACAGAAATGTAGGAAGACAAAAATCAGATTGCAGGGAAATTCAGAAAACCAGTCTGAAGCCAGGAATGTGCAATGAATGACCCTAAATCATGCATTCTAGAGGATCTGGCCCCAAAGAGAGACTATCTGGATGGCTCTACAGAGTGGTCACAAGCTTTGCTTCGCTTCATTATCATTTAATCCAGCCAAAGGCCTGTTAAAGGCTTTTGCTTTTAAGTAAAACTTGTCTCCTTTTAAAAGTGCCAATTTTTGGTGCCCTGTAATCCCAGAACTTTGGGAAGCTGAGGCAGGTGGATCACTTGAAGTTAGGAGTTCGAGACCATCCTGGCCAACCTGTTGAAACCCTGTCTGTACTAAAAGTACAAAAATTAGCTGGGTGTGGTGGTGCATGCCTGCAATCCCAGCTATTCGGGAAGCTGAGGCAGAAGAAACGCTTGAACCCAGGAGGCAGAGGTGAGTGCAGTGAGCCGACATTGTGCCACTGTGCTTCACCCTGAGCAGCAGAGCAAGTCTCTGTCTAAGAAAAAAAAAAAAAGTACCAATTTTCTCTTTTAAGTTTAATAAGAGTGTTAATCTTATAGAGTTCTCTTACTCATTTTTTTACACAGTTTAGATCAGATTTGTTCTCTACATGAGTCTATAGAGACTTAAGGTGAGCTACTCTATCCAACTGTTCCTTATTTGCCCGGAGAGCCTTTATCTTAAAAACTCAGTCATCAGAGCAAGAAACATAGCAGACCACAACCCAATGCCTCTTGAATAAGTAAAAGTATTAACACATCTTCCAGAGTCCAGGCATAAACTTCATGCAGTTTCCTTGTAGAAAATACCTTCCTGCTCTTATTTGAGCCTATTAACTCTACTCTTATTTTAAATATAAATCTAACATGCTCAGCCATCTGTTTCCAAGAATACATCAGCTAAGGAAGGTAAAAGTGAAGAAGGACTGCTCTAGCCAGTGACAGTTAAAAAGCTCACACTGTGAAAGAAGAGAGAGGAAAAAAACCTCTCAATTCTCCTAAGCTTCTGGAGGCATTTATTGTAGAGACAGCAATGAAATGTTGAATTAGAAATTGACCCAACCCCTTCTGTAAGAAATCAGGAATAAGTACAGTGCACCATAAATAATTGCCATCAAATATTTAGCAAAATGTGTTCAAAAGAGTAAGTTTAATATCTATTTTCCTGCAAAGGATAAGTCATTTTGTGAGAAGGCTAAAAATGTCCATTGAATCCAAGTCCCAATGAGTATATGTGCATGCATAGATACAAATATGTAAATACATATGCACAAGTACATGTACCTGTACACAGACATATATGGGAAAATATTCACTTATTGTGCGTGTGGCCGGGGCGTTGGATCCCATTAAATAATTCTGGATTTGGTTGGAATTCACCCCGTTAGCTGAACAATTCCGGAACAACTGCATCCTCAGCACAAAATGACCTTTTCATCAAGTTACAAAACATTAAAGGTTAAAGGATGTTTGAAAGGAAGTTAATACTTTTAAAACATTGGGAGAATGGCCATCTTTTCAGAGATCTGACCAAAAATGTGAAGGAAGCATTGGACGGCCTTTCTGGCAGTTATTTGCGGGCGGGTGTCACACGTTTGCACTGCCTGCTCCTGCTGAAACCATGAATGAACCTACCTCCTTAGGAAATGAGATGAGATGGGCCTGTGCTCCGCATAGCACAGGAGCTCACGAGAGGACTCCTTAGCAGGCTGGTTCCTAATTGCAAGTTTGAAGTCACATTTCTTCCTCTCAAGAGTGGTGATGGCAAAGAGAGCAAATCAATGAGACTGTCAGATTTTCCCGCCTTCTATTTTCCATCTGACCTGGATGGTGCAAATTCCAGTCGCTACTAACAGGGAAAATAGAAATATCAGTCACCAGACCCCTTCCTCTAATGAGCTCACAGAAAGGCCCGGAAGAACCTGACTTATCAGCCCTGCAAATGCCCAATCTTCCCAGAAAGTCAGGTGGACTGCATGCTGCCTTCAGCCATTCTCTCCTGTCTTTCTTTTTCACCACATTCTAAGCACCTGCTTGTAATCTCAGGTGCATCCAGGCTCAGCCCAAATATAAGCCTTTATTTTCAGGGTGGTCTGGCCCTGTGGCCACCCTGCACACCAACTTAATGGGGTACCATTTATTGGACAACTAACATTCTTCACCAAGCTCTCTGCCAAGGCATGGACACACATAATCCCAGATGAGTCTCACAAGTGCCGTGGGAAGTAGACTCTACTGTGACTTGCCCACGGGCACACGGCTAGTGACACAATGCCTCTTTCAAACTCTGGTCTGACTCTGAAAGCTTCCAGAATGTAGTCCCAAAAACCCATGGGTTCAAGGGGCATCTCTATTTCTCTATTTTTTGTTTTTTTGAGACAGGGTCTCACTCTGTTGCCCAGACTGGAGTGCAGTGGCACTATCTCGGCTCACTACAGCCTCAACCTCCCAGGCTCAAGCGATCCTCCTGCCTCAGCCTCCCAAGTAGCTGAGATTACAGGTGCATGCCACCATGCCCAGCTAATTTTTGTATTTTTTGTGGAGAGAGGGTTTTGTCATGTCACCCAGGCTGGTCTCAAACTCCTGGACTCAAGTGATCTGCCTGCCGCAGCCTCCCAAAGTGCTGGGATTACAGGCATGAGCCACCACAGGGTCCATCCAAGGCATCTCCAATTTTGATGGAAGGTTTCCACAATGAATTCCTACTTGGTGTTTAAGATGGAGAAAGCTGTCCTGTTTTAGAGATGGAGACAAGGTTCAAAGAGAGGGAGTGACCTGCTCAGGCTCACTGGGTTACTTATGGGCCAGAGGCTCAGCACCACAGTTGGAGCTTGCATTCCCCCGCAAGGTACCGCTTGCTGCACATATATCCATCTGCGGGGCACACCCACTGTGGGTGTGATCCTTACAGTTACTCACTGATACCTATCTCCTCAGATAAACTGACTAGCTTCACTCTCTTGGTCCTTCACCTGTCATTTACTTCCTCATTCACCGTGCACAGTTCAGCTGAGATAGGACTGTATGCACAGCTGGATGACAGCCAGCCTTCTACTTCTTTCCTGCTTTCACTGCTTACCTTCTTGTCCCTATATGGGCTCTAGATACAGCATCCTCAAGGTGGAGAAAGAGAGAGAGAGAGAAAGAGAGAGGCTTGCATTTCTGCACATTCTAGACAGGAGTGACTCTTTAACGAATTTCACTGTTGGAGGAAGACTCTGGTCCATTTTCAAGTCTCAGGTGAGGCCTGAGGATGGGGAGGAGGAAGGAGGGCTCCCGGGTTTCCAAGATAGGTTTCCCTGCCCTGTCGTATAAGTTGACTCAGCCATCTAGGAAGGGTCCTACTCCTTCCTTAGGCCTCCTCCTGATGGGAACCCCACCCCAGGTCCTAAAATCAGCCAGGATGGAAGATTCTCTTAGAAAGTAGAGAGGCCCCTTTTGTACCTCTGCCACCAGCTGTTTACCCCATGCATTCCCATCAAGACTGGGGCCAGACCCTCTTCTCTTCAGCCAACACACTCCTCAAAACTCCAAACGATATAAAAGCCTTCTTAGGAATTAACATCCTTTGGGCAACATACTTTGAAACTATTGATAATATATATAAGGTGATTGAGAGTAAAAATTCACTCTCTCACACATGTGTGTTCAGCACCTACTCTTTCCGCTGTGTGTATTTACACACAGTTAGTGAGCCAGCCTGGGCCAGGCTCTGAGTGGTCCTATCCCCAGGTTCTCCTTGGTGAATGGGCAGGGGAGACTGGCTGCAGATGAATGACTTGCTTTGACTATGTCTGGGGAAGAGGTACTGAGAGGGCTGCTGACTGGAGTGCCGACCACCTCCCGCAGACCCTTTTGGCTGGTAACAGAGATGGGGATCGAGCATTCCCAGAGATAGCTAGGAACCAACTCCAAGCCCTGCTGAGCTGGAGAAAGAACAAGGTGTTCAGCATCCCACAGCAGAGTAAAGAAAAGCAACTGCACTTCTAAAAATTCTGCTTTAAAGGCAAGTCCATGTGGTGCTACAGTAGCTCTAACAGGCACAGCCTAGGGATCTGGCATGGGATGGAATATGGGGTGGGGGAAGGGAAGAGATGATCAGCGGACAAGAGACATCCACTGTTCTTTGGCTCCCATGCAAAAGTCCCCGTTGAGTCAGGACCTCCAGGAAGAGCTGGGCCTGGTTCTGGTGGAGTCAGAAGTGGTCTCATCACCGAGCCAATCTCCCCCATGTGAATCTGCCCTATCTTCCTGGCTGAGCACCTACCTAACCATGGCCAGCGCCTTATGCCTTATGTATATCCCTTTTTGCCCCCTCACTGGAGCTGCCTTGAGGCCTGGGTGCTTCTTCCAGAAAGCATTTTCCCAGGTGAGAAGTTCTGCCGTCTGAAGCCAGCCTCCAGGCACTGCCTGCCCCTGCCTAGGCTCCCACAGCTTACCCAAGGTTTGGGGCTCCAGGCAGGGTGCCCTCCAGAGTGCCCTGGCCTGTGAGGGTGCAGGGTCGTTGGCTCAGGGCAAGATGGAAAGTTTGATATATCTGCTCCACCATTTCATTATCAGAGGGCCTTTGGGAAAGCTGGCCATGTGGTCTGCGGTGGGCAAGAATCTTGTCTTAAAGCTAAGTCAACAAGAGCAAATACACGTTTTTAACTTAAGTGATGGGTTTGTTAGGGGAACCTAGAGAAGGTGGTTGGGCGAAGGAGGCTGGAGCCTTTCTGAAACCCCTCCTTGGGGTCACCATCCACTTCTGCAATCCATCAACACTTTTAAGGGCAAGAGGCATGCGGAGACGCTGCTGTACGCCTAGTCAACGAGGCCAGCCGGAAAGCCTCCTGGGGCCGCGAAGCACCACCCAGACCCCACCATCACCCCTCCCAAACCCCCTTGCATCCCAAACCCCCAACCCCCCATCTCGTCTTTTGGGCCAGAGCGGCCGCCCGCGCTGTCCCGCCTCCAGAGGGCGCTGACGGAGAGGTGGTAGCGCCCGCTCCCGCCGCCGCGCCAAGGGGCAGCCCCAGGGACTCCACCCCTACTACCGCCACCCAGCCTAATTTGAATATTTCATTGGCTGCCGCCAGTCTGGTCAATTTATCATGCAAATGTGGGTGCCCTCCGCGCCAGAGAGGAGCCATCGCCCGCGCAGGAAAGCGGCGCCCGATTGGTGGCCGAGACAGCGGCATTTGTAATATTTTTCTTTGGGCATTAGAGTCATTTACCAATGCCATCCCCGCAACTCCAGGCACTGAATCACAAGCCACTTAAAGGGTTTTATTGGCAGCTTCGAAACTTCTTAACATGCTCTTTTATTTCAAACCAAGTGTCAACCTATTTCTGACCTCCCTCCCTTCCCCTCACCTAAAAAAGCTGCAAAAAACTCCAAACTACTTTGTTCCCTCACTATTTGCACGCGGTAACAGCCTCCGTCTTGCCACAGGTAGAAGGACTGGACCTGTTTGGGGCTAGCACTTGGTAGACCTTAAATAAATAACCTTTGAGAAGTCTTATAAAGGTGGAGGAGGGACTGTTGGAAGAGAGGCACACAAAAAGAAAACAGAAAAAGAAACGAAGAAAGAAATGGGGAAAAGAGAAGAGGCGGCAGAAAAGGGAGAAGGCAGAATTTAGGACTGCTCTGCAAAGGAGGAAAATCTTGGTGTTATCAAAGCCCTGGAGATCAGAGACTACCTGCATGCTATATTATCTAACCCTTCGGGCCACCATGTCCCCAGTCACCCTGGCCCTCCTATTGCCGAACTAAGGTGATATCCATCAAATTTCAAGAAACAAAAACGTGAAAGAATGAGGCCCCCAGAGTGTTGTCCCTCTCTTTTGTACCTGCCCTGCAGAAACTTAGGCTCCGTCTTCCCCGTTTGTAAATTGTAAATTTAGGGACAAACACAAAACCCTAACGTTGAAGACAGAGGAGAAAAGCAATGTAGGAAAGAAGAACTGGGAAACGTGATTATTCCTGGTCTTGCAAATTCCCTGGCCAGTTAATGAGGTCACCAGCCTCAGAAAGCTGGGCTATCTGGTCGGCTAAGACCTGGTGGAATCCTCCTCCTTCAGGATTCCAGCATTCAAAGAGCTGGGGTTCAGAGCCGCATCAGGTTGCCCACGTAATGATTCAGATACCTGCAGTGCGGGGCAGCTGGCGCAACCACACGGGAAGAGTTGGGCACCCCTGAGCTACAACTAGCAAATAGCTGCTCGCTCCCGACCAGGGGTGAGCCCCTAGGTGGCTGCAGCTATCTCTAGTGTAGGGATCCCCCCACCCTTATTTTTAGCTCTGCTTAAATGGTTTCCAAAAATCCATTTCACCCAAAGTGGGGTGGCGGTGGGGGTGGGGGTAAACCACGCCACGCTGCAGCGAGGAATTCGTGAAATTCCCAGCGCAACCCAAGTCGACGCGTGGGATTTGATAAAAGGGCATTTCGCCTGGAGTTAAGCGCTCCAAACTGAGTTTAATGTGCATCTGTCCTCCTTAGACTGAAATACAAAGACGTTTTATTTTCTTTATTTAATCTTCGCTCTCCTAAAAAAAAAGTTTTTGAAAGTTCCGTAGATGATTGAACGAAAGAGAATGAAGGAAGAAAGAGGTATCTGAAGATGTGAGACTCAGAGCACTGGAAAGCTTGGGGAGAGGGGAGGGAGCAGAAAATCGCCATCTCCTGTCTTGGGAAACCCGAGAAAGTGGCCGCTATGACTCACAGGACCAGAAGGTGGGTTTCTAGGCAGACCTGGTTTCCCTCTCCCCACACGCCTGTGATAACCGTACTCCTTCCTTCCTTCCCTCCCTCTTTTAGGTGTATTGTTAAGTGGGTCTTTTTTTTTAAGGTGTTTATAACTGCCTGGAAATCCTAAATCGGAAAAAATGAGGCATTGGAGAGGGGGACCTGCAGGCTGTGGCTTCCTAGACCAGGTCGGCTTCCACCCCAAGTTCTCCCGAATCGAGTGGTGCCCAGGAGTTAAGGGTGGGCCAGACAGGGGCACCAGCTTCCACCCTGCTCTGCCCTGGCCCCGGCCCCGGCCCCGCACACTCAGGCATCAAAGCTGCCCCGGGAAGAAGATCGAAGGCCCCTTTGCCTTTCAGTCAGGCGGTCCTCGTGGAAAACGGCAGCGGCATGCAGTGGACACAGTCTGCAAAGTTGAGCTACATCTCTGTGCCCCAAGCCACAAGAAATTTACGAAGTAGCAAGCTATGCCTGGTTGGAGGAGGGCTGGGAGTGCGTACTCTGGTGTGACAATGCGTGTGTGTGCGCCTGTTTTGGGAGTCGGGGAGGCACTTCACCTCCCCCAAACCAATTCTTGACCTTGGGCCAAGAGAAGCCCCCTACTTCTCTCCAAAGATTGTACTCCCACCCCCAGCTCCCATCCAGGCACACCTGACTCAGCTCTCCTGAGGCCCCACAGAAGTGGTATTAATATACTCTTCTGATTTTCGAAGGTTTATTTCACGTCAAAACTGGAAAAGTTCTTGGGAGAATTTACAGACAAAACATCTGGTTCGTTAAAACAAAGCTACCGGTAAAAGAGAAACAAACTTCGCCGCCGTGTAAATGCACTTTTAGCAAACAATTTACCACCTGGCGAGGGCCAGGGTCCCTATCCTTCCTGCTTGGGCAGGGGCTGAGATTCCGGGGCCCAATTCCTGGTTCAGGTGTGCAGGTGGCAAGCTTCCCTGAACCCAAGGCACCTCCTCGACACTGCCTAGCCCAGAATGTGGTGTGGGGAGGCGTGAGGAAGGCGAAAAACCCATATGCCAGCATTCCAGGTGAGTGCAGGCAGGAGGGCACCCACCTGGTGCCTCTCTCCCCTGGTGCTGCCCAGCCCTGGGCTCCCTAAAAGCCTACACCTTGGGCAAATGCCCTCACACTTTGAAAGGGGGTACAGCCTCCCAGAGGGTACTACTCAGAGTGCCCAGTCCCTCCAGGTGGCCCAAGCCTCCCTCCGAGAACCTCTCCAACATCAAGGCTTAAGCCCTGGGTGCCTGGGACCTGAGCCCACTCTAGCTCCTCATCTTGTAATGGTAGCTTTGAAGACAACTTCTTTCCCTTAAGTCTTTTCCCTCAGTGGCCACCCCAGATAAGGACAAGACTTGGCCTTCTTTGGGTCGAGTTGTCACCTACTGCCCTCAATCGCCACCTTAAACACAACCTCGGCTGCCTCCCGGCGGTGGTTTGGCTACTCCTTTCTGGCACAGACTTCGTGACTTTGTGTGGTGTGTTGCGAGCCAAGTGCCCGTCCCCACAGCACACACCTGTTCCTAGCCTTGCCTGCATGTGACTTTTTTCTTTCTCTCTCTCTTTTAAAAACTTATCCGGGCAGAGCTCCCGGTAGCTAAGGTCATGAATGATCCTGGGGTGGGGCACAGGTAGCTCTGGGGACAGATGTCCCGATTTCCTTGAGTTCAAAAAGTCTGAGGCAGATTTCTAACCCCTGACCTGAAGCAGCTTCATTTGGGAGCTTTTCTACTGATTTTCTACTGATTACATAGCACCACTATGGAGGAGGAGCGGGATTCCACCGGGCCTGAGGTGCAATCGTGGGGGTCAGCACTGCCTTCATGGCCCTGGGGGATGTTTGGGGATCACAAGGTTACCACCCAGCTATTGGGTGAGCCAGCTGGCTGCCATGCGACTGCCAGTTTCTCCAATGGACATTTGCACCTCGGTGTTTCGGTGAGTCGTCCCACCGCCTTTGCTCATTTTTCCTCCTTCTATTTTTAGGGTTTTTTTTTTAATGTTCCCGGAAAGGCGGCACCTCCCAAAGGTGGGGACATCTCACTGGCCTAGGGGCTTACTTTTCAGAGTGACTCAGGCGGGTAGAAGTTACTAGGGCTGGCAGGGCCAGAGCCTGTTGTTTTTCAAAGATAATCTGCAACTCTGAAGAGTGGGGTGAAAAGATTTCTACACAGTGTACATTCTACAGAATTCTAGTTTCTCCGCGGGCGCAGACTTTTCCGCCCTCTAGTCTAGCGTGAAAACAGTTCGACCACTGGATGTGGGCGGCGAAGCCCGCACCCTAGAGCGCGGTGTCTCCCTGCAGGAGGGAGCTCCAGCCCGCGCCGCCGCGGCCGCTTCTGGCCTCCTCGGGAACCGAACCGAGCATACCTCAGTGCTCTCCTAGAAGCGGCTCCTTTTCCCCTTCTTACTCGCGAATGGCGAAATGAATAGCCGCGCGGGATTTTACCCGTTTGTGTAGTGGACTCTGAGGGGGCACCAGGTACCGAGACGGAAATCTTTGCGGTAAGAATAAAGTCAGGTAAAACGCCTGGTACAGCCGCCCTGCAGATGTCCCAAGAGTAGGTCCCCCGTACACTCTTCCCATTAAGTTCTTAGGGGGAGGACAGGGAAGGCCCTTTGGTCTGGCTGGATTGATCAGGGAGGTATGCGCATATGTTTGCCCTCTGGACATTTGGGGAGGGGTTATGGGGGAGTTGAAGGCAAGAGGCAAAATCAGGTAGAACAAACAACTACAGCCAAGAGCGGCACTCTCGGGGAATGGGCACACGGAACTCCGCGCAAACCTCTGGCTTCTCAAACCTACAGCCCTGCCCTTTCTCCCTTTGTAAACAAAATGTGAATTACAGACTTACTGCCATCCAGACACTATTTCTCCCTAAATCTGGCCCTTAGTTCTCACTGGGATCCACGTTTTCCTCCGCTCTCCAGCTCCTCTCCATCAGGCCATGTCACACACAGCAGCCAGGCGGGGCCAAAAAGTTTTAGCGCGAGACCTCCTGGCTAAAACCTGGCCAGCGACCTCGACAACACATCCTAGGCCCAGGTGAAGGGGGTTTAAGCCCTTGCATCCAGGTAGCTTCCGGTTCTGCAGTGTGCTTGGTGCGGATTTGGGAAGTCTCCCTTCCTTCTCTCCTAGCCACACCCAGCCCACACAAGGGCAGAGAAAACCTGGTGGAAAATAATGACTCGGGCGACACTGCCCCTCTTCCTTCAATTCCATCCCTACAATGGTCTGCAAAACTATTCATGTTTGGGGGTCCAGATATTAAGTGGGGGTGGGTACATGTGGCTGAAAGAACACAGATTAGGCCTTCAGGCTGTGCCAAGCCAGGCCGGGGGCCTTTTTGCGTGTCCCGACATGGCAGTATGGTTGCTGCGTGCACTCCGCATAGCCCGTGTTGTGCGTGGCGGGCTGTCGCTGCAATGTGCAGCCCATTGACACTGATGGATGCGCCAATGGTTGGACGGACAGATGTTAGGGCGGATCGCACAGCGCTCGGCGCCTGAGCGGGGGAGGGCCAGGCAGCGACCCAGCGGCGGCGGCCGGCTACGCGGAGACCCGAGTTCAGGCCGCGGCCCGCAGTGGGAGGGGGCCGAAGGAACAGAGGTTTGCAAGAACAGCGAGGGGATGGAAAGGAGGAGAAAAGCGCGACCAGGGAGAACTACACGCTTCCGTGTGCGGCGCCCCGCGCTGTGCACACGCCGCACCGGGCGCGCCTAAGTGGGAGCTTCGAAGGTGAGCTGGGAGCCGGCGGGAGCTGACCCCGTGCGGCGCAACCCGCCTCCAGGCGACAGGAGCTCAGCGCGGCCACCAGAATGGTGAGGCCGCCGGCGGTGTCGGCCAACTCACCGTTTCCTCGCTTGCAAGAAGCGTTTCACGCTCCACGGCCGCGTCTCCCCGGCCTGGAGGAGTAGCGGTTCTGGCCTCTGCGGCCGCGGGCACCCAACGCGCACGGCGCCTCAGCCCCCGAGTCCGCCAGCCCGAGAGCCCCGCCGCAGCCCGCCTCGGACTCCCTGCCCCGCCTGGGGTCCGTACCCCACAACTCCGAGCGCTCCTGCGCGCGGAAAGGCGCTGGAGGCGGCTTTATAGCCGGGGAGGCCAGCGGCGGCGCATCTGCATCCTGGGAGACGTCTGGACCCAGCCCAAGCCCGCAGGCTGGGCGAGCGGAGACTTTTGATCTTACCGTGTGGGTGAGATCACTGTCTCCCGGTCTAAAAGAAAAGAAAGCATGCTGTGAACTTTTGAAACAAACTTGCAAAAACAGTCGTAGAGAAAAAATAAAAAGGACACAGGGCAGAAAAAGAGGGAGAAAGAGACTAAAAAAAGAAAAAGATAAGGGGAGGGGGAAGGAAGGAAGGAGAGAAGGAGGAAGAAGTCTGGGGTTTGCTGCTCCAGGAGCGCTCAGGCAGCCGGTGCTGGAGCGCGGGGCGCCCGCCCTCGCCGGGACTGTCGGCCTCGGGGCCTGCGAGAGCGCCAGAGCCCCAGCCGGCGCGCCCGGGCGCAGGGCCGCCTCGGGGATAGTGGGCCCGGAGGCCGCCCCCGCGCTCCAGCAGCCGCCGCCCGGCAGCGCCCGGAGCCGGCCCCGGCGCGGCCGCCCCATTCCCGGCCTGAGAGCTGGCCCAGGGAGACGCAATCGAGCCCGCAGCGCATCGATGCGCCGCCGCCCGCGCCGCTCGGGCTCCGGCTCCCGCTCAGCCGCCGCCGCCCGGGGGTCGCCCGCATGAGCTCCGGCCCACCCGCGCCCTCACCGCCGCCCGTAAGTGAGCCCGCGTCGCCCCGCCGCCCACGCCGCCCAGCCAGCTCCTTCTTGCCGCGGCCAGTCGGCCGGGCCGGCCCGGAGCCTCAGCGACCCCGATCACCAATCAATAATCAATCCCTCTAGTCCAGCAGCCCCGGCAGGCCGGGCGCGGGACACGGCGCGGCGGCCCCCTAGGCTCTCGGGGGGAGCCCCTGGCGGGGGATGGGCAGGGGAGCCCGGTTTCCTTCTCCCGCCCCCGTCCCGCCCTAGGATCGGCCCGCGCCGTGGATGGGGGGCGCGGCCCGGCTCCCGGGGGCGAGGGGCGGGGTGGAGGGACCCTGATCATCCCAAAGTCAGGAGAGGAAACTTGAAGGAACCCCCTCCCACACCGACCCCCGGGACGGGCCCAGGAAAGTTTGTCCGGGGAAAAAAAATTGGGGGAAGTGGCTACGGCGGGTCCTGGGGGAGGAGCTGGGTGGCGCGGGGTCTGAGGGCTGCCCCCACCCGCCCCGGCCCGCGCCCGCCTCCTCCCTGGAGGGGGCCTGCCCGTGGGCTCTGGCTTCCCCGGGGGACGCCAGCCCCGGCCCGGGGACCACGCTGGGGGCTCCGGAGTCGGCGGGTGGAGAGGAGTGCGAGCCGGGTGGGGCAGCTGGGGGGTGGCTGGGGACGAACGCTGGGTGGGAATAGGGGTGGGGGGTAACGAGCGCCCCGGGACGGGCTCGGCGGGGCTGGCGCCGCGCCCCCGCGTGTGCGCACGGGGCGGAGGCGGAGGGGCGGCACCCCTTTCGCTGGCGGGGCGGGGGTCCCACGCGGGCCTGGGGCCGGGGGCGGGGGCGCGGCGCCCCCGCGGGCGGGCGATTGACACGATCATCTCCTTTTCCTTTAAGCTTGCCTGTTGCCGACGCCGCCGCTCCAGCCGCGCCACGGGCAGAAGACTGGACCGCCGAGCCCCGGGCCGCGGCGGCGGCTGCGCGTCCCCCCGGATGCCGTGACCCCCGGCCTAGGGGCGGGGGCCGGGGCAGTACCGGTCCGGGCCGCTCCCGCGCTCCTCCTCCCACCGCTCTGCCCGCCCTCTCCCCGCCCCCCAGCCCCGAACCCCGCGCACCTCGTCTGGGGACGGGGCGGGGGGGGGCAGGGCCGCCGCTCCTCCCCGCCCCCTCCTCCTCTGGCCTCTGGAGCGATTTGTCAAACTTCCCATTCCGCCGGCAGCGCGGTCCTCCTCCTCCTCCTCCACCTCCTCCTCCTCTGCCTCCTCCTCCCCCCCGTGCTCCTCCCTCCCCGAGCCTCCCTCGCCCGCCCTCCTTCTTCCCTCCGCACGTTCGGGGTTCGCGGCGGAGCGCGGCGCGGGGGGGACGCGGAGAGCCTGGGCGCAGCAGCATCCTGCGGGCGGCCGCTCTCCGGGGGGGAGGCTGAGAGCAGGCCCGCCTCGCCCCCCCGCGGGCCCGCCGCCCCCTCCCTCCCTGTCCTCAGCCCGGCAGCGGCGGCGGCGGCGGCAGTGGCAGTCGCCGGAGAAGCATCATGCCGAGGAGGAAGCAGCAGGCGCCCCGGCGCGCAGCAGGTACGAGCCGCTTCCCCTTCCTTCTGCTCTCCTCCTCCTCTTCCTCCGCTCGCCCCGCGCCTCCAGCGGGCGCGACCCCGCTCCTCGCCCCGCTCTTCTGCCCGCACTGAGTAACTCCGGGCGCCGCTCTCCTGTTTGGGTGCGTGCGCCCGCCTCGGGTACCGGGCGCCCCCCGGACGCCCCGCCGCGCTCTGCCCTCTTCCCTCTCGCACCCATTTGGGGAGCCGCTCGCGGAGCGCGCTGAGCCGCGCCAGGTCCCTACCTCCTCAGCTCTCCGGCTGCAGAGGGAATGGGAAGCAACCCCGGCCTGGCTCTTTCTGTGGGTGGCGGGCGGGGTCACCTGAGTTCCCCGGGACATCTTCCGCGTCCTCCGAGCGGCCGACCGCCGGGGGACTGCCTGGTGTCCGCCGAGCCAGGGAGCGCGAACGAGTGAGCGAGCCGGTCCCCTCGGCCACCTTAGTACTAACACGATTGATTCCTCATTTCTTGGGCCCAAACTGGGCACAGCGGTGGAACCCGGAGCGCACAGGGTCTGGGTATTGTCAGATGACTGTCAAGTCCATGTTAGATGCTGGCGTTTCCTTCTCCCCTGTTTGTGTTTCCTCGCCCCCACCCCCTCCTTGTACTGCTGCTCCCACCCTCATCTCCGCATAGCACTTAGTTCTGGGACGTGTCTGAGTACTTTTTTGTTCCTCCTTTTTTTTTTTTTTTCTTCTTCTTTAACCGGGAGTGTCAACTCCTGTTAAGACTGAGCCGATTTTTTTCTTTTCTTTTCTGGAAAACGCATCATTGAAAACAAAACAAAAACCACACACATAACATTATTTTGCAATAATGTCGGTTGGGGGCATGTTGCCTGGAAGAAGGGTTTCTGGCCCGTTGCCATCCTTGATTTGATGACTGATTGATCGCCCGTCATGCTGCTGCCTTTGATCTATTCATTCCCAATAAACATCAATAAATCACTTGCAATAGTGAGGCCAAGCTCTGTGACGTCAGGAGGGCCCTGTCAGTGCAACTTTGGGATTTGGGGCGGATTGCCGAGAGGACCACATATGGACGTGATGTATTTTGATATGAGTAACACTCAGATGTGCAGAGGTTCAGATGCTCCCTGAAGGGGAGGGTTAAGTGGGGCTTCCTTTCTTTTCTTTTCTCTTCCTTTCTTTTACTTCTCTTTTGATGTTAAGAGGGAAGGGCAGAGAGTAGGGTCAGGGCATTGGCTGGTGCCCATCTTGGAGGAAGGCGTTGTAGCCATGGTGCCCTGAGTGCCCATAATTTCCATCATGCCAGCCGGCACTGCCAGGGGACCTCACACGTTGGCTGCACTCTGCACTCCAGACCCCTTACACGGGGTCACAGAGAAGGAATGATAATTCTCTCTTCTCCCAGAAATGTACTTGCCTGCCAGTGTCTTCAGAAAATCTCAGAAGAAAACAGGGTTGGTTTGGGGCTTAGGATGCAGGTTTTGCTCTCTGTCCTCGGTGTTGCCCAAATTTAGAAAGTTTGAAAATTCCAGGAGTGATTGTAGGGAGCTTGCCGCCTCCCTAGTTAACCTCCTGGAGCTTGCTTCTTGCCCGTCCCACCTTCTACTTTAAATTCCAGGCTCAAGCAATGAGCTTATCTACCCAAAATAAACTCTGAAACTTTGGAGGAATCCTTCACAAAGTTGAGTAGTAGGAATGTCTTGGGCTTCTTCCAGTCTTTGAAATTTTTTTTTTCTTTCCTTTTTGGATACACATTTTAAGGTATGTGTGTGCCTCCATCCAATGAACCATATGTGATTACATCTTTACATTTGGTTCAGAACTCTCTCTCTAGTTCATCTCTTCGGTTGCACCCTGCCAATCTGAGACTCGTATTTGATAGCTTCCTCCAGAAAAATATCAGAGGAGGAGGGAACCTGCTGTTGGCTTTATTTATTTATTTATTTATTTATTTTTAGAGCAACCTGTTCACTAACCTTTTCACACTTTTTTTTTTTTTTTAAAGAAAGCCAGCCAGGAAATCTCAGGTCAGTTAAGAAAAATTCATTATATAAAAAACTTGACTGCAGGACTAATAGGAGATGGAAGAATGGTTTTGCTCTATCAAAATGACCCGTCAAAACGACTTTGTTTCATATTTGATTTAATTGTCTCTCTCCTGACAGGCACATTCATCAATAGCTTAATGGTCAATCAGAAGCTGGCAGCATGAGTGCTTTATTTCTTTCCCATACTCGGGTTTTGGATTTACTTTATCAGAATGCCTCTGCCTAATGGACATGTGGAGGAGGGGGTGGAGGCGGACTGAAGAGCTACTTATTTAAGAAGAGTGGAGAGAAAAAAAAAAAACTCCACATTTAGGCTGGTGATAAGTATGCACAGAGGTTTTTTTTTTGGGGGTGGTTTGTTTGTTTGGATGGACCAGAAACTTCCCATTTTTTTCTCCTCTTTTTTAGTTTTCCCAGCTGCAAGTTATAAGGTTCATGCCAGCTTTTGTGGCATACTGGGAGTGATGACAAATTGATTGCTTTGTACTGATAGAGAGAGAGAGTGGGGAAAAGAAAGATGTCTGCTGATTGGTAACTGGAAATCCAGTCCCCAGCAACCTTGAGAATACTCGAGAATTTTTTTCCCCTCCAAACTGAAAGGTCCGCTCAGCCATAAAAAAAGAAAAGTTGTTTTGCCAGCTTCATTAGTGTTCACCTAATTAGCTGTAAACCTGATGGATTCCTGACAGCTTTAATGATTGGAGATGACAAGCTCGACGCAGTGTCATCCAGCAGAATTAGGTTTGCAGCTAGTTTGATGTAATCAAGTTGATATTACACAGTCCTGGCTGCCTTTAGTTGTGCATTAACTCAATTTTCTGCTGCAGGTGACAAATGGGCTTTGGTACCTGGATAATCATGTCATAGGAATTAGGGCCCTTTTAATGGTCTAGGGTAGAATAACAACCACAAAAGGCCAAGAGCTGGGTAGGGCGAGCAGACGTGGCACACAGGTACACACGGTCTTCATATCTAGGCCAATGTATCATTGCTTTCCCGAAGGCCGAAGCAGGCTCCAAGAATCCCTGAAAATACATATTTCTGTACTTTAGGATTTTTTGATGTTTTGATAGAAACTATGTATGGCTTAGGGTCTTTTCTCAAAGAGAAAGAGAGGTTTCTTTACCTGCCAAAGAGAAACCTGGGCGGGAGTTTGCTTCCTTGAGACCTGTAATTTCCAGGGGGTGTGCATTTGTGCTGGACAGATGTTGCTGCTTTTAGAAGCTCAGAGGAGTGGGGTTAGGGAAGGACAGTGTCCTTCAGGCAAAATGACCATTATCCCCTGCTTAAAGCATGATTTTCTCCTGTTCAGAGTGGTTTTTAAAAAACATTTCTGAAAATGCCAGAAAAATTTTAGTGTAATACTTAATAGCAGATATTTTACTTATATTAATTTTCTGGAGGCAAATGTGAAATCATAAAAGAC
Organism: Homo sapiens; assembly: GCF_000001405.40. Taxonomy (NCBI): domain Eukaryota; kingdom Metazoa; phylum Chordata; class Mammalia; order Primates; family Hominidae; genus Homo; species Homo sapiens. Next base: position 31,345,718 of record NC_000019.10, on the reverse strand, counting down.
CATTTCTTATGCTTCCAAAAGAAAAAAAAACCAAACAAAAAACAAAAAGAAACCATCGAACCACAATTTGCCAGCAAGCTATATTCTTTGAAAGGGGGTAATGTTCCGTGGAGTTCTTAGGTGGTAAAAACAAGGCAAGGGTAAATCTTCAAGCATCTTGACTTTTGTGAAAGTGACTTGGACCCCCTAGGGTCTGCTGGTGCCACAGAACACTGTGGATCCCCCTGGAACAGCCAGAGGGGGTTCCATGTTGCCAGTAGACATGGGCATGCCTAAGAGGTGGCCCACCTGGTGGTGTCCAGATGACACCTTCCTAAGTCTGGTCCACACATCGGGCAGCTCCAGGAAGGAGCTTTTCCGTTCTCTCTTGGAAGCACATGGAGCATTCAGAAGGGCATTTCGGCCTTAGCTTTGGGAATTTTTTTCGTCTCATACCTGCCACGTATTTCTCCTTGGACAGGTATTCTACTCTGTAGCAAGGTGGCAGAGCGACTGGTTTTGACCGTTCTATGATTTTTTTCTTCCCCCATTTCCTACGAAATGAGAGCAACAATGCAAATTCTAAAAAGGAAAGCCAAGAAGACGAAGGAGAAAAACAAAGGAGGTGGGAGGCAAGGCTATTCCCTTGGATGTCCACGTGGGGAAGAGAACCTTCCAGAATCAGCTGCGGTGCCCCCATTATCTTGACAGCTGTCAGTTAGGGCTTCAGTGCTCTCCAGGGCCACACTTGATTGTGAGCTGTTGATGTTGTCATTTTGTTCTCAGTTTTGCCTTGAGCGCGCTCATAAACAGGAGCCAGATAGTCAATAACTGATGCCTCAGCAGCGATTCCCTAAATTGCCTCACACGTCTGCCTTTTCCCCTCTTTTTGCTAAAGATTGTTTTGTCAAGTGATTAGAATGAAAGGCGACTGCTCAGGGCTGTGGGAAATACCGTGAAACCCAGGTGAGTTGAGAGAATTAAAACCATTCCTTTACCGCCGCCCTCCACTCCTGGGATTTCTGGAAAGAGAAAGGACCTACCTTCTTGAAGGCAGAGTGCCTGGACCTCTTGTGGTGCTTTCTCTTTTACACGTGTCCTGCCAGAGTCAGGCTGGGGCCAGGGCTGCGGCAGGCAGGCAGGCAGGCCCGCGGGGAGGCAGAGAGGAAAGGATTAGGAAGTGCCCGGTCCTGGTGCACACAGCCATGTTTAATCCAAGAGTGGCAGCAGTTCACAGTTATCCCAAGTGCAGTTTGTAAGGCTTTCCTCCTGCCCCATTTTCATCCCTGCCTGTCACTGGGCAGAGGGTAAAAATAGCTTTGGTCATGTCGTAAAACAATTAATAAAAATGAAATAAAGTAGGGTGTGTGTGTCTACCCTTCTGTGTTAGTGTCCAGCCCAGGTAGGTAGTTGGATCTTTCAAATCAGCTGCTTTATCACACCCCTGTAGCATCACCCTCAAAGCCCATGGAGGGGAAAAGGACAGAAGGGAACAGTGGTATCCAGTATCCCAAACCCTTGCAGGTGTTCACTCTGTGTGTGCGTGTGTGTGTCTGTGTCTGTGTTTTAGTTATGCTCTAAATTGTGGTTTCTCTGTCTGAAGTTACAAATGAAAGGTGAATACAATATATTGTATTTAGTAACAATGATATGGACTGGTACATCCAGACAGATAATGTGCAGTTGTAATTAGACTCAATAGACAGGCAGTCATTTTTAAATTCTTTGACACATGCATAAAATAGTCATATAATAAGATAAGATGACAATTTTATGTTAGGTTGATAAAGTGTCCCGATACATGCATTTAAATGTCTGTAAGCCTTTTTAAAAAAATCCAGACAGATTAATTCCAGTTTCCAGTATTTGCAATTAGTCACTAAATTTTTAAATCCCACTAAACAATGGCTATCAATATTTTTCCCCTGTTTCTGGATTTTCTTTAAAAAAAAAACAAAAAAAAAACCTGAATTGTAAGGACTGGAGACATAGACTTGGTAGCTTTTCTTAATTTTTCACCATTTGTAGAAATTTACGCTTAGAAATGGACTTAAAAATTCAGGTCACTGTTTGTGACCAGAATAACGCTATGCATTTTTGGAAGTAAAAAAAAAAAGACAGTAATAGAACATAATCTTCTTATGACCACTTGCCTGAACAACTGTCATACTCTAGGTTTAGGAATCTTTATTAGAAAGATTACAGAGTGTCCTTGACCAAATATTGAATATTTTATAAGCCCCATTTAAAAAAGAAGACATTTCTAGCACATGCACTTAGTTTGATCAGCATTTAGATTCTTGGGTTTAATTACTTTCAATTCTGTAAATTATTTTAGCATTTCAACAAGAATAGTCCAAGAGATACAGTCCGGGGGGTGGGGGCGAGTAGTTCACTGAAGGTCACGTTACCTGGACATTTTAACCATCTCCTTACCTTATTTTCTCAGATATGCAAAGGTGTGGCTCTTGAAGAATAATTTAAATTTGTTTGGGCTTAATGATAAATTATTAATTCATACTGTCAGGACACATGTTATTAATTATGACTGTGTTTTCTTCATCCAGAACAGCTGTTGGGGAAACAGGGTAAGTTCAGATTGTTGTCGGGAGGGAGGGCACAAGGAACTTACCAACTCCTTGTCATCGCATTCCTGGTCACCTCGCTAAGAGAATAAAGGATTGTAAAGGGTAGAGTGTAGGGGAGAGAGACACTGTTAGTTCTAGATCAAGATGGGCACTGGCAGATGCTAACTTACGTACATTTTTAAAAACGCAAGCCTAACTCTCAATGCACTGTGAATCCAGGTGAGATCCGAAGGCAAACCATCCCTGTTTTAATGTTAGCCAGGTTTTGGATTGGCTGCCCTCTCCCTTCCACCAGTTTCTCTGTGTTTCTTCTTTTTCCTCTGTGGTAGGCCAGAAGGTCATGTTTACAAGTTTATAGCAATGGAAAACACAATATTCAGAAAATATATTTGTTTCCCAAAGTGGAACCCATCCTTAATGGAGAGCAAAGGGCTGTTTGGTAATATACGTGAAATGACTCCAATTCATTTACTTTTGATTTTCCATTCCCATCATTAAATCTAGTCCTATGTATTCAGTTTCCTCTGAGTTCTTTGAGAAATGCATGTTGCATAAAATAGGCAATTTTTAATGAACAATTTAATGTAAATGGGTTTTGAATTTAAATTAATATTAATGAAGCCTTGAGTGAATTTATTTTGCATACGTAAAGACTTGTAAGTCTTTCACCCATGTGCTTTCTCCTTTATGTATTAACATTGGTTGGGTGGATTAACCAGCACCTTTTAAAGATTTACACTTAAAAAATTAAATTGATTTTATATGTCCACTATCACCAACGTACTATTAAGCAAAAAGCATGAGTTCAATTTTAAGAGAATACAGCTTTTTCCCTGTTAAACCCCTCAGTTTCCATTGCTCAGAAAGCTGCCGTTGGTGTGGCATTGCTGCTAGAGAAAATACACCCCAACAATAGTTACCACAATCAAGATGTTTTCTTTCTTTGGCTTACCTCTAATGCATTATGTATCCTGGAATGATACGAAGTTCTGTAATTAATTCTGTTAGATGTAATTGCTATAATCACTTTGATGTTACACATAATAAAGGTAATATGGTAAGTACATAAAAAATGTAAACACCTTATTGTAATACTCCTGCTAAAATGCCTTCTCATCAAGTCTGGTTTATAGACAAGTGTTCCTATTTTTGGTCATAGGTGACAGTTTATTCGAGCTGTGTTCATTGATATTCTAAAGGAGAGGCATTTATTGGAAAAGATGGGCCTTGGTTTGGAGGGATCTCCAAGCTGGTTGCCTAGGAATCTTAATGCCCGTTTTCTTAAAGATGTGGCTAATTATGAAAAGGTGACCATTGTCTTCTGAGTAGACCAGAGAGGTAAACACTTCAGAAGTAGCCGTGGAACCAGGGAAGAATGTGGCCTAGGAGTGAGTGAGGAGCCAGGAGAATGCTAGCAGAGGATTCGGATCAAAGGAGCTGTTCTGTAGGTTTTCTTATGGTGTGGGACTGTGGGAAGTGCTGTGTGTGTGTGTGTGTGTGTGTGTGTGTGTGTGTGTGTGTCAGAGAGAGAGAGAGAGAGAGTGAGTGCATGCTAGCAGGTGAACAGAGAAGGCCACCTTTCTATAACAGTGCAATAAGGGAAATAACATGCAGGATATCTACTTTATTATTTTCCTACACCTTTCATGGGGGTGGGGGCTACAGATGGTGCCTCACTGTTGCATGACATGTCCGGGAGTGGCTGATGTTGCCTGTTGGACTGAAACCTGTGTGGTATTTGAGACACACTCCCACCCCATCAGGCCTCTGTGCACCTACCCTGGATCCAGACCACCACAGGACATCAGGGAAGTTTGCCTGAGACCCCAAGTGCGCAATACTTGTGGGATGCTTCTGAAACACATGTACATTATGTACATTACTCTTTGCCAATGCATCTTGCAAGAGGCTAGAATGTGGTGGGGTAGGAAACTTGCCATTTAATTTTACCTTCCTGGAGATCCTAGAGTCAAACTAGTGTGTGGATCTGCTGGACACCCGTAATGAGCTGCACCTTGTCCCAAGTGTTACAGAGGTCTGGAGGCCTCGGGACTCAGGGTCAGCTTGGCAGTTTCCACGTGCCTTCCCCCATCTATATTGTATTTTTCAGTAAGGGATTGCACACAGAAATCAAATAACAGAAGGTGCCTGTGTGAGAAGGGGATGCTGCAGTCTCTTTGGAGGAAGAAAAAGGTGTGTTACAGTGGTTGAGAGATGGAAGGTGAACGCAGTGGTTCCCTGGCCTGTGTCCAGAGCCTGTGAAGGCAGGTCTTGCTGCCAGCTTTAGCTGGCTGGGTGCAGACTGGCTGGGGAAAGCGGGGCCTGCCTCCTGGGTCTTGGCCCTGCAGCCTCCTGCCTGCCAGGTAAGCAGGGGCTGGAGGAGAGGGTCCTGGGGTCTGGGCCCTGGGCCTGGGCTGCAAACCTGCAGCCCCCAGTCCTCCCGGTAGTGACTCCTAGACTGGTTTTGATGGTGATGATGATAAAAGGTCTGAGAACTCCATAGGCCCCAGTAATCAGGGCCCGCACTGACATCCTTCTCAAGTTTGACAGCTTCTTCCTTTTCTCTCCTCACCGCCAAGGCTTTCTCAACTGAATTTCCCCGCCCTCCCTCTCCCCTCCTCCCTGCCCGCCGCCCACCCCTTCCCTCCCTTTCCCCTTTTCTGTGTGCGTCTCTCTTGTTTCATGTTCTTGATCAGTTTCAGATGCTGGGAATTATTTTTTTTCAGGCGGGAGGGGGAGTGTTGCTTTAGGTTTGTGGGTTGGGCAGGTGTGAGAGGAAGTCTGTGGTTTTTTTTTTTTTTTTTTTTTTTTTTGTACTGTAGGCCTGTTGCTAATTAATGTTCCTCCATAAGATTCTGTCGGAGTTGAGTAATGTTTTTGATCTTTATGCCTGATAACTGCATACTTAATGAGATTTCAAAGCTGTGAGTGCAGCTCCCTACAATTATTGACAGATGCCTTTTCTTTGCCATTGGGTTCAGCTTCATAAATCCTCTCGCCATAATGAGGTTCAGCAGTGCCACCCTGGCAGTGAGCTAATGAAAGGGGGAGGGCGAGGCGGCTCATGGCTGTCTGACACATTTTTTTCCTTTAAAATTTACTATGCAGATGTCAAGCTGCGGGACGATTACTTCAAACATGCTAATTTTTATCTTGCTTTTGTGTCAGCCCTTTGCCATTAAAAAATAAATAAATAAAAGGGCTAACCTGACTCCACTTGATTTCTTTTCTTTCTTTTTTTTTTTTTAAAGTCAATTTTTTTAAATAACCCACGGTGTTGCGACAGCTAGGGACTTCGACACGTGCGTGGCCTTTTGCAGGTATCAGCAGCAGAACGCCCCCCCCTTTTTTTTTTCCTTTTTGCCATGGGAAGGGCAGTGGGAGGATGGAGTACGATTTCCCAGGCCTCCCATCACCCTGCCCTAAGTATGCACTTGAAACGTCGGAGAATTCATTTCAGAGTTCTGAAACTAAATCCTGGTGGAGAAGAGCTGCACCATGCCAAACAGTCGATTTCCTTTTCAGCAGAGTCATACATCACTGACCCACCCTTCCCTCCTGACAGAATGACATATGTCATTTATCATATGGGCCCCAGCCAGACTACGGGGAGGGGAGGGAAGCCCAGGTCCATGTGAGGCTGTCTCTTCCTCCTCTTGGTACTGTACCCTGTGGCTTGCAGGAGGGAGCTCTGCTGATTTGGCAAGAGGGAAAGGGAGGAAAGAGGCTGGGCAGGGGAGAAGGGGGTAGAGCCTGCTTCTGGATGGCTGGGTGCGTGGCGTGGCGGGTGGGAGATTGGCAGAGGCACGGGAGAGGTTATGCTCATTCATATTATCTGCTAAACCACACTGTTCAGCCTTTGACACTCTTCTGACTTTTTTTCCCCCCTTTCTCATTCCTTTTCTCTTTTCCCTGCCTTTTTTTTTCCCCATTAGTCAAGGGGAGAGAAAAAAAAAAGAAAAAAGAAAAAGGTTGACAGGTATCATTCAAGCCACCCTGGCTTGCAAAGGGTGGTAGAAATGAATCTCAGGGCTCCTGACTTCACATGATTCAAACGTGCGTTATTGAAGATGGATGTTCCTTAAAAAAAGATTGATGGTGGATGCCGGGCTTCGGGTACCATTTATCATTTTGAATATTATTTAGACTTGCCGTGTAAACCTGTAACTTGAGAGTCGGACAAGCTGGGGCAGGGTAGGGGCCTGTGTGTGTGTTTCTATCGATTGGCCTTGCCTTCTCATTGCAGCTGACCAGACACAAACCCTCGCATGTGCAATACAGAAGACTCCCCCACTGGAAAAAAAAGAAAAAAGAAAGAAAGAAAGAAAGAAAAAAAAGATGGAGGGAGGAAGGCTTTAATTTTGAATAATTTCCAAGGACACAGAGAAAAATGAAGTATCTGTGATTTACACTAAAGCTCACAGGCAACTTTCTCTCTCCCTCTTTTTCTTCCCCCACAGAAGCAGTCACGTACAAAACATTAAAATATAAACAGAGCTGCAGTTGCTGAAGCCAGAACCCTTGTCTGATTTTTTTTAAACTCCGTGTCATGCTAAAAAAAAAAAAAAAAGAAAAAAAAAAGAAAAACCAACACCGTATCTGAAAAGCTTAGCACAATATAACTATTAAAAAAATCTTTTGGTTGGCTTGGTTAGTAGTGTGAGAATGAAGAAACGTAAAGACTTCCACGTCTCAGGAATATTTCAGATAAAAAATAATCTTTTGCGGCTCCCTGCCCGGGCTCCCAGCAGCCTCTTCCCCTTTGTGTCTGAGCTCTGTCCCCTCTGCAGGGCCCCAGCAGACCCCCACCAGGCCTGATGTGGACAGCTGTTCCCAAGCCCTGCCAGTTAATCGCTTCTGGGTTTGCACCCTTGAGCTGTGTGCACCAGGACACCCCCACCTACTGGAAGTACTCAGGGACGCAGCCTGGTTCACTGACACAGCCCCCAGCTGCCTGAGGAGTCGGTGAAGCTCTGGCCTTTCCACCTCTTCTGCTGCAAGAGGCCTTGCAGCCTGCTTCCCTGGTGGAAAAAGGAAAGCAGAAACTCTAGGCCTTCCTGCTGGATCTACACTACTGGGAGAGCCCCGATAGTGCAAATTTAATTGGCAGGGATTCTATTAAATATGTGACTTTATTTGGGGTTGCTAATGAAATCAAAGGCTTGTTGTATGACTTACAGTGTGGACATTAATTTTTAAGAATGATGGGATAGAAAGTTAGAACGGAAGAGTTTTTCTACCTAAAGAAATGAGAATCTAGAATTTGTGAAAGGGCTGAATGTTCCTATCTTGCTGCTTCTGGGACAAACTTTTCCCTGACATGTAAAACGCCTGCAACTGCCATGAACAGGAAAGAAATGGAAATGGTACTGATTCACTCATCAACTCCAGGCAACTTTGTGTGTGTGTGTGTGTGTGTGTGTGTGTGTGTTTATTTTGAAATAACTTTATTCGCAGCCTAACACTTTGCACTGCATTCAGCATGACTTAGAATTTACTTTTGGTGTTGTCCAGCTGCTGCCAAAAATTGGGTAGAATCAGATTGGTATTCTTTGTTGGTGCCTGGAATTGTAGCCAGTGGTACAAAGGTGATGTTGTTCCTTGCTGAGACTTCGTGGAAGAAGGCAAAACTTTGATCATCTGCCCTTGCACTTGGGCAGTGTTGAAGGTGATTGGAGTACAAGTGCCAATTTGCAGGAACAATTGTAAACACCTTTGATACAAATGCCATCATCCCATTTTTACTGATTAGAAAAACTTTGCTATTAATAGGTGCAAAGTCCATTTCAGGTATAATTGGTAAGGAACTGAGTGCACTCATGGGAAGAAACCTTGTTTTGTTTTTTGTTCGCTTTTCTTCTTATCCCCTTTTCTCAGTTTTATGGCTGGAGACATGATTTATTGCAGCCATCCATCTTGGGGGCTCATCCATCACACCCGGGTTGCTAGGAGATTGTGGCAGCAGCTGTTTGCTCTGAATCAGACAGAAAAGTTGTCAATCATCAAAGGCAGGTGAATAGCATTAGAAACACGCTATTGTCAGACGGAATAATTAATCAAAGAGAGAAAAGATAATTAAAAAGATATGACCCTTGCAAGTACTTGCTCTGGGTTGCCTGTAAAAAAAAAAAAAAAAAATAGAAAAAAAGAAAAAGAAAGGAAGAAAGAAAGAAAAACTGCCTGGTCTTTTCTAGACACTTAAGCAGCTGAGGGCTGATAAAATATGCACTCTGCAGTGCATAGTTTTTAATTAATTGAAAAAGGTTCAACATTCAAAGACGATGCTGGAGAGAAGTCTGATTATGAACAGAAGTAATATTTATTGTTTGCTTGAAGGGCTTGACACAAAGTTCTAACTTTTTGTTAAAAATCTCTGGCTTTCCTGGCTGGTGAGGAGGCACAGGCTGGGGTCTTCAGGTATCCACTGGTGCCCCGCATCTGTTCCCTCCACTCCCCAGCCCACATTCTTGGCTCTTCCAGAGAGTCTCAGACCCCGAAGAACTGGAGTGAGACCCTGCTGACCAGGATCCGATGCCCTTCTACAGTTCTGGTGGGTCTGAAACTTCGTTCCTTAGATAACCGGATTTTTTAAAACATGAAGATGGGAAGCTTGAAAGACATTCCATGAGGTCCACCGTCAAGATGCTCAGAGTAAGCTATGCATCTCCTCTGGCCTCTTGCCTAACTGGAACATGCTCAAGGACCTAGAGAATCCATCCATCCTACTTCGAATCTGTCTCCGTGTGGTCCCACAAAGTGCACTACAGAGTCCCAGCCAGAGAGCGATAACCTGGCGTCACATTCTGAAAAGGCCCCCAGTCATGGTTTAAAGACCATTCTGGGTGCCCCTTTCAGCCTCAAAAAAAATTGTCATAGTTCAGGAAGTTCGTTCTTGCTTTTTCTGAAGCTAAAATATTCTGGAGGAATTGGAAAATGTATTAAAAACTAGATAGAAAGTGGCATATCTGGAGTTGCTTTTCAGTGAAATATGCTGCAAACCCTGAAACAGATCTACTCTTTTATTTTTGGATACTATGCTTGATTTTCACACCATTCTCTTCCCAAAGAATAGCAGGACTTCTAAAATTAGCAGGAGGAAAAAAGGCTTGAATATTAGAATTCATGAAAAGGAAGAAAGCAACACATTTTTGAGCTGGGACACCGTTTTCAGGGAACGCCAGATCAGTGCACTAGGGACTCCGTCCCTGACTCCCTCCCTGTCACAGCACCGGGGATTTTTTGCCAAGAGTCCCAGAGGAATCTCAGGTGGCTGCACCTCATGGTGTGACGTCCACCTTCTGTAATGAATGCACTTGGAGCCCACGGGGGTGACACAGCTCTGGCCTTTTGGGGATAGAGAAATATATGTAGAGAGAGACCCAGATAAGCAAAAGCACCTGCCAGGCCTGCTGGTACCCTCACAGAGGTCTCACCTGTTCAGGAGGCTGGGGCAAGTGTTCCTTATCAGAACTTGGCCTTTAGGGAAATGAGTGGCTTCGACTTCAGGTGACGATTTGGGTTCTTGAGCCGGAATCTCCTTGGTGGCCTTCTAAGCTCACAAGTCTGAGTGGGAGACAACCAGTCTCTTGAGTTTTCTGAACACACAGCAGTGGTCCTTAAGGTCAGTATTTTCCAGGGCAGTCAGTACCTGTTCTAGACCAACAACGGGGTGTGCTGCAGGAATGCCAGAGATTCCAGTAGATGCCTGACCAGGGCTTGAGAGCTTCAGGTGGATGGCAGTGTCCGGGCAGGGGAGGAGGCCCTCCTGTCTTCCGTGAGACCTGGCCATTTGGAAGTGGGCCGTGAGGGTAGCTCCTCTGTTCCTCAGAGAGAAATTCTTGTAGTTGCCATCTCTCCTTTCCAAATAATTGCTGAGAAAGCGCTTTGCTTAATGTCAGCCAACGCAGTTCCAAAATGTGGCGGTTCGTCGGGGAAGGGCAAAGGAAGAAAGATCCCGTGAATCATTTATGGTAGATTTGTGAATTCACATATAAAAAATGTCAACCTTTAATGCTAGTAAAATTAGAGTGAGATTTGCTCCCTCTTAAAAATGGGAAAACAAGCAATGGGTGAAGAAGAGGGAAAGTCTTTAAGTTTTGAGAAGTTCACGCAGGTCATTTTTCCTGGAGCCCTGGTCAGGATCTTGTGTTTCTTGCTCCCCCAGGTAACCCCTGGCAGCTTTTTGAGTGACTCACTGAACACATGACAGAGAGAGGGCAGGAAGAAGGGATGATGATTGCTTATTCTTTAGAGGAGATTTGGCTTCTGTGGGTGTGCATTTTGGCCAGGATTTCAGCATCTCCGTCCCCAGGTTATGGATTCTCTGACATGGGAGCCAGGCATAAACATAGGTCTCTTATGTCTCAAGGGGGCATGGCAGGATAGAGCCACCACATTCAAAGCCATATGTTATGGTGAGAAAACCTAAGACTCCACTGACCCCCGCATCAACTTGATATTTGAGTGTTCTATCTAAGTGATGTGTATTTGCCTCCTGGAGTTCCATGAGACAAGGTTACCTGGAAGTCATTTTGGTTTTTCCTAACTCAGCTGCCATAGACTCAAAGCAGGCTCAGCCCCCACCCTGCTGGCTTTGCCTGAAGCCTTAGGATGAGAGGGAAAGGCAGCAGAAATTAACCAGTGTGACTCCCTGTAGGTAGAGACATTCCAAAACACTTAAAAGACCTCAGTGCATTGCATAAGACGCAATTGTTATTACTCATCTGCCTAACAAAAAGCTTTTGAAAGGGGGCAGAGATTCATATTTGCCAGAGGAGAAGATGGGTTATCAGTGGTTTTCATGTGGTGAAATGTTCCCATTCCATTTCTTGCCTTTGTTTCTGCTCTGAGGTTGTAGTAAAATGGCTCTTTCACATATATTAGTTAGCAAATACTATGGGTGTGTAATAGATGAGGCTGCGGTGGTGTTATTTTCTCTTGCTTTTCTGTATAAAATCATAAGGCAGAGTGGACCCTCCCCTACGTGACAGTGACGGAGGTTCCTACCGAGATGGTTAGGTGAATAACTAATAGAACAAACACGTAGTCAGCTGGGCAAAGGAAAATAAATAAAATAACAGCATGTTCTTGGTTCTTAGAGCCGTGCAACATGAGCCCTGTTCAAATTGGGTCTTGGAGCTCCATACTTTCTGATGTAGTGTGGGTGGGGAGGGAGCAAGGTATTATTTGGAAACACACGTACACGCTCCTTGTGAAAGAAGTGGAGTATTTAACATTTCTGCAAGGAAAACATCTTTCATTACTTGACGTGTTCTGTGGTAATGATTTTTCAGTTCAACAAACAAGTACTTATTAGCGTGCGTGCGGGAACCTGGCTGAGGTGAATGGCAGGACCATTTTTAACGGGAACGCGCTGGCCAAGTTTCATGGGGGCCTGGCTGGTCCAGGTGGTCCCAGGATGATGGCTCACTTGGCCTGGAGAGGCAGCTCTGGGACAAGCATCCCACTGTAAAGTCCCCCGGGCCCCATCACTGGGGCCCAAGAGCTCAGGTTGGAGTGACATCAGCATGTTTGTTTTTTTTGTTGCAAGCAGAACCTTCCATGGGGCTTCTTTGGTGGTTTATAAAGTGGATCTGCCTGGAGAGATAACACACTCTGCATGCCACGGGGTTGGCTGAGGATTTGCTGGTTCAAGGGACTGTTTGGGTTCAAGATGATATGCGGGTGAAAAGGGCCGATCCAGGTCCCCTTGCTGAGATGGGTCTGGTTTTTGTAAATTGACTTGTTACAGGAGGGAGAGTGTAGGCACAAGAGCTGAGTGGGAGCGTTTCTGCAGGGGGAATGGAGCTGATTTTCACCCAGAGAGGGGCTCGCATGTCCTTGGTCATAACCTCCTGAGTTGGAGTAGTGTTAGGGAGGGCAGCTGCATTGCTCTTCGCCCTCCCTTGGTGGGAGTGGGAGGGAACAAATGCCCTGTTCATGTAGATCTCTCTGAGGCCCCAACTCCCAGACACTTTGAGTGTGGCCTTCACCCCTGGATTTATTTATTTATTTATTTATTTATTTATTTATTTATTTATTTATTGTGAGACAGGATCTCCCTTGTCACCCAGGCTGGAGTGCAGTGGCATGATCATGGCTCACTGCAGCCTCGACCTCCTTGGGCTCAGACAGTCCTCCCACCTCAGCCTCCTGAGTAGCTGGGACCACAGGCACACACCATCATGCCTGAGTAATTTTTCTATTTTTTGTAGGATGGGGTTTTGCCATGTTGCCTAGGCTGGTCTCGAACTCCTGGGCTCAAGCAGTCTACCCTCCTCGGTCTCCAAAAGTGCTGGGATTACAGGTGTGAGCCATGTGCCTGGCCTACCCCTGTTTTGTTTTGTTTTGTTTTTGTTTTTTGCCTTTATTCCTATGAGATAGTAAGTGCACTAGCCACTGTAATTGCAGGCCTGACCCAATATGGCTTTTTCTCTGCTTTGCATTGCATTCATATCACGGTGTTCATAAAATTAGAAATAGCGAGTTGTGCAGCTTTTTTGAAGAACCCCAGTAATCACAGTCCCCTAAACTGGAGTCCCCACCAAACTGAGACTAAGTAGGGATGGGTGATGGCCCTGTGCAAACTTCATGGCACATCTCCGTTCCCCAATACAGCTGATAATTTTAGTGGATTTGTGCCCCAATCACATCTGATGAGGGGTCGTCGGTCATCGTGGCTCCAAAAAATGTGATCTCAGTTTCTATCCCATGACATTATATTCAGTAAGTGAAAATGGCCTTGAGCTTTCAGAGCCCCACCAGCTCCGTGGTTCCCTTCTGCCATGGCAGTGTGGGGAATGCAGCAGTTAACACTGTTTATACATTCCAGGGGTATTAAGCAGTTAGGTTACTGGAATCGTGGCAGAGCGAGTGGGAGCCGCATTCTGGGTTGTGTCTCTGTAATCAATTACTAAACATATCATGAAATTCCAGATGTAATAATAAAGTTTATGATGATTATATTGTCAGGAGGCCGGGAACACACCACCTCATTGACAGCTGAAGGAAGCAAGAGAATCAGCCTAGGTTTTGCCTGTAATAGGAAAAAGGGTCTTCTTTTGCTCCCATCAGTGATTCTGCATACTTTTTGTGAATGGAAACATGCATTTTTTGGAGACTCAGTTAGAGGGGGAAAAGGGAGAGGTTGAGAAGGGAACACCCTTGGTTTTATGGGGGACATCTTCTTCACGTACCTCCTCTCCCTTCCTCCTCCTTGCCCCTGCCCAGAAGAAAGTGCCCGGGGGAGGTGACATCTTCTGCAGTCAGGGAGGCAGGCTTGGCTGGGGCCCAGCCGCTCTGCCCTTAGAAGCAGCCACCCCTCCTTACGAAGGTGCAGCGTGCTCTGGTGTGGAAACATAAAATGGACGTTCTGTGAAAATCAATTGACTGTCCCGGCTGGACCAGACAGCTCTGACACCACAGTAGGTGGCAGGTGGTGAACATAAGGTACCCAGAAACCTTGGCCGCAGTGACACAGTGAATGCAGCCGCTGGCCTCCTTCCTTGCAACACTATTTGTAGTTTCTTCTCTCTGTGCGTCCATGGCATTTCCAGAAAATGCATCTTGAGTTGACTTCCCTTCGTTATGACACAGCACTGCAAGCAGGGTCGAGCTGCAGTTGGGAAGTTTCAGGGCACATTTCGGCCACATCTGCTGGTACCAGTAGGACCGTGATTGTTTTGGTGGTTGTATGAGTGCAGATTAATTAAACAACAGTAACAAAACAGAACAAAACAAAAAAACAGCAATTCGCAGCAGATCTGAAATATCAGTGACAAAGACAAAAAAAATGATAAATAAGCTATTCCAGGCTATGAAAGAAAATTAATGCCCCTTTAACTCATCACTGCGCCAAAAGTAGATAATAAAGTGCTTACTATGAGAGCGGTTTTACAGACATGTTTCCTGAGGCTCTGGTACAGGTGAGCTCAGGAAGGCCTGGTGTCGCTCTGTCCACATTCCCCGCGTGCCCTCTGAATCTCTGATGCTTTGGTTCAGCCCGGGGGTCTCTCTTAGGCCAGGGTTACATGCGCCGTTTCCCTCCTTCAGTCCTTAGAGGGAAGGAGGGGGTATCCCTTTCGGTGAGTCATAACTCTGCCGTTGGGTTGGGCAGCTCTCATGTAGAAGGGAGATTTTAGGAAGCCCGTCTTTGCTAGAATTTGCCTGGCAGGCCCTGCGTTTCCCATTGTCCTTCTGCCACCATGGTGACTGGGGACATGCCCGTGCCTGTGGGGGACAAGCATGCATGTCAGTTTTTGGGCATGTCAATGCTGATTCCTGTGCCCTGGGGTACGGCCCACCTTCTCTCGGTAGAGCTGTGACCCTGCCAACAGGAAGTGCTGGGAAAACAAGCTCCTGACACCTCCGTCTGGGGTCTGGGGTCGCCTTCTCAGCGTGGGCTGCTTCATGACCCATAGGTGTTCTGGACTTTCCTCCCCCCGCCCAAGGATTAAACAGCACTTGGCTCCTTGTTAAAAGCACATTGATGTTTTGAGCCCAGAGGGAGGTGTGGATCACACAGCAGGTCAACAGCCTCCATTTTGCACCCCGCCATTCCCTGTGGCTGGTTAAGGTGGGAGTGGGTAGGGAGGAGAAAACAGAACTAGAGAGTGACATTGGGGCGATGCTGACCGAGGGTGTGACCCAGGCCAGGCCAGGCTGCTGTGGCCACTGACCTGCTCCTCCCTGCACTTCACATGGGAGCTCGGGCATTGGGAGCCGTCAGGCCAGTCCTCAAGGTACGGCCAAGCAGCCCGGAGGCCACCTCCCGAGGCCTGTGCTAGCAGCTCCTGGTCCATGCCTGCCGGTCAGCTCACTGCTCCACCCCTGCTAGGCGTTAGATGTTTCCAGAAGGCCTGAGGGCCAGGCAGGTGAGGGGCTTCAAGTTCACTCAGGGCAGCTGTTGAGAGTTTAGCGAGTTTTATTTTTGCCCCCAAATTTAAAAGTATCACGGAAGGCAGAGCTATTACAGAGAGAAACCAACCTTTTGGTTATCACACAGCAGCTTTTATGAATTAAAAAAAAAAAAAGGATCTTGACCCTCTTTGAAAGGAAATAAAGTAGGAACCCAGTGTTAAGGAAAACAAAAAAGCTGATATTACAGTTTTTATGATTACTCATATCCTAGGCTGGAGCTTGAGGAAACCAGTTATAATGGAATTTCATTTTTTTCTCTTCCTAGTTGTGTGTCTGCGCTCTTTTTTCCATTAGAATGAGGAGTGGTTCATACTTGGTGTGGAAAAAAAACACACAACAATTTTGGCATGTGATCCTTGCTCTTAGTTGACCCAACGCTGATGGGACTGAAGATAGAATTATGCGGCCTTGTAATTAATTATCGAGCTATAAGGGGAACTGTGGAGTGAAGAGAGAAAGGGATGGAGTTACACAGGGCGGTGTTCCTGCCTCTCTCTCCACAAACACCCCCACTCCCAAGTGCTGTACCCAGGTTTAGCTTTGACACCATAAATAATGCATCTTCCGATATTCAGAAGTGAAAAATCTAAAGCCATCTAGTGGTTCATTTTTATTGGTAGCCACTGTATTAGCACCATTTAAAAACACTATTTTATTGCTGTGAGTCTGCAAGTTGCCAGTAGCAGTTCACCAATTTCACCGGTGTGAGGTGAGGGGTAAGATGATGACCAAAAGCAGAGATGCCTCCACTCTGCCTAAATTAAATGTTTGTGCAAGTAAACTTGAGCGTGCCCATTGCCAGGGCTGACCTTATACCACTAAGTTCTTGCAGTGGCCTGGATGATTGTAATGGAGGTAACGTGATATAAATGTAAACTTTAGCCCTGCTTACACAGAATGCACAAGGCAGCGTGACACCTTCATTTCAGTAGTAAGAAATTACCATTGTCTCTTATTTCTTGCTCGGAGCTTGGGTGACCAAGCCAAGAAGTAATTACACAATTAGGGTTGACAAAGCAGTTCCTGTAACATTTCTTTCTCTTAAGTTTGGGTAGCTTATTTCAACTTCACATTTTCCATATCTTTGTCATTAATAACAAATATCCGTTTTCAGTGCAATACATGTGCCGCATGAAGATTGGGAGCCTAGTGTAATTTAATGATGAAATGTGAGCATTTCATTTTCTGTAAATGTGGCTCTTTGAAGTTTAAGGTAGACATCCAGGAGCTCACACGGCCCCTGTACAGGAAGTTGACTACCAACTCTTCCGCAAGTGAGATTGGTGAACAGTGATTGGGAGCCACTCCCGCTTAGGTGACAAAGATGTTTGAAAGGATATGCAGATATGTGACATGGCTTATCTGGAAGGCTGCCTCTTCAAAGTCATCTCCCATTACTATGGCTCCAGATAATTCTTTAATCTTAAATTGTGTTATCTGCAGTATGTATACGGTATTGTAATTAATTGTCACCAACTTAAAATATAATCTGTTTGGAGTTTATATACCATCTAGGCCTGACCCTTACCTAAAGAAGAAAACACCTCACAGTTTCTCTCTTCTTATTTGTTATTGGATATGAAAGGAGAGAGACACTCTCTACTAAAGAAAAATAGACCTGTTAAGATTTAACCCGCCATTCCTTGAATAAGATGTTCTCAGAACTTCTGTTTTGGTACCAGCTAATGCTGCAAACAAGCTTTGAAACATGGATGGCTCAGCTGGGAGGTGAATGGCCTGCAGGAAGGTTGGGCTCCATCAGCAGGGGCCAGTCCACTGAAGCAAGTCAGTCCTGCTGCCATTTGTCAGCCTGGGCTGGCCTTCCAGAGCCCATCCCTGGTGTGGGAGAGGTGCCAACGTGGCCCGCAGTCCCCGCTGTTTTATAGCTGATGCTATATGCACACACCCAAGGCTTTTCAAGGCTCACACTCAGAGAAGTGCCCACTGGTCTTCCCCTCAGGTGGACAGAGTGAGTGAGTTCCCTGCTCCATGAGCCTAGCACTTCGCTTTTCAGCAAAGGTGCCTTGGTTTTGGGTGGATCTTGTATAAATGAATTCTAGCTGGGGGCCTGGGCAAAAGTTATATTTCTTCTGACAGAGTTTGTAGCAACGTTTTTCTTAATTATTCTTGATGTTTTGCCCATTATACCATTAGCTTCTTCAGAGGACAGAGATAAATAGCTGGTATCTGCAAGAACAAAGTGTGAACTGAATGCATTTAATTATTGATATCTCAGTAACTAAAGGCTCTAGAATGATGTTGTCAAATGCCTTAGTGATCTGACAGCCGATGTATTGGTTTGCAGATGCAACTAGAGACAATGTCCATGTAAACTCTAGAGAAAGAGAACACTAAACAAATAAGAGAATATCGTAGTTCATTTTCTCATTTCTTTATTTTTTTTCCCAGTGCAATTCGTTTCATTTTGTGTATTGGATTTTGAGGTTTAGGGGCTGTGCAGGGTGTTTTATTTCAATATGTGGTAAGATACAAATTGCCTTCATACTATCATATTATTGCCTTTAAGTATACTGCCTGGCTCAGTTACATATACACTGTATATTTATATGCGTGTATACGTGTATTGTGTGTACATATATGTATTCTTACATATGTATGTATATGTATGGTACATATGTGTATCACCTAGTGGAAATCAGTGTTCTCACAGTCTTATTCTTATCAGAGGGATTTTTAAAACTAGCCTTATATGCATGTTTTCAAGAATAAAGCAGAATGCTAACAAAGTGCATTTTCCTTCCCTCTCATTAGATATCAGATCCCTTTCATATGTAGAAAAGTAAGGATTTCAGGTATTTATTCTGACATGTTGACATAACTCCACATATTCAGTTACCTCAATTTTTAAAATCTATTTTACTATCTCTCACATGTAGAATATGATTCCCAGGGTTTAAAACACACAAGGAAATTGATCGCTGTTCAAAAATGTGCAGCGGTAGCCCAGAGGCTCAAAGTCTAGAACCTCGAGCTACAGGTCTCAGGGAAGAAGGGAATTGGTCGAACACATCCAGTAATGCCGTGGAATATTCTTTTTTCCTTTGAAGGTTTGGCTTACAGTACTGTTCTCATGATCATGTTTAATTCTATGTTTTTTCTAAGGGCTTTTTACTCCTCTGCTGGTTTTTTTTTTAATGAAACAGAAAGCTGCTGCCTTTCAGTAGCCTGGCTGAGTGCTGTAAGGAAGGAGAGTCTACATTCTGGACTGCTCACTTCTCTCCAGGATGCCTTCTCTGGCGTTCCTCACATGGAGCTGGACTTCTCCCCTGTATTTGCATGCTTCTCTGGCCTGTGCACACTGGCACACTGGGGCACACATAGGGTTTCCATCAGAGCCGAAGGCTGCGTGAGACTTGGGGAGGATATTTATTTGAAGTTGCACAAATGTTTACAGTAAGGGAGACTGAGACATGGGCACTCGCAGTGCAGAGCTACCCTGAGCAGAGGAACTGCCTTTCCCTCCTGTCTTCCATGTGCTCCGTTCTCCCTAACAGCAACAAACATGCTGTCTTTTGCAGCTGCTTACTTGGAAATTAAATAATGAGCCTCCTGAAGATGGTTGCTTCACACTCCGAGGTTTCAGCCCCATGAGAAAGTGACTTACAGCGATAGATGAGGGGAGGTCAGCACCACCCTCACTGTGCAGGCTCCGAGCATCTGGGTGTGGGTGTGTACGCGTGCTCATGCACACACAGACACACGCAGGCACGTGTGCACATGCACACACACGCGCCAGGCTTCTAAGCATGCAGGGCTGCTCTACAGAAGCTACCTAGAGCCCTGAAAGATTTGACAGTAGCTTTCTCTCATGAAAGTGGATGCATTGTCATTCTTTAAATTAAACAAAATGATGTCCATAATGCAATATTCAAGAGAATCAAAGGGTATGCAGTTAAAAGAGAGTCTTCTTCTAACCCCAGCTCCTCAGTTCTTCTCCCTAGGGGCAAGCACCGATACCAGTTTGTAGTATAGTCTTCTAGATATTTATGTTGGTGCAAAAGTAATTGCAGTTTTGCCATTAAATTAAAAGTATATTTTAAATATTTTAAATGAGAAATCCACACTTTACACTCCATGTTGTACCTGTTTTTGTCTAAGAATATACTTTGGATATCTGCAGTTTACTTTGACATGCATCCAAAAGTTAAGATACATGGAATGATGGGTATATATGTGATAAAGCAAATAAAGCGGAATGTTAAAGTTTTAAACTAGGTGATGGGTGTACAGGCAAAATTCTTTAAACTTTGCTGTGTATATTACATTGTACATAATAAAATGGTGGCAAATCTATGTATCTCAGTCATCATCTTATATCATGTTAGGTTTCAGCTGCTATATCCTACCATATTTTGTTGCACAGAGCTGCCTTATACTTTTTAAGGGCCACGTTTGACTCTAGTGAATGAGTTACCCTCTGCATGGACATTCTGGTTGCTTCTAGTCTTTTCTTTGACAAACAGTACCATAGTGAACATCCTTCTGCACACGCCTTTGTATAGTAATGTCCTTCCACTTACATCCTTGTGGGATGCAGTCCTACAGGCGGAATTGCTAGCTGAAAAGGTATGTTCAGGTTAACAAAATGATAAATATCCAAACTGTTCTCCAAAAAGATCACACACATTTCGCTTCCCACAGCTGCGTGGGAGTGCGCGCGTGATGTCTCTGGCCGTCAGCGCTTAGGTAGGACAGCATCACAGTCAGCAACCCCTTCTCTCGCTCAGCAGGCACCCAGAAGCCTCCATGCATCAACAAAAATGGATACGGATATGAAAGCATATGAATCCCTGTATTCATCTCAGACATCTTTGCCTTTTTTATTTCAGTCTCTGGGTGACAGCAAATAGGTAAATTCATAGGATCACAGCCTTTTAAATTCATCTGCAGGGACAGCCTCATTGGATGGACGGGAAAACTGAGACCAGCCTAAGTTCACATGTCATTCCCTGGCCGGTCCCGACCAGTGAAAGCACTGAGGGTGTAAAGCCTGGCTCTGTGGCCGGACTGCGGAAGCCCTCTCCATAGGCATCCTCATTACCTGAGGTCGCTCAGAGAGCCCAACGGCCAAGACACAGAGGCACTGTGCCCGTATACTACCTATGTTTAGTTCCTACGGAGCACAGCGGAGGTGGCTGGCTACAGCGCGGAGCTTCTTAGATAATGACCGAGGAATACTGAAAATGTCCTTTTGGGTTTTAGCTGAATAATATTTAAGGATTTTGAAACAGTGACTTAATTTTGTTTTTATGTAATTGATGGCATTGTAGTAAAACGTATTGAGACACCACATCAGCATTTTTCTAACTGTTCCTTGGAGAAAAATATGCTCATATGAAAATGGTTTCTTCACTTTCCACTTACGGAATTGAAAAAATAAAAAAAAAATCACTGTGCTTCCATGGAATCACTATACCCAGAGATTCTCTAATTTTAAAGGGTTTTCCCCTCTGGACTTGGCCTACATAATGCAAGGATACTTTGCCTTTCTAAGTGGGGTTGTCCCTTGTTTTAGAAGCAATGGTAGTGGAGACAGAGGGACTGTTGTGTCAGAGAGTTGGTGCAGAATGCTGGTGGGGCAGATTTCAGGGAAGTTCCATATACCAGAGGCCATAGGCCTCCAAACCTAAAACCCAGTGGTAAGTCACTTCCCATTCAGGCTTCACGCCCCTTGCCCATTCTTTTGGGTTTGGAAGGTGCTTGAAGGAAAGCTGTCTCAATGCTGCAGTGTTGGAAACTTGTGTCTGAATTTGAAGCCTTCATCGTGTTATGTTGATATCAAAGAAATCAGGATATTTACATAAATTATATTAGTTTTCCTAACTTGACACAATTGTTTATATGCGGGAGGTGTAAGTCAACTGGCAGTATTCATCTTGTTCCAAACTTTGCTGCTTAAGATTTCATTCTGAATAGTCAAATTGTAAACGTTAAAAATGAAAATTCAGACTGGATTTATAATGATGGAAAACTCACAAGTCTACTACATTAAAATCATAATGATAATAATAACGCTTTCAAAACAACCTTGGTTGCCTCTCTAGTAGCTTGGTTTCCTGCTCTACTGATGGTAGGCTGGCCCAGTGTGCACAGCCTTGAGGGCTTGGCTGTGCAAGTTGATGTAGGGGCGGAGAGCCAGCATCAAATTGGGTGCTGCGGAGACGTTTTTTCCTCCTGCTTTTGGTTGTGAAGATGCCCCTCGTGGCTTCTGATCCCTGAGCCCTCGGTGATGCCTTGAATGAGGGTAGCCCCACATGCAAAGGGATGCCCTAGGCTGCCTATCCTGCAATGCACTGTGTGTGTGTGTGTGTGTGTGTGTGTGTGTGTGTGTGTGTGTGTGTGTGTGTGTTGGAGGCCAGGTTCAAGTACAAGAGCAGCAGCTGCTGTCTTTACCACCTGGGAGAAAACATCTTTCTGAGGTGTGTGGCAGTGTGGGAAGGTGATTGTGGATGGGGTGACTGTGTGGGAGACTGTGGTGGGTCTACCCTGATGTATCTGCACCTGAAGCCAACTTCTTCCTGGTCTAGATGTGGACATTTCTTAAAGTTTATCCTGGGTCTACAAATGTGAAATCATCTGGGTATTCGTAAACCAGCCGCATCACTGAGAGCAGAGGTAAATCCAGTGCTCCCACTTGGTAGAGTTCTTTGACAATGAAGCTGTGTAGAGGTGAACAACAAAACCCACAACAAAGATAAAGAAAAGAAAAGGAAAAATATGCATTGATAGAATTATGCTTTGTCTTTCTACTTAAATGGCAAAACTCATGTGTCTTCACATCTGGAATAAATGTGATGTTTTACAATTAAACCTATTTACGGGAGCTCACCATTGGATCATAGCATTTGCTTTCTGATTTTTAAAGGCCCCCAAACCATTGAATAGTAAAGAGTGCTGAATGCCATGCAGTGAAGTTCATGATCATAGGCTACTCTGTGGAACTCAGGGATCTACGGTGGCAGCATGCTCCTGGGTGAGTTGGGCAGCTCCTGGCTGGAAGAGGGAGGCCTGGCCTTTGGTGTCTGGCTGTATGGACTTCCACTCCTTTGAGGTTATCTCAGCATTTGATAGCAGAAGGCTGGTTTAAAACATTTTCATGTGAGAGAAATGCTCTTGACCCAATGTTGCGTGAAAAAAGCAGGTTGCCAAATACAATACCAACCCAACACATTCACACACATGCACACATTATAAAGGGAAAATAAAAGGAATAAGCACTCCAAAATGTAAGGGTTTTTATTTTTCTGCTTTCTTCTATATGCCTTTATTTTCCAAATTTTCATCAATAGACATATATTGCTAATCCTTGATGTTGATGTTATCTTGTATCAGAGAGCTTTGTGGCTGGGAAGAAGGTAACTAAATAATTAGTTTCATTTATTCAGTCATTCATTCGTTCTGTCACTCATTCATTCATTCATTCACTCATTCCTTTATTATGTCCATCACTAATTTATTCCTTCACTCATTCATCCATTCAAAAAGTAAGTACTGGCTGGGGATGGTGGCCCATGCCTGTAATCCTAGCACTTTGGGAGGCCGAGGCAGGAGGATCGCTTGAGGCTAGCAGTTCGAGACCAGCCTGGGCAACATAGTGAGACCTGGTCTCTACAAAACATTAAAAGTTAGCTGGGCATGGTAGCATGCATCTGTAGTTTCAGCTACTTGGGAGGCTGAGATGGGAGAATCCCTTGAGCCCAGGAGTTCATGCCTATAGTAAGCTATGATTGCACCACTGCATTGCAGCCTGGATGTCAGAGTGAGACCTAGTCTCTAAAAAAAAATACATACATAAGGCTAGGCACGGGGGCTCACGCCTGTAATCCCAGCACTTTGGGAGGCAAAGGCAGGAGTTTGAGACCAACCCAGCCAACATGGTGAAACCCTGTCTCTACTTAAAATACAAAAATTTGCCAGGTGTGTTGGCCGGGAACCTGTAATCCCAGATACTTGGGAGGCCGAGGCACGAAAATCGTTTGAACCCAGGAGATAGAGATTGCAATAGGCCAAGATTGTGCCACTGCACTCCAGCCTGGGTGACAGAGCAAGACTCCGTCTGAGAAAAACAAAAAAAAACAAACAAACATAAAACCATTATTCTTAGCAAACTAACACAAGAACAGAAAACCAAACACTGCGTGTTCTCACTCATAAGTGGGAGTTGAACAATGAGAACATATGGACACAGGGAGGGGAACATCACACACCGGGGCCTTTTTGGGGGTAGGGGGAATGGAGAAGGATAGCATTAGGAGCAATACCTAATGTAGGTGATGGGTTGATGGGTACAGAAAACCACCATGGTACGTGTATACCTATGTAACAAACATGCACGTTCTGCACATGTACCCCAGAACTTAAAGTATAAAAAAAAAGAAAAAGAAAAAACATCTTCAAGGAAATGCGTTTACTCATACATAATATATATAAAAATATATATTTAATAAATATGTAATCAACGACAATTAAGCACTACCTTCTTTCTCTCCTGGCCTCAACTCTGGCTCACTCCCTCTGTCTCACACACAGTCTGGATGGAAAGTACTGCTGTCCACGTCGGGCCTGCTGTTGTGGGGAAACGAGGATACATCATTAGTGTCAGGTGCTTTTGACCTTGCTGCCTGATTGTGGCCAGGCCCCTTGCGTTAACCTGGCGTGAGTCTGCCGTATGCAGACACCTTGGTGTGTTTCCATGAGGTTTCAGGCAGAGCTGTAGGCTCCATGTTTAGATTTCATAAGAGTAACCAGAAATGCACTTGCTAGGTGGGCAGTTAAAAACAACGGGGAACGGTCTCTGGAGTGCTTCAGTGGTGAGCCATGTGATGACGCCACCGGGCATGTCCTAGGGGCACTGTGAAGTTGGAAGGTAGAGCTCCGATTGGCGGGCCAGTGAGCAGCGTCCAGCCCTGCCTGTCTCCCATGTCAGCCTTAAGTGAGAGCCATGGCCTTCTCAGCACTGTCATTACCCACCTCCACCTTGGAATGATTGATTCATCAGGTTCAGAGGATGAACTTAGACATTAAGGAGCTGGCCAGGCCTTGGTGGAAAGGGATGCTGGAAAAAAAATTATAAAGCACTGTATTTTGCTTGCATGGTATCACTGCCATCCTTCAACAGGACACAGTTTTACATTCTTTATGTATTGCAAAGTGGGAGACAATGTATTGACAGTTGCCAAGCTATGATTTTAAAAATGTGAAGCAGATCTTCTGTGGACGATGGATCTTGAGGCTCTGGGCCGGATGACCTGTCCTGACACCTGCTAACATCTCAGCAGGACCCGTAGGGAAGGGAATTCTGCCTCCTTCTCCTTCAGTCATCTCAGAATTGAACACTGCGCAGGACTCAGTGACATCCTGCAACCAGAGATACAGATATTCTCCCAGGAACACCCAGACCTACAGCTGAAGCCAGGATGTCTTAGTGGAAGGGACCAAGAGCCAAGGAGACTTCAGCCTCCTGGTTACTTCCTCCCTGCAGCCTGGGTGCACTGCAGACTCAGGCGCAGTGGCCATTAGTGCTGTCTCTTGGACCCGCACCTGACCGTGTCTTAACTACAACAACCTTCAAAGGCTTAGGTCCAGGGAGAGGTCAGTTACTCAGATCATCCTGAACATGTCCCTTCTCCCGAGAAGGACACATCATAAAACATGTGGCCCCCAACCCGAGGACAACTGCAGTTATCATCCCTCGCAGGTGGGCCCAGAGCACAGAACACACCTGTCACTCCAGGTGTCACGTCTCAGAAAGACATTTTCTTTAAGGTTAAATAAATAACATTCACACAATGGAATATTTTAGAGCAGTAAAAATGAAGGAACGGCAGCCACGGGCAACAGCAGGGATGGATCTTAGTGATATTATATGGGTAGATAAAGCAAGTCAAAAAGGACTACGTCCAGGATCCGTCTTTTCTACAAAGCACAGAAGCAAACACGAGCCTAGTATTGCTTGGGGGTCACGCATTCATGTCCAGGGTCATATTTACCCACCGCCTGCCTGAGCGGTGGAGAAGCCCCGTGGTCATGTTGTCATTCTCAAGTTGGGTCCTTGTTCACAGGCATTTGTTTGGTTATTATACTTAAGAACCTACATGTATATTTCATCTGTTTCTGTATAGATCAGATGTAACCCGAGAAAATGTTTCAGGGTGTGAGCTCCCTAATACGTCAGGTCATCTGCAGCTCTAAGCTCTGGTTTTTGAGCCAGGCTGTAGCGGTTACGTCCTAGTTTAGGATGATTTGGCAAGAAACTCTCCATCACTTCTATCAACTGCGTGTGTGTTGGAAAGAATTAGGAAGGAAGGGCCGATTGCTACTTTCTCAGGGGGGCTGCATCTTAAGAGTCCATATATGTCATTCAGCTAATGAAGCCTGCCTTCCTGCCCCTAGTAGCAGCCTTTTTTTTTCAAAGCAGCTTAAGTAGAAAGAAAACTTGTTTCAGTGATGTTTGTGCTTTTGAGGGCGACAAAAGGTGTTACACTGTTGTTTTCTTTGTGATTACCGTTGTCATGGTGGTTATTTGTCCCTCTTCAGTGTTCTAGTAGAAACTTTCTGCCTGGTGATGCTTTGAGGGGCTATGAGCTCATGGTGGGTGAGCCCGGGTTTCCTCAGGGCCTGCCTCTCAGTCCTGCAGAGACATCAGTCTCCCTCAGTGGTGGGCTGGGGCTCAGGGGAGAAGCCCAGGTTGTGGCTGGGTTTTGCTGTGCAGACCTGGATATGCTCACCTTAGGGTTTCAGCCATTTTCACTTCTTCAGTGTGGCTTAATTGTTTGTGTCTCACCAAGTGATCTTCATATATATGAGTAGCTTTTTTTAAAAAAAATTACTGATGAAACCTTTACAATGTTTATTGGAAACAATGATTTATGTGCAAAATTCTTAAAGAAGGAAAACCTACTTTTCTCTATTTTGTAATAGAAGGCTTTTGTGTTGACAACGTTCTTCTTTTTATCTGCAGCTGAGCCAGCCGTCTTGGCAGGTGCTATTCATAGCCTGCTTGTTTCTGCAGTGTTGCTAAGTTGTGAGGTGGGGATCCACACTTTCCTTAAGTCCTGTTGTTTTTCTCTATAGGGGAATGAACTAGGTGGCTTTTAACAGGAGACAGTTTTGACGCCTGCTTTTTATATTCAGATGTACTCACCCAGGAAAAGCAACTTCTCAGGTCCCTGGTCTCCGGCTCAGAGGATCCTTGATCAGACAGAGCTGAGATTAATGAGCTGCTTTTAGCCATGGCACCAGGGTGGTAGGATTGTCTGGGCCATGGGAGGAGCCCATGAGGAGGCACCAGAGCTGCTATAAAGCCCTGCTCTTGGGACTAGGTGTTTGCCACAGTATTGGTGACCGGATCGTTTGTTCCTGATAATGGAAATCTCATCATTTAGAGATGGCAAGTTAAGATACTTTTATTGAATGAACTTCCTGCGAAGTTTCTGAGCCATAGTTGGGCTTATGACATAATTGCTATACATGTTGATACCATCTTTTATCATAATTGTTTTTCATTGTTTTTAATAAAAGGATAAAAATAATAGGAGACATTTTAGAAAGTGGTTTTTTTTGTTCTTTTATTCATGATACTAAAAATTACCCAAAATAAGATATTTTACAAAAAAAGGATTTTGTTCCAGAAGTGACTAATTTAAATCAGTTTATACAATGAACTTGCTAATGATCCTCAGTCTAGAGAAGTGTAATGCTTTTATACTGTTATCATTTTTTATGAATAGAATTATACAAAAAAGTTCCTATTGTGTTGTACAGTGAGTTTCACACAACCATCCTTTATCAACAGATGGCAACCAGCACATGAAAAATAATTAAAAAATAAAATGAAAAGAAACCGAGAATGAATTAAAGTGCTTCTTTGCGTTCCGATCTGCATTTTTGGTTTAGAATTTTTATGGTGAATTGCCATATTATCTGTTATATCAGTTTACAATGAGGCTCCTATCAGACATAAAACAGATTTATAATACCATTAAAATACAATATCAAAGAATGAATAAGCAATTCAATAAAATTACAATAACACAAAGATAAAATGAAAGCCTTTTCAATAACAGTTTTATGCAAGAACATTTTGCAGATAAATATGTGTTTATAGATCTTTTAAATGTATATTTATTATACTGTTCCTAATAGAGCCACAGGGGTTAATTTTTCCTGTGTGTTGTCTTTTATAAGTGGTTTAAAAGCTAGCTGCAAAACTCTTCAATAGATTGTTTTGAATCTTTGAATTGATTTTGGTAAAGGGAGCTTTTACAGTCCTGCAGCCGAATGTTCACACACAAATGAGTCAATACGGCTGGGCCCTTTTACCAGGGGTGGGAGGTGCCTGGAGGAGCTCCGTGGTCACCTGGGACCCAGGCGTGAAAGAGATGCAGAGGGAAAAGTTTATAAATGAAGTTTGATTCTGTATGCTTTCCACCCCGGATGTCCGGGTCAGATTTCCGGAAGGAAAGTTAATGAAAGCCAAGCATGATGACAAGCCGCCCCTTCTTGGGAGCAGCGGGGCAGGCGTTTGGGACAGCTGCAGCCAGTCTGGGGATGCGCCCTGCTCTCCAGACCCTGCTGTTCTCCTCACACCTGGCTTGGTGCACCTTAATTACACAGCCTGTTTCCTTCCTTTGTCTTGAGTCTGAGCAGGGAGTTCCTTAGGCCTTCTGTGATCCTTGCTGTGCTTGGCCAGTAGGGTCAGTGTGGCAGTAAATTTGGGGTGAGGACATAAGGACCAGGAGACATCACAGGGAGCTTCTGAATCCCTGGCAGGTCCTGGGTTGTATGGTGCAGCCAGGGTCCCCCAGCTCTTTGCATCTTGCCCCATCAAGAGCCTGCACTGTTCAGCATCCCCATCGTCCCGATGTGGCTGCAGTGGGTCACACCCTGGCCCTGGCATGGCTCGGCTGGAACAGCTGCCCAGAGATGGCTGGGGCATTAAACTACAGCATATCAGCGTTTTAATGCTTCCCTCCTAGGCAGCTGTGGCTCTGGCTGGGGCTGGGGCTGGGGGCATGCCCAGAGAGCTGGAGGGGAGGGAGGCTGGTAAAAAGAAAAACCCGTTGGATTTTGTTGACGGATGAAAAAAATCCTGGAGAAGAGAATTTTGTCCCTGGAAAAAAGTCTCCTGCGACTAAATTTCAACTCCCGTGGTCCTTTCTTTGTTGTAATTCCTCTGCAAATCATTGGCATCATCTTCTTCAAATTGATAGAAGGTGCCAGGCCCTTATAGATTGCTTAATATACTGTAGGTAATATGGGTTGCAGTAGAAAATAAAAGCAAGCAGAGAATATTTGGCCGGAGCATATGTGACTCAAATAATTGAGAAATAAAACGGGAAAACGACTAGAAAGACTGTTCAGTGACACAGCGTACAGTGAGCTGAGGTGGGGCGGGGGTTGGCTTCTGTCTCTCTCTGCCTGTTTCTCCTTCTCTCTCTCTCTCCCCATTCTTTCCCTCTCTGCTTTTCCCACTTTTCCATGAGGTGGAAAGCAGACACTTGAACATTTCCTTCCCTAACAGCCCCTCCTCTCCCCCATGAAAATTTAGAATTTTGCTTTTTTACTTTCTTATTTCCTCTCTGTTCCAGAAAATTTTAGTACACGACACAGCGGCTGCCGCAAATAGCACTATTTCCCCAGCCCAGGCTGTTTGATTGCAAGAGGCTTGATTGCATCATTAGTCCTGAAGTGCTGTGCTCACTGAAACACGCCAGCATCTTGGACATTAAAGTGGCATCCTGTTGTGTATGAGGAGAGGCCTCGTACACACCACTTCATCTTGCAAACCTGCCTTTTCCCCAGAGTCTCCGAGCAGCATTAGGTAAACAATTACAGGAGATGACTTTAGAGGTGCCGTCTTCCCCTTTAATTCATGCATACAAGCATTCCAGTGTTACTGCTGCAGAAAACACAATGGAGTTCTCACAAACAGGCTTTGGGAGATTTAGGCAGATTTCCCCCTGGAAAATGGGAAAGGCATTTTAAGTAGCAGGGAACTCCTGCCTCCCTCCCTGAAAACAAAGCTGCTGGTGTTGGTGCTGCTTTCATCACTGAAGACTTTGAGATCCTCCTGCATTTTGGACTCTCTTAGGGGCGTCAGACTTCTTCTATCTGTTTTAATATTTATTTCCTTCTCCTTACACACCCACCCGAAGTGCAAGTCTAGTTTTATATAGCAGTAATTATTACACCTTGCCACTCTCTCCCAAGTTGCTACTTGATTAGTGCTGAATGGGTAAAAGTGACTAAACCCTTCTCTGTGGGAAAAAAAAATGGTCGATGTCTCTTTAAAGTCTTTGTCCGGCTGGTTATTTTTTATATGAGCTCAGCTCACATCACTTTTTATTAGCTTAATAAATCACCTTTCTTGTCAATCAAGCAGCAGAGAATAATTGGATATGGTTGAAGCCTTGCGTGATGGATTATAAATCATTCAAGATTAAATTAAAAGATAATGCACAAACTTAATGGTTTGTGTTTTGCAGTCTAAATTGCCTCGGAGCACTGCTGTTTTCAGCTTTATTGCCAGCCGTTTTTCTTTTCACAAAACCTTTCTGATTTTAGCCCCTTTTTATTTCTGTTTATCATAATTCCAATTGTATTTCTCATATTTACCTTTTAGTGCTTTGCCCATCCAAGCTGGGTGGCGAGTGAGGGAAGTCTAGGGCGCACACACCCAGCTCCCTGGCAGAGGGCAGGAGGGGCCCCACTGCTGCGGCCTGGCCTGGCTCTGATATGATGTGTCCTGCCACCTGGCAGTATCCAGCACCCCGCCCCCAGGAGTAGAGCTTCCTGAGTACCCCCAGCCAAGCTCCACCCTTTGGAGGAGAAATGGACTTATCAGTCCCAAGTGATGAACAGACCGGGGACGCTTTGGGACAGGGCGGGGCTGGGGGAATCTCCTCTATAAGAGGTCAATACTGTCAGTAAATTGGATGGCTGATGTGAGCCTCGAAGGAGAAGGGGAAAGAGAAAAGAAAAAGAAACAAAAAATAAATATCATGAAAGGAAAGTTGGATTGGTCATATTCCAAATAATGCGCCTTTCAGCATCTGTTCCAGGTAGCTCATACATTTCTGCTGGCCGCTCGGGGAGAGCATAGGTGATAGACATCTCTTGGCAGAGTTGCTTTCTTCCCTTGATCTGTGCCCAGGACAGAAGTGTCCAGTGCAGCAACCCCTGGTGGCAGGATTCCCTGCTTGGGATTACATCCCATGCTCTCTATCTGTCCAGCACGCATCTGTAGAGTTTAGAAGAAACACACAGAGGGATATAGGACCCGTCGTCCTTTCTCATAGAGGTAAGCACCTCCAGTGTCTCAGGAGCCTGGCTTCTCCCAGGGGCCATGAGCTGAGCCTTCCCCTGGAGCTGTGCCCCCAAATTCCTTCCCCTTCTTTTTATTTCACTGCCTGCTCTTCCAGACAGCCCCGGAGGTGGACACTCAAGGGGTCTGAGAATGACGGTGATTACAGAGCAAGGTTCATCCAAACGGTTAATTTCTCCCATTCTGGCTACAAAGTTAATTAATGTAATCTAACGCATCTTGAGGCAAAATTATGCACTCACATATGAATAAAACCCTGATCTATTGCAAAATACGAATCTGGCACTCGGAACAATTCACAATCACTCAAATTACAAGTTATGCACAAGAATGTAGTATCACAAGGGGATGTGAAATCCTGTCATTAGAAATGATTCACAATGCATCAGAAACCCGGCCCTGAGAAGGTTGGGCAGAAGGAGGTGAGCAGCCAGATAGCTGGGATGGACTTGTGCAGAAGCAGGGGTGCAGGCAGAGCCCCACCGTGCAGGTGAGACACGGTTCCGGCCGCTGCCCATGTGGCTTCTCAGGATTGCAGTGATGGCCGACCATGCCTCCCTGCCGCCCGCTCTCTCTCCCATGGCTCTGGAAACACCCTTGCCTGCATGTAGCAGTGCTTGGCAAAGGAGGCTGGCATGGCTGGGGCCTGGCCTCAGCATCTCTCGTGCAGACTGTAGGGAAAGAAGGCCTCTAGTCCTGGCCTTAGAAGCCGGAAGGAGGCATCCTTTCTGGTTGTCTAGGGGACAAGGGAGGCAACCCTGTGTCATCATGTCATCATCATCCACCAAGCATCTTCCAATTGCATCCGGTGAGCCCAACAGCCACTCGAGAGGCAGGCACGAGGGGGTCTGACCTGCCTTTCCCAAATGTGGACCTGGGAAGCAGGCAGAGAGAAAGGCTCACCGTCATTACCCGAGATGAAGGTATTACCTGATTTACAAGTGAAATTCTGTGGCGCAAAGACTTCCAATTGTGTGCTGCAGGTTGCAGCCTGGTAAGTGAGTGTCGGTGCCAGGATGCAGGTACCCGGACTCTCAGTGCCATACCCTTCTCGATAATACCCCACTTCTGGTAGTGCATGGCTATGAAAGGCTTGGCTCCGATGGGGCCTTTCTAGGGCAAGGAGCAGGGATCCTTCAAGTCCCAGGATCCTTCTCGTTTGCTGAATGGCTACGGCCATGCATTTCGTTGTTCAGGGGACTCTCACCAATCTGTCCAAACTCAGGGTGAATTCACATGTCACATGTCGCTGCCTGTTTCCTGGGTGTCTGGGAGAGGTGGATGGGCCTCACCCTCACAGAGGCACTGGCATATGTGTGGGGACAGGAACCATTTCCGCAGCCCAACAGGCAGGTGGTACGCAGTGCCAGGAGCGTGGCCACCCTAGTCCCTGCCAGGTGCCCACATCCGCACGTGGCAGGCATGTAGCTCAGACTCCTCGCTGCCCTCCAGCGGTGCACACTTGGCTTCCAGCTCCCGGTCAGCAGCCAGGCATGGGGGCCATCGTTCAAAGGTGGAGCATCCTGTCTGTGATTGATAATGGCTCACTGCAAATTTTACATTTTTATTAGCATATTTATGAACATTGAGGTTTAATAACCACTACCTCCTCCAACTGGACATTCAGAGGTTTTAATAGAAACCTGACAAATTCCCTTCCAAATCTCGGGTGTGGAAATGCTAACAGCAAACGCTGGTAGCAGAGCAAAGCCCTCACCTGGGGCTTCCCGCAGAGTCTCCTCTGGAAGCCTCTGTGACTGTTCCTTGCCCCCAAGCAGGTTTGGCATCCTGAGTCCCAAACCTGTCATGCTGTTTGACGTTTCTGCATACCACATGCACTGCCTGAACTTACTGTTTACACACGTTTTAACTCAAATAAATTTATTTTTAAAAGGAAAGTGTGTCACTCCTATAAATGAAGACCCAGAATCACTTGCCATAAAGGGAAAATAACCATAAAAATAAACGCCGTGAAATCAAACAATGTCATTAAATCCTAGCTGAATTCTCTTGCCTTCCTACCGGAGTCTAATGCCTTATCTCTCTTCTTTAAAAAGGGGGATTAGCAAGTGTTGGGGAGGTGTTAAAGACCAATAGCACCCACCGGATACTTTCTCCTTGAAGCAATCAGAGGGAAAAAGATGGAACTGACAAGGGAGTAATTTATTACCGTGTGATTCAAGATGAACCACCTCATATTTTCTTGTACCACCGGTGGAACTCCTCCCACACTCTGAAAGATTCTGGATTTCAGCGAACACTGACTTCGATTAACTTCCCAAAGGGGCCCTGAAAGCCCCAAAAGGGTTAATAACTGTTTCTGTAGGAAAGTGTCTTTTCTAAAGAGGAAGAGAGAGGACATTAGGAAGCCAAGGGGTTCAGGAAGCAACAGGAGAAGTCCCCTCCAGCCAGCAATGGAGTGTCCTGCTCTGATGGGAATTTGCTGCCCTGAGCTGTCCGATAGGACTACCCCATCGGAAGTGTGATGAGTGCAATGGAGGATCTGAACTTTACATTTTGTTTAATTTTAATTAACTTAAACATATATAGCCCCATGGACAACACAGTCATTAGCCCCATGGACAGCATAGCTCTAGATCCTTCTTTTGTGGTTCTGTGCTTATTTCTCTGACCTAAGCCAGCATCTGCTGATTCATAGTTTCCAGCCGTGGGAGGGAAGATGGGCCTCTTCTCAGCAGTGGTGTGCACAGCACAGAGCAGCCTGCAAAACACTCTTTTTGTCCAGTGCTCCTCTCCTAGCAACCCTGGGAAACATTGGTGTCACCATGCCTGTTTTACAGATGGGGAAACTGAGACTCAAAGGCCATGACATGGAGAAGCCAGGATTTAAAGAGGAGTGGCTTGGCCGGGTGCAGTGGCTCACACCTGTAATCCGAGCACTTTGGGAGGTTGAGGCGGGCGGATCACTGGAGGTCAGGAGTTCGAGACCAGCCTGACCAATATGGTGAAACCCCATCTCTACTAAAAATACAAAAATTTGCCAGGCGTGGTGGCGCACACCTGCAGTCCCAGCTACTCAGGAGGCTGAGACAGGAGAGTCCCTTGAACCCGGGAGGTGGAGGCTGCAGTGAGCTGAGATAGTGCCACTGCACTCCAGCCTGGGCAACAGAGAGAGACTCTCTCAAAAATAAACAAACAAATAAAGAGGGGTGGCTCTGCTCAAAGATCTCTCACCCTAACAGTGAATGGACCCTAAACGGGATTCTCATCTTCCAGTCCTCATGTTCCACCCATGCCCCCTGAGCATTGATCAGTATGGAGCCCGTGAGCTGGGCAGAGGGGCAAGTTCCCTTCACAGTGCAGCACCTTCTGTCCTCTGCTTCATCTCTGCATGTACTGGAGGACTCCGTAGGACCAAGACGTCTCCTTCCCATAAGGAACAAACCCTGTGCAGTCGGAGGCCACAGGCGAGACTCACCCCAAGAAGGTCCTGTGACAGGAGGCAGGCCAGAGCTCAGCAGCACATTGGCACCTATTTTGTTTCTCTCTTTCCCAGCTTCTCCTGCCTCCCCAGACACGAATGCTCTTGATCTGTCCTAGGATTTGTTGGGGGTGAGTGGGCTATAGGGGAAGTGCTGATGAATAAATCCACAACCAAAGTGTTAGGTGGATTAATAACCCCCTTCAGCCTTCAGACCCCTCCATCCCAACTTGCTTGAAGTTTATCTGCTTTTTATAAGAGTATCTAAAACAGGGCAGTGCTTAGCCCAGAGTCTGTCTGACTTGCTACTGGTGAAACCCTTGGCCTGAGACGGAGAGAGAATTTTGGGTGGCTGAAAGCCTTTTGGCTGCCACCTTACCAGGTGGCACCACCTCCCTTCCTGGTCTCAAGAGGCTGAGCTGATGGCACAGGCAGGAGTTTCCTGGACATTGCATGATCCTTCCAGCTGCAAGGGTGGGGCCCAGTGAGGGGCTGAAATGTCGCCCTAGAGATCCTGGCCTTGTCACTGCAGGAATCTTCCTTGCTGATGGAAAATTCTAATTTCTGTAACCCCAAAATAACTGTTCTTTACTGAATGCTTGCCACATGCCAGGCATGGTGCTAAGTGCTTTATGTGCATAATTCCATTAACAACAATTCTTAAAAGAGAGGACTTTCATTCTCATTTTAAAGGGAAGAACCAGAAACGTAGAGAGGTTTTGTAGCTTGCTCAAGTCCTGCTGTGGCTCAGGACAGAACAGAAGATGGACCTAGGCCTGTGAGGTCCTAGTGTCCTTTCACATTGTGACTTATGCATCACACAGAGCCCGCACTCTGCCCACCCCTTTCCCTGCATTCATTCTGAATTCTGTGCCTGAAGGAGGAATGTGGCCTCCAGCTTGTCATAGATTGGTGGAACTGCATCTCCTTTAAGAAGGTGGAAGGGATTCTCTCCTGAGCAGTGGGTCCCTGAGTTCATCCATTCATCCATGCAGCAGATACTTGCAGACCACCCTGGACACCAGTGCACAGGATCGGTGCTGCACCAAAAAGAAAAGGAAATGCATGTGGAATGGCCCCCAAACCCTCACATCTTCCTAGGAAGATGAAGGAAGACTGTGGTTTTTCTCCTCTAATCTGCCCCACACTCTTTGCTTTGGGTCACTCGACTCTTCATCTTCACTTCTGGTCCATTGAGAGGCAGCTTGGAGGAAAGAGGCTCATTACCTGGGACCAGAGTAGGGAAGAGACATGAGAAGGTTGAGACACCGAGTGGAGGCTTAGCAGATGGGGCAACATGACAACATAATGAATGGGCCCCACAGTTCCAGGGATGGGAAGGAGATGTCGCTCAAACTCAAGGAAGGAAAACATACTTGCATGCATTTTCCCATCATCACAAATTCCTCCGAGGGCACCAGGCTACTGGAGTATGTGTTGAAACAATTTGAGCAGATGTTTATTAAGCACCTGCTCAAGCCAGTGCTGGCAGGTGCCAGGGACACCAAGACAGGCAGTCCTCAAGGGGGTTGGAGTGTGGAGGATGAGACTCAGATGCACGTAATTCTGACGTGGGTACCATGATGGAAATGACCGTGAGCAGGATGGGAACATGGAGAGGGATGCCGTGGCCATCCCAGGGGGTGAAAGAAAGCTGGCGACAGCTTCCTGAAAGTGGAGATGCCCCAGCTGAGTCTTCAGGGAATAATATTCCTGCAACAGTCTTAGGAGCCGTCATTCCTCTTTGCGCCACATTATTTAATGCTTTGCAAGTTTGGATGACTAAAGTACCATGCTTTATCCGCACGTTTCATTTACCTACCTTGGTTTCTTAGTTCGGGGCCTGTTTCCAGGCCTTTCTTGACCCCTGTGCTAATCTGGAATATTTGTTCTTGCTGACTTGATGGTTCCCAATGCCGAGAATGTGTTCTTCCTCAAATGAGTGTCATATGTTATACTGAGAGAGCCTCAATGCTGATGTCTCCATTCCATGCGGGGATTGACTTGCCCTGGCTTGGGTTCCTGCGCCTGTAGAGTATTTTGTCCTTTTTTTTTTGCAGAAGATATGGCTCCACCCATCTACGCCTGCTAGAGGCCATGTTCCTCCTTCAGGCAAGGAATTCCGAATCTACTCCCTCTCTCTCTTTCATCCTTCTGTCCTTTTACCACCTACCCTCTTACATCACGCACCCTGGTGGGTTAGCCCATATCCTGTGGGTAAATGGCAGCACTGAGAGACCATAGGGACCCCCAAGTCCTGAACCCAGGGCCCCGTACAAAGCGATGCCTTCCGGCATTGTGTCTGCAAGGGGTGGCGGGCAACACCACGGTGTGCATCTTCACACCAAGCAAAGCTCAAGGCAGCCCATGTTGCAGAGGCAGCTGGGCATTGTAGGCAGGCCCTGGGGGCCAACAGCACGGTGGTCACTGGCTCACAGAAGACTGAGCTCCTGGGCCGGCCTTGGGGAGGACGGCAGGCTGGTGGCCTGTCATGGCGAGTGGGCCCCACCAAAAAGTTAGGCGGCGTGGAATCTGGTCTCAGCTCTGTTATGAACGCCTCGTGGTGCCTCTGGTCAGTCCTTTCCTCTGTTTGGGGCCTCATTTTCTCTCATTTCAAATGAAGCCCATCTGTAGGAGTCACTTCCTTATCTCTAGGATGATCTGAATCTGAGCAGACACAGCCAGGATTTCAGCAGGGGTCTTAGACGGTGTGTCCCTGTTTTTCTCTCTTTCCAGACAAGAGCATCAATTGGGTGGAGGTTCTCAGCACGTGGTGGGTGGAGAACGTGCTGCCCTAGTCTCTTCACACTACCCCTGTGTACCTGTGGAGCCTAAAACACCTGGGAAGGAAGCAAACCCCAGAGCTCCGAAACCTCCATTTCCAAAAAGGATCGAGAGCCAGTCTCCTAGAAATGGAGCCCTTAGTGGTGGTCCACGCTGGAGACGATGACAAACAATTGGACCCTTGTGTCCCCAAGCTGTGGGCTCCCTGGCGATGACACCGGAGCTGTCTCTATTTTGCCTGTCGGGGGAATGTTCCAGCGCATTTTCCCTTATTATGACTTGATTAAGGACACAATAAACCCTTGCCATGATTTTTATCTATTTGCAGTAATATCTCTCAGTTCTAATTTCAGAGATTAGCTTGTTTTCCAAACATTAAATGAAGGACAAACTTGATCCCATTGTTCATGCCTGGCGAGCACAGCCATAGCCACCACCTACCATTGACAAACACAAGCTGCTGGCCACACCTGCACGTCACTGCCATGGGAAGCAGCCCCGAGACTGTTGGAGTGGGAGGCAGAACATTAGGGATTTCAATTCTGCTTTATTTTCAACTTGAAATGGAGGAAAACAGACAAAAAACAAATAAGAAAGCTAAACAGTTGCGTGAGAGCTAGCAATTTGCTGGGCTCCCGATGACAGACACTGCATTATCATAATTGTCTCTTCTACATGATAGGACAGAAAAATAATAATGTCATTTTATTTATAGCTGGGGTGGCCCCTTTATGAGAGTCATACAAGTTTCTGCCAAGTGGAGTAGGTCAAATGACATCTTTTGATCAGGCCTGTCCAAAGAGATCAAAGATGAATGGCAGGTAATGGATACCCAATGACAAACCAAATCTAAAACAGAAATAAGGCTGCCAGAGCCTGCCAGTTACCCATTAAAGGCCCGCCTAAGGAAGGCAGGCTGCTTGACACATTGGCCGAACACCTAAATCAGCCAAGCGTCAGTGCTAAAATTGTGTATTATCATTGGAAATGGCTATTATTTCCTCGGTAACATTTCTGTTAAGGCTTTGTTTGTGTACGACTGACCCACAATCAGAAGTGGAGTTTGAGGAAAGCCAGCCCAAGAGGCTTGGGGGGCACCCTTGGCTTTGCCATTCATCACGCGGTTTTATTTGTGGGGTCCTAATGGAACACCAGCCCCGTGCCGCGTGCTGCTCAGGTGGAGGAGGTGGGGCTGTTTCCAGGTGAGAGGGTGGTTCGGGCCTCATGTCATCACTCCTGCATTTCTTGACACTCTCAGCTCCGCTCCATCTTCCCGTCTCCCCAGCCATATGCAGTTGGCCCCATCGTAGGCCACACAAAGCCCAGAACCTTCCCAGAACATGGGGAGGGGGAGCACTAAGCAGATGGAAAAAAAAAATGAAGGGGTACAATGGCACTCTTTCCTACCCAGGCTGAGAGAACAGGGCGGGCACTTGGCTTTTTACACAGCCAGTGCAGTCTGCACATATAGAAACGGGTAGAGGCAGCTTCCAAAATTATGGGAATAGATGCATTTTTTTTTCCTCAAGCACTTGAGTTATGTAATTAAGTTGGGCTTTGTAGAGATGTTATTTACAAGGCTTTGGTGGGGAACAAAATTTACTATCTTTTTTTTTTTGGCTTCTAATTTGTGGGGGTGGAATGAGGTGGAATACAAAGAAATAGTCAAAGAAATATTTAGAAAGGAGGACTCCAAGTCTGCAGGAGAGAACTCTAAATCTTCATGTCCCAGGGGACGCACAGGTGGTGCTGTGGTAATTTTTAATTCTGCGGCGTATGCTGGAATGTTAAAAAATATTATTAAACATTGAAATGAGTATACTAGCTAACTAATTAGTATGTTTCTCTTTCTTTTAATAATCCTGATTCATTTTCTTTCTTCCTACCTCCATTTTTATACACGTGTAACCCTAAAGAACATATTTAGAAGCATAATTAGTTATAATTAGAAGCAAACAAACCTAGCCCAGGGTATCTCCAGTGTATTATGTTATAAAAAATGGCAGGTAATGGTGGCAATGGCAGAGACCCAGGTTCTGTGCTGCCTGGTAGGAATTCTGGTTTTACACACACACATACACACACACGCATACATACGCACACACGCCCATGCATGAGTGCACATGCGCACCCACGCACGTGCACGTGTGCCCTCTCAAGATAAAAGAGCCAATGATGGAAGCCGCCTTTGCTTGGCTCTTAAAAGTTTTACAGACCTCACGTTTTGCGATCACTTTGCATTAACTGTATCTTTAAGTAACGGAGACACTATGTCAAAGTCGTAGCATCACTTCTTGGTGATGAGAAGAAGATAGACATTTGACTGTTAGGCCTCTTGGCAGGAAATTTGGTAGTGAAGTCCCATCCAATTTGTCACACTCAGTAGTGGTCCTCGCTCCGAAGGAAGCTCGCAGCCCAGCCCGCCGCGTC
The DNA here is from genome assembly GCF_000001405.40 of Homo sapiens. Classification (NCBI taxonomy): domain Eukaryota; kingdom Metazoa; phylum Chordata; class Mammalia; order Primates; family Hominidae; genus Homo; species Homo sapiens. The sequence goes on along the minus strand of NC_000019.10, from coordinate 31,306,231 downwards.
ACCTGTCTGGGAGAGGCCCCGCAACTCCATCTGAAGTGACAGGCTGCATATGCAAGGCCACCCCGGGAATGAGCGCACACGGTGGGTGTGCCGTCGTCTCGTGGGGAGGGCACACCTGTGCGTCACTCCCCGCCTGGCACTCAACTTTGACATTTGACCATTCCAAAAAAGCGCCTACCCCCTTTTTGTGGCTCCCACCCCAAACTTCTATGTAAATGAAAGTTTAAACAAATCTGTGATCATGCTGGCTTTCAAGTGAAATTTTTTTTTAATTTCTCTTGAATTATGTAAAGATGCATCACAAGATATTTACGATTTTTTTTAAAAACAGATATTCTTTTTATATACTGATAAAATTGGAAACTTGGAAGCATATTTGGCAAGTGTAAACAGATGGTTAAAGATATTTGCTGGGAAGTATCAGAAACAGTTATTCCTGACTTGCCTGCTTGGCTAAACATTGCTCTGAAAAGTCAACTCACAGGGCACCAGGCAGGAGATGCGGGTCCCATTTTGCTCTAAACAGAGTGGGCAGGGGCGCTGTTTTCCTCTCTTTATCACCATGCTCTAGGTAAAGCCTGCCTGTGGAACTTGTGCCCTCTTCTCTTTCTATCCACAAACTCCATAAGGGGTTCTTTAGCAACTAAGCAAGAAGGCTTCTCTGTTGTCTCCTTAATTAAGGATGCCTGCTGCAGGGATCTCACTCAGAGGGAGCCGGGCACCTTTTACCTTTCTCCATCTAAGGTATGAAATTAGTGCTTTTCCTTTGCTCTGGGGAACTGATCATTTTATTCAGAAGAGGTCCATGCTAGGAGGTTTCCTGTCCCTTCAAAGGCAATGGATGTAAAGTTGCATAAAGGAAATTACTGGGAAGAAAGAAAGAAGAAACTGACACGCGGCTTTTTTTTTTTTTCCTTTCCAGACAGCAGAATTCACCACACACATTTCAAATAACGAAATCAACAGTTCAGAGGTGATTTAACAGAAAGCACAGAATTTCATGAAATTGCCTAATAGTCAGATTTGTGGTGTGTGTGTGGAGGGGGTGGCAGGAGAGGGGGTGGCTGGAGATGGGGATGTGGAAAGAGGAAGCTGCCGTATTTTTTTACAAGCTTATAAAACACAAATGCTCGTGGCACTTGCTAATCTGAAATGCTTTTAGTAGAATTGTTCAGTAGCAATAATCTGTCAACAGATTACAATTTTGCTTAATTTTAATGTGGCTAACTTAAGATGGTTGTATAGTAAATTTATGCAACTGATCACAGTTATTAAATTACTGCGTCTGCAAAGGAAGCAATCAAACCCCTTATTACAGTTGCTGTGAGTGAATGCTAAATGTCAAGGAGTTACCAGTGCGCTGCGGGGAATCGCGCTCCAGTTAAAGATGCATAAAATATCAGCACTTTTTTAATGCTTGTGCATTCAACAAAGACTCCCATCATAATTAACTGGTATGGAAATAAATAATTTTTACAAACTACCTTAGAAACAGTTGTGCTATAGTTTTTGTCAAAGTCTACTGCTCTGCAGCAATATTTAAGCCCTCAGACACTTTTCCCTCTAACTCACATATGCTATAAAATATTTAAATCTCACAGAGAGGTTTGGAAATGATACTATAAATCCAACTCTCGGTGCTAAAAAGTAATTTATGATGATTAATTTAATTATACATTTTCAGGTTTTGATATTTTAAAAACTCAAGATTAATTTTTTGTTGTTGTTGTTGTTATGGTCCCAGTTTGACAGTTTGGGGAAGGGAGATTCTTTTTCTAAACAGCTGAAGATGCAGAGGGAGAGGCAGGGCCCCCAGAAAGGTGGAGAGGAAGAGTTATGGGTGTGGGGGCCACAGGCATACAGTGAGGCCTCAGTCCTGGCCCTGCTTGCCCAGTCCCCTTGAGCAAGTTTCTGAGAGTCCTCAACTGTGAAAGGCAAATTGTAAGAGTGAGCACTTCGGACTGGGCGCCGTGACTCAAGCCTGTAATCCCAACACTTTGGGAGGCCGAGGCAGGCAGATCACGAGGTCAGAAGTTCGAGACCAGCTTGACCAACATGGTGAAACCCCGTCTCTACTAAAAATACAAAAATTAGCTGGGCGTGGTGGTGCGCGCCTGTAATCCCAGCTACTCAGGAGGCTGAGGCAAAACAATCACTTGAACCCGGGAGGCGGAGGTTGCAGTGAGCCAAGATGGCACTATTGCACTCCAGGCTGGATGACAGAGCAAGACTCCATCTCAAAAAAAAAAAATGAAAATAAAAAAAAGAGTGAGGACTTCATGAAGTCCTTGTGGAGGGTGTGTGGGTTAGTGCTGGGAAGGCCCTGGAATAGCACTTGGCCCTAGTCAGGATCCATGTCACCAAATGGTAGCTAGCATTTATTTTGAATAAAATAAAATCTTTGCAAAAAAATCCGTCTTTCTGAGACCCATGTGCTTCTGCTGGCACCAGCCGATGGCTCATCCCATGACAGTGCAGCCAGCGGGTGCCATCTTTTTGCCAGTGCCCTTTGTCACTTGTGGGCTTTGGGGTTTTAGAAATCTGGCCTGTGAGGCCTTGACACCTTGCTGGGAAGAAATGCCAACAGAGGAGAGAGGAAGATGGGGCGGGGTCGGGGCATGAGAGCCTGTACCAGCACCCACCAGACTCCTGAGTGATTCTGTGCCTCATGCTTGAGTGATTCCGTCCACTCAGCCACCCCACCGAGATGGTCAGGTGCCAGATGGGCCCTGTGCAGGCCCCGTGCAGGTCAAGTGGTCCATGCCATCATGAGCTGAGCCCTCCACCTTGGTGACTGTGGGTGCCTATGTGGACCAAGTGCGTCTCCGGTGAGCCAGGTCTATGCCATCTCAGAGGCTGCCGTCTCTGTCCTGTGTTGCAGCACGACCAATGTCGCAGTGCAGACCCGGGCGTATTCCTTAGCGTAGTGGAGAAAGGTCCCTTTACAACACTCAGGCCTGCGGGTCAGCAGCTCCACCATCTTCAGTCTCTTCCCAGAGAGATGGGGGGCGATTTGCCGGAGTGAAGGCTTGGCTGTTAGGAATCTGATGTTGTCAACCCCACCCATTAGCCTGGGCCACCTTTGCCCAGTATATTCATTCATTTGGTGTAGCTTTGTTTGGAGTTGTTTGTTCAAACGTATTTGAAAGATGACTCTGTAGGGCTATCAGATTCATTCAGAGGTCCATTTGTGCATATGTGGATGGGCGTGTGTTTATGCATTTATGGATAAGCATAAGGATGTGTATATGTTTACACATACATGTACATGTAATCTAGATTAAAACTAAAGATGAACTCAAGCCACGTTGTTTACCTGTGACATCTTATTTCCACCAAGCAAGCAATGGGCCATGCTGAATCCACCCTAAATTTTGGCCTTATTGAGCTAGACCCTTTGGCTTCCAGATGCTCCTGTTTTGAACTGTGGTCTCCTCAGTATACATCTCACTTCCCATATGGAAGTGCAATTTGAGGATGAATGTGGCATCTTTGCATTATTTTTTAACCTACACACTCTGATAGGAAAAATGCATATATATGTGTGTGTTTATATATAGACATATCTATTTTTGTATGTGTGTAGTTTTTAAGTATTTTAAGGTAAAAGTAAAAGCACACTTATAAAGGTCAGTTGAGGAAATGTCTGTATGTTTGGAATGGCAAGAGACAGATTTTAGAAAACAAAACTTTCAGAATATAGAATTTCTTAAAAGAAATGCATTTTGCTTTAAATTTTCATGTAACTTACACAGATTTCTAAAATGACCACAAGTACTGGATTCCTTGGGCTGGCCACTTATGAACAGGTGTGAGTACTTTCTGATTTTGCATGTATGGTGCATTTCTTATTGAGTAGGTTGGAGATGATGTGGAGTCTTATGTCCCATTCACACACCGTGCTGTCTTTCTTCCTGGACATGGGCAGAGTCTGTGGCTCTATGTTTCCAGGGCACGGATCACAAGGGCGGAGGGTCAGCTCCGGGCCTCTGAGCCCTTGGGAAGTGTTGGCAGCAGCTCATGCACTGAGGGGTCACTCCTGTGCACCCTAGACCTGGAGAGGCCCTGTGAGTGGCAGTCTCAGATGGCTCAGCACCATGGCTCTCTCTTTTGCCACATTAAGGTGGTGCTGGGGCTTTACAAACTTTATGTAAGGGCCCCTTTGCCTGCGTTTCTGAGTGTAAGGAATGTCTTCAGGTGCTGACTGGGCTGGGATCTTGGAGGGCCAGCTCACAAGCATTAGAACTAAGATGTCCAGGGTGTGGAATGTAACAGGCGCCTAGGGACCTGAGTTCAAATGCCGGTTTTCCACTTCATCAGACGTGTATCTGGGACACAGTGTCTCCACCTGTGGACCTCATGGGGTGGGTATGAGGGGCCTTTGGTGTGCCTTACCAAAGGCAGCATAGGTAAAACGTACAGCAGAGTGCTCAAACATTTTAAAAATCGAAGCATGCTGGCTGCCATCATCACCATGGTAAGTATGATTGTCATGTCTGGCAAACATGTCCGGAAAAATCCGGATGTATTTTTCCAAGCACCTCAGACACCTTCTGACCCGACCCTCTCTGACCTGCCATGGGAGGCCTGAGGGTGGACCTTGCGGAATCCCTTTGCCGGGGTGTCTCCTGCTCTATGACGATGCCCAGCACAGGGCCAGTGCCTTCCCGCAGGCATGTCTCAGGCAGCCCAGCCACTGCAGGCCCTGGGCTGTTTATTTTGGTTATGTCCATGTTGCCATAATTGTGGACAAGACGGCGTGACCAGGGCGAGGTGTTTGAGTGCACAGCCCCAGCAGATGTCATCTAAGTTTTAATTTCAATAATTGCCTCTGTACACCTGTCATTTGCTCTGTTAAATAGCCTGGCATTAGATGTGTGGGGCTGGCTACACCAACAGGAAGAAAACCAATGCTGCTGTTCACTGGGCTTGGAAGGTGTTTGGGATGAGAGAGGGCCCTGTCATCTGCCCTGAGAGGGAGACGTGGTGGGGATGCCCCATCTCTGAGTCTGCACCACCCGCTTCTTTGCAGAGGGATGAACTGAAATCCCCCGCAATCCACTCCACCCACATAGGCCCCCACCCAGCCTTCCCTGTCTCACCATCACTCCTATTGTAGCCGAGGGGGGAAAAAACGATTTTTAAAGATTTGCTAATGGTAATGAAAAATATTCTGATATAGCATTAAGGATTTTGCTCCTGAAATGTGTTTAATGTAAATATGCTGTCAGAGACCCTTCAAGTAATTGACACAAGCAGATGATTAGCAGTGTTCTCAACGGTGTTTTTGCATAATCTTACATTTTGACAGAACTCCTCAGGCGCACGGTATTGTCAGTGCTCCGCAATCAGTAGGACTTTCTTCCTGACAACATTTACTTTGTCATTATCAATCTTGTAAGTGGTCATCTAGCTGGTTCTGGGTGGATGGAGGAGTGTCATTATTAATGCATTTGGGGCTGTGACTTCCTACCGAGAATCTCTCCTGAAAATTAAACTTCTTACCAATTTGGATCAAATCAGAGGAGCCACTTAGCAGCCCTGACCCCAGGCTTGTGGGGCCACTGTAGACTGCTGGGGCGTCAGCTCCATGCACGCTGTGGGACCTGGAGCAGGAGGTGGTGCGGCGAGTGCATCGTTAGAGAGGCCTGGACCTGGGCCAGCTCTCCTGGGGCCATCCCTCCCTAGGAATTCACCCTTTGGTTATAACCTAGCTACTTTCCAAGCTAGGTTGGTTTTTTCTTTTTGTCCACATTGAATTGAGTTCATCTATGGTGATATAAAAAAAATTTGTGTTCAATTATAATCATATCCAACTGCCCCAAATTAAACTGCCCTGATCTATAAGCATTCATAACTGCATACAGTTAAGTTACATTAATAGTCAATATAATAAACCTTCACCTTTATTGAAGCTGCTCTTGTTTCTACAGCAGTTCTTTAATCTATCTCAATAGATTTCTGGTGTACAGCACGTATAGATTTGGCCAGTGACAAGGGTTAGAGTAGTCTCGTAGAACATTTACCTGTAGCTCTGAAAAGCCCACATTTATCAGAGGATGAAGTCGATCACAATGTACCAGAATCAATGGAAGGCTTGTGGGATCCCTCTTAGGCTTGTAATGCATTCACCTTCTTTGGAGAGAATTCACACACACACACACACTCTCTCGCGTGCTCACACATACACACATACTTCTCTGTCTTAAAGCCATTTATCTCTGAATGTCAAATTGCAATAATTAACCATTATTGATCTTAAATTCAATTAACTTCATTAACACAGGTCATGGTGAGGGTGCGTGTAAAGGAAAGGCATTTGACAAGTGTCTTTGCTCATGTGACATTCTGTGTTCACAGTGGCGATGATACAGTGTTCCTACTGTCCCCTCCAAGAGGCTGCCAACAGAGAGGGCTGCCCTGAGCCTCAGAGACTTGGGTCCCGGACCCAGTCAGTGAGAGACCCCCGAAGTAATTTTTCTTTTTGGTCCTGAGAACTTTGCACAGTAGGAGTCTTACAGCTGTAAGGCAGCGTTTGAGCCCCCTTGCTATGTGTGGACACGGGGACCTTTGGAGCACAGGCAGATTAATCCATGATGGTCAAGGGATGCTGACCCAGGGCCCGACTTCTCCCCTGCACCCCATAACCTTGTCACAGGGTGTTCATGGACTTTCAGGCTTTGCTACATCCAGAAAGCGGCCCTTCTATTTGTATTTTCAGATTAAATAAAAATGACTTTCCCTCTTGATCAAGAAGAAAAACACCCGCATCCCACAATTGCGACCAGCAGAGGGTTCTGGGCACCCTTGCTACACGTGTGACATTTCTTGCTTTATCTACCTTGCATAGTTTGTGTCTCCCCGTGCCCTCCAAGGGAGGTGATGATATTGTCCCATTTTTCAAGTGGGGAGACTGAGGCTGAGAGATGAACAGACTCACCAAGCACACCTTGCCAAGGTGGCGTGGCCGGACTCCAGCCTACTGTCCTTTCCGGTCAGAGAGAGTCGCCATGCGGTTGTGTGTCACACTTTTTTTTGAGATGGAGTCTCGCCCTGTCACCCAGGCTGGAGTGCAGTGGTGAAATCCCGGCTTACTGCAACCTCCGCCCTTGGGGCTCAAGCAATTCTCCTGCCTTAGCCTCCCCAGTAGCTGGGACTACAGGCGCCCGCTACCACGCCCGGCTAATTTTCGTACCTTTAGTAGAGACAGGGTTTCTCCATGTTGGCCAGGCTGGACTCGAACTCCTAACCTCAGGTGGTCCACCCACCTCGGCCTCCCAGAGTGCTGGGATTATAGGCATGAGCCACCGTGCCCAGCTGTGTGTCACGCTTTTAAAGAATCAGGAGACCTTCTCTCGGTTTCTTCACTCTTAAGTAGTACATTTTAAACGTGTATTCTGGAGACAGGCAGTGAGATCCAGCAGTAAAAGCCCTGGCTGCTTTTTTTTCCCAATTCCAGTCCTCGTTCTGTGTCCTCATCCCCTATTCTCTGTCTCTCTAAGCGTCAGTCTCTTCATCCATGACATGGAGCCCATGGACGGCTCTCGCTCCTTCTCGGGCTGGTTTATAGCTGGGCAGCGATCATGTGCAGAAGGTACCCCCAGGAGTGCAAGGCCCCACAAAATGGGCCAGGACCGTTCCCAGACAGTACTGCTGCAGGTAGATGGGAGGCTTCTGTGCATCCACAATTGGTTCTGGGCTTTTAATTCTTTACGGAAATGCTGCTTGGTGCCGAAGTGTCTCAAGGAAATGGAACAAAACAAACAAACAAAAAGAACAAGCATGAAGTCGGCTCTTCTATGGGGTCAACTTTTAATTTAAAAGTTTGATTTAATTCAAAGAAATTGACTGAGTATCTGGCTTGTGCAGAGCCCTCCCTCTGCTCTGTATGGGGAGGGCTGGGACCCCCTTGCCTACCCAGCCCACTGGGAAAAAGGGACTGCCTAGCTGTAGGGTTTCTGCAGGGCTATGGGGATGCAGAGGTGAGAAGAATGGGCTTTGGATGGCGGGGACAGCAAAGCTCTTGGTCATGTGACACATCAGCTGGGTTGTGGGAGGTGAAATGCTCCTGGTCACATGAGCAGCCCTAGAGTGGCCTTCCCTGGGTGCAAGGGAAGCCAAGAGACACAAATCTCACAGGTCCGTGAGCACCTCCTGAGGAGTGACAGGTGACCTAGGAGGCCGCAGGAGCTCCATACAGCTCTATCCCTGCGCCCGAGGTGGTGGCCCACTGACCCTTTCTCAGGAAATGTCTGCTGATCCAGTAGCAGGTCTCTCTGCAGAGGGTGAGCATTTCACAGCTGGGTTTTAGGAGCATAACCACTGGACCTGTGAGTACGCATTAGGGCAGGGATGGCCAGGGAAGCAAGTGGCAGCTGAAATGGGTGGGGGTTGTACCTATCCTGGTTTATTTTGAGTGTCCTCTCCAAGCCTGTGTGTTTCTAGAGCACTTGCATTAGAAGCAGAAAGTTCAGGCCAAGTGCATCACCTCATGCCTGTAATCCCACTGCTTTGAGGGGCTGAGGAGTTGAAGGCCAGGAGTTCAAGACCAGCCTGGGCAACATAGCTAGACCCTGACTCTACAAAAAAAATATTAAAAATCAGCTAGGCGTGGTGGTGTGCACCTGTAGTCCCAGCTACTTGGGAGGCTGAGGCACGAGGATCAGTTCAAGGCTGCAGGTGAGCCATGATCACACCACAGTACTCCTGCGTGGGCAATGGAACAAGACCTTGTCTCTTAAAAAAAATAAAAAATTAGAAAATCGAGGTTGTAGAACTTTCTGCAGTTCTTAGGAATGGGCAAAAAAAAGAGACAGGAAGGGAATAAGCTACCCTTACTCTTGGTAGTTATCTTATTCAGTCTTCACAGCAGAAGGGTGGGGCCCAGAGAGGTCTCACTGCACATCTGTCTCCATTGTCCTGCCTGCCACACAGACGCCTACCCCGAGTAGTCCACCACAGGGACCTGGGAATGCTGGCGACGTGATCCGCAGGAGGGATCCTCTGAGGGGATGCGGGGAGCTGAGAACTGTGCCCAGTGGAGGAGGCAGTTGGCCTCGAACAACAAGCCTGAACCTGAAAGGAAGGGACAGACCTGAAACCCGCTGATTCCCACAATGGGGGACAAGACCCTGCCTGTGGTTAGGGGTGCTATGCCCCCTGGATGCTTTGGGTATTTCCCAACACCCTTCCAGCCTCCCACCTCCCGCTCCCACTGAGGTCAAAATTAGGACTGCAGCACATAGTTTGCCTATGTCTCTGTTTTCCCATAGTTTGTTGTCACTGTGGGTGACACTTTCACCTAGAATGCTGAGAATGCTGCCACGGAAGAGAGCAAAGGTGAGAGGCTGGAGAGCTGTCCCAGGCCCTTTGGCATTCTGTGGAGCTGGCACCTGAGGCCCCTGTTCCTTTGTGACTGACCCCCAGTGCCAGAACCCACTCTCCACTGACTCCCAGGCATGCAGCCCCAAATGCCCACTCCCTGGGACCAGGCACTGTGTCTTCTAGGCTGACGGTGCCCAGTATAGAGCCTGACACACAGGAGGTGCATGCTACAAATAAAAATTCCTTTATAACTTTCAAAATGACACAGTACTAACTGGGCAAGGTGGCCCACGCCTGTAATCCCAGCACTTTGGGAGGCTGAGGCGGGCAGATCACCTGAGGTCAGGAGTTTAAGACCAGCCTGGCTAACATGGTGAAACCCTGTCTCTACTAAAAATACAAAAAATTAGCCAGGCATGGTGGCGGGCACCTTTAATCCCAGCTACTCGGGAGGCTGAGGCAGGAGAATCGCTTGAACCCGGGAGGCAGAGGTTGCAGTGAGCCGAGATCACACCACTGGACTCCAGCCTGGGCAACAAGAGCAAAACTTCGTCTCAAAAAAAAAAAAAAAAAAAAAAAATTCACAGCACTTCCAGCACTTCATGAAGGTGTGCTTGTGAACATTCCAGACGGTGCAGAAGGGCACCCGTTTCCTCCCCTTCCTCTCTCCATGCCATTCCCCACAACAGTATCTGCCTCCTCCATCTGCAGGACAGCTGCTAATATCCAGGCCAGGATTATTTCACTGGGTGCCCACATACAATCACACACACACAAACTTGCTCAGAAAACAGAGACCCATGTTTGTGTTTGTGAGACTTATTTTCTTTTCCTACCTTCTGCTATGTCTTAGAGATCTCCTCATATGAGAAATTAGAGAATTATCATTATTTTTAAACTTTGTAAGCAGTTGGGTACACATGGCCATAAAGATGGGAACAGTGGACACTGGGGCCTACTAGATGGGAGTGGGGGAAAGCGAGGGGCAAGGGCTGAAAAACCACCTGTTAGATATCATGCTCACTACTGGGGTGATGGGATCCATCATAGCCCAAACCTCAGCATCACACAATATGGCCATGTAATAAACCTGTACCTGTACCCCCTGAACCCCAAAGTTGAAATTATTATTAAAGAACCTTTTTATGCAGAATAACATACAAAAAGGCCAGCATACGAATATAAGTGTAGGTGGAATTTTCCCCAGGTGAACACACCTGTGCCTCCAGGGCCCAGGTCCAGAGGCAGAACATTTCGTGTTCCAGGATTTCCACAGCCCTTCCCCAGCCACCACCTCCAAAGGGTAACTGCTGTCCTGACTTTTAACACCACAGGTGAGCTTTGCCTGATTTTGAAATTTACATAAATGAATTCATAAAATATTTTGTTGCTGTGATCCTCCCATGTTGTTTTGAATAACAGTTGATTTTGTCTGTGGCATGGCACTCTAGCATGTGGACAGGACACTGTGTATTTATTCACTCTACTGGTGGTAGACATTTGAATCCTTTCCAGTTGCTTTGCTGTTGTGAATAGCGTATCAAAGGATATCAGCGTACAGGTCTTTTGATGAAATACATATGCACATCTAATGGGTCTAGATCTAGGAATAGAATTGCCAGGTCACACAGAGTATGTGTAAGTGTAGCTTTCGTAGATACTGACAAACAGATTTTCAAAATGGTTGTAACAGTTGGTACTGGAAAGTTCCAGTGTTCCGTATCTTCTCTGACACTGGTATCTCTGTCTTATCGTCCTTGTGAGTTGCTGCATAGTATTTCATGATATGGGTATACTTTAGTTTGTTTATTCACTTCTTTGGTATTCTAAGAAATACTGATGAGAACACCCTTAATCATAGAGGGGTTTTTTTGTTATTGTTGAGGGGCTATGTATGATGTATGAATGTTTTTGTAGTAAAGATTGCTATCTGGGTCAGAGTGTAGATATTTTCAATTTTGATATATACTACAAAATTATTCTCCACAAGAAGGCAAGCAAGGCATGAACCAGTTAGTGAGAGTGCTGTTCTCATTATTATATTGTTTCTTTTCTCTCTCTCTTTTCTGTCTCTCTTCCTTGTGATGGATGGTAAGGTGTTAAGGGTTCCTGATCTAGCATAAGAAACACCCAACTCAGACTATATAAGTGTCAATATAAAAATGTGAGATGGGATACTTAAGAGGAAACATATATTGTGATGCCAACCAGTCAATAGATTATATATTGGTTGGAGAAAAGCTGTTTTAATATATAGACATGAGGTTGAAATCTGTAGGCATGTATATGTCAGTCAAAATTATTTAAAAATTGAAACATTTGACCATTACCTTTGTTCCTTCAAGCAGGCTAGAATGATTTTTTCACTGTCCATCCAAACAGTGTTCACATGCACACTAGTGAGGCCTGGGTGCATGTTAACTGAGAGCTGGGTCAATACTGAGTGAGTGCTTGTTGAGTGCTGAGTGAGTGCTGAGTACTGGCTAAGTGCTGACTGAGTGCCGCTGGCTGAGTGCTGGGTCAGGGCTGGCTGAGTCCTGGCTGAGTGCTAGGTGAGTGTTGGGTCAGTGCTGGCTGAGTGCTAGCTGAGTGTTGGCTAAGTGCTGGCTGAGTCCTGGATGAGAATTCGCTGAGTGTTGGCTGAATACTGTGTCAATGCTGGCTGAATGCTGGATCAGTCCTGGCTCAATGCAGGCAGTGCTACAGACCTTAAGAAGGTCACTTAGTCATGGTGGCTACCATGCAGGTGCTCAGTGCAGAAAGGGTAGGGCTAAACTTTTCTGAGGTCACTGGGAACATCTTCTCTCCAAGTTTTCCTTGTGGTCATAAGATGAGGAACTTCGCCAGAACTGAGATACCCTGGTGGCCCTGGTTCTTACTGGAGTGTCTCTGTTCTGTGACGTGGGAATGAGGAATGAAGAGATGCATGGGAAGTCAGAGAGCACGTGGGACTTCTCAGCCCAGCATTCGAGAGCCGTTGAGGAAGGTGGTGGAAACTTCTACCTGAAGTGACCCTTGGTCTTTGTTGGTTCTTAGCCTAAGCAGCGCCATCCAAACTAAAAGAATTGGACCAGAAGTTACTGAGTACAGTTGTCATGCCAGGCCATGCAAAGGGCACAGAGGTAAGAAATGCTCCTGTAGTGTATATGGAAAGAGAATTTATGCACAGGATCAGCGACTCTAAAACTACAAGAGATAAATGCCAGAAGAGATATACAATGATGCTGATAATTTCTTATATTTCTGTAGGCTTTAGAGTTTAGAGGGGACTTTTCCATTCATTGTCTCATCACAGAAATTAAAGAGATCACTTTCAATGAGACAGGTGAGAAAGGACTTCCTGGGGGACATGGAATGAGCAGGACCTTGGAGGACAGGGAGGGGAATGTGAAAAGACCAAGCATGATATGTAAAATGGAAGAAACAGCATCAATCAAGGCAAGATCAAAGGAAAGTTATCAGGGAAGACTAGCATCTCTGTGTGTGGAGGGGGCAGTGGACAATAAAACATAGAAGGTAAAGTGGGGCTTGGTTAACCTGGGCTTTGAATATCGAGCTAAGACATTTGTGCAGATGTATGATTCTCTAATGCCCTTGTGCTCTGTGTTTAACCAAGGCCACCTTGAGTACATAAAAGTATAGCCTGTAATTCTGAGCTATTTACTTTGTTTACTTATTCCTAACCCTAAAGCATCTGGAGTATATAATTAGTGTCTAATACATATTGGATGAAAGGATGGGTTTTTGGGTTGTTGATGGGTGGGTGGGCGGATGGATGGATTTTTGGATGGATGGGTACGTTTTTGGGTGGATGGATGGATGGATGGATTTTTGGATGGATGGATACATTTTTGGATGGATGGATGGATGGATGGATTTTTGGATGGATGGATACATTTTTGAATGGATGAATTTTTGAATGGATGGATGGATGGATGGGTTTTTGGTTGGATGGATGGGTTTTTGGTTGGATGGATGGGTTTTTGGTTGGATGGATGGGTGGATGGATGGATGAGTTTTTGAATGGATGGGTTTGGGATGGCTAGAAGAATGAGATGAACAGATGAGGGATATATGGATGGATGAATGGATGGGTGTTTGGATGGATGGATATGTTTTTGGATGGATGAATGGGTGGGTGGATGGATGGATGGATGGATGGATGGATGGATGGATGGGTGGATGGGTTTTGGATGGATAGGTTTTTGGATGGATAGATGAATAAGTCTTTCAATGGATGGATGGATGGATGGGTAGATGGATGGAGGGTTGGCTGGGTGGATGGGTAGATGTGTTGAGTGAATCAGTTGCTTCGTCTTCCATGTAAATCTTAACTCCCATCTCATGTTAGCCATCCATTTACCTTCCCCTTGGATATAGCTCTTTTAGTATTTTGGAGGAAAGCCAGCAAGTCCCAGTGACAGTTTGAGTTGTACATGTTTAGCCACCTGAAGAGGCCCATTTTAAGGACTGTTCCCAAATTTTCACAGCCTGCTGCCCAATTCTCAACTGTGCTTTTCCCAGGTTTTTAGATCACCAAGTGTATAGGCAGGCAAGAGTTCCTTGGTTCCATAAACTGCCTCAATGAACTGCCTTGTTAAAGACATCAGCTACCCCCTGAGAATCCCTCTGCTCATGTATGCAATTTGAGAAGGTCAAGCACATCCCCTGCCCCTAATAATTTACCCAATTCCTATTCCACCAAGATGAGAGAATCCTTTCTTTGGATGAAGTTACTCTTCTAATTTATTGGATCCAATATAGGCCAGGATTTACCTCATGGCTTTTGTAGAATAAAAGGTAAAAAGGACATTGGGAAGAGGTTCAGACCCTGGATTCTTTATTCTGAGAGGGCAGTGTGCTTGGAAATGTATTGAACTCAAAGAGGAATGGGAATACGGCACCCACAGGCAGCTTACTTCCTTTACCAGTCTTGCAAAAATGCACCCTGGCTCCGGAAGCCATGTTTCACTGTATAGACCGTCGCTGGCTACCAGGACAAACTGATTGCTGTCAACCCAGATATGGGCCCAGCACCGGGCTGGCTGAATGATGACTCTGCCCTGTAGCTTAAATGGATTAAGGTGATTTCAGCAGTGAAGCACTCCTCCAGGGCACACAGAGTGAGTGTATGGACTCCCCATGACAGCAGACAGGTGCGGGCTTCCACCATTGGTTTGATGCCCAGTCAGTTTAAATGTGCTTGAAGCCAAGGACAGTAGGTGACTCAGATGGTCCCCAAAGTGAGTATTTATTTATTCTTTGTTATCTGAAGATTTGTCTGAGGCAGTGGTTTTTGTCCTGTGAATGCCTCCTTGATACATTTATTTTTGTTTGTACTGGGATTGGTGCCCTAACTGCAGCAGAGCAAGCTCCCCAGAAGGCATTGGAAGAGAGTCATTGTAGAGACAGGGAAGCTGCCTTCTCTTTCTGATCTTGGAGAGCTTCCTGACGTTCTGGCCTCCTCCTTTTCTGAGCCATCCCCCTCATGAAGAGTGCTGGGAAGGGAGGGAGATTGTTCTGGGGAGGAGCTGCTAGACGGTGGTACAATGGGGTTCTTTCATTGCAGCAAGAATTCAAAGAAAGAAGCTTCAGGCAGTGTCTTTCTTAACTCAGTTTTGGGAGCCCCAGGTTTGGCTTCTGGAACTCTTGGACTCTTGTTTCCCATCACCGCTGGAGGAACAGGACTCATCCTGGGCTCTGAGTCTTCTGAACCGGCTGGGGCTTCCAGCAGCTAGGAGGTGTTCTGGGAAGCCTCGTTGCCATGGGTTCCCTAGAGGAGCAGCCGCAGCCTGTCATTGGCTTACGCCACCACTGGCCACTCGGGCTGTGCTAAAGCATGGTGTTTCCTTATTCACACTGACTTTATTCACCAATCAGCTAATGCCATGCTTTTCTTGGGATGAAAGCATTGCAGCTTTATTAACACAGGGATACCCAACTGAACAAGCATTCATCTCACACATTACATCAAATTAGCGTGTACAAAATTAATATTCCTGACCTTGCTAGTGGGAAGAGCAATCAATCTAGGGGAGGTTGTCATCCCGCCATGGCCAGCCTTCTGCAGAAGTCCTGGCCATTACAGCTGCAGCCACTTTTCCTTCCCCCAGAGCCAAACCATGCCCTTCTGGATCCTCTGGCCCTTGGGTATTCCCCTGGTTTCTGGGGAGCTCCAAAGCCCAGCAGCGATGCCTGGAAGGCCCCTGGTCTCCCTGGTACCATCCAAGAATGCCATTTTCTCTTTGTCCCTAGAGGCCATGACCTCCATCATCCTAGGTAGCGTCTCTAGGTGACTCCGGGTGCCCAGGTGGATAGATGGAGAAGACTTGTGTTCCCCACTGAATTGTCACCTCCTCGGTACCAGGTATAAACAGTCCTCTAGAACCCTTTTTTTCTCCCTGCTTATTTAATAACTAGACAGAAGCCCAACATGCAATCCAAGCATATTGGTACCCCCCAGTGTGTGTTTAGCTAAGCCCCCTCCATTCCATCCCACACTTCCCCCTGCCATCTCCTCTCTCTGTTTGCACAAAAAGGAAGTCCTGCCTTCACACTGTTGCTTTGAGCCCCTCCCGGTCAAGAGCCAGGAGGGTGCACCTCCATCTTGATTTGTCATGTTCTCTGAGGGCCAGGGGGAATGTGTTTGGTTAGTGGCAATCCAGGCCTGAGCTTCCTCCCTGTCTGTCTATCCCTCACACCCACCAGGGCTCTGGGCCAGGTCTAGGGGCAGCTGCTTCTGAGCAGCCCATTGTGTGGGACCTCAGGACATCTGGGGATAGCTCTAGGCCCTAAATCGGGTGGCGTCAGACACAGCTGATATGGCAGGTGTGGTTCCCCTGAGAAGGGGATCCCCTTGCTTCATCATAGCAAGGTGTGCAGCACGTTTGTACAGCAGAGAGCCCTGTATAAGCATAACCCAGGGGGCACAGCGTGTAAGGCACTTCCATGAGTCCTTTGTCAAGCAGATATTCTTTTGTCAAATGAATCAATTCATCCAGATTTTCCAGGTGTATTGAGAATAAGCTGAGATTTAGGTGAAATTTTCTGGGGACTTTGAGCTCTTTCCCTGACACAGAGGAAGGTGATTCAAGGCAGAAGCCCAGCGGACATGGGGTCTGGGCTCAGCCTGGAGGAGAACGCGGCCCAGCTTGGGGGCTAGGGGCTACAGGGACAGTGGCAGCCAATCTGAGAGCCAGTGTCTGAGGTGCCGCCCCAGCCAGAACCGTGCTGCAGGGCATCTGGCTCCGAACCCCACCCCTGGGAGTGGGGCACTGGGGATCTCCAGTCAGATCCATGCAGTGGGATGGAGCGGGACTGAATCCATGGTCCTGCCCGCTACCTTCCTAGAATTCCTTTACCAGGGGCTGGGGCCCGGGGAGGAGAGCTGTGCTTGGTCAGGAACACTAATGCTGCAGGCGTGCTTCTGACATCATCTCTTCCTTCCTTGCCTCCTTTCCTTGCCCTCCATTTCCCTCCCTTTTTCTTCTCTTTTCTGTCTGGCTTTCTTCCTTTTCTGCAGCCCCCATTTTAAGGCTGCCCAGAGTGAGGAGGGACAGAACCCAAGCCCCAGTGGGAGCTCTCACCCCAGCAGGGCTTGGTGCTTGTCCCCCCACCTCCTCCTTTTGTGATGAGGTCAGCATGGAGGGTCTGGGAGACCCAGAGGCCTTTACAAGAGGAGGGGTGAGCCTAGGGGTCATCCCCTGGCCGTGCCTCCCAGATTCCCGACAGCAGGAGGCCTTCTGTGTGGAGCTGTGTGGAGCACAGCCCCTGTGCAGTTGGTGCACCTCTATTTGCAGAGTTTCTTTAACTTAGAAAAGTCCTTTATGCCCACTCCTTATGAAATCCTTGGTTGCCTGCAAACACCTGGGAGGCGGATGTGGCCAGTTGCATCTTCCCATTCCTTCCTCCCATTTGTTGATGAAGAAACTGATGCTCACAGATGTGAAGTCAGTCATCACAGCCACAGGACTAATCCATGGCAGGGCAGAAGCTGAGACCCAGGGCCTCCCTGCCTAACATCACATTGTTTCCCAGAGAAAAATCCAATGCAGAAACAGCAGATCCTGCCTGGCTCCGTGGCTCAAGCCTGTAATCTCAGTGCTTTGGGAGGCCGACGCTGGAGGATCACTTGAGGCCAGGAGTTCCAGAGCAGCATGGGCAACACAGCAAGACCCCAACTCTAAAAAAAGATTGTTTTTAATTAGCATGGTGGTGCTTACCTGTAGTTCCAGCTACTAGGGAGGCTGAGGTGGGAGGATCACTTGAGCCCAGGAGTTAGAGGCTGCAGTGAGCCATGATCACACCACTACACTCCAGGCTGGGCGACAGAGCAGAGAATCGGCAGGTCCTCTCCAGAGTCCAGCTACTGCCCTCTTGGACGGCTCTCCACATTGGGTTGCTATGGCTTTTGAACTGTCCCCTCCTGTCTCCTCCTGCCATTTCCTTGGGGTCTGCTCTGTTGTGGGCCCAAGTGTGAAGAAGGCAGGTAAGTGGGGAGTGAGAAGTGGTCAAGATGCCTTGTGAGCCTCTTGGCATTTTTCCTTGTCCAAGCACATTCTGCAGCAGAGAAGAGGACTTCGTGCCTGCTGAGGGCTTAGGCATGTGTTGAAGTTGATTCTGGCTCTGAGGAAAGGGCAGGAGGGTCTGCAGAGACTGGTGTGCATGAGTCCTGGAGAGCCTGCTTGGGAAAACACACCTGACAGCCACCTTCCCAAGCCATCATCCTTCCTCCATCCCCTTCGGCTAGTTAAATTATTATTTAAATAAAAAAAAGGATTAACAAACAAAAAACAATAAAGCACTCTTATCCTGGCGAGGTATCTAGTGCCTGTAGTCCTAGCTACCCAGGAGGCTGAGGTGGGAGGATGGCCTGAGTCCAGGAGTTCGGGGCTGCAGTGAGCTGTGATTGCACCACTGCACTTCAGCCTGGGTAACAGAGCATAACCCTGTCTCAAAAAAAACAGAAAAAGAAATCACCCTCTGTCATTTGAAAATCTGAGTATTCAGGGAAGCAGGAGGAAAGGAGGCCCGGAGGCCCCAGCATTGGAATGGACCCATAGCGGCTCCCCTAGGTCCATCCTCTTTTACCTTGGTGGCCATCCTGAGGGCCACTTCTGTACCAGAACTCACAGGCTCCAGGCCCTCTTTGTCATAGAGTCCTTTCCAGAAAATAACCTCTTTTGTCCTTGTCTCTTCTCAAATCTCCATTACCTGTGTTCTCTCTCTCCATTCCTACCTCCCATGCCCTTTGGTGGCCTCTCTCTCCCCTACGCCAGCCCTAGTGGATTCTTCTCTTCCTCTCCCATCTCTCTTTCTCCCTCTGTCCTCTCTCTGCTGGGCCCCCTCCTCTCTCTCTGACCCCTTCTCAAACCCTGGATGACTTGATGGCCCCTTCCCTCTTCGGTCCTTTCTTCTCCTTTCCCTGCCTCTTCCTCTCCCTCCTGGCTCTACTCTTTCCTCCATCACAGTCACAGGGCTCCTTATGGATGGATGACCAGAGGCACTCATTGCAAAGAGGGGTGTTCTTCTGGGCTATCCGTAATAAGAAGACATGCGGAAAAGGAATCTATAAACAGTTTTAGCCAGCAAAGCACCTTCCCAGGGGAAACGGAGGGTTATAACTTCAGAACCTTTATTTCAGCCCAGAAAATGCTAACTCTCACAGGGCATTTTACTTGGAAATTGCATTGGGGAGCGGGACACAGCCATACTTTCTTTTCCTTTCTTTCCACCCACACCCAGTGCCCCCTCCCACCCACGACTTGCCCATCCGTGGCCCCCGTGGTTGGAGAGTGCAGGTCCCAGCCAACACTTCCTCTTTATCTTTTGGGAGAGATTCCTAACTGTGTGATGAAAGTAATTCCACCTTGCCCAGAAATGAATTCCGTTATGCCCCAGCTTACTGTTTTATATTTATATGACACATATTAATTTCTTTTTACCTAGAGGTTGAATTTAGTTAATGATGACAATAAATATTAACGAATTGGTGTCTCCAGACCCTTGATGGCCACGGTGGGCCAGCTCTCTTCTCTCCCCGGACATGATACGTTTGTCATCCCTGCATCCACGGTGTGAAAGCCACACCACTGGTGAGCTGAGGGTGGGGATGCTGGACCCTCCTGGAAGGGTAGGTGTGGATCCCAATGGGGGAATTGAGAAGGTTCTGCGTGGCTGCCCACTCCTCATTCCGGGGACAGGGCGCTCCCTCCCACACTTCCTGTGTGGTCCCCTGACACTGGACCCCGGGTGTGGGTCTTAGGAGTTCAGGCAAATGCCCCATCTACCTCCAGTGACTCATCCCGAGGGGTTGCAGCAGAGGGCTTGGGGTCAGAACTGGTTCCTCAGTGCAAGTGTGCTGTGGAACTAGCCAGAATCCCTGTTTCCTTGTCTGCAAAATGGAGATGATTTTTCCACCTTCCTTGACCATTGAGAGGACCAGATGCAATGAATGTGTGAATGTGAACACAGCTCATAAACATGCTCATATTAGGCAGGATCCGTGTTTTGTCTTTGTGTTTTTTTGTTTTTCCATCATGTGGGCTTCCAAGGTTGTTGGGCTATAGAACTTTGCAGAAAGCTTTTGTAACTTTGGGAGCTTTTATTTCTCATCCATGTGTGTCTCTACCCAGGAGTCACATTTGGTTCTGTGCATGCCAAGTTCTTCAGTTCAGGCAGTTGTCTGGAAATGTGTCCTTGGCACTCAGCTCTTGAGAGATCGATGGCTGTCTTGTTGCTTTAAGCACACAGTCTTCATTGGTGGGGTAAGGAAAGTGAGATGTGTGTGGGGAAGCGGGTGCAGCCATTCCGCAGGGGCTCACATCTTGAGAGACTCTTTCAATGGAGGGACTTGGGGAAGCGTGGAATGCGGGTGCCCAGTCGGCCTCTCACTTGCTAGTCCCTGATCACTTCTGTGTGCTTCTTTGCATCTTTGCAGCTGTTGGTTTGGTTTGAATGAGAACCTCCTCCCCCTCACAGTCCAGCTGCCTCCTCCATGGGAGCTGGCAGCAGAGGTTCCCATCTTATTTGCTCAAGAGAAAAGAGGGATAGAGGGATGATAATGCATTCTTTTCTTTTTCTTTCACTTTCACTTTTCCTTTTTTTTTTTTTTTTTTTTTTTTTTTGAGACAGTGGCTTGCTCTGCTGCCCAGGCTGGAGTGCAGTGACGATCACAGCTCACTGCAGTCTCCACCTCCCAGGTTCAAGCAATTCTCGTGCCTCAGCCTCTCAAGTAGCTGGGACTACAGGTACCCGCCACCATGCCTGGCTGATTTTTTGTATTTTTAGTAGAGACGGAGTTTCACCATATTGCCCAGGGTTGTCTCAATCTCCTGAGCTCAGGCAATCTCCCAGCCTCGGCCTCCCAAAGTGCTAGGATTACAGGTGTAAGCCACCACGCCTGGCCTACTTTTCCTTTTTTTTTTTTTTGAGACAGAATCACTCTGTCACCCAGGCTTTAGTGCAATGATGTGATCCTAACTCGCTGCAGCCTCAATCTCCTGGGCTGAAGCGATGCTCCTGCCTCAGCCTCCTAAGTAGTTGGGACTACAGGCACAGGCCACCATGCCCGGTTAATTTTTAAAAGAATTATAAAGATGAGGTCTTGCTGTGTTGCCCAGGCTGGTCTTGAATTCCTGGGCTCAAGCATTTCTTCCACCTCGGCCTCCCAAATGCTGGGATTACAGACAAGAGCTACTGCACCTGGCCGATAATGCATTCCTGAAGAGGGTATTTGAGTGTGGGCACAGCTTGGGCAGGCTCCAATGCAAGGAGACCACCGACTGGGGTGTCTCCTCCCATCTTCCTTGGTGGTGGGTTCTGTCATCCTGTCTACCCCAGAGACCTTTAATCACGAAGTGGCATTGCTGAATGTGCCAGTCACTCTCAGACAGAACTTGCCTAGGATGGACTTTGGGTCTCACCCCAGCACATCTGCTTTGCACTGGGACTGGCTGGACTCAGGATCCATTCAGGATGTTTTGGCAGCTATTTAGGAAGTGTGAAGCAGCTGTCTATGATATTCATTCATTCATTCATTCGTCCCATTGACATGTATTGAGTGGCCACTCTGGGCCGGACGGTAGGGTTGCGGCTGATAACTGGGGTGTGGGTGTGTGGGGTCTCGTCCTGACCACACAAAGCTGACAATGTGTTGGAATATCTGGCCATACACAAGTGATCCCCATGGATAAGGGGACAAAAGCTGGGGTCAAAACCCTGCTATCCCCAAGAGCCTTTTCCCTGAGGCCCGGGGAAGGGTGGGTTCCCGCATTCTCCACTTCACTGCACCTGCCCCAGGGTTTCCAGCAGAGGAGGCAGTGCTAGAAAGTAAGGAATGAGAGATCTTGGTGCATCTCAGAAGCTGAGAGGGGCTGGAGGGGAACCGGGCAAATGGTGGAGGACTCCCTTCCTTCAGGGCTGCTTTGAGGAATTTGGATCTTCTTCCGAGCCCAGTGGGAAGTTACTGAGGGTGTTATATGGGGAGGTGATATGACCAGCCTGATATTCTATATTAATCTCAGCAGCTTCTGCTTGGAGATGAGATTAAAGGGGCTGGGGCTGGAGTCAGGGAGTTGGTTGGGGATGGGGTGAGAGATGCTAGTGGCTGGACTGGGCCCATGTGGGAGGCTGCAGAGAGAATGGGGGATCCTGTTAACAAAGGCTGTTACAACTCCTTGCTCCTGGACATGACCCCCCACTCACCTACTTGAAATGAGGCAGCAGCTGTCCATTGCTCAGCTACTGCATGCAAGACTAAGGAAGTAAGGTTCCCTCCCTTAGAGAATTCAGGCAAGAATGCACAGAAAGTTAAGTAGCAACAAGGAATTTAAATACTCTCAAATACTGTTGGAGACAGTAGCGGAATTTCCCAAGGTCACATGTGATGCATTGTTGGGTCGAATCGGTGGACGGTGCCTACCCCTGGGCTACTGAAGCCAGCCTGGTGGGGACCAGGTTCTCGACAGCCCTGCCCCACACCCCTGTTGACTTCTCACCATCTGCACAGTGACTGGGAACACCCAGTCTTTCCTCCCCTCCTTGCCTGATCCAGGGCATTCGCTGTGCCAGCTTCCAGAGCCCTTCCTTCTATCCAGCCAGGGGCTTTGCGTGTCAAGCTCAGTCTAGAGAAGAAAGCACAGAGGAACTACTCCACTTGCTGAGTGTTGGTGAGGTTGGCGTTTGCAGAGAATGAACCAGATTAAGCGACTTTACAGCTCGGCTCTTTACCTTCTCTGAAAGGCCATAAAATGATAGACATGTAGCCGAGGAAGGACGTTACAAATATTACCCAAGTGCCCCGTATCATTCAAAGAAGGAAATAGAGGCCTAGAGAAACAAAACTCTGCACTGCACAGTGTGCGGCAACCTGCCTGGTGCCTGTGGCAGCTTGATGCGTATTTGTGGAGTGCCTTTCATCCCTTAGTTCCCTCATTCCACTGGGTCCATTTCCATTTTCTAGAACATTTTTAAAGTTCAGTAATCAAGAGTATAAATATTCTCAGAGTAGTGAAATTATTGCAAAGCATGGTGGAAGATGGGAATTTTCCCTTTATTTTTATGTATTTATTTTTGGAGATAGGATTTTGCTTTGTTGCCCAGGCTAGAGTGCAGTGGTGGGTCATGGCTCACTTGCACCCTCCACCTCCGGGTTCAAGTGATTCGCCTGCCTCAGCCTCTGGAGTAACTGGGACTGCAGGCATGTGCCACCATGTCTGGCTAATTTTTTTGTATTTTAGTAGAGATGGGGTTTTACCATGTTGCCGAAGGTGGTCTCAAACTCCTGAGCTCAGGCAGTCTGCCTGCCTTGGCCTCCCAAAGTGCTGGGATTACAGGAATGAGCCACTGCGCCCAGCCCTTCCCTTTATTTTAATGTGGAGGGGAGAACCAGTGGGTAAAAGTCTTAGGCTCCACCTAAGGAAATACTTCTCACCTTCAGATCGGAAAAGAAAATGGTCATTTGAACAGGGAGTGAGGCCCACGTCACAGCCACGAGGGTGTGCGCTTGAAAGAACCCTCAGAAACCATGACATGGTCAGGAGTGGGGTGTGCGGTGAGGCCAGGTCTCTCCAGGACCCAGTTCTGCTTGGCACCAGAGCCTTTTAATTCTCCTCTGAGTTGGATCTTGTTCCACCAGGGAGGTTGAGAGGTTGGCCTTTTCTTTCCATATTAATTTCCTCCTCAGTCATCAGACTGATGACATTCTGACCCTGCTGTGTAGTTTACAAAGCATATCAGAGCGTGTTGTGGGCCAGCCCAGGAGAGGAGCTGGTCATATCATTCATGGTGCATGTGTTGGGGAGGGGTGCTCCGGACGGCCTGGGCTGGTTTGGTGCTTGTGCAGTGGGGGTGGGGAAGGCTCTGGCCATGGGGAGATGCATTGCCCCTGGGTGGAATGTGGGCTGGCAGAGCCCCTGGGTTTCCCTCTCACCTGGTGGCCTTCACCCACAGAGGACTCTTTCATGTCCACTATTGGCTCTGCTGCTTCTGGCTGCTGGTGTCCTCTCGTAGTGGCTGCTGTGGGGCCATTTCTCTCTCAGACTTAATTTCATGGGAGCCACTGTAATAGGAGCAAAATCCCCAGGGTGTGGGGTTTGTATTGCAGACTGTGGCTCCAAGAGGCATCTCCAGGACAGAAGGGGCTTTGATATCTTCACCCATCTACACAGGCCTGGGCATTTCCTTGAGTCTCAGTGGGAGGGACACCAGCCATGGGATTTCCTCCTCTTTCCCCGTTTACAATAAAACCGTACTATGGAAACATCATATATGCATGCACCCGGTGCACTTCTGCAGACAGTGGGCTGTGTCTAGCTAAACCCAGCCTACTCTGCTCCAGCTGTTCCCCGAGAGGATTATAAGAGAGGTTGCAGACCCACCTGGATGCTCTGACCTCAGTCATACTGTGTGCCCCAGCTAGGGTAACAAGCCATCCTTCAGTTTGCATAAGACTGAGTAAATTCCCAGGATGCAAGACATTCAGTGCTGAAACCAGGACAGCTCCAGGCAAATTGGGACACTTGGTTATTCTACCTCGGCTGTTCTTCCTCCAGGCCTGCCACTCCATTGGAGTTTTGAGTCCAGATTTCTAGAATGTGCTGCATGCCGAGGAAGTCTGTCGGGGGGCAGGTGAGGGAGAGTGAGATGTCTTCTTTTCTTTTTCTTTTCCTATTCTTTTCCAACACATGCATTCACAGTCTTCACTGTGGCTAGCACAGGAGCCTCCATTGGCCAGCGCCGTATTTCCCTAAGCATTTGGTCTTGGCCCTAGGAACAGAGCTTTTGCTGTCTTTATTTGTCATCTCAAAGTGCATGGCCTTAAACTTGAGGTTCCCCACAGCACTTCACACTCAGCTGACTGCAGCAGGGCACTCTCTTCTGGTCATTTGTAAAGAACATCCATGGCTCCTGGACAAGACTCTTGCTTAGTAGTTGGCAAATGAGCAGAAGTATCCCCCTCCCTGCAGCTGATGTGTGTACCTGGGGCAGTTCCCATCCAAGTTCACATTACATCAGTGTTGGGATTCCATGTGTCTTGGCTTAGGAATCTTGGCACTCAAAGTAGGGGGCTTAGGAGCAAAAGAATCACACCTGTCCTGGAAGGAATGAGGGGGGCCTATCTGCTTGACTTCAAGGGACTCATTTCACTGTTTTTGTTTGTTTGTTTGTTTATTGTTGTTGTTGGTTTTCTGATGTGAAATGGAACAGGGGCAAATCTTTAAAGCTGGTGGAGTCAATTCCACAAACAAAACTTCCCTTCCTTTCTTAAGAGCTTTTTGTAGAAATCAGCCTTGCAATTAGCACTGCAACGTTCCAACCACTTAACACACTTCCCCACTGGCCTTTTGAAGCAAACAAGTATTTAGAAGCTGACAGGACAAAGTCACTTTATTTCTCCTTTTCCTTTACCTTGAAATTGTTCCTAGCCACAGGGCTGGCCACTCCTCACTGTCCAAAAAACTACCCTGATGCAGTATGCAGTGGCAGATCAGTTTAGTAAGGAATAACCCAAGTCACCGAATGCAAGAGAATGAAAACAAAAACAAAAACAAAAAAAACACCCTGTTGCATTAACGCAAGTATTCTCTGGGCTCTGTGTCTCTGGACGTGCATCTTCCAGAACCTGCAGGCGCGTGGCCTGCCCTCCACCTGCGTGGGAATGCATGCTGGATTTACATCCCAGTTACATCGCTTCCAGAAAGACAGGATCTCTGTTGGATGCCCATGAAGCTTATACTGAGTAAATATTGACAAAGTAGTCTAAAGAGCAAACACTTTGACATTTGTAAGGTCCACTGGAAGGTCTTGTATATATTTATACATCAGGAATGAGCACCGCATACCAATTTTCCTGAACTTGTTGTGACATAATTCTGCATGGAGAGTGTGTGTGCACAGGTGGCTGAGAACGGCTGAGTGTTCACATGGGGGACAGGGCTGGGGGCTGGGTGGTAGCTGGTCAGGGTATTTCCTCTCAACTGGAACGAACCCACACCTATCCCTGCCAGGAAACCTACCTCTAAGCTTTTCTGAGACCTGCTTTTCCAGAAGGAAGAAAGAAAAAAAAAAAGCCACAAAATCTTGTTTTTCCCTTATTACAATGGACGTACTTTTCTTTTTACTTGGTAAAAATTTTATTGATGTTTTTATACTTTATATTTATTAAAGATTGAGCCTCAAAAATGTAATGAGTAAAAAATGCTTGCTTAATTTAAATTGTGAATCTGTCTGTTAAGAAATGCATTAGGGGTAGGAGAAGCATAAGACATATTAATTGACAGACAGGAACTGCTGTCTCTGAGGTTGATACAAGTAATTTATTACTTTAGAAATGAATGCCACCTCCAGAATGTGCTTCATTAATTTCAAATTTAGTTTTAATTTCAAGCTGTTGCCCCTTGAGAAGAATAAGGTGGCAAATTATGTTTGAAGAGCAGATTTTTTTTTTTTTTTGCTCCAAAGAAACACCACATTTTAACTGTTTAATTTTACAAATACATGTACCCATCTGGGTTGCTGTGTTTTCCTGAGAGCCCAGAACATATTCTAGGTAAGATCAACAAGTACTAATGCTTTTTTTTTTCTTTCTCTCCTTCTCCCTGTCTCTCTTCATTCCATCCTACCTGTCTCTCTTTCCCACCTGTTATCATGGCAGCCTATGTTTCCGAAGAGTTAAAGGCTGCTGCCCTGGTGGACGAAGGTTTAGACCCAGAGGAGCATACGGCAGATGGAGAGCCCTCGGCCAAGTACATGTGCCCGGAGAAGGAGCTCGCCAGGGCCTGCCCCAGCTACCAGAACTCCCCGGCCGCCGAGTTTTCCTGCCATGAAATGGACAGCGAGTCACACATCAGTGAGACCAGTGACCGAATGGCTGACTTTGAAAGCGGCTCCATCAAGAACGAAGAGGAGACCAAGGAGGTCACGGTCCCACTGGAAGACACGACTGTGTCGGATAGCCTGGAGCAGATGAAGGCCGTGTACAACAACTTCCTCTCCAACTCCTACTGGTCCAACCTCAACCTCAACCTGCACCAGCCCTCCTCGGAGAAGAACAACGGCAGCAGCAGCAGCAGCAGTAGCAGCAGCAGCAGCTGTGGCAGCGGGAGCTTCGACTGGCACCAGAGCGCCATGGCTAAGACGCTGCAGCAGGTGTCACAGAGCCGCATGCTCCCGGAGCCCAGCCTCTTCAGCACCGTGCAGCTGTACCGGCAGAGCAGCAAGCTCTATGGCTCCATCTTCACGGGGGCCAGCAAGTTCCGCTGTAAGGACTGCAGCGCTGCCTACGACACCCTGGTGGAGTTGACGGTGCACATGAACGAGACGGGGCATTACCGCGACGACAACCATGAGACCGATAACAACAACCCCAAGCGCTGGTCCAAGCCTCGCAAACGCTCCTTGCTGGAAATGGAAGGGAAGGAAGACGCCCAGAAGGTGCTGAAGTGCATGTACTGTGGCCACTCCTTTGAGTCCCTGCAGGATTTGAGTGTCCATATGATCAAAACAAAACACTACCAAAAAGTGCCTCTGAAGGAACCCGTCACTCCTGTCGCCGCCAAAATCATCCCTGCCACTCGGAAGAAAGCTTCCCTGGAGCTGGAGCTCCCCAGCTCCCCAGATTCCACAGGTGGAACCCCCAAAGCCACCATCTCAGACACCAACGATGCACTTCAGAAGAACTCCAACCCTTACATCACGCCAAATAATCGGTACGGCCACCAGAATGGGGCCAGCTATGCATGGCACTTTGAGGCCCGGAAGTCGCAGATCCTGAAGTGCATGGAGTGTGGGAGCTCGCATGACACCCTGCAGGAGCTCACTGCCCACATGATGGTCACTGGCCACTTCATCAAGGTCACCAACTCTGCTATGAAAAAGGGGAAGCCCATTGTGGAGACGCCTGTCACACCTACCATCACAACCCTGCTGGATGAGAAGGTCCAGTCCGTGCCCCTGGCAGCCACCACCTTCACGTCCCCCTCCAATACACCTGCCAGCATCTCCCCAAAACTGAATGTGGAGGTCAAGAAGGAAGTCGACAAGGAGAAAGCGGTCACTGACGAGAAACCTAAGCAAAAAGACAAGCCTGGCGAAGAAGAGGAGAAGTGTGACATCTCTTCCAAATACCATTACTTGACTGAAAATGACTTAGAAGAGAGTCCCAAGGGGGGGCTTGATATCCTCAAATCCTTGGAAAACACAGTGACATCCGCAATCAACAAGGCCCAGAACGGCACTCCTAGCTGGGGGGGCTATCCCAGCATCCATGCCGCCTACCAACTTCCCAACATGATGAAGTTGTCCCTGGGCTCGTCGGGGAAGAGCACGCCCCTGAAACCCATGTTTGGCAACAGTGAGATTGTCTCCCCGACGAAAAACCAGACCCTGGTCTCTCCACCCAGCAGCCAGACGTCCCCCATGCCCAAGACAAACTTTCATGCCATGGAGGAGCTGGTGAAAAAGGTCACTGAGAAAGTTGCCAAAGTGGAGGAGAAGATGAAGGAGCCGGATGGGAAGCTTTCCCCGCCCAAGCGGGCCACTCCCTCCCCATGTAGCAGCGAAGTCGGGGAACCCATCAAGATGGAGGCATCCAGCGATGGGGGCTTCCGCAGCCAGGAGAACAGCCCCAGCCCCCCGCGGGATGGGTGCAAGGATGGGAGCCCCCTCGCTGAGCCGGTGGAGAATGGCAAGGAGCTGGTGAAGCCCCTAGCCAGCAGTTTGAGTGGCAGCACGGCCATCATCACCGACCACCCGCCTGAACAGCCTTTTGTTAACCCTTTGAGCGCCCTGCAGTCAGTCATGAACATTCACCTGGGCAAGGCCGCCAAGCCCTCCCTGCCTGCCCTGGACCCCATGAGCATGCTTTTCAAGATGAGCAACAGCCTGGCGGAGAAGGCTGCTGTGGCCACCCCGCCGCCCCTGCAGTCCAAGAAGGCAGACCACCTCGACCGCTATTTCTACCACGTCAACAACGACCAGCCCATAGACTTGACAAAAGGGAAGAGTGACAAAGGCTGCTCCTTGGGTTCAGTGCTTCTGTCACCCACGTCCACAGCCCCGGCAACCTCCTCATCCACGGTGACAACGGCAAAGACATCTGCCGTCGTATCATTCATGTCAAACTCGCCGCTACGCGAGAATGCCTTGTCAGATATATCCGATATGCTGAAGAACTTGACAGAGAGCCACACGTCAAAATCCTCCACTCCTTCCAGCATCTCCGAGAAGTCTGACATTGACGGGGCCACTCTGGAGGAGGCTGAGGAGTCGACGCCCGCCCAGAAGAGGAAGGGCCGCCAGTCAAACTGGAACCCCCAGCACCTCCTGATCCTCCAGGCCCAGTTTGCCGCCAGCCTCCGGCAGACCTCAGAAGGGAAGTACATCATGTCAGACCTGAGCCCCCAGGAGCGGATGCATATCTCCAGGTTCACCGGGCTGTCCATGACCACCATCAGCCACTGGCTGGCCAACGTGAAATACCAGCTTCGAAGGACAGGTGGAACAAAGTTCCTCAAAAACTTGGACACTGGCCACCCCGTCTTCTTTTGTAACGATTGTGCGTCCCAAATCAGGACTCCTTCCACGTACATCAGTCACCTAGAGTCACACTTAGGCTTCCGGCTACGGGACTTATCCAAACTGTCCACCGAACAGATTAACAGTCAGATAGCACAAACCAAGTCACCGTCAGAAAAAATGGTGACGTCCTCCCCCGAGGAAGACCTGGGGACTTCCTATCAGTGCAAACTTTGCAATCGGACCTTTGCCAGCAAGCACGCTGTTAAACTTCACCTTAGCAAAACACACGGGAAATCTCCGGAAGACCACCTTCTGTATGTCTCTGAGTTAGAGAAGCAGTAGCATTTGCTTTTGATAGAAAGGACTGCAGTTTGCTTTGAGGGAAACTGTGGAAGGCACCTTCAGGCCCCCTCTGACTTGTTGTTCTTGGCACATGTTCTTATTTTAACTGCAGAGAATCACTCTGGGCTGGACTGTTTTGTATAACTGTACAGTGTTTAATAGAGGTGCATAATCAGCTGTTGTTACTGGTAAAATATGAAGGTTAAAATGCAGTGGTAAGTGTTTGGAACTTTGTGTAAACGGGATTTAGTTGTGAGCATCCTCCCGATGCTTCAAGCTGCATGCATTAACAGACAGTTTAATTAAGCATTTATAACGGAATCAGGCACACCTTTTCCACGAGACTCGAGTGTGCTGGCATTTCTCACCCTTTCATCTTTAGCCCTCTGAGTACTTTGAAGCACTTTTGCATTAATTTGGTTAAAAAATAAAATAAAATAATAATAATGTATGAAGCTCTGTTTTTTAAACTCCTTACCAGCTTAGTTATAATGAATAATATGAACCTCCATTTATGCAGGTCTGCAGGGGTATAACACGCCTTGAAATTTAAAAGAATATTATTTTCACATTGAAACATAGATGTATATATTGTATAGATTTCAGACTCTCTTATGAAAAAAAATGTGATTGTGGTTAAATGACCTTTTTCTTGCATTTATAGCAACAGTGTTTTATGCACCTGCTATGCTCTGGGCATAAGCTGTGCCTATGTATAGTGTATATTTCTTTTTTTCTTTTTTTTAAGGTCTATGGGTTTTGTTTTTTACATGCAAACATTGTAAATTATACAGAAGATACCACAGATAGCATTTATAAAGTATACAGAAACATTATCTGAAAGCAAAGTATGATAGTTTGTTTTGCTATACAGTACATCTATATTGATAGAGGTTCATGTTTAAATTATACATATTTATTAGCATCATATTGTCATTTGTTTTGAGCAGTCTGAATAAACGAGACCGGGAAAGACATCCCTGGCAGGCATCAGAACTATTTTGCACATGATTTTTAAAGGTATTTATTAGAAATCAAAGAACACTCAAAATAAACTCAGTGCTCAAAGGGTTAAGTCTATTTGAAAAGGTTAAAAAAAAGAACAAAAAAAAAAAAAGAACTTGTACTGTATTTCCTAAACATTGATAAAGCCTTTAAAATGTTTGTACTGTAATACTTTGCTTAAAAGTCATGAGGCA
The DNA here is from genome assembly GCF_000001405.40 of Homo sapiens. NCBI lineage: Eukaryota > Metazoa > Chordata > Mammalia > Primates > Hominidae > Homo > Homo sapiens. The sequence goes on along the minus strand of NC_000019.10, from coordinate 31,275,347 downwards.
TTCTGTGATCCAACCTCTTTCACTTATTTATAAGCCCTCTTGGTTGCTATTCCATATTGTAGGATGCCTTTCTATTTCAATTGGTAACTTTCTGTTTTGTTCTTCCTAATTATTCTCCCAAGATCCCACACTGCAGCTTTATCTTTAGGCTTATGAAAGGTAACCCGTGGTTACCGGCTCTCCAAGTGATTCTGTTCTTCTCCATTTTTGGCAGTTAATTTGCAGAAGTAACTGACAGCTGACACCATATGAGAACCTTTGTATAAAATATTGGCATGTAAACAGCACAGACACCGTAACACACTCTGTGCCCTGTTTGGTTGTTGACAATGAAGCACCATTATGTGACTCTTCATATAACCCTTTTTTCTACGGCAGCATTAAAATTGTCTTTTTGCTATAATTTTGTGTTGCGTTCACAATTATGTCTGAAATGTGCTACGACTAACGAGCACATTAAAATTAAATTGTATGCGATCTGTTTATGACGGAGCTGGTTGCTGCGGCTGCCAGGTGCTGGCAGTCGGAAGCTGTGCGTAAATCAGGGGGAGTTTTAGTGAACTTTGGCGTTTGGAGAGCAGGGAGCACTTACTCAGAGGCAGCTCGAATAGGATCTGCACCGAGAATAAACATTCACAAGAAAGGAAGATATGCCTATAAGGTTAGATGCTCAGTGCAGAAGGGATATTGCCAGACCCCCAGGATCAGAGCTTCCGGTCACACCTGGTGACCTGCATGGGGGTCTGGGGTTTGATCTCTCTTCTGGATGCCCGGGGTTCAGGGCCCTGCACTGTCAAGGAGGCTGATGGGAAAGAAAGCTTTGAAAGGGTGACTCCTTCCTGTTGACTCAGGATTTTCAAACAGCGGGAAACAGAACCAATCGGGTCAGACAGACTTTGGGGTCCCAAGGTTCTCCCTCCTGTGTTAAAACAGCCACAGATAAGCAGGCAGGGGTGTTGTGGGAGGAGACTGAACCCATCCATGGGAGGAGGGGGAGAGCATTTATATGATAATCACAAGCTTTTATTAGCCCCGGCAAATCATGCCAACAAAACGCTGGGAACATCATGTAAAATTGTAAAATACCTTTATTACTATATTCAAACTACTCTTGCAGTTATGCAGAATCATAGCTCCTAACCTAGAATTATACAAATGAGAGATGTATTACATCCATGTAATACATAAAACACCTCAACTTAAAAAAAAAAACACATATTTTATTAAAAATTTAAGCCCTTTCAGAGATGTTCGGCAACACGCCTACGGTTTTTCCGCTCATCCCCACCCCTTTTTCTCAAGAGGAGTCCAAATTTTTCTGTCTACTCTGTTTTCTCTCGGCATTCCATCTTTCTCCGGGTTTTTAGGGAGAAACTCACTACAATTTAAAATGAGTTGTTTGGCAAATAGAGAGTGCTGTGTTAGCTAAGCTCTTGCCTTGGGATGTGGGCACACAGGTGGGTTTTACGGCCAGGCAGGGAAGAAAGCAGGTTCCCCTCCTGGTGCAGGGCCTGTGCCAGGCCCCATCTTCTCTGTGGCTGGCCCTGGTTCTTTTCTGGCCTGTTCTTTGTCCTACTGACCTTTACCTGGGAGGAGCTAAAGGACACATATGTTTCCCTCCAGGACCAGCTCCCCACAGAATGCGTCTCAGGGGACAGAGACATCCTCCCTCCCGTGCCTTCCGCATCTTCACATCCTGGAGCCCAGATTTCCACGCTTGAATTTTTCACAGGTTAAATATAGCATCGGTTTATTAGAATCCAAAGTCCTGCATCTAACAGATTAAACTGACAACACTTCCATCACCACCAGGGCCCATGTGGCTTGAAGGGAGATGGGATTTGTACGAGTGACGGTGGAACCCCGCTCTTGACAGTTTGGGAGGACTCGACACACTTTGCCCATCTCCTCACCCCACTCCCAGGATCATCTTCTGGGCTTTCCAATTTGGGGGTTGGTGTGAGGATTTACAAGCCAAGGTAGGCCGCAGGTTCTCTCGCTTGTTTGACACCTTGGGCGTTTAGCCAGGAAAGGACTGCTCATATACGTGGGGGTCCATGAATTAATTTTACCTCTAGAGAAACATCAGAATTGGGCAGTAGGGCTCCAGGCACGAATGCAAACCTCACGTGGCACAATAACAACCCCATGAACCAGGCAGCATGGCGGATATGGTTTGTTACGGTCTCCCCCTACTTGGAAATTCAGGGCCATTTTGTCCTGAGGTTACCAAACCTTTGCCTGGCTAAAGATTGGGCCACTGTCCGGAAGAACCTTTCACCCCAGCCCAGAATGGCCCTGGTTTCCCTGAGATAAGACAGGAAGTTGTAAAGTCGCACTCCGCGTCTGTCGTAGTGCTCATGTTCTGCGGTTGCTGTTGCGAGAGAGTGAATGGAGGAAGGCATTGGTCGCCCAAGTCAGGCCTTTAAATGGGTGCAGGGAGGAGGGGGGATGTTGCCAAGGGAGGGAGGTTTTAATCACAGGTGCGCGGGTGACCCTGACCTCACCCCGCCCAAGCCCCGGCTTGCTGCAGTCCTACTGTATATCTTCCGACCATCACATGTACGCAGTATCTTAAAATAACATTTGTGATAAATGTGCAATTTAACTAATTTATGGTGCTATGATGTGCTCAGGGCTACATGCAAGATGAAAATCTTAAATGGAGCTTGAACAGCTCACTTCACAACAAGAAATCAATATGCCACATCTTAGCAATTCGCTGCAGTCAACATTTAGCAAAAATATCAGTGATGTATCTTTAAGTTTTAGGCAGCAAGAATTCTATAATTAACCAAAATCCTTACATGTAAGTTAGAGAGGGTTGGTTATGATGAGGACCCAATCTCCCTGGCATCTCTATTCTATTTTCATTCTGCAAAAGGAAAAAATATATATATTGATAACCACCAAACAGGCCCTTCTCTGCCCTGCGCTCAGACAGAGGTTGTGTGTCCACAGCCTTCCCAGCTGAGTTCAGGGCGGCAGTCTCTGTGGTTCCTTCCTCAAGTTCAGACCATTCCAGCTAGGTGACTTCACTGATCCCCAGCCTCTGGCCACCTACAGTTCCACAGACGTGGTGACAAAATACTTATAGAGGAAAAAAGGCCCTCTAAGCCGTCCAGCTCCATCTTGGGGAAGCAGAATTCTGAAGACAGAAACCCGTGAGTGGCAGAGAGACAGGAGCTGACGGGAAGCCAGGCTGCATCGAACAAGTCCGGGATGAAAACTATCATCTTTAGACATTTCCAAGTCATCTAATAAAAAAAATTTTTTTAAATAAATCCAATGATTTTTTTTCTCAAATTCATCTGCCACAGTCCTTTTGAGATTGGAAAATTGCAATTGCGTTTTATTCTGTTGACTATTTAGCAGGAAAATAATACACTTTGTATTAGAGGAAGCAATCATACCACTGAAAACATGCAAACTCCAACACCGCTCTTTAATAATAAATACTTTAACTTTAAAATAATAGCTATTATCGTCTTAGCTAATGGAGAAATTACCATCTTTACTCTGCCAGATAGTTATTCTTTTGGTAATGGAAACAGGAGCCTTCTTTCTCCCTGGGGATTTATTAGTGAGCACGTGTAATCTTTGGCAAAGGCAGCCTGAACATACATTTCCCCCTGGGACCCTGTGCTGGTGGATGCCTTTCAGCATTCAGCTGACCTCAGAAAACACAGAAAAGGTGCTCAGGCTTGGACCTCCATTCAGTGCCAGGGCTCACCGGCCTCTGCAAAATACACTATAGTTAGCTCTGGAAATAATCTGGCTCATTTGGGTAGGGCTTCAGCGCTCTGTCTTAGCATAAAGCTTCAGGGAAGACAAGCTCCTCTGTGATAGAACCGACCTCACCTTCCTGCGTGCCGTGTGGCAGCTTTGTTGCAGCCGAGGGCTGGATTCCGGGTGTCACTGCAGAGCAGCGATCAAACCCAGGGTTTTGTTTCCAGGGAGTTTGCTTATTTTTCTCACACTCCATTGAGTTTCCACAAGCCAGAGGGAGATGCTGTTTGACTCACGGGCACCATTTTTCTGTCCCTAAGGATTTGACAGGAGGCGACCCCCAGGAGGATTTTAAAGGCCAGCGAACCCTGGAACTGGTGGGCTTTCATGGTTCCAAGGGCCTGCATCCCAAAGCGCTGGATGATTCAGAACTATATCCCCTGCCCTGCCAAGACAATAGATTAGCCAAATTGTTGGTTAGCGGCCTGACAGTCCATGAAGGCTGGAGCCGTACCAGGCAGTCTAATGATGACTCAGTCTTGGTACTGCTGTGGACACCAGGGGTAACTTAGATAAGTCCACGGCTTCTGGAGGCTCAGCATTGGGGTGTCAGTGCCCCACCTCTGGTCCAAAAATCCAGGTTTTAAAAGAATTAAATTCTAATGATAGCAGATCAGAGACACTGCTTTTCTGCAACCTTTGTATAATGTCAGGTACTGATATATTCTTAATAAATCATTCCTGATGATTAAGGTGATAAGAAAGGTGATCCTTTTCCAGAGATTAACATCCACAATTAGCCAACTCAGGAAGTAGGATACATTTACTTACCTTCTAACCTGTGCTGTCCAATATAGTAGACACTAGCCACATATGGCTATCCAGATTTAAATTAAATTAAAATTTAGTTCATCAGTCAATCATACTAACCACATGTGACTAGCAGCTACTCTTTGGACAGCAGGCACAGAGCATTCCCATCATCATAGAAGGTTCCTTTGGAAGGCCAGGTACAGTGGCCCAAGCCCGTAATCGCAACCCTTTGGGAGGCTGAAGTGGGAGAATCACTTGAGGCCAGGGGCAACATAGTGACCAACCTGGGCCACATAGTGAGACCCTGTCTCTACAAAAAATAAAAAATAGAAATTAGCTGAGCATGGTGGCGTGCACCTGTAATCCCAGGTACTTGGGAGGCAGGACTGGGAGAATCTCTTGAGCCCAGGAGTTTGAGGCTGCAGATTGTGATGTCTCAAAAACAAACAAACCAACAAATTTCCACTGGACATTGGACAATGCTTTCTATACCATGATTTACAAATCAGTTTCCTGGGTAAGAGCTCACATCTCAGTGATGTAAGTGTGTTTCCAGTTCATGGGTATTTCTAAAAATCCTTATCCTGCCAATATGGGCACAGGCAACATTCTCACATGCTACTATCTCTGATCAAAGCCAAGGACACACATAATTAACCTTGAGCATAAAATTATAAACAGAAGTACAGGCACCGGTGTATGAAGTTGCCGATCATTCTCCCTGCTGTGGATATGATCTAGGCTGCAAACTCCAAAGCCCACAGATCTGATGGATGTAGTCGTGACCTTGCTCTGCCCTTAGTCAGTGATGAATCAGGCGGTCCCTGTGCTGTTCTTTGCACCCAATGACTTGGAGACAGACTTGGCTCCGTGGCTGGCGTGGCTGTCAGCCTCCATGCGGGGGTACTGGGACTCCCTGCCCAGGCACCACTGCAGACCCCATTAGGCCTCTGTCCTGGCCTTTGAAGCCCCAGGCATCAGCGGGGGAGGCCATCCTGCTTTCTTTTTAAAAATTAAAATACATAAATGGGACTTTGGAAATGACTTCTTAAATTTGGGGGGGTTAAGTTTTTAAATTACTGCATTTCAACATTTCACTTTCATTTTTTTCTTCCACAGCAGGAATCCAGGGACACATTTATGACCGTCATAATTGTGAGTTAGAGATCTCCCAGGCCAAGTGAAATGAAATTATGAGAAACTGAAATCTGTTTTAATTGGAGCATTTATGGAAAAAAGAAGTCAGTGTGGCTGCTTTTTTTTTTCCTTTATGTGACTCTCTTGTCCGTGGCCATACCTGTGTCCAGAAACCAGGGCTGGGTAAACTTGAGCCAAGAGACAGCTGGGAGGAAAAGAGAGAGAATGAGATAGGTGTGTCTGTCGGGAAGGAGTCATTTTCTTAGCTTAAAAAAAATGGAGGTACGGTCGCCGGACTTCCGCCTCAGTGACCATGAAACCGAGTCGGCAAAAGCTGAAGGACCCGGCTCCTGAAAGCCTCATCAGGGCTTGTCATTGCTCTAATGAGTATCATTTAAATTGCTTTGTATATTGGTGGAGTTTGGATGTCGATTTAATTTGTGCATGTGTTTGAGTTCTTCTGCTTGGCTAGGCTAACAGAGAAGCAGCCGCCTAATGAAAACTGAGTTGGTGACAGTGTGATGAGCTGCAACCCAGTCAAATGAGTTTGAAGGGCTGCTATGACAGCCCTCAGGAAGAAGTGCGTGTGGCTGGAGATAGAGGAAGGCGGCTTTCCTGCAATGTGTGGACCTGCTGGGCAGCAGGGGCTGCTCCGTGCAGCTGAGGTTACTGGGGATAGCACCTGTGGGGACCTCACTTTGCCCAACCCACCCTCTCTCTAGTGGGCGCTGAGCTTGGGGTACAAGAGACTGTGTCTGTTGAACTGGGGTCTCAGGAATTTTCCCCTCCCTGTGTTGAAATGGCACATGGATGGATTTGCCCGGGGAGGCAGCCGTAAAGGTGAGACTCAGAGCTCATCTCTCTAGCAAGCCTTCCAGCCAAGATTGTACAGGAGGTCCTTCCTTATATTTTGGCAACCCAAGAAAGCAGAGGCCTTCTCCCACATTGCTTTCAACCCAAGGAGTCATGTCCTGATATTCTTCTCGGGTGGCACAAGCTCACCTCACTACTTTCTTTTTGTGTCTTTCTCCCCAGCCATCCTAGGAGGGAAGAGGGCTGTAATCTCTGTGATGCCTGTTTATAGATGAGGATTGGGGGATCAGTGGCCTGGCCTGGGCCCCACTGTGTCAATCAGGAAGATCAGCCAGGCTTCTGTTTTCAGAAGCTTTAGAAACACGGAGCATCCACCCAGTGACAGCCTTACCCAACCCTCCCAGCCCCTATCTCCAAAAGGGCCATGGTTCTGGAAGGAGTTTGACATTTGGCTCTTGTGTTTCAGTGAGACTAGGGCTTGGGTCTCCTGGGGCTCTGGTTTCATGAGAGGCACCCTGCCAACCCAGAGTTTCCTGGGGGTACTGCACCAGTGGGTGGTCCCAGGGAGAAAGAGAGCACACTGCTAATAAAGACATACCCAAGACTGGGTAATTTATGAAGGAAAGAGGTTTAATGGACTCACAGTTCCACATGGTTGGGGAGGTCTCACGGCCATTGAGGAAGATGAAGAAAGAGCAAAGGCGCATCTTACATGGTGGCAGGCAAGACAGCATGGGCAGGGGAACTCCCATTTATAAAACCATCAAATCTCGTGAGACTTATTCACTATCACAAGAACAGCATGGGAAAGACCCACCCCCATGATTCAATTACCTCCCACCAGGACCCTCTCATGGCAAGTGGGGATTATGGGAGCTACAATTCAAGATGAGATTTGGGTGGGGACACAGCCAAACCATATCACCTGCCTTCTTACTGCACTTGTCAAAGGTGTGACCATTGAACAGATGACCCCAACCTTCACTCTGCTCTCTCCAGCTTCTCATCTCAGCTTTCTCAAATGTTTTCAATATCCCCATTCTCAACAAGCTCAGCATAGTGCTTGGCAATGATCCCAAAGGAGAAGGTGCTCTGATATCCTGGCCACAGCCTCTGCTCTCTAAATGCCCTCTACCCTCACCCCTGTGTGACTCCCTTCCAAAGGGCGAGTGGGGACAAAAAGCTTCTGAAGTCCAGGAAAAAAAAAATGGGCTTATTCTCCTAAATGGAACTAAAAGCCAGAGACATGAGGCACCCACCAGAGAGACCCTTGAAAGAAATGGGGGAAGGGTGGATGGAGTGGGGGCAGGGGAAAGAAGGAGATGCTGAGGAGATGGTGCCTTGTGCTTGGGCCTGATGGAGGCTCTGGGGACACGGGTAGGGGAAGGAGTGGTGGGGGATTGAGGGCGCTTCCAGACTCCTAGAGAATGAGTGAGGGCAGGGCCTGCAAGGGACTTGACCACCATGGCCCATTTGAACATGGAGGTCCTATGGTTTTGTTCTGAGAGAGGGTCTGAGGAGCTTTCCCCCAAGACATGTGAGGGCCCAGGTCAGTCTCCTGGACCCTGCACAATTCTCAGGCAAGGGTGAGCTCTCATCTCTTGCACAATTCTCAGGCAAGGGTGAGCTCTCATCTCATCTGTGCAGGCTGAGAGAAGGCCCTCATGCCCTGTGTTGTCATCAAGAACAAGAAGAAAATTCCTAAGACCTGCCTTGGCCTTTCATAAGTTTGGAGTCAAGCTGGAGAGAGGAGACATGTATGTAGTCCACAATCATGCCAAGTCAATGACAACACGCAGTGAATGAAGAACACGATTGGGCAGAAAACAAAGTGAAATTGCAAGGCTCAAACCCTGAAACTTGAAGTGGGCCGGCCAGGAGCACTTCCTTGGGCCGGACAGGGCCCGAGGTGTACTGTGAAGGATGGATGCCACTTGAGCTTGCAGAGAGGGGAGGGCTTTGGAGGGCTGGCCCTCTCCTTGGCGGAAACCACAGGGGCTTGGTCCCTAGATGTCCCTCTGGCCCTGCTTTGAGATGGTGAGGCTCATGGTGTCACTTGTCACATCCTAGGGAGTGCCTTCTGAATCGTCCAAAGCAAAATATCACCATTACCATTTTAGAGATAAATGCATTTTATTCTATTCCCGTGTGTCTCAGATGGGGATTTATTAGAACTTTATACCACAACTTTTTTTCTTTTTGGAGACAGGGTGTTGCTCTCTTGCCTTCCTGGCTCTGCCTGAAGGTCAGGTTCAAGTCGTGTGTTTAGGGTTATGGTCTGGGATGAAAAGGGTCGTGTTAATGGGCTCGTAGGTGAATCTTTGTGCATCTTGAATAATTTCTGGCCTCAATTTGCCAAAGGGGGAATAAGCCCCAGTGTGAACTTCTCAGATTCCTCAGGGAGTGGCGCCCCTGATTCAAGGACTTCAAGTGGTGCAATCATAGCTTACTGCAGCCTTGAACTCCTGGGCTCAAGTCATCCTCCTGCCTCACCCTCCCTAGTAGCTGGGACCACAGCCATGCACCACCATACTCAGCTAATCCTTTTATTTTTTGGTAGAAACGGGGTCTTGTTATGTTGATGAGGCTGGGTATACCAGTTTCTTGACCTTTTAGGGGTTGCAGGCCCTTTGAGAGATACAGTCTCTCTCCTCAGGAGAAAGTGGATGCAAGCACCACTTAAGTGTTGCTTAAGATGCTTAAGTGTAGGGGGACATGGGCTCCCTGAGGTCCACCTCTAGGCCTTTGTGGTGGATCCCAGTTAACAAACACTGCTCTCCACTGCCCTGCAGAACCTGTAACTCACAGGACACCTGTTCCTCTCCAGGCTCAGGGGCCAGGGGTGCTTGTCAAGATGCTGTCAGCAGGAATTTGCTCAGGATCTTAAGAAAAGGAAGGGATTTGGGCTCATGTGACTGTAGTCTAGGATAAGGGGCTTCAGGCCCAACTGGACATGGGTGCTCAGTGATGTCACCAGGAACCTGCCCCTCCACCCTTCTCAGCACCCCACCTCGCTCTGACTCTGCCTTGGACTCAGGCACTTTTCCCTTTGTGGGTGACCCATCCTTGTGTGGCTCAGCAACCTTCAGGGGAAAGGGGCTTCCTTTCACAATAGTGACAGTAGGTGTGTTCCCACCTGTTTTCAGGCCCAGAGCAGCAGGCCTGGCTCTGCCTGAAGGTCAGGTTCAAGCCATATGTTTAGGGTTCCAGTCCGGGATGCAAAGGGCTGGTAGGTAATTCTCTGTGCATCTCGAATAATGTCTGGCCTCAGTTTGCTAAAGGGGGAATGAGCCCTAGTATGACCTTCTCAAATTCCTCAAGGAGTGGCACCCCTGATTCAAGGACTTCAATTTACAATAGGGAGAATCCTGATGAGAAACCAAGGTATGGGATTTTCTTTTCTTTTCTTTTCTTTTCTTTTTCTTTCTTTCTTTCTTTTTTTTTTTTTTTTTTTTTTTGAGACAGAGTTTTGTTCTTATTGCCCAGGCTGGAGTGCAATGGCGCAACTTTGGCTCACTGCAACCTCCGCCTCCCAGGTTCAAGTGATTCTCCTGCCTCAGCCTCCTGAGTAGCTGGGATTACAGGCATGGACCACCATGCCCGGCTAATTTTCATATTTTTAGTAGAGACGGGGTTTCACCATGTTGGCCAGGCTGATCTCGAACTCCTGACCTCAGGTAATCCACCTCCCTCAGCCTCCCAACGTGCTAGGATTACAGGCATGATCCACTGCACCCAGCCGGCTATGGGATTTTTGTGACCCACTGGGAGCAGGTTCTCCTAATGGGGCAGGCAGTGTCTCCTCCTCCTTGGGCCAGAAGTGTACAGGGTGGGCCATGCTGACCTTGAGAACCTCCTGGCCACTCTCTCCACAAGGTATAGCTGGGGACCCCTACCCCACAGTCAGAGTGGGCCTCTCTGCCCAAAAACTGCTGGTCCTTTTGATCATGACTTCCTATACCCTGTTATGGCTGCAGACCAGAATTTACTAGAAAGAGGAACCTTCGTTGACTGGCCCTGTCTCTGGCACCTGAACTGCGCAATGAATATTTTACCTGGCACAGGTTGCAAAATGTGACCCATGGATGGAATATGACCTGCCGATTTGTTTGGCTTGAGCCACACGGCTTAAAAAAAAAAAAAAAGAAAAACCCACAAAACTTGAATTCATTGCCAAACTTTGAAGATTGGGAGATTTCATACAACAGTGAGATTTCTGGCATCTCCGGATGCCACATTCCTGCATGACAGCAGGTGGCTGGAACCGGGCAGCAGCCGCCCATTTTAGACAGGACATCCGCTCTCTGGCTGGCCCTGGGCCCTGCTCCTCCCTATCTGTCTTGTAGGCTGGGCTCTCCCACAGGCGGGACTGAGGTGAGGATTTGAGGGCAGGTAGTTCATTTGACAAGGGAGCCTGGAACGTTCAGATAGGAGGGAGGAGGAGGCAGATGGGGAAAAAAAGGAAGCTAATTCCCAATGCATTAAGGAGCAAGCTGCCACTGTAGGCCACTGGTACTTGGTCCCCAGGAACCTCTGCAGGTTTGTGCAGGAAACTCTCATCTTTGAGTGGCCCCACCCCAGGATAAGGCAGCTGATGGTCCACCACCTCCTGCCTGTCACTGGCTGAGGGTGGCTTCCCTGTGCACAGGTGGAATATGTCCCCACAATCATAGGGCTTGCAGGAGGAAGGTTTTGGCCAGATGCAGACCGGGAAGATGAAGGAATGTGAGGCCATTTGGATACCCCTGCCTCCTGCTACATTTAAACCATTCATGCTCCCATCTCCCCACTGCACTCCTATTGGCACCTATTCTACATGGGGTCTTTGGTCGGGTGGGAGAGCTCCCAGCAAGGAGGAGTGACTTGCCCAAGGTCACACACTTCATGTCAGTGGCAGAGCCAAGGCTGGAGCTATGGGCCTCCCCCTCCTCCCCCACTGTTTCTGCTACCCCGTACAACTCATTCCATGGAGACTAGAGCTCTGGTGCCTCACTCATCCGTTTTATTTTATTTAGTTATTTAATTATTTACTTATTTATGTGGTTATTACCCATCTAGTTCCAGAGATAACTTAGGGCCTCTATACAGCTCATTAATTGCCTCATTGCTAGCTAGAAACAGTGGGACTGGCTGAGAGGGGTGGGGATGTGAGGAGTGGGGGGGACCCACAGGATCTGTGAGACATGGAAACCTGGAAGCCTGCTGCAGGGCACACTGTCCCCCCTCTCTTGGCCCCGCACAAAATGACATCATGCAGGAAGTGGCCCCATGCAGGAAGTCCCTCCCCCAATAAGTCCCCCACTTGCCACAGGGCACGTCTTGCCCTGACCAGCAGGACGGGGGCACTCCAGCTGGGGAGAAGGCAGCTTTCCTTCATGCCTTCGCAGCTCCTCGTGCTCGCTGCTGGGGGGCAGCCGTGGGCAGCGGGTGGCGAGGTTATGAATGCCAAGAGGAGAGGGGCTGCTGTCACATCTCCATGCAGCTTTGCAAAGCTTCATAGGATTCTCATCCAGTGCCCACACTCCCCACCCCCTGCCATTTCTTTGTCCTTCCTCCATGAAAATGACCTGTCCTAAAATTAGTGCCAGAATCCACATGGATTCTAATATAATCAAGGTGGGTTCAACGGCCTTGAGAATTTGGAGGAGAGTTTCCTGTCCCTGTCCTCCGGGACCTCCAAGTCCTGGCTCAGAGGCTGCAATTCTGAGCCAGCCATCTTCAGACCCCGGCAGGGCAGAGACCCACACCACCCTTCACGATGCTGTCTGCCCTGGTCATTTCTGCTCACCCAAGATGTCCGTGCCAGCACTGCCATCAATTAGTCCTGAGGAATGGACAAAGGGGGTTACAGGAAATTAATTTCATCTGGGTTTTCTCTCCTGAGGTCCTGCCTGGCAGTCAGCGCTCTCAACACCCACATGTCCGCAGCCCAACTGTTGCGTCCATCAGCTCTTGTCCGAGTTAACTATTCATTTTATGTATTTTAATTTGGGCAGAACATTTATTTGGCTTAAATTTCCTTTTCAGGGGTTGGAATGTGCCTTCCACTCACAGGCAGAGATGATCTGCTCGAATTTCGTCAGAAGGAGTTTAGTTTACAAAGATAGCAACTGAGCTATTAAAACCAACAACCCCTTTTAAAGCAAACAGACCATTAAAATATAGGAACAGTTTATGGCATAAATAAAATTGAGGATATAGATTATTTAAAGATAAGATTTTCAAGAAACAGGGATAAAAAAACATTTAAATAATTTCTCCACGGTATATATTTTTTTTACAAAGTGAACTTCAAAATGCAAATGCAAATTTTTTAAAAAAAAGCACAGAAAGACATTAAAAACCTATCTTACTAGTAAAGACATATGAAAACGACTTGACTTTTTCTTCTTGATCTGTGTATGATTTTTAAGAGGTGGAGTGGGAGGGGGGAGCTCTTCGAATTCATAAATGGTAGCATTTACCCAGCTCGTGAAATCACATTGTGGAAAAAGAAGCAAGACATTTGCTTCTAGATCATTCTTTGCAGCTGACTGACAGATACAACAATTTTGTCCATTAGTCCGAGCCATTGTCTTCCCTCAGCACTGAAGTACTGTACCGCGGAGGTAGATTTCCACTGCTATGCATATTTTAAGGGTTATTTGGCAACACGGGTAAAGCTAAAAGTAGCCTCTTAATCTAATTAATTGACATTTCTGAATCTTGCTTTCACAACAACACATGGTTTCATGTTCTGGGTTTTAGCACTTGTCAAGCTTTTTTGGAGAATGTTTTGGTCAGAATGACAAGATAATTTGTGACTGAGGCTCCAAGCTAGAGAAGTGTTTAAGGCTATAATGATTTATTATCATCACAGAATAACAAAATTTACAAAGTGTTTCATCAGAATTTTTGAAATAAGTTTGCCACCATAGGAGAATCATTGGGGTGGAGGGGGCTGGGCTCGCAGACAGGGAGGGTTCCGACTTCATATACAAACTCAGCCGTGACTGATGGCTTAACATCTCTCTATGAAATTTATCTCTGCACGTGCCTTGAGAGAGAAACCACAGAGTACTTTTGGAGGACAAGAGGTGATAGAACAAGAACACAGAGAAAATTCAGACCTCTCCCCCGGTTTCTGTAAGCAGGAAACCCGAGTCCCAGCTCCACTTGTAACGTATATGTGGCTGCAGTCAACGATGAATTTCTACATTTTGGCAACGGTCAGAGTGAAAGTAGTCGCACTATCTATAGAAACTTTGAGATGGAGAACACTTGGAGTATGCTACTGAAAATGCAAGAAACACATTTTTGAAAGGATGAAATAATATCACTGAGTGACAGTAAATTAACATGCTGACATTTGCAGACTTTCAGAGCATTGCCATAAAAAGAAGTAATACAACATGACTAATTTGGACTTCTTTATTCCTTCCTTGGGAGAGACAGCCCTGTCCCTCCAAGGCCACCCCTCGGGCTTTGCCTATCGGTGCTTCTTCCTCTTTTGCAGGAAACACTGGAAATTTAACATTCCCCTAAGCTCAGGCATTGCCTCTCAGAGACTCTGGAGAATGTGATTTTTGACTTCTGAGTTCTGAAGATGCTCCTTTGAATATCAGAGCAGTGTTCAGTGGCTGGCAGAGGGCACACAGACCCAGCCTGCAGTTCTTGGCTTCTTAATGTCCACAGATGTTCTGCCTACAGGGCGCCAGGGGTGGGAGAGCCCTTGGGCACCCTGAGCACCCATTGTACTGATGGGGAGATTGAAGCACAGGAGGATATAAGTTTCCAGGTTGCTTCTCTTACTCTTGAGCCAAGAGTGCAGCCTGAAAGGTCCTCTAGGAGAATGCAGGCATCCTTCCCTGGCCACCACGCCCCGCATTCAAAATTGGCCTTCTATTTAATATTATAGGAGCCGGCACAGTGCTTGGCACACAGAAGGTGCTGAGAAAACTTGGGCTAAATTCATAATTTTAAAAATGCATGTGGTGAATGGATTCTCACAACCTTTGAGTTCAAGCTCAGTGCCTTCCTAAGTGCTAACACAGCCTGCCTCTCCTTTTCCCTGGTACTTGGGTTTCAGGAAGAGGAGGCCATTCTCTAACTGGGACAAAATGTTCTTTTGTTCCCAGAGCTGTGCTTCCCAAGTGAGCGCCACACCCTTCCTGTCCAATAAACAAATTGACTGCACTCTGCCAGCCTAGCCCTGTGCCTGGCACATAGTAGATGCTCAACAAAGGTGCGTTTTCTCTCACTAAGGAGCTTCATATTTTTCCTGGAAAAAGACTACCTGGAAATGAGTACATGTTTTAAAAAGCTGCTGCCCTGGGAAGCCCAGAGAATAGCCTGTCAGCCAGAGTTCCTCAGTGCATGCCAGGAGGACAGAGCCCAGAGATCAGGTGGATGCCAAGGCTGAGCTCCCAGCTTCTGCACAGCCCCAGGTCTCAGATTCTGAACCCAGACCTGACCACTGAAGAGGAGGGGCGGTAATTTGCCAAAGTACACTTTATGTAGTATCACCGGACTGGCTGTACTTAGTTAGGCAGGGCACCACGGACAAGAGATGACCAGACATAGACGAGGATGGTGAATCTGACAGAGACCTGGGCGGGGGGACTGGGCAGGACAGAGCAAGAGGGGAACTCAGGATGCAGAGGGGAGTAGAAGTTGCTGGCTGGGTCTCAGAATTAGCCAAAATCACAACAGCAAAGGGATGCAGACCCCAGGTCCTGAGCTGGGCCCTGGAGATGGCTCAGGGCTGAGGCTGAGCCTGCAGGAGGCCCATGTCTGCCCTCTGAACAATTAACCTGGACAATCAGCACAGGGCAGAGCAGAAGGAAGTATGAAAGATGCACATCATAGAAGTTGTTCTAGTGATGAAAAGTCAAGTTGGAAGCGTTCCTCTCTCCCGCGCAACTGGGCCCACATCTGTCCCATCAGTGATATTTTGGTCCCACAAGAGACCTGGGATCTTGGGCTTTCTCTAAGGATTTTCCTAGTGACTGAGACAAAATCCTTGGCCTGGGCTGGAGATGTGATGATTTGAGGGTTCTTAGAGGGTGGGCACGTGATGGATCACAAAAGAACCACCATTCTCTCCTCTTCCCTAAATGCAGCTCCTTCAGCAAACAGTGACAGCTGCCGTCTACACCCAGCATCTTGAGTTGGAAGAATGAGGGTTTCTGGAGAACATGACCTCCTATTTCTCTTTTTTTTTTTATTTCCAGCAAAAATTGAGTGAGCTCAGATACCCAGGGACAGGTGAGCTCCCAGCCCCATAGGATACCCTCAGTGGCCTCCCTGCCCTCCCTCTGCACCCAGGACCACAGACCCCAGCCCATGTGCCTAGCAGGGAACGACCATTTCTCAGACGCATGCTTCGACTGGACCCTACCTGGACAGTCTGAGGATTTGCGAGCTTCAGGCCATGTCGTGGGCTGAAGACTGTTATGGGGTAACATAAGTTGAGAGTAACCTTTCAGCAGAACAGTTTGAGTTAAAATAAAGGGATTGAAAAAGAGTACAATGACCAAAAAAATCTATAAAAATGCAATTGCGCTAATATAATTTTATCACTTATTTAAAAATTTAGTCGACCCAAAAGACTACCAAGTGTGAAATTAAGGAACAGCTCCTCTACTTTTATGGAAATCACTCTTCCTCACTTGTCTAATAGCCTGATTTTGTCAGATCATTTATTTCCATGGTTTTAAAATGATCTTGACAGACAGAATTTTATAACACCACTTTACTGCAAATAAGAACATCATTTTCGCTTATTAAAACTGAATCTTAGAGAAAGCATTAAAATTAACAGTTCACTCTGCTTTAACCTTTTGAATACTGCCGTGACTTTACACCACCAACTATGTGTAAGCAAGACCGTGGGGCTGGGGTTGGATAGAGAAGGCGGGCCGGGGCATGGATCCCAGACCTGCCGGGACTCACAGAGGACTCACACTGTACTGGAAATGGCTGTGATGGTGCCTAGAGGAATCGACCCGATGGGCCACTGAACAGCAGCTTTGGGAAGCCAGCCCTAGGGCCCAGGGGAAGCCAAGGGAAGACACTTATGCTAAGCTGTGGCAAGAGACCTGCATTTCTCCCCGGGAGACTACATTGATTGACAGCTAGTCTCCGAGAATCTCAGGCATCAGTTCTTCCTTCCCTTATTTCCTGTATTCAACAGATATGTGAGCATCTTTCACGGACAAGGCACTGTGTTAGGCACTTGAGATAAAACAGTATGACCGAATCCCTGTCCTTGGAGAGCTGATCAGATCAGTGGGGGAGACAGACCATAATCCAAGAAGCAAATAAACATTTACTCTCATGCCTGATAGGGTGCTGCTGGCTGCGGAGAAAACCAAAACAGAGCCAGGGAGAGACTCATAGGAAGTGCTTGTTGAACAGAAGGGCGATTTCCCGGGTTGAGGACTTGGAGCAAGGGTTTGCAAGTGGCCTCTCCTGGCCATCAAGACAGCCTGCAGCAGTCCTGTTCCATGTCCTGTGGCTGAGGCCTGGATCAAGGGCTTTACTGGACAGAACAGCTGGAATCTGCGTTCCTGTGTCTGAGAGCTTTGTCCAAAACTTGAGAAAGCCACTCTACCCTCATGGCAGGCCCCAAGAGCCAGGGAGCTTATACCCTTGGGAGCTGCTCCCAACCAATGATGGACAGGGACTTTGGGGAGGGATTGGCAATTGTGTTGTAAGATACCATGGATGGGTCTGAACCCCAGCTCCTCGCCTCTGGTAGAGGGGAATAAGCCTGGGATGCTTGTTTCCGGGAGTCTTCTCATGGGATTAAGCTGCAGTCACCCAGTTTATCAATTGCCCCAGTCTCACCCCCTTAACTGGGTGCCATCCTTCACTCAGTCCCCTCCCTGTCTCCCTTGCACTTCCCAAATCAGTTACTTGCCCTGGAATGCTTGGCTCCAAGTTTGGGAAAATCTAGCCCTCGGCAAAGACCCATGTCAGACAGCTGGGGCTGAAGGCTTTTGCTTTTCCTTAAATCCCCAGTCAGATCTGCTTTCGTGCCCAACTTAGAACTCTCAGACTCAAGCCTTTTTATAGGGACCACTCTGCATAGGTGGTGACTAGTCCATACAGAAGCAACCAGAGCAGGCAGGAGGTCAGGCCCAGGGACAAGCCCCTCGCGTCTTCCCCAGGAGGGTCTGAGACTGCAGCATAGTCCCGTGCAGCCGGCCAATCTGTGCTGCCAGGCAATCTTAAACCACAGTGACTTAGCAGGTCCTGGGGCCAGCCTGACCAACAGCGGAGGAGCCTTCCTTCTCCAGAGTGGATAATTTGGAGTCATTTCACGGGGTCCTCCAGAGGGGTCCTGGGGTGGAGCCCCATTGCCCACAGCAGTGGTGAATTTGATGGTGTGTCCTTCGATTGGCTGGGCATCTGCTGCTTTTGCCCCTCCTTCCCTCATCCCTGCTTACGGGGTCATGTTCCGGAATAAACTACTCACATATACTGTTTTGCCTCAGCTCTGCCTTCAGAACACTCAGGCTAAGGCACCAAAGGGAATGAGAGTCGCTCAGACACTCTGGTTGGCTTTCCCAGGCCAGCCCTCTGGGGCTGGTGTCTGGGCTTAGCTTCTGAGCACACAGTTCCCCACGGCACCGTCCTGCTCCCTCGCCACCCTGAGTAGCGCAGCCCTCTGTGCCTTGGCTTACATCCTTCCCTCTGCTTACAATGTCCATTCTCTCTAATGGCCTCTGTGCAGCCATCTCTGGCTCTCCTACAAAGCGCTCCCTGAAGCCAGGGAGGAAACACCTCTTCTGGAGCACCCGCCCTGGAGCACTCCCCACACCAAAGGCCACAGCTGTCAACAGGACTGACCAATAGGACTGCTGTGGGATAGAGAGGGACAGGGAACACAGAGGAACTCACTACTCAGGACCTGGCTCCTGCACACCCACCATGGCGGCCTTGCTTTCAGTCACCTGTAGCGTGTCCAGTCCTGTCCTTGGTGCTGTGAGTAGGACAATGCTGTGGGATGGAGATCGAGACAGGGAACACAGAGGAATCAGCCAGGCAGACTGTCCAGTGGCACGAACCTCAGTGAGAGCTGCAGCCTCAGGCCCACGGTGGCACTGTGAGGACAGGCGGGCAGGGCAGTGACCCTGTGCAGGGAAAGCCCCTCCGTCAGGAGCCGTCACTTCCTCTGAATGGAGGGCTGTTCCCATATTGCAAAACTTCTCTGTGCCTGGCACATGGTAGATAACCAAGAAATAATGAATGAATGGAAAATGAAGGCATATATGATAAAAAAGAATGAACATACTCTGTACATGTTTGCTGTGTGTGTTACAGCATCAGAGCGCCTCTGCCTCATATGCCCTGGGGAATACCCCCAGGCACAGACAGTCACTCCCGAGGCCCTCTGGGCAAACATCTGTCACTACTTCATGTTGCAATCTGCTTACAGGTGAGTCTCGCCCCAGCCTGGGAGCACCTGAGACCTGAATCTTTCTCTCTGTCTACTGCACCTGGAAAAGGACCCCCGCAGAGAGAGAGCTGATGGGGCTGGGCGGCAGGCATGTGCACAGAGGGTGTGTTGGATTCTAATGAGATGTAAAGGGATTCTTCACTAGACAGGGAAGACTAAAAGCAAGGCCACCGTGGTGGGTGTGCAGGAGCCAGGCCCTGAGTGGATTCCTCTGTGTTCCCTGTCTCTCTCCATCCTGCAGCAGTCCTATGAGGGGAAAGTCACTTTATAATCTCATTTCACAGAAGGGGAGAAAGTGAGCCTCGGGGAGGGTGAACATGGGGACCAAGGCTGCATGCTTGTGTTGATGAAGAATGACCATGCACTCAGTTTTGGCGCCACCCCTGCGCTCTCCTACTGCATCCCCTGCACCCCACACCCCTCCGCTTCCAGTGACTGGACCGTCCCCTCCTGTCCTGGGCAATCTCAACTTCTGTTACAGGGTGAACATTGAGCTTCTTCCCAAGACTGCAAACACCTCACTCATCACCCCAACACTAGCCCCTGAGCAACACTTGAACAGGATTGGCACTGAGTAAGGGGGGGCTTACCTGGTTCTTTTAGATGTAGAGGCCATGAGATGCCCCCAGATTTCTAAGGACAAGGGATTCCCCATTCCCTGCAGAGAAGGATACAGAATTCCCATGCGCAGACCCCTCTGCTGCTGCTCTGCCTGTCTTAGGGCAAGCTGACCCTGCCCCCAGAAACCCCGGGGTGCTTGAGTGACTGTGACACCGGCCAAAACCACACACAGCCGCTTGGGGAGCAGCTGTAGTGACAGGTGTCCGTGGTGTGGCTTTGAATGGGAAGGGAGCTCAGGTCGTGTTAGCCCGGCGCCCCTGCCATGCATAAAAGAAAGGGCACAACTCTTGGTGGTAAGCGCAGTGATTTGAAAATAAGGCCGGGTATGATTTTGAGGCAGACGCAAATCCCCCAGGCCTTTAGTGACGTTGTTCTGAGGATGACACATTCCTGCAACATGGTGAGTTATGAAGCAGGCCTGGAGTTTCTGGAGCATCCAGGCTGCCTCCCACTCCAGCCAGCAGCTGGGGTTTCAGAGCAGCTTACTGTGTCCCCCTGCAGAGGGTAGCAAGCAGAGCCCGTCCTCACTGCCCCTAGATGTGTGCTATTTGGATTCACCATTGCCTACTGCAGAGGGGTTTTGGGGGAGTTCAAAACACTCTGCAAAATTTGGTTGGCATTCCCCATTGATGATCAACAGTGGAAACCTCATCTCCTTCGTTTTCCTTCTCCAGTCACCAGAGAGCCAGGAAAGCATGGAACCAAAAGCTGATTCTTTGTCTGATCAGAGTCTCTGGAAAGGAAACCCAGACTCTCCTCTAGCTAGGAGGATGTTGGGCAAAGTTCATTATCATTCATTGAAGTGACTTCCTTCCTTCCCCACTCCTGCTGAGGCACCTGCCCCCAGCACCACCTTCTCCAGATGCTGGCCAGGTGATAGCTTTTAGATGCTGCAGTCCTTCCTTGCATACTTGAATCTAAGTGTGGCCTTGTCCATCAGCATCAGGGCACCCCGGGGAATGACTAAGAGGATTCATGGATGACTTCAGAGCAGGCCACTTCCCGCTGTCCTTAGACACGCACTAGCCCCATTGACTGCAGTTTCACAGAGCAGGTTGGAGCCCAGAATGGGGACTCAGCCCATGTGGATCACACCACAGCTAGGGCAAGAACTAGAACTTGAACTCTGCTCCTCCAAAATGTGGGAAAGCAGAGAGGCGGATGGCCTGAAAATCACCCGCCGCATTGAACGGTATCTGTTTACAAAGACAGGAACTCAGAAATGCATCCATTGTGGCAAAACAAAGCCTCAGAAATATGAAAGCCAGTGCACTCTCAGAGAGGGCGAGCCACAGCGTGTTTTATATTTCAGCCCCGGGGATTGGTGCTGACCGGCCCCCTTTCCTCCAGGGCCCACAGCCCAGCCTGGGCTCAGTTCCCAGCATATCACAGTTTCACTGCACCTGTGCAGCATAGCTTTGTGGTGACTCACTCCTGCCTCCTCTGCAGGCCCGGCCGTGCTGGGGACCAGAACGTGTACACCCTTGGGCACAGCACTCTGGTACCCAGGGTACCCAGCATCCCTAACCAGGCATGACCTTGAAGCTCTTCATTTTGTCCTCATGCAAGTGGATGGAGCAGGGGATGCTAAGACCACAGGGTATTTGCCAGTGGGTCTCAGGAGGCTGGCTGGTCAGCAGGTCACTCAGTCTCCCATTCAAAATCTGCCAGGTGCCCAGGACCTGCCTGGCAAGGTACCCAAATCCTTGCAGCAGAATTAGTATGGGAGGTTGTCTGTGAGCCGGTCTGTTCTGTAGATGGGGGTGGGGAGGAGAGTAGTGTTCAGACAAGAGCAGGAGCTCCTCTGCCTTAGTCACACCCAGCTGTCCTTTGACAGCCTTTGACAGCTGGATGTGAAATTTCCTTAATTTTGAGATTGCACTGTCAAATTCTGCTGCCGTCTTTGCTGAGAAATTGCCACACATTACAGAAGTAGTAAAACTCCCTCTTCATTCCTGTCCCTTTGCTGAAGGGACAGTGGTGAACTGGTGGGTGGGGGACAGGGAGTTGGCCCTTTCTATCCGGGTTGCGAGGTAGAAGTATGTCATCATTCCATGCTTATATGTGCACAGGAAAGCGTACCCATGCATGCACAGACTATTGCTTTTTACATATATGATCATTTTGCAGCTGGGTGCAATGATTCATGCCTGTAATCCCAGCACTTTGGGAGGCTGAAGGGGGAGGATTGCTTGAGGCCAGAAGTTTGAGACCTGCCTGGGCAACATAGCGAGACTTCATCTCTACAAAGATTAAAAAAAATTAATAATTATTCTGCACATATTGTTGGAGACTTGGTTTTCTCAGGCCCTTCAGCTTTTCTGTTAACCCCTGTGGAGGGGCACACAGTTGAGATGCAACTTTGGGCGTTCAGCCATTTCTCTGCCAAGGACATCTATGACTGTTTTCCTTTTTTTAATCTTAAAAAAAATCCTGTTCTTTCTTCTTCTTATCTTGATCCATTTGCTGCATTTTTCTCTGAAAAGTCTATGTGTGTCTTAGAAACCTTAGCTCTTGTACTTGAACTGCTTATTTTGCTAGTACAATGAAAGTGACTCATCAGTGATATTTAAAGCCCCTCTAATGACCCCAACTACCCCTGTCCCTGGGAACACCTTGTCTTGGGATTTGCACGAGGATACCTCACCCTGAATACGCAAATAACCTTTAGAGATGGTTTCGATTAACTAAGCAAGTAAATGTTTGACGTGCACTAGGACTCTATTATCAAGATCTATATATTGTTTTTACCTAAATGTATGTGCAGAGAAAATTAAAATATCTATACTGAATATTTTCAGCACTTGTCTAATATACATTGTCTTGTTAAATCTTCACCATAATTTTATGAGGCTAATAGTATTATTATTTGTGCCTTATAACTGAGGACACAGTAGTGGGCTGAATGGTGGTCTCCAAAAAGATATGCCCACATCCTGATCCCTGGAACCTGTAAATGTTTACTTTATTTGGAAAAAGGGTCTTTGCCAATGTATTAGTCCATTCTCATACTACTATGAAGAAATACCTGAGACTGGGTAATTTATACAGGAAAGAGGTTTAATGGACTCAGTTCCGCATGGCTGGGGAGGACTTAGGGAACTTACAATCATGGCAGAAGGCAAAGGGGAAGCAGGCAACTTCTTCACATGGCAGCAGGAGAGAGAGCTGCAAGCAGAGGAAATGCCAGATGCGTATAAAACCATCAGATCTTCTGAGAACTCACTGTCATGAGAACAGCATGGGGAAACTGACCTCAGGATCCAGTTACTCCCACCTGGTCCCATGCTTGACATGTGGGGATTATAATTCAAGATGAGATTTGGTTAGGGACATGGAGCCAAACCATATCACCTGATATAAGTGAATCAAGTGTCTGGAGATGTGAAGATCATCCTGAGTTATCCAGGTGGGCCCTGACTTTGATGACATGTGTCCTTACAAGAGACACACGGGGGAGCTGGCATAGGGAGAGACCGTGGAGCGAAGACAGAGGCAGAGATTACAGGGATGCAGCCACAACCTCAGGAAGGCCACCAAAAGCCAGAAAAGTCAAGAAACGGATTTTCCCCTGAAGCCTGAGGGAGCATGACCCTGTAGACACCTTGATTTCTGGCTTGCAGCTTCCAGAGCTGTGAGAAAATAAATATCTGTTATTTTAAGCCACCATGTTTAATGTCATGGCCTCAGGAAACGAATTTACACACTGAGACTTAGAAGGTTGGAAACATCTGCAGGTTACGCAGCACCCCAGCACTATGTCCTGTGCCTCAGTGCCCAGGGGTGCTTAGGGATACAGAGGAAAACCATGCACTTCCAGCCCTGGGAAACCACCCGAGCTCCAGGCCTCCTGTGGGGACTGCAGAGGGGAGCTCTGCTGAGAAGCCCTTGAGCAGAGGCGGTTTGCTCCGGCATCAGCGCTGCAGTGGGTAGGATGCTGGCGTGAGTGTTCTAGATAGTTCTGCTGCTCTCAGCCCTGGCTCTGTGGTAGGTCCCACTCCACCTCCCCAGGCAGGAATGAGAGCAGGAAGTGTTCATTCCCACTCAGCACAGCCTGCTGCATCTTCCGGGGGCCTTGGCTTGAGAACACCAGATGGACTGGTCTAGGTGGCCAAAGAAGTGCCCACTGGACAGATGCAAAGGTTCCAGGAACCCATATCACGGCAGGGTTGGGAGGCGTGGGGAGAGGGTGGGGCTAGAACACCTTCAGAATTAGAAAGACCACCTCTTCTGCTTCCCAGGGAATCCTTTATCTTCTGGGTCTCAGCTTCATTTGCTGTGAAGGAGGTCAAAGAGGTGCCTGTTGCACAGGTGCAAAATATCCCAGGCACCCATGTCACTAGGGAGCAGGAGGCAGGGTGAGGCCAGAACAGCTTTGGAATAAGGAACAACTGGTTTGGAATTAGTAAGACCACCTCTTCTGCTTTGCAGGGAAACCAGTATCCTCTGGGTTTCAGCTTCCTTTGCTGTGAAATGGACTTCCTAAGGGGGCTAAAGCATGCTCTGAAATGGGAAGGATGCAGGTCCCAGGCAGACATGTCCCCTGTATCTGCATACTCCTTGCCCTGGGACAAGGATCACAGAAGGGCCCTGCAGAGCATGGGGCTCAGGAAGAGGCCCCTACTGCTCAGGCCTGAGCACTGCACTGAGTTCCAGGGTTCTATTTCTGGAAGGCTTCCAAGGCAGAGAGAAGTCTTCAAGAGCCACCCTAACTCCATTTCCTCCCAGCCCTCCAGAACCTTCTACTGTGTTTGGTGGCAAAGCAGGCTCTACCCTCAGCTTCCCAGTGGAAAGGTGGGTGGGGTGGGGCAGGGTGGTGTGCCTGCCCCTCCCTGTGGTCAGACACCAAACCTGACCACAGGTACATCTAGGTGGTGAGCACTCCAGCTGCTCTTCCCACGAGGAGATACTGCCCCAGCCTACTGCTAGCCTAGCCAGGGCAGCCATTCCTCAGATGACAGCAGCTACTGCCATTTACTGAGCACCTACTGTGTGTCAGGCTCAGTGCTAAGCAGTACCTCTACTTGATGAAAAATATGATTCTTGTCCCCACTTCACAGATGAGATGACAGCGCCAGCCGGCTTCTGCAAATGAACTGACACATGGGTGTCTTTTCTGGAGACCATGATTCAATAGCCTGTCTTCCCCCAAAACGGTTTTATTATAAAAAAAATACTTAGCGTATTCCACTTAGAATTGTAGATATTTCATATCTTTTGCTTATTACAATGCACTGTGCTAAGCATCCATTATTTAACTGTGCACTGGGTGTAATCATTCTTCAGGTACTGGTATGCCAGCAATAATTTACATCCCATGTAAGGAGTTGGGATGTATTCTCTACCTGTGTGGATAGAGCTGACAGCAGGACAGAATATAATTGTTCCAAAAAGCCACACTTGATAGTTAATGAATGAGCGGGTGAGGATTAGAGATGGGGAGATCCACCAGCGTTTGTGAGAGGTAAACCAACAATTAGAAGAAGAATATGTTCTGTTGGCTGTCAGGGAAAATTTTTGCAACGCAAAAGGGAAAAGATGATTTAGACTCAAGGGTAACAATGTCTGCTTGCAGGTATAGGGGTGAGGAAAGTCATGCTCATAGATGTGCTTAAAGATATATTTTTAAGAGGACTTAGAATTTCCTTCAGTGCTTTTAAGATGTCAGAAAGATTTGGCTGTGCCTGTCCATGTGTTCACTCGACAGGTGTGTCCCGGGCATGTGCTGTGTGCCTGGCGCGTGCAGCCTGGGAGCTCTTGCACCAGGAACAGCTCAGAGCAGCAGCTCATGTCCCTCTCTGAGTCCAGGAGAACCGAGGCTCCAGGGAGGATATATTTCTGTATCCCCAGGAAGCAAATGTGGATGATAATCAGAGTCATTGCTGCTAGTTATTGACCACGGAGTGTCTTCCAGGACGCTGCATGTTATCTGTTATCTCCATGATGACAGGAGGAACTGGACAGTGCTGTCTTTACATGTCACCTTGGAGGAAGCTGGGGTTGGGGAGATGAAGGACCTGCCAGAGGGAGGGGCGGAGGCCTGTCTGGCCCTATCTCTGGGGTCTCCCTCCATCCTGAACTGTGGATGCTCAAACCCAGAGCTGTGACAGCAGGTCTCAGCGGAGGCGTATTCGAGGTTTTGTCAAAACTGAACCTTTTCCTGCCCAAGGGGAAAGAGTTAAACTGCCTGAGGAATTCAATTTTACTTTGATTCTATGAATTCTATATTTTTTATATATTAAGCTTCCCTTTGGAGAGTGTGTGTGTGTGCGGGCGCGCATGTGTGTGTGTGTTTAAGTAGACAGCAGCCACTCTGCAGTCGGTGCCAAGGTCCCTGTTCAGTTGACCCGGGCAGACAGGGAACCTGCTGGCCTGCCCTCTAGTGCCAAGGACTGCAGCAGCCTGGGACCATCTTCATATCAGTCTTCCAAGTTTCCAAAGCTAGATCCAACTGCGCTGGAAAGGCACATGCGTTTCAAGCGTTGGGTGGGCTATCCTGCCCCTCTGAATAAGCGGACACCTAGCTTTTCCTACTTCCTCAGGCTGCAGGTGCAGCATTGACAGATCACTGGAGCCCTGGAACTTTATTCAATAAAAAGCTTCTGCAACCCAACGGGACACTGACTTGACCCCTAGGCAGAGGCTCCTCACCCACTCTGTGCTTACTCTTAGCGTCTCAGGTACTTGAGGCCCTCACCTCCCTGTGTATTTCAGTGATGGTCTTGGGGGTCGCAAGCGAGCAGGGAGGGACTAGCCACACTCTCATCTCTTGAGCAGGTTCTAGGGGCTTGGCTCAATGCTAGCTGCTCTCCACTCAAAACTACTCAAAACCTGCTCCATCACCCCAGCATCCTTTGATTTAGGATTAATAGTCCTGTTTTAGAAATGAAGGTTTTGAAAGGTCTTACTGTCCTCCTTTCTCTTGGCCGACATTTGAACCTGAATCCAGATATTTTTCTTTTTCTTTTTCTTTTTCCTTCTTCTTCTTTTTTTTTTTTTTTCAAACAGGGTCTGGCTGTCTCTCCAGGCTGGAGTGCAGTGGTGCGATCATGGCTACTGCAGCCTCGACCATTCAGGCTCAAGAGATCCTCCCTCCTCAGCCTCCCAAGTAGCTGGGACCACAGGCACAAGCCACTATGCCTTGCTAGTCTTTTAAACTTTTTTTTTTTTGGTAGAAATAAGGTCTTGCTGTGTTGCCTGGGCTGGTCTGGAACTCCTGGGCCCAAGTGCTGGGATGACAGGCAGGGACCACTGCTCCCGGCCTTGGACCCAGAGTTTTGAGTATTCTGTATACACAGCTTCTCCGCAGTATTGGCCAGGTTGTTGACTCTGACATCTTGGCTGGAGACCCTGGTTGCTTGCTGCAAGTTGTTTTGTCTACCCCTTTATTTTGCCTTTAAACTTGCCATTTCTTTTTAAGTTTGTAATTTCAGGCTTACAGAAAAGTTGCGAGAATTCTCATATTCTCTTCATCAGATTCCCTAATTGTTAGCATTTTACCAGCTTTTATTCTTTTCTCTCTTCCTCTCTCTTTTTATGTATCACACTGATATGACTTGGCTGTGTCCCCACCCAATCTCATATGAATTGTAGCTCCCATAATTCCCATGTGTTGCAGGCAGGACCCAGTGGGAGATAAGTGAATCGTGCAGGAGGTTTCCCCCATACTGTTCTCGTGGTAGTGAGTAAGTCTCACGAGATCTGATGGTTTTATAAGGGGTTTCTGCTTGCACTTGGCTCTCATTTTCTCTTACCTGCTGCCTTGTTAGACGTAGCTTTCACCTTCCACCATGATTGTGAGGCCTCCCCAGCCATGTGGAACTGTGAGTTCATTAAACAACTTTTCCTTTATAAATTACCCAATCTCAGATGTGTCTTTATCAGCAGCGTGAAAACAGACTAATACATACATACATACACACACACACACACACTGTAATTGTGTGTATACACGCACTTTAATTTTTCTGAACCATTGGAGAATTAACTGCAGACCTGATGCTCTTTCACCCATGAATACTTCAGCGTGCATTTCCCATAAACAAGATGTGCACTTCCATAAACACAGGAATTAGAAAATACACAAAAATCAGGAAGTTAATATTGATAGGATAACCCGTCATCTACAGATTTTGTTCTGATGGGGCTGATTATCCTAACACTCTCCTTAGTGGTGGAAGGAAATCACAGATCGTGAGTTGCCTTCGGTGCTCATCTCTCCTTGGCCTCCTTTTATGCCTTTATCTTCCTTTGTGTTCCATGACACTGACGTTTTTGAGGGCTGGAGTCTGGCTACTGTGTGGATCGTCCTCAATTTGGGTTTTTTAAATCCTGATATTTTATGAGGATTAGGTTTGCATTACTCATTTCTGGCAGAAATACCACCAAAATGGTGCCTTGGTCTCCTTGGTTCTTCCTGTCAGGGGGCACAAGATGTAGCTTTGTCCCATGATTAGAGTTGCTAATCTGGATGTCTTGGTGACAGTGGTGTTGCCAGCTTTCTCCATTCTTAGGAAAATGTCCTTTTCCTTTGAAATAAGTAAGCGTCTTATGGGAGATATTTCAAGACTATGTAAATATCCCCTGTTATTCCTCAAACATCCCTTCAGTAGTTTTAATATCCGTTGACGATTCTTGTTTGATTCAAGGATGATGATGATAGTTGCCAAGAGGAAATTTTTCTAATTATAGTATTCCTTCTACATTTACTAATTGTCTTTCTACTGCAAGGAAGAGCTTTTCCTTCTTTTTCATTTATTTATTTATATCCATGTAACTGGTGAATGCTTATTTCATTCAATAAATCATGATTTTCAATCATTATTTATTTTTGTGCTAAATTTGCCTCATATTTGGCCAGTGGGAGTCTCTGCAAATTGGCTTCTTTGTCCTTTTGATATGTCCCTGTTATTCTTTGAGCATTTCCTTACTTTTTGGGACCAGAAGTTTCAGGCTCATCTTGTGCTTTCTCGGTTGCAGGCCTGCAATGACCATTTTGTAAGTGGCCCTGTCTTCTCTTAGAGGAGAATGACATAGAAAGAAACGCCTCCATGCTAAGTATGCTCGTTGCTATTGGAGTTCCATTGCTTCCAGGTCCTCTGTGCGTATGCATATGAACAATTTCTTTATCTCTCTCCTTCTCTCCCCTGACCTCCCTCACTCTCTCTCCCTTCCTCCCTTCCTCTGTCCCTTTTTAAACCATGAGTTTTTACTTATAACTTCAATTTCAATCCAGCACCTTAGGGCTTATTCTGTCTCCTCCTCCCCTTTCCAATTTTATACTCCTTTCTCCAACAATGAGAAACCTGGCTTTGAATGACTATAGTATATTTATTTGTTTGTTCAGTTGTTGACTATTCATAATTATTTTATGTCAGCTATTTTAATTTTTACTGTCAAATTTATGTGAATTGCACAAGTAATACATGAACACATTCTTTTTAAAAATGATTTTAAATACAGGTAAGAAAGATTGTATCCTCCACATTCACCCATACCTTCAGGTCTAATCAATATGATCAATTTGGTATGAATCTTTCCAGACATTTTTCTGAGCCTTATACACCCACAGAAATTAGAATTGTAGTGTTTTGACTTATTTTTATATAAATGATTTGATAGTGTATATTCTGATTAGCAACATACTTTTTTAAATTTAAAAAAAACAAACTCTTGGAGACTTTTGATGTTGTGACATGTCGATTCACTTCATTGCAGCTTAACTCGAGATGCTGAACAATAAGAGAAGTCTCTGAGGTCTGAATACTATTTTAGCATGCCTCATCTATGGAATATCATGTAGTACTTAAAAGGAATGCCCAGCCATTTCATGCACATCAGCAAATACATCCCTAGAGTTGCTGCAGAGAAGTAGGATTGTTGGGACTTAGGACGTTTATATTTTCTAGTTAAATAAATATTACAAATGGATTCCAATGTGGCTGCACTGGGGGCCACACTACCTGCAATGAATGCTGAGTGTCTTCTTGGGCACCACAGGATGGGTTGTAACAGCCCCTACCACTCCGTCAGAGGCAGGGAATGCACTCTTGAGACTGCAACTATCTTGAAGCATCCAGCTTTGTATGGAGACCCCATGTAATCCTCTGCAAGGCTGGTGGCTGACCAGGGCTCTATCAGGTCTTACAGTACAGGAGCAATGATTTTCACATGTCCAGAGCTCCCATCTGATAGTGCAGTTGTCAGATGTAGCTTGTGTTTTAACTACACAGAAGCATTCTGTTACCAGGCAGAAGAACCTTCTGCGTGAGATTTTGTGTTGTTTTGTTTTGAATTTTGTCTATTTTAAAGATAGGCTGGAGGAGATAGGGGTGACCTGAAACCTTGTAAGCATCAATATTTCTTTTAAGAGCAGCTTCTTGTTTCCTAGTCAGATTCATATGAGCAATAGCCCCCCTATCTTTTTTGCCATTTTCCTTCCACATGAGTCCTGTGCACATTATCTTATTTTAGTTCCTTGCCTATCCAATGAGAAGGGTGAGACAAGTTTTTCCCATTTTTCAGCTTTCTCCTACTTAAGGTTGCACAGCAAATGTTGGGGCCTGGACTCAAATCCAGACCCCAGACTTTAACTCCAACATTTTTTCGTAAGTAAGATTTTTGTTTATTGTATACTGACTTGCAACAATTGAAAAATATAGAATATTATAATAAAGAAAAAAATAATAAATCACCAACAATCAACACTATCATCCAGAGATAATAACACTGTGAATATTTTCCTATATACTTTATACATACATAACAAATTACATAGAGTATTTATTTGACTGCTTTATATTGTAAGCATTTTCCAATGATATTAAATTTTCTTTATAAGATTTTAGGCAAGGAGCAGTGGCTCATGCCTATAATCCTAACACTTTGGGAGGCTGAGGTGGGCAGATGTCTTGAGCCCAAGAGTTCAAGACCAGCCTGGGCAAAATGGTGAAAACCTGTCTCTACAAAAATTTCAAAAATTAGCCAAGTGTGGTGGCATGTGCCTGTAGTCCCAGCTACTTGGGAGGCTGAAGTGGGAGCATCACTTGAACCCGGGATGTCGAGGCAGCAATGAGCTGAGATCATGCCTCTGCACTCCAGCCTGGGGGACAGAGCCAGGCCATATCTCAATTAAAAAAAAAGAAATGATTTTGAATGACCGTATACATATCCCATTATGTGGATAAATCACAATTTGGGCAATCTTCCATATTTGGATGTAGGCTAATTTTATACTGATATACTTTATAGTAGTCCGTTCCCTCACAGCTGTAAAGAAATACCTGAGAGTGGGCAATTTATGAGAATTTCTTATAAAATTTCTTATAAAAGTAGCTTCTTGTTTAATGACAGAGGTTTAATTGGTCACAGTTCCTCAGGCTGTACAGGAAGCATGGCTGAGTAGGCCTCAGGAAACTTTCAGTCATGGTGGAAGGCAAAGGGGAAGCCAGCATGTCTTACATGGCCAGAGCAGGAGGAAGAGAGAGAGTGGGGAGGTGCACACACTTTTAAACAACCGGATCTAATGAGCACTCACTCACTCACTATCAAGAGAGCAGCATGGGGAGGAAATCCGCCCCCAAGATCCAATCACCTCCCACCAGGCCCCACCTCCAACACTGGGCATTACAATTTGACATGAGATCTGGGTGCAGACACAGATGCAAATTATATCATACACTGTCATTGTTATATATAAAGTTTCAAATAACATCCCTGAATGCAAATATTTAACTATATCACTGATCATTTCCTTGGAACACAGACCTAAAAATGGAGAGAAATCCCAGGCCAAAAGTTATGCACATGTTTTAGGTTCTTAATACCTAAAGCTCAAGTCTACTTTAAAAAGGCCTTGCTGATAACCACCCTCAGGGTAGAGCAACCACAGTGCAAACCGCCCTCCTCCAAGTGTATTCCACATGAGAAATCATGATTTGATATTGTTACATCAAGTTTCCAAATGCAGATGAGGAAAACAGAGTCAGTGAGGTTAAATAAGCTTCCTAAGGTCACAGAGAGGGGACCCAGCTCCCATTCCCAGAGCTCGATGAACACCACTCCGCTGCTCCCCCATATCATCTGAACAACCCTGACCTTGGCAGGGGAGGCACGGAGCCCCCGAGGATGGTATCCTGTGTCGGTGGGACATGCATCTGCCCCCACCCCCTCTGCTTCTGCTATTTGAGAGGACTCATCCCATATGCAGGCGGCAGGGCGGTCACCACTATAATACCAGCCTGCCGGGCTCACCTCCCTCTGACACGGGAAAGTTCAGGGCATTATATGATATAGGATACCATGCATGGGTTGGTGTGATACAGTGGGACCCTGACTACACAGGGGTGAGTGGATGGATGATAGTTAGGAGTGACTATGGCAAAAATCCCACAGACTTGTTTTAAGTGAAGTCTGTAAGTGTGTAACAGTATAATTGTAGGTTGAGTTACCAACATGGATTAGAAATGACTAGGGACCAAGCATGGAATTGTGCCAAGGTCAGACTAAGGAATTTGGGGTTGTAGTTCTTCTAAGTGCAGTGGAGAAAAAAAATCCATCAATGACAGGTATGAAGTACTATACTTCTCTTAATCCATATAAACAGTCAGTAGTTATAGCTACAGATATATGTGCATCTTTCCTTTCATTGAAGGCTTCAGACAGGTTGGTTTAGGAGGGTGTGATGGTTAATTTTAGGCATCAACTTGACTGGATTAAAGGATATCTAGATAGCTGATAGAGCATTATTTCTGGGTGCATCTGTGAGTGTATTTCTGGAGGAGATTGGAGGGTGAATTGGTGGACTGAGATGGGAAGATCTACCCTCAATGTAAGCAGGCACCATCCAATCTGCTGGGGTCCCAAATAGAACAAAAAGGCAGAGGAAAGTTGAGTTTGTGCTTTCTCTCCCCTAGAACTAAGGCACCCATCTTCCGCTGACTTTGGACATCAGAGCTCCAGGTTCTCTCTCCTAGAACTGAGACACCCATCTGCTGCTGCCTGTGGACATCAGAACTCCAGGTTCTCTCTGTTAGAACTGAGACGCCCATCTTCTGATGCTTTTGGACATCAGAGTTCCAGATTATCTCTCCTAGACCTCAGACATACATCTGCTGCTGCCTTTGGACATCAGAACTCCAGGTTCTCTCTCGTAGAACTGAGACACCCATCTTCTGATGCCTTTGGACATCAGAACTCCAGATTCTGTTTTCTAGACCTGAGACACCCATCTGCTGCTGCCTTTGGACATCAGAACTCCAGGTTCTCTCACGTAGAACCGAGGCACCCATCTTCTGCTGCCTTTGGACATCAGAACTCCAGATTCTCAGGCCTTTGTACTCTAGGATGTGTAGCAGCAACCCCTGCCCCAGGTTTTCAGGCCTTTGGCCTCAGACTTCAAGCTACACCTCTGGCTTCTCTGGTTCTGAGGCTTTTGGACTTGGACTGAGCCATGCTGCAGGCATCCCTGGGTCTCCAGCTTGCATATGGCCTGTTGTAGGACTTCTCAGCCTCCATAATCATGTGAGCCAATTCCCTTAATAAATAGCCTCTCACTTATCTATCTATGCATCCTATTGGTTCTGTCCCTCTGAAGAACCCTGACTAATACTAAAGCTGTCTTCTGGAAGGGACAAATTTTAAGTGAAGATTCAAAGACCAGGGCTGCCATATGTGAGAGGAAAGTCACTGGCTAAGTAGAGAAGTATGCATTTCAAAAATATGCCTAAAAATCCACTGAGGAAATGAAATTACCCACTTAATTATCTATATAGTTTACATCCCTTGAATAATTGTCTACTAGGCATCAAGTGAAGATGGTATGACAGGGCAGATTGCCTGATCAGAGTGAGGTATGTGGGCCCAGTGAACCTCACAGGTTTACGGAATAGCTCAGTTGGTTCTCTTGTCATAAAGAACTATAAAACTAGACACAACGTATGACAACTGATTTGGGGCAATAACAATTAGATAACACAAAGCAGTGATTTCAGAGAGAAGGGAAGCTCATGTGAGGAGATTTCTGGTCATTCAGTCCCCTGCCGGGGTTGTAATAGTAGCACAATCACAGCAGAGCAAGCTGATATCTGGGCAGAGGATGGTGGGCATGCTGAGCTGAGGAGAATGAGGTCAGAGTTTGAGTCACTTCAAATGGCTGCAGTCTGCACAATGGCGCATCAGAGAAAGGGAGGTGTGTAGGTGGTTCCCTGCAAGTCCATGGCTGAGAACCAGACTGCACGTGCATGGAGATTACCTAGTGCTTACCAGAGTTAAGCTGTTGGGAGATTGAAAGTAGAGCAGAGAGACTAAAGCTTTGACAGTGACGGAGGACAGGCAGTGTGGTGGGGCTGGATGCTTGATTCTCAACCTTATTAGAGTGAAGAGATCTCTTGAGCATATGGTTAACATCTCAGCATCTTTCAAGACAACAGAAAATTGTGTCTAAGGTATAAGAACTATTCTTAATTTGTCCCAACAGAGTCCAAATTGAAGCCCCAACAAGAGTTTGCAGTTTGAGTCCTGTCAAATTAGAGGGGCTTGGGAAATACCTTGGACTTTCCATTTATTATTTAAAAAACATAAAACCAAGCCTACTAGACGATGTGCAAGCAACTGAACTGCCTAATAAACATGTGCACACATTCCTATGAAAAGATAACAGAATCCACATTCTCTACCACATATAATCTGTGGTGTGCAGTGTTCAATCAAATATCACTTAGGCATACAAAAATAAAAACATGAAAATGTGATTCAGGGATAAAGAAAATATAATCAAGAAACTAAATGTAAGATGACTCCTATGATGGAGCTAGCAAAGACTTTAAAACAAGTATAATATTTTCAAAGAATTAAAGAAAAATATGGTCCTAATGATTGAATAGAAAAAGAATCTGAGCAGAAAAATGTAAACTATACAAAAAATCAACCGAATGGAAATTCAGTAACAGAAAATTATAATAACTGAAACTTTAAAAAAATTACCAGATGAACCTAACAGAAGATTATAACTGGGCAGAGAAAGAAGGATCTTGTTTATAAATCAATAGCATTTTTCAATAACATATACGGAAAAAAAGAATTAAAAAAAATAAACAGAACCTTATGGACCTGTGTGAAAATATTTAATTGCTTAATAACAGTTTTCAAAGTGTGAGTGTCCCCAAGATTATTTCATAAAATCTGTACTACTAAAGCTATATTTATGATAACTAAGATATTATTTGCCTTTCTCACGTCCATCTTTTCATAGGTGTAAAGTGGAGTTTTCCATAGACTGCAAGATGAATGATATAACAACAGATTAAATGCGGAAACAAATATGAGACTGTAGCTGTCTTCTATTAAGCCATAAAAAGCACTCTGTGAAAGTGTCATTCTTCTCACGAAGAATTTTTGATTTTTTTCAATAAGTCTATCTTTTTTATTTTAATGTGTTATGGTATTTTTGTTTTTATGTGTGTCAAAATACATATTTTTAACAATTTGTCTGCTTTACTTTCTAATATAAATATTGATAGATATAACTACATAAACAAATGCTTTCGTGGTGCTTGAAAATTTTACATAATGTAAAGAAGTATTGGGACCAAAAAATATGAGAACTACTGCTTTTACATACCTGAAATTTGAGTCTCAGAAAACAATTGTAAGGAGCACACCAGCATTTAGAAAAACAATGACTAAAAACTTAACAAATTGAATGAAAAACAAGAAAAAAATTTTCAGATTAAAAACAAAACCAAAAATCTAAGTCAATTCCAAGCAAGATAAATGTAAAATAAATAATCAGAGTCAAATTGCAAAGAAAATACTGAAAGCGCCATACTGGAAACACGCATTACAGACATGAAACAAAAGGATAAAAATAACTTACTGTTGACTTTTCATATCAAACAATGAAGGCTATTAAAAGTCAATTTAATTACATTTTAAAAGTGCAAGTGTTTGGGAGGCCATGGTAGGAGAATCACTTGAACTCAGGAGTCCAAGACAAACCTAGACAACATAGTGAGATCCCATCTCCACAATTTGTTTTTTTTTAATTAGCTGGGCATGTTGTCACATGCCTGTAGTCTCCAGCTACTTGAGAGGTTGAGGCAGGACCACTTGAGCCCAGAATGTCGAGGCTGTAGTGAGCTATGATTGCACCACTGCACTTTAGTCTGACAGAACAGTACTCTGTCTCCAAAAAATAAGAATAAAAATAAAGTGTAAATGAAAAAAAAATCCTGTCAATTTAGATTTCTATATCCAGCAAAAATAGCTTCTGAAAGTGAGAATGAAATCAAGATAATTTCAGACAAAGAAAGTTAGGAAGTTTATTACTAGGATTCTTGCAAAAAAGAAATAGTGAATAGTATCATTCAGGCTGAAAGAAATAACAGCAAATGAAAATTTAGAATCTGTGTAAAAAATAAAGGGCATCAGAAATTGGAAATGAGTCTGTAAATATAAAAGCCTCCCTTTTATTCTCATAATTTATTTAAATTACTCATAATAAAACTAATTACTTATCACATAAATAATAACACTGTAGAGTGACCTTTAACATATATAGATAAGTAAAAAATAGGATAGCAATTGTAGGAAGGATATAAGGAGGTAAAAAAATCATATCCTGGGAAAAATATTTATTGTAAAACAGGAAGTATAAAGTATCAGAAGGGAAGTGTGAAATGTGAAGAGGTATAATATTGACTATAAATAGACTGATAATTTAAAAAACACATTTTAGTAGCCCTACATCAAGCACACAAAAATTAAGTACAAAAAAGAGAAGATGTATTAGATATCTAAAATATTTATCAAAGAATACAGGAAATAAGCAATAGAAATAATTTTATAAAACATGCTAGGGAAGTGGAAATCAAATTATAAGATGAACTTAAACCTCAACTCATCAAATAATAAAATGCAGATATACTAAGCATCCCAATGAAAATAGAGATTTTTGACTAGGAAAAAAAGTGAGATCCAACTCGATGCTATCTGTAGGAGACACATTTTAAAAATAAATAACAAGACATTGACTGTAAAAGATGGATAAAACATGCAATGCAAACAATAAGAGTAAGAAAGCTGGCGTGGCTATATGGGTATTAGAGAAGGTGGATTTCAAGACAAAGAGTAAGAGATAAATACGGGCATTAGACAATGATTAAAGGAACAATTCACTAGCAAGGTAGAACAATTTTAAATATGTATACCGTTTATCATAGGGCATCAAAATTCATAGCCGGGCACAATGGCTCACGCCTGTAATCCCAGCAATTTGGGAGGCCAAGGTAGGCAGATCACTCGAGGTCAGGAGTTCAAGACCAGCCTGGCCAACATGGTGAAACCCCATGTCTACTAAAAATGCAAAAATTAGCCAGGTGTAGTGGTGAGTGCCTGTAATCCCAGCTACTCAGGAGGCAGAGGCAAGAGAATCGCTTGAACCTGGGAGGTGGAGGTTGCAGTGAACCAAGATTGTGCCATTGCTCTGCAGTCCGGGTGACAGAGCAAGAGTCTGTCTCAAAAAAAAAAAAAAAAAATTCACGAAGGAAACATTAACAGAAATAAAGGGAAAAATGGACAAAGCCACAATGATAGAAAAATTTTAACATTTCTCTTTTGGTAATTAATAAAAATATACAAACCATAGATGAAGATGTCAAAGATTAATATAACAATATCCACAATTTTTATATAATTGACATTATAGAACTACCACAAACACCTGCAGAATATGTATTATTTTCAAATGCACATGGAATGGTCACCAAAATAGCTAATATTCTAGTCATAAAATAAATATCAGCAAAATTAATAACATTGCAGTCAGATAGAGTTGTTTTCTGACCACATGGCGTTAAATTAGAAATCAATATAAATGACATATCTAGAAAATCTCTAAACATTTTGGAATAAAACAAGCTTTTTCAATAACTCAGAAGCCAGTGAAAATTACAAGATAAATTTAAAATATTTGAAGCAAATGAAGATGAAAATTTAACATTTCAAACTTTGTTGGGTGCAGTGTACAGCTAAAGCAATACTTCGAAAAGAATGTATAGCTTGCAATATCTATTTTAGAAAAGAAAAAGGTTTAATACCAATTATTGATGTTTCTATTTTATAGACAGAAAAAGAAAATAAGCTCAAAGCAAAGAGAGGACAGAATTAATATAAATAAGAACAAACATCAATGAATGGTAAACATTCACATGGGGAAAATTAACAAAGCCGTAAGTTGGTTCTTTGAAAACAAACTTAATAAAATTAGTAAATCTCTAGGAAGACAAATTAATGAAAAAATAAAGAAAACAAATAAACAGTATTAGAGGTGCAAGTGGGGATATTAATACATATCCTGTAGAATGTTAATACATATTTAGAAGAATTTAAAATATATGCATATTTTAAAGAATAATAAGAAGCAATAATAATAGTAAGAAATAATGAGGAATATTATCATAAGGACATATTGCAATCAACTTCAGCCTGATAAGTTTAACAGTTTAGGTGAAAGAGACAAATTACTTTAAAACTAGTGTATTCCAAAACTGAATCAAGGGGCAATAAAAAATTGAACAGTCTCCAATGTATTGAAAGAATTGCCTTTTCACTCTGTTGATTGTTTTTTGTTTGTTTGTTTTTTCTTAGACGGAGTTTCGCTCTGTCTCCCAGTCTGGAGTGCAGTGGCATGATCTCTGTGCACTGCAGCCTCTGCTCCCGGGTTCAAGCGATTCTCCTGCCTCAGCCTCCCAAGTAGCTGGGATTAGAGGCATGTGCCACCTCGCCCGGCTAATATTTGTATTTTTAGTAGAGACGGGGTTTCACCGTGTTGGCCAGGCTGGTCTCAAACTCCTGAGCTCAGGTGATCCTCCCACCTTGGCCTCCCAAAGTGCTGGGATTACAGGCCTGAGCCACCACGCCCAGCCTGTTGATTGTTTCTTTTGCTGTACAAAAGCTTTTTGCTTGACTCAATTCTACCTATTACTTGCCCTTCATTCCCTGTGCTTTTGGTGTCATAGCCAAGAACTTATTGCCCAGATCAATGACAAGAAGGTTTTTCCCTATGTTTTCTTCCAGGAGTTTCATAGTTTCAGGTCTTACAGTTGAGTCTTTAATTCATTTTTAGTTTATTTTTGTGTATGGTGTGAGATAAGGGTCCGATTTCATTACAGCAAAGGAAAAAAATAAACAGAGTGAAAGGACACTCCTAAGGGAATGGAAGAAAATATTTGCAAACTGTATATCTGATAAAA
This sequence comes from Homo sapiens, assembly GCF_000001405.40. Classification (NCBI taxonomy): domain Eukaryota; kingdom Metazoa; phylum Chordata; class Mammalia; order Primates; family Hominidae; genus Homo; species Homo sapiens. Next base: position 31,236,539 of record NC_000019.10, on the reverse strand, counting down.
GATTAATATCCAAAATTTTAAAAGAACTCGAACAATTTAACAATAAAGACCAAATACCTGATTAAAAATGAACTAAGGACCTAAATGGACATGTCTCCAAAGAAGACATACAAAGGGCCAACAGGTGTATGAAAAGGTGCTCAGTGTCTCTAATCATCAGGGAAATGCAAACTAAAACCACAATGAGATATCACCTGACACTTTGTTACAATGGCTGTTGTCAAAAAGACAAAAGATGACAAATGTTGATGAGGATATGGAGAAAAAGTAACTTTTGTACACCGTTGGTGTGAATGTAAATGGTACAGCCATTGTGGAAAACAGTGCAGAGTTTCCTCAAAAAACTAAAAATAACTAGAAACTAAAATAGACCTGTCGCATGACCTAGCTGTCTCACTTCTGGATATAGATCCAAAGGAAATGAAATCAGTATCTTGAAGAGATATCTGCACCCCCATGTAGCATTATTCACAATAGCCAAGATATGAAATCATCCTAAGCATACATACGTTGACACATGAATGAATAACAAATACGTGGCTGGGCACGGTAGCTCTCACCTGTAATTCCAGCCCTTTGGGAAGCTGAGGTGGGTGGATCACTGGAGACCAGCCTGGCCAACATGGTGAAACCCCTTTGCAACTAAATATACAAAAAATTAGCCAGGTGTGTTGGTGCATTCCTGTAATCCCAGATACTTTGGAGGCTGAGGCATGCATGAGAATTGTTCAAACCCAGGAGGCCGTGGTTGCAGTGAGTAGAGATCGTGCCACTGCACTCCAGCCTGGGCGACAGAGTGAGATTCTGTCTCAAATTAAAAAAAAAAAAAAAAAAAAAAAAGAAGAAGAGGAGAAGAAAGAAAGAAAGAAGAAAGAAATAGAAAGAAATAGAAAGAAAGAAAGAAAGAGGAAAGAAAGAAAGAGGAAAGAAAGAAAGAAAGAAAAAAGAAAGAAAAAAGAGAAGGAAAGAAAATGTGATACACACACACACACACACATACACACATTGGAGGAAGTTCTATCATTTGTGACAACATGGATGAACCTGGAGCACATTATGTTAAGTGATATAAGTCAGGTAGAGACAGACAGGCAGATACTGCATGATCTCACTTATATGTGGAACCTAAAACAGTTGAACTCGTAGGAACAGAGAGTAGAATGGTGCCTATCAGGGGTTGGGGTTGGGGGGAAATGGGGAAATGTTGGTCACAGCCCACAAAGGCTCAGTTATTTGGGATACATAAGTCCTGGAGAGCTAATGTACAGCATGGTGACAATAGTAGATTAATCTGTATCATACACTTGAAATTTGCTAAGAGAATTAATCTTAGGTGTTTTCACCACACATGAAAAATATTTTATTGTGCGAGGTGAAGGGTATGTTAATTAGTTTGGTTGTGGGGATCATTTCATGATATATACATAGCTCAAAACATCACATTGTATACTTTAAATATATGTAATTTTTATTTGTAACGTATACCACAGTAAAGCTGGAAAAACATAAAATAATTGAATTTATCATAAAAAAACTTCCCATACAAGAAATTCGGTGTTGTGATGAGTTCACCAATGAATGCTATCACAGATTTACAAAAGAAATAACATCAATATTACACAGACTTTTTCCAAAAATATAGGCGTGACTGCTTCCTAACATATGTTATTAGGCTAGCACAATCCTGATATCAAAAGCCGACAATGCAGTTGGAAGGAAAGGAAATTACAGGTCAATATCTCTTATGAACACACAAAGCAAAATCCTCAACAAAATATTAGCAAACTGAATTCAGCACTATATGAAGACTGCATCTCAGTATTGCAAAGATGTTCCAACATGGAAAAATTAAATCAAAGCAATTTCACATATTATAGAATAAAGTAGAAAAATCATATAATAATCCCAGTAGATAGATGCAGCAAAAGAGTTTGATGAAATCCAAAACTTGTTCATGATGAAAAACACGCAGCAAATTGCAAATAGAAGGAAACCTTCTCAACCTGATCGTGGGCATCTATGAAAATCATACAGCAACCATCATTGTTAATGGTTAAAGCCAGAATGCTTTCCCCCTAAGACTGGGAATAAGACAAAGATGTTCAGTCTCCTTACTTCCCATAAATACTGTACTGGATGTCCTAGCCAATGCCATAAGGCAAAATAAATAAACAAACGAATTTAAAAAGGAGAGAAATATTTAAAAAAGAAGAAATAAAAATGTATTAACAAATGTTATCATTATCCGTATAGAAAATCCTAAGGATTTTATGAAAAAAACTACTAGAGCTAAAAATGAATTTAGCAACGTCACAGAATACAAGATGAATATATGAAGTTAATTATTATGAACAACAAGTATTTAGAAAATAAAATTTCAAAATGAGAAGGGAGTTAATTTGATGAAAGCTGTGCAAGATTTCTACATGGAAAGCTATAAAACATTTTTGAAAGAAATTAAGGAAGAGCTAAATTAACTGAAAGACATGTCCTGTTAGTGGATGGGAAGACTAGATAGTGTTAAGATGTTCTTTGTACCCAAACTGACTTATAGATTCAACAAAATTCCAAACAAAATCTCAGCAGGCTTTTTTTTTTTTTTTTGGTAGGAATTAACAAAGTTACCCTAAACTGATCTGAAAATGCAAGAGACCTAACATAGCTGAAACAATCTTTAAAAAGAACGAAATTGGAGGACTCACACTTCCTGATTTCTATGGTGCTACAAGAACTAGGTGTCTGTGTAGAAAAAAAATGAACCTCAATCCTTTGCTCACGTTGTTTTGAAGAATTAATTTGAAATGAGTCGTAGGTTCGGAGCATAATGCCTTCAACTGTAGAACTTCTAGGAGGTAGCATAGCAGAAAAACTGCAATTTAGGGGTAGACAAATATTTCTAGGAACACAAAAAGCACTAACTAAAGAAGAAAAATGACCAGTTGTACATCATCAAATTAAAATTGCTTGCCCTGCCGAAGACATTGACAAGAAAAAGACATAACAAACCACAGACTGGGAGACAGTATTTGCAATGCACATATCTGGCAAAGACTAGTATCCAGAGTCTACAAAGTTCTCTTACAACTGAATAATAGAAGGCAAACAACTAATAAATAAGAGAAGTTCTGAATAGGCATTTCACAAAAGAAGATACACAATTGGCCAATGAGTGAATGAAATGATGCTCAGTGCCATTAGTTATTGGGAAAATGCAGATTAAAATGGAATACCACTTTATATCTAAATGACTTAAATTATGACTAAACTGACTAAAAGACTAAAATTAAACAGACTGACAAGACCAAGCATTGTTAAGGATGTTGAGCAACTGGAACTTTCATATATTACTGGGGAGGGGAGGGAGTGTAAAATGGCAAAATCACTTTTGAAAACTGTCTGGCGGCTTTATGGAAAGTTAAGCATACACTCACCAAATGACTCAGCAACTCCATTCCTCTGTTTTTACCCAAGAGAAATGAAAACATATGTCCATAAAGAGACTGGTCCAGGAATGTTCCTAGCAGCTTTATTCATAATAGTTTTAAGTCTGGAAAGAACTCAAATGTCCACCAACTGGAAATGAATCAACAACTATAATACATTTAGACCACGGAATACTACTCAGCCATAAAAAGGAACAAATGCTGGATACGTGCATGGATGAATCTCACTCACAGGCGTGCTAAGTGAAAGAAACAGGACAGGAAACAAATGCATTCTGTATGATTCAATTTATATTAAGTTCCAATTATATTAAAACAGAAAAAAATACATATCTGTAGAGATAGAAATGAGGCCAGCGGTTAACTGGAGCAGGGGGTAGGATGGAGGTCACTGACTTTAAGAGGCAAGAGGATGATTTCTGGAAAGATGGAAACATTCTATGTCTTGCTCAGGGTGGTGGTTGCATGAGTGTGTACTTTGTTCAAATGCCATTGACCTGTACATTTAAAATGTGTGTATTTTGCTATTTTAAACTAAACCTGCACAATGTTGATTTTTAAAATAAGTCATTTAAAATAAACATTTGAATTTCAGGATTGCCTTGGAAAGCCACATGTGGGAATACTGGGCAAGTAATCCTACTTAACCACAGCCAGGTGGAGCTGAGCTACAGCCACCCTGTTCAGATTGGAGCAGCCTCTCACAAGGCTCTCACACACCCTCCCTTTTCGTTCATTTATACTATTTGTCAGATCACTGCTTGTTGGCCTCTGCTCTTTAAAAAGCGTTCATTTATTCATTGACTTTTTTTTCAGCCAGCAATTACTCATCAAACATGTCCTCGATTCTCTGGACTGGCGATTTCTTCTACTTGGGAGCAATCCGCTCTTCATTTGAGCAGCAGGGATGGAGAGAACCCACCACATTCTTGGAGAAGGCTGTGGCATCTTACAGACGCTCCCCCAGGGTTAGCTGGCTCTAGCTCAGGGGCAGGAGGCAACCTGCTTTGGCTCCCTTGGAATAAGGGAGATAAACCAAGAAGGAGGTGAAATTTCCCTTTATTCTGACCATCCCTGATTCTTAGGCCTTTTCCCCAAGACCAGCTCTAGGGCAGAGGAGCCTGTGACTGAGAGCATTACAGATACCCAATCAGGGCATATAAATCAGGGTCTGGAATTAAAGAAAAGTGGGATTTTTATAAAATGGATCATCATTGTATGGCTTTGGTGATATAAATCAGTCAGGTGTAGCTAAAGTGTGAAGTGAATGCCCTTAAATCAAAACATTTTCCTTAGGAATTCCTAGGCACGACTTGTGAAGCTGCTATAGGATCCGTAAGCTCCGGTTGGAGTTATGTAAATCCATTTCCTCCCCTATAAAGCAGCTGAATGTTTTAACTAAATCTAATTCTTAAAATAATGATTTCTGAATCAAAACTTTGCTGGGAAGATTTACAGGCAAGTTTTATAAATCAGAGGCAAGATATATAACTCAGATAGTGAGAAGTGCAGATTTATAAATCCAACTTGTAAATCAGGAGAAAAAACATCATGTTTTACACTAAATAATATTTTTACAAATGGCACCTCATACATCATGCAACTGCCACAAATCTTTCACAGTGGAGTCAGGCTACATAATACGAGGCTGAATCACAAAGGAAATTGAGGCCTGGGTGGTGAAGTCGGGATCGGGGCATGTGGGTTTGGAAAAATGCTCCTGTAAGCACCTAATCAATGTAGATCAGCCAGGGGCTTTGGCATCAGACTCAGGTATGTTTGTAATTCCGCTCGGCCTCCTGAGAGCTGAAAGTGTGGGAGAATCACATCATCGTGCCACCATCCTGGTCTCAGTTTTCTTTCTCTATGAATCCCAGGCAATAATCCTTTTGCCAATGGATTGTTGTGAGCTTTAAATGAGATGCTATCTGTATAGCACTTAGCTTGGGGTCTGGAAAATACCAAGTGCTTAATAAATGTCAGTTTTCTATTAATATATTATCATCTGCATTATTATTGTGATCATCCTCATTATTATTATTTTTAGTCCATATCACTTTTCCATCCCATGACTCATAAAACAAGCAGTGATGGGGGCCAGCGGCGGTGGCTCATGCCTGTAATCCCAGCACTTTGGGAGGCCGAGGCTGGAGGATCACGAGGTCAGGAGATGGAGACCATCCTGGCTAACAAGGTGAAACCCCGTCTCTACTAAAAATACAAAAAAAAATTAGCCGCGCGTGGTGGCAGGAGCCTGTAGACCCAGCTACTTGGGAGGCTGAGGCAGGAGAATGGCATGAACCCGGGAGGCGGAGCTTGCAGTGAGCCGAGATTGGGCCACTGCACTCCAGCCTGGGCAACAGAGCAAGACTCCGTCTCAAAAAAAAAAAAAAAAAAAAAAAAAGCAGTGATGGGAAGCAGGGGTAGTGATGGGGCTGCTGACTCCAGGACCGTGGCCCTGAGAGGTGGGTTGTCTTCTCCTAGCTCAGCTGCATTTAGGTCTGACCACTTTCCCCAGCAATTCCCCAGTTTTTGGCTGTAAGAATTTCCCCGAAAAAGCTTCCTGAAGACCATTTTTTGATACCTGACTTCTCTGCAGGATTTAAATAAAAGTTAATGTTTTTAAGAATCTTGTTACAAAAAGTAATACATTTTTATTGCAGAATATTTGAGGAATAATGAAAATCACCAACACTTTTGCCGCCCAGAGATAATCACTGATAACTTTTTGGTTATCCTCTTAAAGTCTTTTTCTATGCATATATTTACATACATACATTTTTTAAAAACAAAAAAATGAAATGTACAGATGGGTTTGCAACTTTTTTCCCCATTTAACTATATATTGTGAACCTTTTCTGAAGTCACTACATAATTCTCAGTATGATTTTTTTATGACCTTGGATTATAATGCACCATACTTTATTTAAGCAGCTGCATATTTTCAGACGTTTATTTTGTTTTTAATTTTTTGCTTTTATAAACAACCTTCCAGGGAACATTTTTAAATAAATTTCTGCAGTTATTTATGATTATTTTCTGAGGATAAATTCCTAGAAGAGGAATTGCTGGGTAAATGAACTACACATATTTTAAAGAATTTTGCCAAGTTACCCTCTAGAACAATTGTATCACTTTAGGATCATCCTAGCAATCTGTGGGTGCCCATTTTCCCAGGCTCTACATAATCTTTTCTTTTTTAGAAAATGTCAGTGTAATAGCTGAAAAATCGTGTTTCACTATTGTTTCAGTTTGCACATCTTTGACAGCTTGCAAAGTTAAACATTTTTCATATTTTTGCTGTTAGTACTTCCTTTGTGAATTTTCTAATCATGTCTTTTGTCCACATTGACATTTCAGAGACTTAAGAATGTAAACCCTTTGTTACATACATTGCAAGTTTCTTTTTCCAGTTTCCTATTTGCTCTTAGATATAGTTATGGCAGAATATTTGAATTTACATGTGATCAATTTCATCAAGATTCTACTTTATGGTAATACACTACCTAAAAGATTTTCCCATTACAAGATCAGATAAACATGCACCTATATTTCCTTCTAGTTCATTTGTATATGTATTTTTAAATTTATAATCCGCTTGACATTTATTTTAGGATGTGGTGTGAAGCAGTGATGAATCAATTTATCTTTAGTGTTTCGCAGTTGTCCCCGCATCATTTCCCCCAGAGACTTGAAAAAGCTCTCCTATTATGGAATAGATTCTTAATGTTCTTTCTACCTGCCCATCCTTGGTCCAATAACATTCTATTTTAATTGTCGTAGTTTTAGAATCTATCTTAATGTCCTTGCAAATGTTTCTAATCTTTCTGTTTGGTCAAACTTTACTTGATTATTTTATTCATTTATTCTTCCAGACAACATTTAGAATCATTTTGTCAGGTTTCAAAGAAAACTTTATTAAAATTTGGATTGGAATTATAATAGACTTATACACAAATTGAGGCAATGGCCCCCTTACAATGTTTAGTCTTCTCTTTCAGGAACATGCATGCACCCCTCTAATTTTACCCTTCTCATATCTTCTTCTATAAAACTCCCTTCTAAAACCACTGGGTCAGGACAGCATCCCAGTCAGGTAGGACTAATATTACTGGACTCAGTTTCAATCAAATTTGGAACCCACAGGTCTGTTTTGAGGAAGGAGGAGATGGAGAGAGGTTAGGATCTAAGATTAGAGTGGCGAGGTAGTGCATGCCCCTCCTTTGAGAACACTCACTTCCAGGAAGGTTCTGTAGGAAACTTCAAATACCAGGGTCTACAAATGACCCTGCAGTCACTGACCCATGTACAATCCTTCTGTGCAGGCTCTGCTTAACATCCTGGCAGCATTGGTAGAGATTTTTATTTAAAATCTGAACACCACTCTCTGCAATCTGTCCATGGGAAGGTGCTAGTAACCTTCAGTGTTCAAATATCCCAGCTCAAGGAAGAAAGTTTGACCCTAAGCTTCTGATTGAAACACAATAAAGCAAATAATGATTGAAAAATAAGACACATATTCTTGGGAACCATGCTAATATTGTCTCTAATAATTTTTTTTTTTTTTTTTTTAGACAGGGTTTCACTCTGTCACTCAGGCTGGAGTACAGTGGTGTGATCTCAACTCACCATAACCTCTGCCTCCGGGGCTCATGTGATCCTCCCCCCTCAGCCTCTGGAGTAGCTGGGACTGCAGGCACACACCACCATGCCTAGCTAAATTTTGTAATTTTTGTAGACATAGGGTTTCACTATGTTGCCCAAGCTGGTCTTGAACTCCTGGGCTCAAGCAATCTGCCCACCTTGACCTCCAGAAGTGCTGGGATTACAGGTGTGAGCCACCACACCCAGCCTGAAATAGAATTTGTATTGGTGAATTCAGGAATTACAAGAGCTTCAATAATGTCTTGAAGCTCTTAACTTAACTTGGCAATGCTCCCTCTACTCTCCTTGCAGCTCCCCAGTGAAGCATGGCCTTGTGCACCATAAGCAGATTTGAAGTTTAAGAAGATGACTCTAGATGTTCCACGGAGAATGTTAGGAGTGAGAATGGCCATGGGAAGACCCACTGGGAGGCTGTTGAGTTGCCCAGGTAAGATGATGGTTTTATGGACTTGTTGGGGGTCCGTGTGGATGGAGGGAAGGAACCAGAGTTTACACATATGTTGGTCATAAAAATAAACCAATAAGATTTCATGATGGCGCTAGAGAAGGGAAGATGTCCAAGATGATTCCAAGGTTTCTGGCAGAAGAAACTGGATGGTTGCTGAGATTTGAAAGGTGGAGTAGGAATAGATTTGGGGACAGCAGGGATAGGACTGCCTGGAGCTGAGTTCAAGGCATGCTTGTGTAGATCCTGGATGTCTTGTCATTAAGTGAGAGAAACCTACCTCCAACTTTACTGAGTGAAAAAGAAGAGTTTTGGGGTACGCAATATAAAGCCCACAGGTGGAACAGATTTTCAGCCCCTGGTGTTCAACATTGGCATTAGGGATCTCTCTCTTCTTCCCTCCCATCCTCTCTTTCTTCCCCCTTCTGTTGCTGTAAGCTGTGCTTTCACTGTGCTGCCTTTCTCTTCTAGCAGGCTCTCCCTAAGTTTGGTGGCAGAGTTGGCCCAGTCTCTTCAGGCTTCTATTCTATTCTACCAGCATAGCAATTCCAGTGAGAAAATAGGGTTTTTTTCCTCCTCAAATTGTGTCAGCAAAATTTGTTGGGTGTGAATGGTCTTGACCCACTTTTGACTCAGTAACTCTCTTTATACCAATCTGATTCTGGGTAGATCTGTCATATGACCAGACAATTTTGAAAAGGTATTTGGGCTAGGCGTGGTGGCTCATTCCTGTAATCCCAGCACTCTGGGAGGCTGAGACGGGTGGGTGGCTTGAGGTCAGGGGTTCGAGACCAGCCTGGGCAACATAGTGAAACCCCATATCTACTAAAAATACAAAAAGTTATCCAGGCATGGTGGCACAGGCCTGTAGTCCCAGCTACTTGAGAGGCTGAGGCACAAGAATCGCTTGAACCTGGAAGGCTGAGGTTGCAGTAAGCCGAGATGGCACCACTGCACTCCAGCCTGGATGACAAAGAGAAATTCCATCTCAAAAAAAAAAAAAAAAAAAGAAAGAAAGAAAGAAAGAGAAGAAAAAGAAAAAAGAAAAAGTATCTGCAAGGGATAGTTCTCTAAAAGCAAAAAATGAAAATAAGGAAATAAACAGATTGGACAGACAAATCACAGATGCCTATATCTGCTAATATATGTGACCTTAAAATTTATTGTCTAAGATGTTTTTGAGTCTGAAAGGGGTGCTGTGACTACTTATGCCAGGACACCACATGTAAATAGAGACTTCCCAGAGCAAATGAAGACATATGGTCACCTTATGTCTTGAACACAGGGTGTTCAAGTAGAGATGTTGACTTGTGGTTGGTGCTCAGATGGAAGGCAAGAATGGAATATAGGATTTAGAGCGGTTAGCAGGGAAGTTCTGATGGAATGGTGTATTAGTCCATTTTCACGCTGCTGATAAAGACATACCTGAGACTGGGTAATCTACAAACAAAAAGTTGTTTAATGGATTCACAGTTCCATGTGGCTGGGGAGGCCTCACAATCATGGCAAAAGGCAAAAGGCACACCTTACATAGTGGCAGGCAAAGAGAAAATGAGAACCAAGCAAAAGAGGAAACCCCTTATGAAACAATCAGATCTTGTGAGACTTGTTCACTACCATGAGAACAGTGTGGGGGAAACCACCCTTATGATTCAGTTATCTCCTACTGGTTCCCTCCCACAACACGTGGGAATTATAGGAGCTACAATTCAAGATGAGATTTGGGTGGGGACACAGAAACCATATCAAATGGTATGGGAAGAAGTGGAATTGAAGGAGTCGAAAGAGTGGGTTGAAGATTGAAAGGAGGTGAGGAATTGGGGACAGCATCATATGGACACATTGCTTTTTTTTTTTTTTTAAGATGGAGTCTTGCTCTGTTGCCCAGGGTGAAGTGCAGTGGCATGAGGTTGGCTCACTGCAACCTCCATCTCCCGATTCCAGTGATTCTCCTGCCTCAGCTTCCCAAGTAGCTGGGATTACAGGTGCCCATTAACACACCCTGCTCATTTTTGTATTTTTAGTAAAGGCAGGGTTTCACCATGTTAGCCAGGATGGTCTCAAACCCCTGTCCTCAAGCAATCCACCTACCTTGGCTTCCCAAAGTGCTGGGGTTACGGGCATGAGCCACCGTGCCCAGCTGACACACCGCTTTTAAGCCAGATTGGGAAGGGTAAGGAGATAAGGCAACAGCAGGAGGAAAATGAGTGAGAGCAAAGGAAATGAATTTTAAGACTGGGAGACTAGTGGAAACTGTAAGCAAAGGAATAGATATCTGTTGATGGAAACTGTCAGAAGGCAGGAGGGAAAAGGCCCCTCAGGAAGGAGAAGGGCGAACTTCACCTTTGTAACTGAAGGAAGGTGGGGGAGGATGGGGAGGTGCAGATGGGCCGATAGATTCTGTCATGCAAGAAAGAGATGCTCCTGTTCCTATACGATGGCTTCTCATTTTTCCATAAAGTGCAGGACAAGGCTGTATGCCAAGATTGGGGTTTGAGGCCATAAGATGCGTTGAACATGTTGCTGTGGTAAAAGGGTTGGTGAACGAAATGCACCAAGACTGTTGGGCAATGTGACAGGCTGAGATGTGTGTGGCAATGTGAGCCAGCTATGGATTGCAGCGTCTCTGCCAAGGCTGGGGGAAATATATTCAGCTTATCCCCCTAGGCTTGTTTGCAGACCACTCCTTTCATTCCCTGGGACTTCAAAGAGATTGTCACATCTCCACCGTCTGAGGCTGACTCTGGGGCCAGGCTTCCTATAATGCCATTCGGGATGCTCAAATGATCATGCTCTATGGGCACCTGAAGTAACATGGCCTCACTTCTAAATGAATGGCAGCATTTGCATGAAGGAAAAACATTTTTAATGCCCCCTTTTCTGATTTAGGAGGTTGCTGAAGTCAGGGTGCAGTAGAATTTGCCATAATTCACAGGTCTGGCCTCCTCTTCTCCAGAGGCCTCCAGCCAGCACATTGCAGTGTTCAGAAGCTGCTCTTGGGTGCTCAGGGGGAACAGGGGCCCTGGGGCTTCTAGGCCGTACATAAAAGCTGAAGCCTTTGTGTGTTCATCCTGGCTGGTAATTTGCCATTTAAGAAATTCACATTGGACTTTATCACCTCCAGCTCTTGAGCACAATGTCTTTTCTTGATAGAAAGCTGGTGAATCAAATAAAGTTTTTAAATGAAAATATTATAAAAGAAAATTTTGGTGGATTCCCCTTGTTTTATTGTTTTTAATTTTTTCTAGCACCAACATAAAAGGATTTCTCTTTGGTACACAAACTACTTACTGGGGCTGCTGAATAGCAATGATATGATTTAATATCTAGAGTGTCCTCAAGCCCTAAGGCTAGAGTATTAGAATTGGAGGTAGCATTGACCCACCACGTCTGGCTTCTGTGAGGTCCTGTGCCATCCACATAGGTCTGCATGATTAATACTTAAGAGATTATGTCCTGGGAGACATGTATGGAGACATCATTGGAGTGGTTGTCTTCACAGCAAACGTCACTTGAAACTTCCTTTTCCCCCTTCAGAATACCAACGTGATTATGCATTGAGCTGTTGCTATTTACAGATATCTTAGCACAGAGAGCATTACACAGCCAATGACACAGAATTACAACCATCTAGACATATGGTTTGGATAAACAAAGCACAAAGCACAAATTAACCATGGTTGACTATAACTCCCGCTCTCTACTCCCTAGGGAGGGACTTTAGTGAAACTCCCAGTTGGAGAAAGCAATACATATCAGAAAGTAGAGTGCATACAGCATGGTTTAGACAAATGGTAAACCTTATTTAATGCTTTTCATGGTGCCAGAACACAATGGCACCAACCTGTCTAGCAAAAGTTATATCTCCGTGCCAGTTTCCTGTAAATAGTAACTGTACTCCTACCGGATTCCATGCCTGTGTGCTCCAAGGCCAAAGAATGCCTTTCATTTTTCATCACCTTGCTTCTACTTCCTGTGTCCAAAGGCCTGGTTGCCGAGTGCATCTGGATGTTAGAGCTGCAAGGAGTTGGACGCAAGTAGCCTCCTCTGAGTAAACACCCTTCAACTTCCACTGTGGTCCTTCCCCTCACTGAGTGGCCCATGCTAGTCTATAGGGAAGAACCCCCATCACCCCCACCCCCGCTCCAGCTAGGACAGTCAAGGCCTGAGCTCATCCAACCCCACGGGTGCCATTAGGAGTGGGAGGATTCTATTTGCTGGCAGTCAGCATTCCCCCCACTTTCCATATTTTATCTTCCATGAAAAATTCTTCCAGGACAGGAAACTTTCTGTGTGAGGTCCTTGGCCCCATCATTGACACACGAACCTTATAAACTTTGTTTGACAATAAAGAGTATAATATTTGCTTTTCATAATACATGTGCATCGCTTTCCAAAGGAGAGAGCAAAATAAATAAATAACTGGAGTGAAAGGCTTCTACTTGGCTTGAACACTTGTACTGGAGTTTTTCAAAAGGAAAAAAAATCCACAGAACACTTAGCTAAATATATACCTACTTTTTTTTTCTTGTCTTTGGTGACTTTTCAGATGTACATAATGTATTTAGTTCTCCCTCTCTCTGTCACACACACACACACACACACACACACACACACACACGTTATAAGAACTAAAATTAGAGTCCATCATTCACAGACCTACCTGGGAGAAGGTATACACATGAGGCCCCACAAATACAGAGGGCTCTACAGTGTCAGATAAGCCTTAAAGACTTAATATTTTATGAGTTGGTAAACCTTTGATTCTTATTATTTTATTAGCTGACCCTAATATTTTAAGTGTACACCAAAAACAAATTCTGCTCCATGAGATGAGCAGAGGAAAAATCTACAGGCTCAGATGTCCAAGAGAAACAGGGCTTCCATCAGTGTGACAGGGACATGGAATCTCTAATGCCCTCTCAACAGAAATCCTAGCTGCCAACCTCCTGAGCCTCATGGTCATCTTGAGTCAAGGGAATTGTGTGAGATCCACTCAAGTGGCCTTGATGGCTTTCTTCTTGCAAAGGTTGGGCAGGCAGCGGGAGACTCGCTGACCCCACATGGGTATTATTGACATGTCTTCTTGCTGTCATTTTCACATCTCATTTCTAACCCTCTGAAGTGAATAGGGAAGACTACTGAATCACTCTCTGTCATGTTTATATGGCAAAATAGAAATGGAGAAGGACAAGAGACGAGATTCCCAGGGCAAAGCTAATGGACTTACCAAGGCCACTTACCTGGATTCAATAATTCAAATTAACTCCATTCAATTCAGCAAATATTTTCCGAGTACCTCCTATGAAGGAAGTCCCTGTGCTAAGCCCCGTAGAAGATACAGAAAAGAAACTGAAGCTGAAGCTCCAGTCCAGAGGGAGAAACATTTAAGGGTGAAATATTCCTGAGAGCATGGCAGCTGGAGAGGGACAGGAGGTCCTGAAGGAAGGAGGAATCCATTCTGATTAGTACTGGGGAACAGGAAGATGGGAACCTTGACTTTACTCTAGAGCCTTTGAAAGTTTTTCCAAGTCTAGGAAGGTTGTGAAGTGTGTACCAAGTCTCAGTCCTACTTGTCTCTTTTCATCTCAAGAGTCAAGTGAAAATATCTTCAAGCATATTGAAAATAACATCTGGTCACATGCGTTTGACTGACCCCATTCCCATTGTGGACTCCAATATATACTGGATGTGTTTCATTTTGCTTCTGTGTAAAACAGATTCTACTAGCCCATAAAGAGGGATTTTACATTTAGTCTTCTGTGACGTTCATTAGTAACATGTTCCATATGCACTTACAGATGTACATTCTACAAATTGGAATTCTTACAGTCTAGCTATAGATGAAGAAAATTCATGGGAAATCTCTATGAGGCTCAAAGAATGGATGGGAAGGGTAAAGACCCTGGCTTAAAATAGACTGCAACCAAGGTATAGCTGGGGTCCAGGCAAACTCAACCACGTACACTGTCAGGGGACCATGAGCTCCAACCACTTCCTGACCTCATGTCACTGTACTCCAGATTCAAAGTCCTGGGGCTGAAGAGAGGCTGGTTGCAAAGGTCCCATTCTTGACACCTTGGCTTGCAGTCTTACAAGACCCAAGACAGAGGGCGAGGTAAACCTTTCACCTTTCAGAAGCACATTAGGATGCTATTATTGAAAGTAAGGTGAAGGGATTATGAGTCACCAAGCCACCAGGAAGTGCACCATATTTAGTGGGCCAGATACCGTGTTAATGCTAAGATAATAAACTCATGGACACTGAAGCCCAGCGACAGGCCACCATTTTGTGTTAGGGAGTAGACATGTAAATAACTTACCACCAAACATGGAAGAAGAGAAAGCATTACAGGAGAGGGGAGGTGAAGAAGGAACTCCAAGGGAGGTTGGAGGAGAGACAGTGGTTTCTATTCAATGTGCCCAGCTAACCTTCAGATGATATCGTGGTGATGCTGTGGAAGGAATGTGGAGTGTATCTGATGACCTCGGGCACATGGCTGAGGCCGGGAGTGGATTTAGGTCAGCCACCAATTTGACATAAGGAGAACTGCACATCCATGTTGGAGTTATGACATGTGTTTTCTGTTGACTTTGATTTGAAGACACCCCACCACCTATTCCTTGACACTCCTGTGTCTCAAAAAAGTGTCTTTCAAGGTATGTGTATCACTGCACTCATACACATGCACATATCTATTGGAAACCCTGGCCCAAATTGGCTTTCTATCCACCACCAAAAGAATTCAGCATCCTTTTCTTGAGTTTTCATTGCACTTTACCCTTACCTCTAATGCTACACCTGCCATGTTAAATTAAAATTATATTTTGCAGATAATATCTTGTCCATCATGGCATCCCCTGTGTCTGGCATAGTATCTGATACCAAGTAGGCATGTGACAGATGTTGGGTGAATATACATAGTTGAGCATACACATCTCTGATCTTAGTCTTGTTACTGCTGGTGATAATAAACATTTGTAATTAGGCATTTTAACTAGTTTGGCATCTATGCTGTTCTTATGTAACTACTTTTGGTGGATTTGCCTGTTGCTTTCTGTAGCTGCTTCAAAAGGAAGTGGTGCACATTTCAGTCTTCATTGAAATTTCAATCCTGGAGTCATAAATATTGCTATGTGCTCACCAAAATCTGTTCCTTCATCTTTCTGAGCACACAGCTAGACTACATTTCCCAGCCTCCTTTGCAGTGAGGTGTGGTCATGTGACTCGGTGTTAGCCAGAGGAAAGGAAAAGGAAGTGAAGTGCACCACTTCTCAGACTGGCCCTTTAAAAACCTACCCTGTGATCATCCTTCCTTACCTGCCAGCTGAATAGAAAGGGCGCCAAGGCTCTAGCTACTAATAGCCACTAATCATATGTTGCTATTTAAATTTGAATTAATTTAAATGAAATAAAAATGAGAGACAAAGAACTATCACAGTCCCAAGTACTCTTGATTTCTTCCCTTCCCCAACCCAATGAAATAAAAATAAAATGTGAAATTGAAGTTAGATGAGACCCAAAATACATATATAGAGAGACAAGGGGCAGTGAGAGACCTCAGTTGCTGTCTAACTTACAACCTGTCGCCCTTCACTTATTCATCTCTTTACCTTTCTCCTGCAAGTCTCCCATACCATCATGGGGCAACTTTTGGATGACAGATAACTGGATTTCAATCTTGCCTTTGGCATTTCCTTGCTATGTGATTATTGTGTTTTTATTTAATGTTTCCAGGCCCCTGTTCCTTCCTCTTAAAGTTGCAGCCGATGCTTCTCACTTCAGTAATCAGTTTGACAAAAATAACATACACCAATGTGGCATAGTTATAGTTCCTCTTAAATCTATCTCTCCATTTTTATTTCATACAGATATCCAGTTGTTCTACCACTGTTTGTTGAAAAGGATTTTCTCCACCATCCATCCACCTTGGCCTTGACAAGGTAAATGGGTAGTGGGAGAAATCGTCTTTAATTGATCTTTTTCCAAGAGATCAGTTGAAGACTATTGATTAAATTGATCAAATAATCAATTGATCAATTGATCTTTCCAAAGATCAATTGAATATATATATTTTAATGTAATCAAATTCCATATATATTCAATTATATACTTATACACATTCCAGATATATTCAGTATACATTTTGAATATACATATATATTTTTTATATATATACATATATATATCTATACACATATATATTCACTTCTGGACTCTATTCTGTTTGTTCCATTGATTCATAAGCTAATAGAACTGTCTTAATTACTTTCCCTAATTTAAATACCATAAAGTAAGTCCTGAAATGAGATAATAAAGGTTCTTCAATGTTTTTCTTCTTTAAAAAATTAAATAAAATTAAAAATTCAGTTCTGCCATTGCACAGGCCACATTTCAAGTGCTTCATAGCCATACATCTTTAGTGGCTATTGTATTGGACAAGGAAATATAGAACATTTCCATCACCATAGAATATTCTACTGGCCAGAACTGCTCTAGAAGAGGGTAAAATCACAACAGAGAGAGAAGCCAAGTCACTGAACAAGTTTGCTTCAAGTTTGCTTGAAGCAAACTTCTCACTGCCATCATTACCACTGATTGGACTTGATAAGAAAAATGAACTTCTGCTGTGTTGAGCCCTTTGGATTTAGGGGTTTATTTATTCACAGTAGCTACTGAGTCATTCTCTGATACAGAGGTCATAGGTCAAGACACGGAATCATTTTGTTCACCTGTCTCTCCATAGGCAGTGAAAAACAAGCTCCACTGGGAGAAGTGTCTTGTCTGAGAGCAGAGAACTAATGAATTTTTGGGGTCCAATCCAGAAACACTGATTTTATACGTATGGTGAAAGCATAAAGGCCTCACTGTCAGCTTCGAAGAACTTCCCTTAAGTCTTTAGAGCCTGAAGATATGCACATCTCACTCTGTGATGCAGCCTTACTAATGCTCTGGTACAAACATGTACCTGAAGCATCTCCTTCTGCAAGTAAGAACCTCCTGACAGTCACAGTGTGGCAAAGCCTGTAAAATTAGTAGAAAAATTAGCAATGCTGCCGGATTACAATCCCACTACCTCAGACCATGGGGAGTGAAATTCCCAATGGGCCATGACACTTTAGAAAATAATGTTATAACAAATTTAAAGGTTTAAGTTAGAATCATACAGCATGTAGCCCTTTTACACTGGCTTCCCCCACCCCAATTAGTAACATACATTTAAGTTTTCTCCAGGCCTTTTTTATGGCTGATAGCTCATTTCTTTTTAGCTCTGAACAATATTCCATAGTCTGGATGAACCAGTTTATTCATCCGTTGAACTACTGAAGGATGACTTGGTTGCTTCAAAGTTTTGGCAATTATTAATAAACCTATTACACATATCCACGTGGGAGTTTTTATGTAGACATAAGTTTTCTCTTCTCTTGGGTATATCTAGGAGTGAGACTGCAGGATGGCATGGTAAGAGTATATTTAGTTTTATAAGAAACCCCCAAATTGTCTTCCAAAGTGGCTGTTCCATTTTGCATTTCTACCAACAATGAATGAAAGTTCCTGTTACTCCACATCCTTGCCAGCATTTAGTGTTGTCAGTGATCTCAATTTCAGCCATGCTAATAGATGTGTGGTGGCATCTCAGTGTTGCTCTAAGTTGTATCTCCCTAATGACATATGACATAGGACATAGGACATATGACATAGGTATTTGCCATCTCTGTCTTCTTTGGTAAGGTGTCTGCTAAGGTCTTTGGCCCATTTTTAAGCTGGATTGTTTATTCTGTGATTGTTGAGTTTTAAGTGTTCTTGTACACTTTGGATAGCAGGCCTTTTTCAGATAATATCCTTTGCAAATATTTCCTCCCAGTCTGTGGCTTGTCTTTTCATTCTCTTGGCAGTGTCTTTCACAGAGGAGAAATTTTTAATTTTAATTAAGTCCAGCTTATCATTTCTCTCTTTCACGGAATGTGCCTTTGGTGTTGGATCTAAAAAGTCCTCACCAAATCCTAGGCCATCTAGATTTTCTCCTATGTTATCTTCAAGGAGTTTATTGTTTTGTGTTTTACATGCTTTACATACTGTATCATTCCAACTGTGTGACATTCTGGAAAAGGCAAAATTGTAAAGACAGTGAAAAGACCAGTGGTTATCAGGGGTTGAGGGGAGGAAGGGATGACAGGCAGAGCACAGAGGAGTTTCAGGGCAGTGACACTGCTTTGTAGGATTCTATACACTGCTTTGTAGGTGGATACATGCCATTATGCATTGATCTAAACTCGTAGAATGCACAACACCAAGAGCGAACCCTTACGTAAACTATGGATTCTGGGTGATGGTGATGTGTTAGTGCAGTTCATCAGTTGTAACAAAAGGACCAACTGGTGGGGGCTGTCGATAATGGAGGAGGCTGTGCATGTCAAATGCAGGGGGCACATGGGAAATCTCTGTACCTTCTGCTCAGTTTTGCTGCAAAACTAAAACTGCTCTAAAATAAAGTCTAGTTTATTTTTTTTTAAAGGTAAATTAGATTACGACCTCCCTTTTCTTAAAATCCATCTATAACATTTGCTTTGCACTTTAAATAAATGTTTGTCCTTTGGAAGGGAGTTCTCGCCTTTCATCCACCAGCCCTGCCCATCTCCTTGACCTCATCTGCTCCATCTCCCCCTCGTTCACCCCGTTGCCCTGTTCCAGCACCACTGGATTTCTTTCTGTTCCTTTAAGGTTTGCACACAAGTTCCACCTTGGGCATTTGTCCTTGTTGTTCCTCTGCCCACAACATTCTGCCACTAGCTGTCTCTGCCCCTTAACCCCAGCCATGCACACAGAGATTTTCACAGGTTGGATGTGTCATAGTCCTTCATGTCTCCATTCAAAAGCTGCCTCCTGGGCGGGGTGCGGTGGTTAATGCCTGTAATCCCAGCACTTTGGGAGGCTGAGGCGGGTGGATCACCTGAGGTCAGGAGTTCGAGACCAGCCTGGCCAACATGGTGAAACACCTTCTCTACTAAAAATACAAAAATTGGTAAATTGGTCAGGCGCGGTGGCTCATGCCTGTAATCCCAGCACTTTGGGAGGCTGAGGCAGGCAGATCACAAGGTCAGGAGATCGAGACCATCCTGGCTAACATGGTGAAACCATGTCTCTACAAAAAAATAAAAAATAAAAAATAAAAAATAAAAAAAATTGGCCAGGCGTGGTGGCGGGCACCTGTGGTCCCAGCTACTCGGGAGAGAGGCAGGAGAATCGCATGAACCCGGGAGGCAGAGCTTGCAGTGAGCCGAGATCGCACCACTGCACTCCAGCCTGGGTGGCAGAGTGAGACTCCATCTCAAAAACAAAACAAAACAAAACAAAACAAAAATACAAAAATTAGCTGGGTGTGGTAGCACATACCTGTAGTCCCAGCTACCCGGGAGGCTGAGGCAGGAGAACTGCTTGAGCCAGGGAGGTGGAGGTTGCAGTGAGCTGAGATTGCACCACTGCCCTCCAGCCTGGGTGACGGAGACTCTGTCTCAAAAAAAAAAAAAAAAGCTGCCTCCTGGGAAAGCCTTTCTGATGATCTCAGGTGACTCTCATCCCTCTGTACCACACTACCTTGTGTTACTGTCTCCTTAGCATGGCCATTAGGTCCCTCCTTTTGCAGCAAAGTGCTGTCTTCATGAGGCCAGGAGCCTTGCTGATAGGGGTCCTAGTTGTGTGCTCAGCTTGAGACATGGTGGGGGCTGGGAGCCCCCCCAAAAAGGCCTAAAATGAATTTCTTGAGTATTCTGGCAGACTAAGTTTAAATATTTAAGAACGATTTGATGGCCAGACATAACACCATCATAAAGAATTATATTTCTTGTATACACTTATACCATTGATGTTCTTTGATGTTTCTTGTATACATATATACATACACCATCATAAAGAACGTGAGTTGTAAGTAATTGCATTGTATGGTTTTTCTTTGAGAATTTGGTGATTTTCCTCCAAAATTTAACAATTTTAATTTAATTTAATATTTAATATTTAATAATAAATTTAATTTAATTTTTAATAGTTTTTTTAAGCCAATTGGAAAACTCTACTATAGATCCTATATATAGAAAAAAATTATAATACCTTTTTTTTTGAGACAGAGTCTCGCTTTGTCGCCAAGGCTGGAGTGCAGGGGCACGATCTCGGCTCACTGCAAGCTCCGCCTCCCGGGTTCAAGTGATTCTCCTGCCTCAGCCTCCCAAGTAGCTGGGATTACAGGCACACACCACTATGCCCGGCTAATTTTTTTATTTGTAATAGAGGCAGGGTTTCACCATGTTGGTCAGGCTGGTCTTGAACTCCTAACCTCGTGATCCGCCAGCCTCAGCCTCCTAAAGTGCTGGGATTATAGGCGTGAGCCACCACACCCAGCTTAGAACCTTTTTCTGTAAATATTCCTATTAATGTAAAAAATCATTTTATTTTATGGTTAAAACAACACAATTGGGACCAGCTATCTTCAGAGTTTTAGTTTTTTAAAGCTCACATTTTTACCCTATTTCTGATATTTCTTGTCTACACTTATACCATGGATATTTCTTGTATACACTTATACCATTGATGTTCTTTGATGTTTCTTGTTTACTTGTATAGCATTGATGTTATTTAAGATTATTTTATGTGCTCTGTGGACAGATGCTTCTAATTTAATGTTTTCATTAAATTCATTTGTGTGATTTACAATTTATGACAGATGATTCTGACTTCCCAGTGAGTGACAGCAATTTTCCTTTTTGAGTAAATTTATTTAAGTAAAGACCTGACTCATATTAAAGAAAAATATGAGTACAGGGTAGTATTGACATGATATAGCGCCACAATTCTGAATGTGGTATCTAAATGACTAATGTCTGGGAAATGCTTGAAACACCTACACTGGAGATGTATAGCCAACCAACCGAATATCTTCATTTTTGTATCAATATTTGGTACCTGCCAACTTTTTAAAAATTTTATTTTAATCCCCTCCTGCTTTGTTACATTTTTGGCAAAGAGGGAATGGTCTATGGATGAGGGTTGAATGCTCGGTTCTTTTTTTTTTTTTTTTTTTTTTTCTGAGACAGAGTCTCGCTCTGTCGCCCAGACTGGAGTGCAGTGACCGGATCTCCGCTCACTGCAAGCTCCGCCTCCCGGGTTCACGCCATTCTCCTGCCTCAGCCTCCCGAGTAGCTGGGACTACAGGCGCCCGCCACCACGCCCGGCTAATTTTTTGTATTTTTAGTAGAGACGGGGTTTCACCGTGTTAGCCAGGATGGTCTCGATTTCCTGGCCTCGTGATCTGCCTGCCTTGGCCTCCCAAAGTGCTGGGATTACAGGCGTGGGCCACCACGCCCGGCCTGCCTGATTCTTTAGGAAATAGGTCTTCAGGACCCCCACACTTAATCCTGGGATGTGAAAGTGATAAGTCTCAGTCAACTTAGGTGCAATGCCTTATCCAGGTATGAATGCAGTCTTTCCCTGAGCTGAATAAAACTCAAGAATCAAAGACTCTGTTCTTGCTTTCTCAATCTGCTGTTGTCTCCACTCAGCTCACTTCCTATGGAAAGGACTCAGGTATGGGGCAGAGTCACTTCCTGCACCACACCATCAGCAAAGCTAGCTCCTCTTGGCTGGCGCAGGCCCTCTGGCTTCCCAGCTATGAGGTCACGCCAGCTGAGAATTCAATGATCTGTCTTAACCACAGTGACTCATGCAGCCT
Source organism: Homo sapiens (assembly GCF_000001405.40). Classification (NCBI taxonomy): domain Eukaryota; kingdom Metazoa; phylum Chordata; class Mammalia; order Primates; family Hominidae; genus Homo; species Homo sapiens. Next base: position 31,214,265 of record NC_000019.10, on the reverse strand, counting down.
CTGGTTACCCTGCGGCTGGGACCCAGTTCCTGTACAGGAAGACATATTTTAAATGATTACATGAATGACGGAGAGTGCGCAGAGGGCTTTCAAAGATTTGGAACAACCAGCCGGAAGCGCCAAAACTTACCCGGGTTTGTTCAACCTCATTTGGTTTGAGAATTAGAAGGACTGGTCCCGACGGGTGCTCTCTGACTACTGCTAAGAATCTCTCGTCCTTTCTAGCAGTGATGGCCTGGCGGCCACACTCAGCACAAGTTAACGATTCCAAGTGCAGGAAGAAGTAAGGAGTGAGAAATAAGAATAAAATAAAAAATAAAATCCCCCTAAATTGTCGCAATTTGAAAACTTTTCTCAAATCCTCAAAGGAAGATAATTGTCTAAACTCCAGGGGCAGCTCGAGGCTCAGAAGAAAGAGTGTAGACTTATTCTAAAGAGAATGAGAGTGAGGACTGGGCACCAAACGTGCGCTAAGTGCCAGCACGCTCATTCCTTTTATGTAATCTGCTCCTCTCCTCCATTGCGTTTTTTTCTTTTAAATAGACTTTATTTCAGTTTTTGGTTCACAAGAGATACAGAGATTTCCCATATACCTCCTGTTGCTTACACATACATGCAATCACCCCGTTACCAACATCCCCCACCAGGGTGGTACCTTTGTTACAACTGAGGAACCTACATTGACCCATCATCACCACCCAAAGTACATAGCTATGTCAGTGTTCACTCTTGATGTTGTACATTCTATGGGTTTACACAAATGTACAAAGACATGGATCCACCATTATAGTATCCTATAGAGTAGTTTCACTGTCCTAAAATCTTCTGTGCTCTGCCTATTCATCCTTCCCTCCTTACCCCTGGACACCACTGATTTTTTTTTTTTTTTTTTTTTTTTTTTTTTTTTTTGAGACAGAGTCTCGCTCTGTTGCTCAGGCTGGAGTGCAGTGGTGTGATATTGGCACACTGCAACCTCTGCCTCCTAGGTTCAAGCAATTCTCCTGCCTCAGCCTCCTGAGTAGCTGGGACTACAGGTGCATGACGCCACGCCCGGCTAATTTTTTTGTATTTTAGTAGAGACGGGGTTTCACCATGTTGCCCAGGCTGGTCTCAAACTCCTGAGTTCAGGCAATCCACCCGCCTCCGCCTCCCAAAGTGCTAGGATTATAGTCTTGAGCCACCGCACCCAGTCAATCTTTTTACTGTCTCCATAGTTTGCCTTTTCCAGAATGTCGTATGGTTGAAATTGTACCATATATAGCCTTTTCACACTGGCTTCTTTCACTTTATTATAGGCTTTTGAGATTCTCCCATGTCTTTTCATGGCTTGTTAGCTTCTGTCTTTATAGTGCTGAATAATATTCTGTTGTCTGGGTGTACCACATTTTATTTATCCATTTGCCTACTGAAGGCAGTCTTGGGTGCTTTCAAGTGTTAATACTTATGAATAAACCTGCCATAAACACCCATGTGCCTTTTGTGAGACATAAATTTTAATCTCCTTTGGGTAAACATCAAGGAGTGGGATTGCAGGATGGTATGCTAAGAGGATGTTCAGTTTTGTAAGAAGCCACCAAACTGTCTTCCAAGTGGCTGTTCCATTTTGCATTTCCATTGGTACTGAATCAGAGTTCCGGTAACAGAGTTCCCCAGTACTCTTGGAAGCACTGGGAGTTGTCAGTGTTCTCGATTTTGTCTATTTTAACAGGGGTGTAGTGGCATCTTATTGTTGTTTTGATTTTAATTCCCCTGATGATACATAATGAGAGCCTTTTGCTTTTTATTTTTCTTTATTTATTTTTATTTTTGAGACACAGTTTCACTCTGTCACCCAGGCTGGAGTGCAGTGGTGTGATCTTGGCTCACTGCAACCTCCGACTTCCAGGTTCAAGTGATTCTCCAGCCTCAGCCTCCCGAGTAGCTGGAATTACAGGTGTGCACCACCACGCCCGGCTAATTTTTGCATCTTTTCAGTAGAGACAGGGTTTCACCATATTGGCCAGACTGGTCTCGAACTCCTGACCTCAAGTAATTCTCCTGCCTTGGCCTCCCAAATTGCTGGTATTACAGGTGTGAGCCATGGCGTCTGGCCACCCTTTGCTTTTTTTGCTTTTTAACAAATTACACTAACTCAATATGTGTGGTAAGGGACTGCCCTAACATTTCACGGTTTTATCTCAAAATTTCCTATGGTATCAAAAAAGAAAAAAAAAAAGAGAGAAAGAAAAGCTTAAAAGTGCTCTCAAGGATTTGTTTGTTTGTTTGTTTAAAAGGCTTAAAAGCCTCAATCTACTGAGCAAACATGCCTCCAAGCATCTACCCTGGATATCTTTATATAACCTCAACACGCCTCAGTCCAGAAGCAAATTTATTGTTTTTCACTTAAATCACCTTTCCCTTGATCCTTCTGTTGCTGTCACTGGCCTTGTTGTCTTCCAGTGCTCAGGGTCCTGCAGCTCCTGCTTTGTCACCCCCAGGCCAAAGGGCTCATGCTGAACCCCAAATCCACTGATTGAAACCCCACACTCCCCGCTCCTCACTGCTGGAATCTCCCTGCCGGCTCCCAGGGTCTGGCTGGCCTGGGCTGGCTTTGCCACTGAATCTCTTTTTGCCATTTGCCCATGGCTGTCTGCCGCTACTGGGCTGGTCTGCCTCACAACACTTCATGCCACCTGCTTTTCCTTCCTCTGTGTCCTTGCTGGAGCCTGGGATGCCCTTCCTCACCACTGCCCCTGCCCCAGCCCAGGCTAGCCCAGTCCTGCCTTCTTCCCCGGGTCCAGGAGCCCACAGTCATGCATCCATCCGCTCAAGAGAAGTTGGTGTGTCCCTCTAACTCCTGACCATGCTTCCCTTCTGCGTCTGCTGTAGTCCATCTTACCTCTGTCATTAGACTATGAGTTGCTTGAGGGCTGGAAATCTACCCCTCCCTCATCTCTGCAACCTGCTACCATTCCCAGCAATTTCACACACACAATTACCTGTTGAATGCATGTTGAATGAATCTGAGATCGATTTTGTAAAGATAGGGGGAAACCATGAGCAGGAGTTGTCTGAAGAATGAATCCTTATTTTAGATCCCACTGAGTCTCTCTGTCATGGACTCTTTGGACTATGAAAACAGGAACAATTATGGTGTAAATGGACTTTGAAAATAGCAATAATTAGGTAATTAAAAATGTACTTCACTTTCATTATAGTGTCCATAAAATTCCACCATCGAAAAACAAACTATTTTAACATATTTTACTTAATATAATTCATGTAATTGTGATTTTTATGTTCCACCTACTTATGCAATTAAGTAGTACATGGCTATTTCTTACAATTAAACATTGCTAAAATCTGCCGCCAGTTTGGAACACAGAGTATGATATATTTAACAACATTTTATGCTAAACACTAGACACAGTTAACACTGTATTCATTTAATTCCATTTTAATTAGTTGAATAATATTTTCAAATGTGAATTTAGACCTAACTAGAATGGCACATTACTTAAGGTTGTTTTCTTTCAAATTATGTATCTGTAACCTGTTGAGGTTTCTCGTAGAAGAAAATGGTGGTACGCGTGGGTTCCTGAGTTGAAAATCGTGCAGGTTTTTCAGCTCTTGATCAGAGCTTCCTCTCACTCGTTAGATCCATTCTCATGACATAGTGTACACCAGCAAAATCTCCCCTGTTTCTTCTTGAAGTGTTAACCCCTAGACACTCATGAAACGTGTTCCAGGCATGGCTGGGCTCCTGGAAGCAGCCTGAGGCCCGAGACACAGAAGAAAGGAGATCAGAGGCTTCATTTTTCTAGATATACCTCCTGCTTTGGGGAGAGGCATTCTGAACTCCTCAAACATACTGCCTCTGCCACTGGCCCTTGTCACCAGCCCTGATCTCTGAGTGATTCAGAGGCGAGAAGTGGGGAAGAGAGGAAACTTCTTGGTTTCAAGAAGAAAAAAACAGGTGCAAAGCCCTTTTGAGCCTATGTCATTGGTGACATTACTATAAGATTTCCCATTCCTGCTTTTCTTGAGAGTCCCTCCAACCCAGGCCTGTGCCTCTATAGGCCAAGCTTCACCTTTGGTCCCTGGACCTGCCCTACCTCCATTTCCCCTGCACTCATTTGCCTGGCTTGGAATATCCCCCCAAGTACATCTTCCCAGAAGTTTCCCTTTCTCCTCCACTCTGGTCTCCTTTCCTTCACCCTCCCATCTACCAACCACTAACTCTCAAATGAAGTGTCCTTAAAAAGCTCTATGCCTTGTTACCTCCTTCAAAATCAACTCCCCTTCTTTTGTTCATGCTTCCACATGGCTCACTGACCTGACCTTCTCTCCCTTTGTTCCTAGACTTGAACCCCCCACCCAACCACTCCACACACCTTGGCTGAGACCCAGCCACAGAATGGGGAGAAGGGGTTGGGGGCCCTTGAGGATTTCATCTCTCAAGTCAGGATTACCCTCACTGCACCTAAGGGGCATCACTGCTCATCCCAACTGCTGACAAACACCATTCCCACACCTTATGCCATTGAGTTAGCCCCATTCATGTCAGGGCTCAGCTCCCACCATGCCTGTCTCCCATGATGCTTTCCTAGCACTGCCTCAGACCCTCAGAACTAAATGAGATAAGGCATGACCAAACGCTTAACAACGAACACGACAATAATGAGATCATTAATGCTTATTGAACACCTTCTCAGTGCCTGGCTCTGGTCTTAGCACATTACATTAATCATCTAATTTAGTGCTCCAACAGGCACAAACTGCTCCTAGTATCCCCACTTAGGGTGGGTTATGAGACTGGCCTGAAGTCCTATAACCACTCAGTGGAATAGCCAGAATTCAAACCCAGATGATCTGAATCCTGGATCTGTGCCCCTAATCACTACTCTGTCCTGTCTCCCTAGCAGGGGACCCAGCAAATGGCAAGTGTCCAGTAATTATTAGTTACTGCACTGAGTCCCAAGGAATACTCTTCTTTTCATTGTTCCCATTACTTTTGCAATTGGAGTCTCCAAACTCATTGCTCAGTTTAGACTATCAGTTAATTTTCAGTTAGCATTCTTTTTTTTCCCCTGCACCTGGCTGGGCACCCACGGGCAGCTCAGTCCCAGGCTTTCTACATGGAGTCATAAGGTCTTTGTCTTTAGGCTCTTGAGTCCATTTGAAATCTACCAGGGAATCTGTCAGTGGCCTTGGACCTGGCGTCTGGCAAACTGGGGTCATTCTTGAGATCCTCAATCATGGCCTTCTGCTCATCACACACCTCAGACATCGGGATCCTGACTGCTCCACTACCTTCAGGTCCAGCTCACATCCTATTTTGGTTTCCTAGCCTCAGCTCCACCTGATACCAACCCCAGCCGTCCTAAAATCCTGGCATGGCTTGGGCCTTCCACAACTCAATTTATGGCTGGGGCTGAAGAAATGTTGTAATGAAGGTAGCGTTGGTAAGTAAGATCTGCACATGGAAGAGTGTGTTGTCAAACACCTCTGAAAGAGGAACAGTGTGGCCACAGTTCAGGAATCAGCATTGGGAAAGCCACGACTTGTGGTAAACCATGTCTTCACTGCCCCTACATAAAACCAGCTGTGATAGGTTCCATGCTATGTGCCAGGGAATTATGCTATGACTCTTCTAATCCTATTTCCAGTTCCCATAAGGACCCTGCAAGTTAGGTATTGCTACACTCACTCTACAGGAGAAGGAGAAGCTCAAGTGTACAGTGGATATGTGATGTTTTTATCTGCTCACAATTCATTGTTTCTTCTAATACTAGCACCTTGACTTCCCTTTTCCATGTATACAGTCTTCATGAACTACATTGCAGGGTTCCTAGCCCTTCTTGCCAACAGACAGGCGTGTGATAAAAGCTCGGCCAATTGGACTCTCTTTCTTGGGAGCCTGAATGTTAAGATGAGGAAGACAAAGATGGGAAATTATTAAAGAGGGTTTATCCCAGCAGGATGCCCAAAGAGACCTCATTACTTTCTTCAGTCTAGAGGCCTGGAGCTGCTCAGCCCCCAACTTTCCAGGACCCCTTGTTAATTCAGCTTTTGCTTTGATATCCTAAACCAATTCATATCCTCCTCACGTTAACTAGCATCTATTTTTGTTGCTTGGGACCCCAAAACTCCATATGATGGAGGAACATTCATTCATTTATCTACTGAAGAGTTCTTGAACACATTCTCTGTGTGAGGCTCTGTGCTTGGTGCTAAGGGTGTTGCCACGAGCAGGACAGAGGTTTCTATAATCAGCAAAGGCAGTCATTCGTTGCACTTATGATAAAGGTTTTAGAACAAGGAGCTTGTCCTGGGTAACACACAGGTCCATTCCATGGCTTGGCATCAAGATAGCTTGTCCCATATTCCACACTATTTTATAGGCCTGTGTGCTTTATACACACATTAATCAGGTATCATTCAAAGGGATTCTTTTCTCCACCACTGCACTAAACTACTGTTTAGCATGAATAAGTGCCAAGTATATAAAAACACAAGTGCAGTTTCCTCAGAAATTCCTCTATCGATCTGGCCAATCCATTCTTTCTTGGGAACTTTGTGAAGGACAGTTTCTTAGAGTCAAAAGAAGCTCATATAGTGAATCAGGAGACTTGACTCAATTTGTGGTTTTATTACAAGTTTCCATTGTAATATTAGACATGTTAGTTCTCTCCAGTCTCAGTTTTCCCTTATATAAACTCAGAAATAGTTCAGATTATCTCCGAGGCTCTTCTGCTTTGACATTTCTAGATATCTTCTTCAAGCCCCTGGAATTAAGAGAGAAAAAAAGTTGCTTCTCCCTGTGACTTGAGGTTCTGAATGGCATCAAAAGAGTTAAACTTTGCAGTACTTCACAACATTGATAAAAAACCTGTGTATTTTAATTTCTAATAAAAAATCAAGCAGGTATGAATAGCAATAAAATTGCTCAAAAATTGTTCAAATTGAAGGGAAACAATTGGAAATGGATTTGGAAATATAATGGTTAGCTAAGCAAGCTATAATGTTCTGTTATTTTAATCAGCATTGTAAAGTAATTTAAATGGTGCAGGAATAGACTTTTGTACTTTAATATATAATCACTTTTTTCAATGCATTCATTAAAAGGTATTTCATGTTAATGATTCTATAGCTGAGAACAGACACCAGCAATAATGGTCTCTCGCCTGCTCCAGGTTTATGTTTGCAGGTTTTAGATTTGACTTTTATTTCCACTCTTCCCGCCTAGTCTTAAAGAAAAATTTCTGCAATTTTGGAAGAAAATTCTTGTTAGTTAATGTTGCAAGACTAAAAAAATTAGAAAAGGAAACCTAGGACTTTCCTCAATATTGTTTCTTCTATAACACTAGAAAGTTGGGGCAGATTGCAGGGGTTATCCCAACAACTTACCTGCCTTCAGGCCCCTGGAATTCAATAAAATATAAACGTGGCTTTTTGTTTAAAAATCTTCTACATATAGAGATGAGATTCTGTCACCCTATAGCCATTTTGTCTGTGTTAAATTAATGCTTATTGAAAATGGAAGATTTTGTATGAATTAAATGCTGAAAAATAGATTTCTTTCTACTTAGGGGCTGATGTCTACTATTATCAAATGGCTATTTCAAAAGTTTTTTTTTAAAGAATAACTTGAAATTTTCTTGCTGCAGTTTAAGTATTTATCGTGTCCTTATGTCCTTGCTGGAGAAGGGAATATAAGACAGCTGAAGGACATGTTGCTGCTCCCAGAATGGTGAAGCAGCCCAAGGATTTTGCAGGCCTGGACTTGTGTTTCCAAGGACTTTCCTTTCTCCCAAAATAAAACATGCTTTTGGTGTCTCTTGCTTTGCTTTTGCCTATGTTGGTACTTGTTCAGTGAGAGAAATCAATCTGTCCATCCATCTCTCCACCTATCCATCCATTCATCCATACACCCATCCACCCATTCTCTCATCCATCTATCCATCCATCCATCCACCCACCCATCTATTCACCCATCCATCCATCTACGTATCCATCCATCCATCCATTAATCCACCCACTTGTCCATTAATCCATCCAATCATCCACCCATTTATTCATTCATCCAGTCATCCATTCATCTGTCCACTCATCGATCTATCCATTTATCCATTCACACATCCATCCATTCATTTATCCATCCATCCATCCATCCATCCATCCATCCATCCATCCATCCATCCATCCATTTCACCCATCCATCTATTCATTTATCTTCCACTCACCCATCAATTCATCCATCCATTCATCTATGCATGCATCCATCCACCCATCTATTCATCCACTCACACCTACTCATCCACCCACTCATTCATCCCTCCATCCAGCCAACCATGTATCTCTAGAATTTCCCCAAGAATAGAACATAGCCCTAGATGTGTCTTTAGAGCCATTTGAATACTATTTCCAAATTATAAAGTTTCTAGTTTGTCTATTCAGAAACATTTTTGGAAAAGGCAGCCTTGTATTTATCAGCTAAGTTCCAAAGAGTAGGATTGGATTCAAAGTGCTAAGGAGCTGAGAGGTGGGGAAAGGGGCCAACAGCCTCTGTTTTGGGCTGAGTCTGCCCCAGATGGAGGGTCGGGCAGTCATTCCTCTCTTTGGAATGGCAGTGAAGGACTGGAAACAAATGGCAGACTCCAGGTTGAGACTCATCTTCACATGGTGCTCCCTGGTGAAGCGGGCTCAGCCCAGAGCCAGCTGGGGCCAGGAAGGAATGAAAGCTGCTGAGGTCACACTCTTGGTGAAAAGAGCTCTCTGGGTCCTCCCATCCCAAGTTTCAGGAGCCATAAACGGCCAGTATTTCAGTGCCCTTCAGGAGAAAGAAGTGGATCAAAGATTGAGGGAGCAACGCAGACTTGCAGTGAATGCAGAGATACAGTCAGCTCTGTCCATAATGGAATAAAAAAGGGGCAGGAAAGGAAGCCTCCACTTACTAGCTGAGAGTCCCTAAAATGTTCCACCTTGGTTTTCACACCTGTAGATGATAAATTATAAAAATTGTGGTATCGCAGGCTTAGGGTGAGAATTGCATAAGGTAACAAGTGTAAGGCACTTGGCCCCAAACCTGGTGAAGGGTGGCTGCTCAGGGACTGATAGCTGTGAAAGAGCAATTGTGTTCATGAACAGCCGACAAGGAACCTCTCCAGAATGGCACCTCACTGGCTCATCTCCTACACCTCTGCAGGATACAACTAGAGTCCAGGAAGGATCGCAGCCCTACTGAGAACTTGAAAGACCCCAAGTTCCATCCTCAAAGCATCCTCGCTGCTGCATCATTACAAAATCCCCGTGATCCACCTTTTCAAAGGTACATGTTAACTTATCTACATGGTGTGTGCTTACTGAGTGCCTATGGGGCTGTCCAGCTCCAGCTCCCTGTGTCGAAGGGAGGACCAAGGGAAGGGAAGGCTCTCCTCTCACCCTGGAGGGGCTTGTGGCTTGCTGGGCAGAGGAGACGCAGTGCACCTTGCAGCGCTGGACAGGGCACCAGGCAATGTGTGGAACAAGGTTTCCATGCCTGCAAAGTGCAGGAAAGACAACTCAGGACGGAAACATGGACAGCCAAGAAGCTGGGAAAAAATGATCCTTTGCACTAGCAAACAAAGCAATGCCTATAGCATTGTCAGTAACTTAACATTCTGTCTACACACATCTAAAGATTAAAACAACAATAACAACAACATTCTACTCATGGCTGGGGTAAGTGTAAGGAGGTACAAGCAGTAATGAAATTTGCTACAGTGGAGTGATATATTTGACAAATTTAATTTACATAATTTTAACTCTGCATTTGTCCACCACACCCCTCCCCCAAAAAGGGGAAAGAAAGAAGGAGAGAGGGAGGTAGGGAAGGAGGAATGGAGGTACCAAGGAAGGAAGGGAAGGGAAAGAAAGAAGAAGAGAGGAAGGACGGGAGGGAAGGAGGAAAGGGAAAGAAAGAAAAGGAGAGAGGGAGGAAGGGAGGAAAGAAAAAAGGAAGGAAGAGAGGGAGCAAGAGAAGAAGAGAGGAAAGAAGGAAGGAAGGGATTGAAGAAGGAAGGAAGAAAGGGAGATGATATGGTTTTGCTCTGTGTCCCCACCCAAATCTCATCTCAAATTGTAATCTCCACATGTGGAGGGAAGGAGGTGATTGGATCATGGGGGCAGTTTCCCCCATGCTTTTCTTGTGATAGTGAATTCTCAGGAGATCTGACGGTTTTGTGAGCATCTGGCATTTCCCCTGCTTGCACTTCGCTCTCTTGCAGCCATGTGAAGGTGTTTGCTTCCCCTTCACCTTCCGCCATGATTTAAGTTTCCTGAGGTCTCTCCAGCCATGCGGAACTGTGAGTCCACTAAGCCTCTTTCCTTTATAAATTACCCAGTCTTGGGAAGCTCTTTGTAGCAGTGTGAAAACAGGCTAATACAGGAGGGAAGAAGGAAGGAAGGAGAGAAGAGAGGGGAGAAGAAAGAAAGGAAGGGAGAGAGGGAAGAAGAAAGGGAAGAGAAAAGGAAAGAAGGAAGGAAGGGCAGAAGGAAGGAAGATGTACCTAAAGCCTGCCTTACCACCCATCGTTTCCCTCTGTGTGTGTGCTCAGGAGTGAGCACCTGAGGGGAGATCCTGCTGCTTTCTCCCCAGAGCTGTTTCTTCACTGGGTCTGTGTGGTGTGACCGTCCCGAGGGCTGGATCTGAGACTCATGTTTAAGGACCCATTCTCATACCAGATGTCCCCTAAAGCCTAACAGCTCCTAGCATAAGAACTGCAAAGATGGCTCTCCTTGCTACCCACCCCCACCTTGTGCCCTACAGTCTGTTTTCTAAGGAGCAGCCAGAGAGATCCTTTAAAACAAGTCACTCATGTCATGCCTTTGCTAAACATGCTCCACAATTTCCATTCCTTTCTGGGAAAAAGTCCATATCCACCCAATGCCCTGCCTAGCTCACCTCTCTGGTCTCCTCCTATCCTTCACTCTTCCTGCCACACACTGGTCTTTGGACACACCGACCTCCTTGTTGTTCCTTCAGCATGCCAATTGTGCCTCCTTCTCAGGGCATTCATACATGGTGTTTCCTCTTCTGGGAATGCCCTTCCACCAGCTAGTTGCATAGCTCAATTCTCACTTTCTTCAAGTCACCTCTTCTCAATGGAGCTTCCTTTGACCATCTAAACCTCTATGGCACCCTCCTCCAAACATACTTCTCTTTTAGCCCTGCCTAGTCTTTTTTTTTTCTATATTACTTATCATCTTCTAATGCTTTAGAAATTTTGTGATTGTTAGGCTTAATTTTCATTCTCTCTCTCCACCAGAATAGCTTTTTACAGTGAATATATTGGTCTAGTTCGGTGTCTGTCCCATCTCCATCTCCTGGCACTATGCCTGACACAGACTAGTTACTCAATAAACAGTGTTTCAGTTGTTGCATGAACAAATGAATTACTGAATGTCAATCTCCAACACTATTTTCTTAAAAGATGTGCCAGGGCAATTTTGATGACCAGCATTTTGTATTATATGTACTGACTTTAAAAATATCCCTCCCACTTCAGGTGAGAGTCTATTGTAGAAGGTTTCAGAAGGTAATTTGGCAACATATATTAAGGGCTTAAAAAAGAGTTTACCCTTGGAAAATTTCATGTGTGTTCATGAATGTTGAGCAAAACCACAGGCAGGTCAGTGTTGTATCAAATATAAAAAATTGGAAGTGATCTAACTACCCAATAATGATTGGGTAATAAAAAATTATGGTCTGCACAAACAGTGGAGTATTACTTGGCATTTAAAATGCAGAGGAGTAGAACTCTTTTTAAATAGAAAATGGTTATATGAATTGAAAAAATTACAAAACAGCAAATAGCTTGGAATATCACATTTAAAAAAAGAAATATACATATATTGATATACACATATATGTATTATGTATGTAAATATACATATACATACAGCGATATCTAGACATCTACATGTATTTCCTGGGAAATTACAATTTTATATGCTTTGGTGTTGTCATTAGTGATTTCTAAATTGTTATTTTTTTGTGAATTATTTTAGTAAATTGTTCTACATTAGCTTATCTTTTTCTCTAATTTTTCTCAAAGATCATGACTTTTTTTTTTATTTTTAGACAGAGTCTCGCTCTGTTGCCCAGGCCAGAGTGCAATGGCACGATCTCAGCTCACTGCAACCTCCGCCTCCAGAATTCAAGCGATTCTCCTGCCTCAGTCTCCCGAGTAGCTGGGATTACAGGCACCGCCAGCACGCTCAGCTAATTTTTATATTTTTAGTAGAGATGGGGTTCTGCCACGTTGGTTAGGCTGGTCTCAAACTCCCATCCTCAGGTGATCCACCCACCTGGGCCTCCCAAAGTGCTGGGATTACAGGCATGAGCCACTGCGCCCAGCCATGACTTTTTATGGGTTTTTAATTTGGCAAATAATGGCAATAGATGATATTTCCATTAAAAACTGGATCTCAGTGCTTTCTAACATTTAATATTGTAATCTGACTTGAAATAAGACATTTCCAACTTTTATTTCTTAAATCATCATCTCTGGTCTTCTGAGGAAGGAAGAGGGAAGCCGCTCTTCCACCCAGCAGTTGAATGAATACAGTGGCGGCCACTCGTGAAGCCCACATTAGTTCCTGCTCAGTTTAATCACACACTCCTGCACTCTAGTCAAAGGGGATTAGACATAAGCTGTGATGCCATGGCCACGTAGACTGCTTCTTTGTAGTGTGGCTTATTTATTCCTTTAGTCAGTTTTTTTCCCCAAAATCATTGATATTTCCATATTAAATTCTATGACTTATCAAGAAAATCAACTTGTCAAACATAGTGAATTTTTTTTAGCAATATGACATTCATTATGTATTTATTTTTATGTAGACAAATCTTTTAAGCTTTTTCTCTTTTTGATTTTGATGGCTCCCTTTGTTTTTAGATTTAACATGAACATTTAATCAACACGAAGAGATTGATATTTTTAAGTCATTTTATAACTTTCTCATCCATCTGTGTATGTGTGTGTGTATTTGGGCGATAGTACAGGGTGAGAGAATAATTTAACCATTATTAAAAATCAAATGATTACAATTTGCCCCAGACCTACCTGTAGAGTAATTTTCTGTTACCTACTGTCTTGAAATGATACTTTTAACGTTGTACTAAGCTGTATTCATTTATTACATAAATATTCAATAGGCACCTATCACGACACTGTCACAATGTTGGGATCCTTTCGAGATTTTCTTCTTTTTAACTGATTTGTCTACATTTTTTTCCCCTGACACCACACTGCTTTAATTATACTTGCTTTAAAGTACAGTTTAATATGTGGTATTTGAAAGCCCACTTCATCATTATTCTTTTTTTTTCAAAATAAACTTCATTTTTCAGAGTAGTTTTGGATTCACAGACAATTGAGCAGAAGGCACAGAGATTTCCCATGCACCCCCCTTCCCACACACATGCACAGCCTCCCATTACCAACAGCCCACACTGTGGTGGTGCATGCATTTGTTACAATTGATAAACCTACATTAACACATCGTCACCACCCAGAGTCCATATTTTACATGAGGGTTCACTCTTGGTATTGCGTGTTCTATAGATTTAGGGAAATGCCTAATGAGTATGCAACATCGTAGTATTGTGCAGAATTGTTTCACTCCCCTAAATATCCTTTGTGCTTCGTCTGTTCGCCTGCCTCCCCTCCATTCCTCCACTGGACACTACTGATCTTTTTACTGTCTCCATCATTTTGCCTTTTCCAGAATGTCAGAGTTGAAATTACACAGTAGGTAGCCTTATCAGATTGGCTTATTTTACTTAATGATATGCATTTAAGTTTTCTATGTATCTTTTTATGGCTTAGTAGCTCATTTCTTTTTAGCCTTGAATGATATTCCAAAGTCAAGATGTACCAGACTTTTAGTTTATTTATCCATTCACCTACTCAAGAACATATTGGTTGCTTTTAAGTTTTGGCAATTATTAATAAAGCTGCTATACATATCCATGTGCAGGTTTTTTTTTTCAGACATAAGTTTTTGAGTCCTTTAGGTAAATACCAAGGAGTGAGATTGCAGGATGGTATGGTAAGAGTGTGTTTAGTTTTGTAAGAAAATCCCAAACTATCTTCCAAATTGGCTGTTTCATTTTGCATTCCCACCAGCAATGAGTGAGAGTTTCTGTTGCTTCATGTTCTTACCAGCATTTGGTGTTGTCAGTGTTACCCATTTTAGCCATTCGAATAGGTATATAGAGGTATGTAATTGCTGCTCCAATTTGCATTTCCCTAATGACATATGGAACAGAGCACCTTTTTATAGACTGTTTGCTATCTGTATATCTTCTTTGGTGAGGTGTCTGTTAAGGTCTTTGGCGCATTTTTTTCAGCTGGATCATTGTTTTCTTTCATTGAGTTTTAAGAGTTCTTTGTTTATTTTGGATAACAATCCTCTATCAGATATGTCTTTTGCAAATATTTTCTTCCAGCCTGTGAGTTGTCATTTAATTCTCTTGACACTGTCTTTCGCAAAACAGAAAATTTTAATTTTAGTGAAGTCCAGCTTATCAATTAGTTCTTTCATGGATCATCCCTTTGACATTATATCTAAAGGGTTACCATCAAACCCTAGGTCATTTCGATTTTCTCCTGTGGTATCTTCTAAGAGTTTAGTGGTTTCAAATTCATTTGGGGGAAGAATGTAAGATCTGTGTCTAGATTTTATTTTATTTTATTTTATTTTTTGGTCATGTGGATGTTCTGTTGTCTTGGCATCATTTGTGAAAAGATTATTTATTACTATTTTATGGTCTTTGGTACTTTATCAAAGACCATCGGACTATGTTTTTTCTTTTCTTTTTTTTTTTTTTTTTTTTTTGGCGGAGTCTCGCTCTGTCATCAGGCTGGAGTGCAGTGGTGCAATCTTGGCTCACTGCAACCTCCACCTCCCAGGTTCAAGCGATTCTCCTGCGTCAGCCTCCTGAGTAGCTGGGACTACAGGCGCCCGCCACGATGCCCAGCTAATTTTTGTATTTTTAGTAGAGATGAGGTTTCAGCATGTTGGCCAGGATGGTCTCCATCTTTTGACCTTGTGATCCGCCTGCCTCGGCTTCCCAAAGTGCTGGGATTACAGCTGTGAGTCACCGTGCGTGGCCCTGACTATATTCTTATAGGTCTATTTCTGGGGTTTTTATTCTGTTCCACTGCCTTGTCTATTTTTTGACGATACCACATCATCTTGATTATTGTAGTTTTACAGTAAGTCTAGAAGTCAGTGACACAACTTTGTTCTTCTTTTTCAATATTATGTTGGCTATTGTGGGCCTTTTACCTCTCCCTGTAAATCGGAGAATCAGTTAGTCAATATCTACAAAATAACCTTCTGGGATTTTGATTAGGATTGTGCTGAGTCTATAGATCAAGTTGGGAATAGGTGAAATCTTCACAATATTAAATCTTTCTATCCATGAATATGAATACCTCTTTATTTAGTCCTTCCTTGATTTAGTTTAACATAGTTTTATAGTTTTCTTCATATAGATTTTGTACATATTTTGTTAGATTTATTATATCTATGTATTTCATTTTGGGGGGTATTAATATAAACGGTATTTTGTTTTTATTTTCAAATTCTACTTGTTCATTGCTGCTGCCTAGAAAAGCAATAGACTTTTGTGTATTAACCTTTATCCTGCAACCTTGGTATAATTATTTATTAGTATCAGGAGTACTTTTCTTCTTTTTATTTTCTAGATAGGCAATCATGTCACTGTGAAAAAGACAATTTCATTTCCTCCTTCCCATCATTTATATATTTTATTTCCTTTTCTTGTCTTATTGCATCAGGTAGGACTTCCAGTATGATGTTGAAAATAATGGTGAGAGGCAACATTCTTGCTTTGTTCCTAATCTTAGTGGGAAAGCTTTGAGTTTCTCTCCATTAACTATGACATTAGCTGTCAGTTTTCGTGAATATTCTTTATGAGGTTTCCCTCTATTTCTGGTTTACTGATAGTTTTTATCATAAGTGATGTTAGATTTGATCAAATGCTTTGTATGCATCTATTGATATGGTCTTGTGAGTTTTATTCTTTAGCTTGCTGATGTGGTAGATTACAGTAATTGATTTTCAAATATTGAACTGTTTTTGCATACCAGGGATAAATCCCAGTCAGCTGTGGTCCATACTTATTTTCACACATTATTGGATTCAATTTTTTAATAATTTGCTGAGGATTTTTGCATCTATGTCCATGAGAATTTTGGTTTGTAGTTTACTTTTATTGTCATGTCTTTTTGTCTGGTTTTAGTATAAATGTAATGCGGGCTGCTCAGAATGAGTTAGACAATATTTCCTGGGCTTCTACTTTTGAAACAGAGTCTACAGAATTGGTATTATTTTTCTCTTAAATATTTGATAGAATTCACCAGTAAAGCCATCTAGAGCTGGTGCTTTCTGTTTTTAATTATTAAATATTGATTCAATTTTGCTAATAAATATAAGCCTATTAAAATTGTCAATTTCTCCTTATATGAGTTTTAGTACATTTTATCTTTCAAATAATAGGTTCTTAATCTAAGTTACCAATTTGTGGACATAGATTGCTTATAATCATTCTTTATTATGCTTTGAATGTCCATGGGATTGATAGTGATGCCCCCTTTCATTTCTAATATTAGTAATTTGTGTCTTGTCTTTCCTTGGTTAGCTGGGGCACCGGTTTTTAATTTTACTTATATTTTCTAAAAACATACTTTTGGTTTCATAAATTTTCTCTATTTTTTTTTTCTTGAGTTCAATTTCATTGATTTCTCTTCTAATTTTCATTTTTTTCTTCTCCTTATTCCAGACTTAATTTGTTCTTCTTTTTCTAATTTTCTCTAATGGAAGCCTAGATGATTAATTTTGGTTCTTTCTTTTTTTCTAATTCTAATATATGCATTTAATGATATAAATTCCCCTGTAAGCACTGCTTTTGCTGCATCTCACAAATTTTATAAGTTGTGTTTTCATTTTCATTTATCTCAAAATATTTTTAAATTTCTCTTGATATTTATTTTTTGACCATGTGTTATTGTGAAGTGTATTGTTTAATCTCCAAGTATTTGGGGGCTTTCCACCTATCTTCCTATTGATTTGTAGTTTAATTGCATTGTGGTCTGAGAGCAGACAATGTGTGATTTCTATTTTCTTTAATTTGCTAAGGTGTATTTTATGGCCCAGAATGTGGTCTATCTTGGTTAATTTTCCATATGAGCTTGAGAAGAATGTATATCCTGAGGTTGCTAAATGAAGCTGTCTATAGATATTAATTATATACAGTTGATTGATGGTGGTGTTGAGCTCAACTGTGTTCTTACTAATTTTCTGTTTGCTAGGTCTGTTCGTTCATGATAGAAGAGTGTTGAAGTCTCTAAGTATAATATTGGATTCATTTTTTCTTCTTTTCAGTTCTACCCATTTTTAGCTCATATATTTTGATGCACTGTTAGGCACAACTTTACTAAGGATTGTTATGCCTTCTTGGAGAATTGACTCCTTCATCATTATGCAATGCCATTCTTTATTCCTGATAGCTTATTTGCTCTATCTGAAATTAATATAGCTACTCCCACTTTCTTTTGATTAGTGTTAGCATGGTATGTCTTTCTCCATCCATTTACTTTTAATCTAGATGTGTCTTTGTATTTAAAGTGGGTTTCTGCTAGAAAACCTATAGTTGGATTTCATTTTTTGATCCACTCTGGCAATGTGTCTGTTTTAATGAGAATATTTTAACCATTGGCATTCAAAGTGATTATTAATGTAGTTTAATTAATGTCTGCAAAATTCATTGCTGTTTACCAATCATTGCTCTTTCCCTTTGTTCTTGTTATCTCCCAGTCTTTTTATGCCATTTGTGATTTTAACTGAAAAACTTATATAAGTTCATTTTCCCTCTTTTCTTAGTGTATCAGTTATATTTCTTTTTCTTTTTATAGTTTTTGCCATAGAGTTTGCAATATATCTTTACAACTAATCCAAGTCCACTTTTAAATAACTATAATAACTGTAGTGTAACTATACTGCTATACTGCTTCATGGATAATGTGAATACTTTAATAACAAAATACTCCTAATTCTTCCTTCCCGTCCCTTATGTCATTGTTTTCATTTATTTCATATAAATATATACATGTATACATACACACACACACATACACACACAATGTCATGCCTTATGTTTTGGTCAACCATAATATTATAATACTGTATTGCTGTACAGAATTGTAGGTTAGAAGCAATAAGCTATAATAAATAGCCTAGGTGTACAGTAGGCTATACTATCTAGATTTGTATAAGTACACACTATGATGTTCACACAATGACAAAATCACCTACTGACTCATTTCTCAAAAAGTATCCTCATTGTTAAGAGACACATAACTATATTGATTATATGTGTCTGTATACACATGACTATATTGATTATGTATGCATGTATACAAAAACACATACATAATCAAATACATTTTTGCTATTTTTATTTTGAATAAATGTATTTGTTGTAAGAAAAATAAAATTTTTACTTTACCTTCACTTATTTCTCCTTTGGTTTCTTCCTTTTTTTATGTAGATCCAAGTGTCTGACCTATAGAATTTCCCTGCTCTCTAAAGCACTTCTTTTAACATTTCTTGCAAGGCAGGTCTGCTGGCAAAAATAAATAAATAAATAAATAAAAGAATCCCTACATTTTGGTTTGTATAAAAAGTCTATTTCTCCTTCACTTTTGAAAAGCAATTTTGCAGGGTACAGAATTTTAAGATGTTTCTTTTTCTCTTAACACTTTAAATATTTCAGTCCACTCTCTTCTTGCTGGCATAGTTTAAGAGGAGAAGTCAGAGATAATTCTTATTTTTGCTTCTCTATAGGTAAGGTGTTTTTCCCTATGGCTTCTTTGGGGAATTATTTTTCTTTATGTTTGATTTTCTGTATTTTGAATTATATGCCTAGGTGTAATTTCTTTAACATTTTTCCTGATTGGTGTTCTCTGAGCTTCCTAGATCTGTGGTTGGTGTGTGACATTAATTTGAGAGGAAATTTTGGGGCATTATTGTTTTAAATATTTCTTCTGTACCTTTCTCCTCTTTTCTCTGTCTGGTATTCCCATATGTGTATGTTATACCTTTTATATTTGTCCTATAGTTCTCAGATATTATTCTCTGCTTCCCCCCCATTTTTTTCTTTTTCTCCCTGCTTTTCAATTTTGGAGGTTTCTATTGAGATACCTTTGAAGCTCAGAGATTCTTTCTTCAGCCATGTCCAATTTACTACAAGCCCATCAAAGGCGTGATTCATTTCTATTATAGTGTTTTTTATCTCCAGCATTTCTTTTTGTTTCTTTTTTCTTAGAATTTCCATCTCCCTGCTTACATTGCCTGTCTGTTCTTGCATGGTGTCCACTTTATACATTAGAGCTCTTAGCATATTAATCATAGTTGTTTTCAATTCCTGATCTGATCATTCCAACATTTCTGTCATATCTGAGTCTCCTTTTGACACTCGCTGTGTCTCTTCAATCTGCACTGTTTTGCTTTTTAGTATGCCTTGTACTTTTCTCTTGATAGCTGGTCAATATGTACTGGATAAAAAGAAATGCTGTAAATAGGCCTTTAGTAAAGTGGTAGTAAGGTGCAGGGAGAAGGGGTGCATTCTCTAGACCTGTGATTGGGTCTCAGTCTTCTAATGAGCCTCTGCTTCTGGACTGTGAACTTCTCAAGTGCTTCTCAATCTCCCCACCCCACTGCCACTTAGATGGGACAGGATGGCTGCAATGGTGTGGAGTTGGGTATTTCCTTTCTTCCAGGTGAGATAAGTTCTGATAAAACCCTAGCAGGTTAGGCTCTGGTTGAATAGTTTCTCCTAAGGGCAGACCTTGTTAAGAAGAACAGAATGCTCTGATGCACTCTTAGATGTTTTTCACCTCCTTCTGCCAGAAGCATGAGGGGATTTTTCTCCAGTATTCAGTGTGGGAACCTGGTCCAGCTCCAGGGGGTAAAACTCACTTAATTGTGAGGGATACCCAATGACTAGTCCACCTAGAGTTTTTAACTCTCAGGTTTATCCACACTGAGACTCCAATAAGTCATCAATTACAGTTCAGATTTCCCGACTTTGGCGCTGATTCCTTCAGAAGTTCTGCTCATGAATTTCTATCTAGTAAGTTGTGATTCTCTGTATTTGCTTATCTGTCTCTAATTTTGGGGTCGGTGATTTGTCCTGTGAACTCACTTCCCTTTGGGATCTAAGAAGAGCTGTTTATTTTCCAGTTTGTTCAGCTTTTTACATGTTGTTAAGATAGAGTAGCAACTAGCAAGCTCCTCATTGAACCAGAAAACATTACTATTTTTCTAAAAAATTTCTACTAATTCTTACCAGTGAATTTAAGCTAACCTTAAAATTGCATTGCCAATTTTCCAGCCAAAAAAATTAACAAAAATACATTATGATAACAGTATTTGTTCTCCTTTCCAAAGAAAATAATGCATTTCTCCAGTTATCCACATCATAATGTATGTGACTGTGTGCTTTACAGATTTTAAGTCCTTTACAAAGGCTCGCACTGTCCTGGAAAAACCCTAAGGGATAAAGATGATTCTCACAATGTTACCTATGAGAAGAGTGAGGCACAAAGAGGTTAAGCAGCTTGCTCAGGCTCACACAACTAGTAAGTATAACATGCAGGATCGCGACACAGGTAATTAGGTGCCACGTTGTCTACCCAGCATAATTCATGGACCTGCTTGGAACATGCCTGGCATTTGGTAAGTGCTACTGGCTGTGGCATTCAAGTCTTTTGAGATTGTTCCCTCATCCATCAAGACAGCCACCATCCAGTGGGCATCTGGGGACATGGCCACAGAGGGCTTCCTTCTCCAAGGAGAATAAGAGTGTGGAGGTGATGGAGTTGGATATTTGTTACTGACAGAGACTGCTTCCTGCAAAATATGACTGAAATAGTTTAAAGGATTCTTGAGTGAAAGAAAATTTCAGACTGGAGCCACAGAGGCCAGATATGTCGCGTCATATGTATGGGAAAGTCTGGTACAGACTTGGAGTCATGAAAAAATGCTCAGAAAAAAAAGGCAGAGCAGGCTTAGCAATGACAAGAGAAGATCCTTTCTCTTTCACACGTCTCCCTTTCATCAGCAACATGAGGCCTCCCTGTGCCACACAGGCACTGGGAAAAACCAGGGTCGCAGATGGGCTCTGATTTTAGGGGAGGCCCCTGTAGGTACCTATTGCATCATTGGAAGATTGTGATAGTAGTGGACAGACATACAGCAAAGGCTTCTCCCACTAATCACCTTCTCCACGCATCTCCCTGGCTTTGGTTTACACTTTCTCTACTGTTTTCATCAAAAAGGAGTCATCCTAAAAACTGTCATGTTAACCGATTAAATCCAATTAAAGAAAGTGTGCAACTTTATATACCCCAGGGATATATTTCACGATTTCCTCTGCAGTGTTGTTTGCGTCAACATAAGAGTTGCTTGGCATCTAATGAGCAAGTAAAAAGGATAAGTGGAGTGCAGTTTACATAGGTGGTGGAATATTACACTGTAATGCAAAGAAATAAAGTTGGCCCCAAAACAATGTTGGATGATAAAAATAAGAAATACATTGAGAAATATACTACAATACTAACAGAACTTAAAGGGCCAAAGTGCTATATTTTTCCAGAAATAAAATATAAGTAAACATAGTGAAAGAGGATTAGCAAAGACATCTATTAAGTGCAAATCATGCACTAATGTCCAGGTCTGACCTTGACAGAGTATAGGGTATTAGACTTACTCTCCCACTATAAACAGCTATAAAACTGGAAGAAATTTACAAAGCATCTGTTTTCATACATTGGAGGTGAGATCTCCATTTACTCAGTTTCTGCCCAAGAGTAATTGGTTCTTAATAAACATCACAGGCATGTGGTTGAAACCCCCAAAAGGCCACTTTTATTAAGTTGTTATTCTTCTTCTAAATGTGCCTTCTGCTTTTTGTTCCCCTTTTTCTTATTTCCTGTCTTCTTTGGTTTAATTGTGTATATTTAATATTCATCTTGTTTCTTCCATGGTCTTTTTAGCCATGCTTCTTTGGGTTATTATTTTAGAAGCTGATCTAGGAATTATATTATGTATTCTCAACTTGTTTCAGTGCTCCATGAACTAAAACCATGTACTTCATGTATAATGAAGAACATTCCAATAGTACATTTCTATCCACATCTCCATTATATTATTGTTGTGTATCTTACTTTATATGTTATATGCCCAATAAATTGTTATCATTTCAGTGTAAGCAGTCAGATATCTTATAAAGAAGATACAAAAGAAGAAAAATGTATTTTTTAAATAAAATTTATCTTTTTGAGGCAGGGTCACCCAGGCTGGGGTGCAGTCTCCCAGGCTGGAGTGCAGTGGTGCGATCATGGCTCACAGTAGCCTCAGATTCCTGGGCTCAAGCAATCCTCCCACCTCAGCCTCCCAAATAGCTGGGACTACAGCCACGTGCCACCATGCCCGGCTAATTTTTTTTAACTTTTTCTAGGGATGGGGTCTCACTATGTTGCCCAGTCTGCTCTCAAAATCCTGGCCACAAGTGAACCTCCCACCTCAGCCTGCCAAAGTGCTGAAATTAAAAATGTCTTTTATATTGACATTTTTTTCCCTCTCTTCCTTCTGTCATGTGGACTAAGTGTACATCTGCTGTTATTTCCCTTCAGCCAATTACTTTGGGGGCAAAAGGGAAGCCTGATGAAAATGTCTTCATTTTGACCACATTTTTCAAGGATAGTTTTACTGGACATAGGATTCTAGGTTGACTTATTTTTACTTCAGTATTTAAAATATGGCATTCCATTGTGTTATAACTTGCATTGTTTCCGACTAGAAATTAGCAGTACTCATATTGCTTTTTTCTTGTATGTTAAATGATTTTTATCTATGGCTGCTTTTATGATTTTTTTTGTGTTAAAAATATTTTTAGCAATTTGGCTGTAATGTGTCTACATATATCTTTATGTTTCTCCTGTTTATGATTTGTTGAGTTTCAGTGTCAACCGTGTTGATATTGTTCATAAAGTTCAGCAATATTTTAGTCATTTTTTTCCAAATAATTTGTTCTCTCCCAATTTTCCTCACTTTCTGACATCCCAGTTAAACCATTTGATTGAATTACTTAGGTCTCTGAGTCTCTACTAATTTATTGGTATTTTCTTTCTTACTGCTTCAGGTGGGATAGTTTCTACTGATCTATCTTCAAATTTACTGGCCTTCTACCACATTGTTCAATATGCTATTAATTGCATCCAGTGAAATTTTCATTTCAGATTACATTTTTTTTATTCTAGAATTTTTATTTATTTTTTTTAAATAGCTTTTATTACTTGGCTGAGATTTCCCACTCATTCACTCATTATATTAAACATTTATTTTAAATCCTTGAACATATTTATAATGGCTTCTATAAAGTCCTTGTGTCCTAAGTTCAATAACTGTGTCATTTCAGAGTCGATTTCTACAGAAAAGTTTTATTTATTTATTTTTCTGGATAAAGGTAAAATATTCTTTCTTTGCATATCTAGTGATTTTTTTAACTGTGTGCTGAATATTATGAATGCTACATAGTTGAGAATATATTTTGCCATCTTGGTCTAAAGAGTGTTGAGTTTTATTTATAGATAATTATTGGGAAATCAGTTTGATCATGTTAGGATTTGTTTTTAGGCTTTGTTAGAGTGGGAGAGAAGTTGTTCCTTTTCCGAGATTGAAATATACTGCTTTGAAGATGTGGCCTGTATGGGGTCTCAACTGAATTCCTGGAATATTTAGAGGGGTTTCTCTGTCCTGGCTGAATAAATCTCCTATGACTCCCAGTGCTATATATCCTCTGGAATTGTCATTCAGTTCACATTCTGTCTTGTAGCTTTCTTTCCCCCCTCCAAGGTCTTGTAAAGTGATACCATGTGCATGCCTGTCTTAGAATTCTGCCAAAAACTCCAGGGAACATCTACGTAGATTGCTTGGGTTACTTCCCTGTGAAGTTCCTCTTTAATGACCTGTCTTTTAAGTTCCAGCCATTTAAGCTTTCCCAAACTTTAATCCAATTAAAAGGCATAGATAGTGAGACTTGGTAACAGAGCAAAATGTAACTATATGCTACTTCAAGAAAAACACTCTTCCTTTATACTATGCTTACTGTAAGCATAAGAAATCTAGCATGGCTCTATTAATATTAGACACAGAGATTTAGAGAAAAGGCTATTACTTGTATTAAGAAGGTCATTTTTTGATGATAAATGGGTAATTTAAAAAGAAGAATAGCAATACTAACAATATCTTGACACAACAACAACGTTTCCAAACACAAAGGAGAAACTTAAGGAACTAAAAAGAGAAATAGATAAATTCACAGTTATGGCTGGAGATTCCAATACTTCTTCCTCAGTAATTGATAGAGTAAGTAGATTTTAAGAACAATATTAACCAACTTGGCCTAGTTGACATTTACAGAATGTGACACCCAACAACTTTATAATACACATTTTTTTTAGTGCATCTGGAACATTCACCAAGATAGAACTAGTGGTACTAAAATACACATCTCTATATATTTCAAAAGATTTAAAACAGAGTTTTTTCTCTGACAATATGAAATTAAAATTGGAAAAAAAAAATGACAAATACATTTGGAAAATCCTCATATATCTGGGAATAAATCACATACTTCTAAATAACCTACTCATCAAAAGGAAAAAATCACCATGGGAAATGAGAAATATTTAAAAATAATTGACAATGAAAATACAACCTATTAAATTTTAGGGGATGCAGCCAAAGCAATGCTTAGAGGAAAATGTATTGCCTTAAAAGTTTATATTAGAAAATAAAGTGCCAAAATTCAATGCACTAAACTTAAAAATATAAGAAAAAAACTAAGTAAATAAAACCCATGAAAGTAGAAGGGCAACAGTGAACAGAAATTGAACAAACATTGAAGATAATAAATAAAACAAGAAGTTGTTTGCTTTAAAAGATTAAGAAAATTGATGAATTACTAACTATGTTAATTAAAAACAGAAGAGGGGAAACACAAATTTCCAGGGTTGGTAATAAAAAGGATGATCACTAGAAATAAATCAGACATTAAAAGTATAAATAAGGGAATGCTATGAACAACTTTATATCTAATATTTAACAACTTAAAGTTGAAAAATACATTGAAAGATAAAAATTACCAAAATTAACACACAGAACATAAAAACTGATTAGCTATGTATCTGTTAAATAAATTAAATTTGTTATCACACTCTTCCTATCAAAAGCACTCATATATTAGATCACTTTTGAATTCTATCAAATTTCAAAAAATACGAATTTTTCACAAACTGTTTCAGAAAATAGAGAAGAAAGGAACACATCACCCCTGTTTTGATGAACCTAGCTCAATGCTAATAAATAACCAAACAAGAACATTAAAATAAAAGAAAATTACAAGCCAGTATTTCTCATGAACTTAAATGCAAACATTCTTAACAAAATATACATAAAAATGGATAATACATCATGACTA
Source organism: Homo sapiens (assembly GCF_000001405.40). Lineage (NCBI taxonomy): Eukaryota > Metazoa > Chordata > Mammalia > Primates > Hominidae > Homo > Homo sapiens. Next base: position 31,188,665 of record NC_000019.10, on the reverse strand, counting down.
AATGGATTATTAATGGAACATCAGATTGTTTTAACATTAAAAAATTAATCTAATTCACCAGAATTACCAGAATGAAAGAAGGAAAAAACCATATGATGAACTTAATAAATGCAGAAAAAGCATTTGCTAATTTTCAACACTTATTCATAAAAAAACTTTTTTGTGAAAGAAGACTAGAAGGAACATTTCTCAATCTGATAGAGTTCCCCTAATATCAAAAACAAGCAATAAAAATTCACTTTCATCACATCCATGCTAAACTGTACTGGAGGGTTTAGCCAGTACAATAGGCAGAAAAATATATAAAATTCATCGGGTTTGGAAAGGAAGAAATAAAACTATAATTATTTATACATGTAGAATTGTACATGTAGAAAATCCAAAAGAATCTGTAAATAGTCAGAAATAAGTGAATTTAGCAAAGTTACTAGAGATAAGATCAATTCTGGAAAATCATTTGCATTTTTATATACTAGCAAAAAAGTTAGAAAATAAAAATTTAAAATACTATATAAAATAAAATAAAAATACTTAAGAAAATATATGTATGGCTTCTATACTGAAAAGTACAAAATGCACCAAGAAAAATTAAAGAAGACCTAAATAAATGAAGAGATATATACCATGTTCATGGATTGAAATTCAATGTTGCTGTAATATTCTATCTCCGAAATTTAACTCACTGCTATCCAAATAGAAATTCCAGCAGACTTCTCTTTGACAAGCTGAATCTTAAATTTTTATGGAAATCTAGAGGATTTAGAATAACCAAAGCAATATTAAAGAGAACAAAGTTAAATAACTTACACTACCTGATTTTAAGACTGCCTGTGAAACTAAAGTTATCAAGACAGTTTGCATTGGTGTGAAACAGACAAATAGATTAAGTGAACAGAATACAGAGGCCAGAAATAAATTCACACAACTGATTTTTGGCAAAAGCTGCAAGGCAATTCAATGAGAAAAGGGCAGTCTTGCAGCAAATGATGCTTTAAAAAACAGATATACCCATACTGAAAAAATAAAAACTAAACCCTACCTAACACTAAATGCAAAAATTAATTTATGATAGATTATAGACCTAAGTGTAAAAGCTAAAACTATATATAAAGGTCTTATAAATAAACACAGGAGAATATATTATTTGACTACCTTTCAGTGGCCAAATGTGTTATATGTAATGAAAAAAACTGCAAACCATAACAGAGAAAACTGATAAATTGGACTTGGTCCAAATTAAAAGCTTCTGCTTATTAAAAAAAAAAACACGATTAAACGTGAATTGGTACAATGCAATTCTGCTCAGCAATAAAAATCAATGAACTACTGATACATACAGCAGCTTGGAAAAATCTCAGAGATGCTGAGTGAAAGAAGTCAACCTCAAAAGGTTACATATGGTGTGATTCCATTTATATGGTGTTCTGTTTATTTATTTTTTAAAAAAACTATAATATGGTGATAGAGAACAGATCACTAGTTCCCAGGGGTTATGGGTGGGGAGCATGTGCCCACAAAGGTTAGAGTCATTTGGGGTGACACAAATGCTCTGTGTCCTGATTGTAATGGTGGTTATATGAATCTCTACATGTGTTAAAAGTAAGAGAAGTGTACCCCAAAAGAACTCAATTTACTGCATGTTAATAAAAGAATAAAATATATTAGTTGGCAACTAAAGATGAAGAAAAAAGATTTTGTAATATACACATTTGGAAAAGGACTGGTCTTCAGAATATATAAGGAATTCATACAACTCAGTAAGAATAAGAGAACTCCATTAAAAATAGGCAAAACGTGTGAACAAATACTTCACAAAGATATTTGAATGACATATAAAAAGCATATAAAAAGTGATCAGAAGGAGGATGAAAATTAAAACCATATTTGGAAAGCTATACAGAATCACTGAAATACTTAAAATTTAAAAGACTATCAATGCTAAATGTTGGTGAAGATATGGAATAAACAGGTTGCAGAGCTCTCTTACATTGTTGGCTAAATGAAAAATGGTGAAACCAAATTGAAAAACAGTTTGATAGTTGACTAGTTCTTTCTCACACTGCTAATAAAGACATATTCAAGACTAGGTAATTTATCAAGAAAAGAGGTTTAATTGACTCACAGTTCAGCATGGCTTGGGAGGCCCCAGAAAACTTGACAATCATGACAGAAGGGGGAAAGGGAAGCAAACATGTCCTTCTTCACATTGCAGTGGCAAGAAGTGCTGAGCAAAAGGGGGAAAAGCCTCTTATAAAACCATTCAGATCTTGTGAGAACTCACTCAGTATCATGAGAACAGCATGAGGGTAACCGCCCCCCATGATTCTATTACCTTCCACCAGGTCCTTCCCGTGACACATGGGGATTATGGGAACTACAACTCATGATGAGATTCGGGTGGGGACATAGCCAAACCATCTCAGTAGTTTCTCATAGAATTAAATATACTCTTTACCCTAGAGCCCAGCAATTCCACTCCTACACACTTACTCAAGAGGAATCAAAATATATGTCTGCAAAAGACTTGTACAAGAACGGTCACCGCGACTTGATTCATAATGGGTAAAAACCGGAAGGAACCCCAACATTCGTTAAAAGAACAGATGAAAAGATTGTGGTAGAATCACATAACAGAATGCAAATCAGCAGTAGAAATGAGTGGCCTATGGTTATGCGCAACAGAGAGCCACAGAAACATTGTGGTGGGTGAGAGAAGCCAGATACAAAAGAGTTCATTCTGTAGAATTCCATTTCTATAAAATTCTAGAACAGGAAAAATCTAATTTATAGTTAGAAATGGAAACCAGAACAGTGATTGCTTGGATGGGTGGGAAGGCAGGCACTGACTGGGAAGGATAATGATGGAACTTCCTGGGGTGATGGAAACATCCTATATTCTAATAGGAATGTGAATTGCACGTGGCTGTGCATGTGCCAAAACTCATCTGTCTCTACACTTATGTGTCTTTTGCTATATGCAAATTATACCTTGATTAAAAAGAAAATAATGTGTCTCTGGGGAAGACAAGATTAGGGATTAAGAGAAGAAGGGGATAATCATGTAACAAATAGACACACAATGGCCTTGCCTGGACTTACCATTGAAAGATGCCCAGTCCTGGGCATGGTCCAGACTCCACTGAGCTCCCTCTGCAGGCTCCTCCTCATCCCTGCCGCAATGTCTTTCCTCTGTTCACCATAGAGGATTTGGCAAAGCACACCCCTATTCTGATCTTCCCCTCTGGTTTGTCTGACATCACTCCTTCATTTTACTTCCCTCCCCTAAGGGGCTAGGAAGCTGGGGTTGGGGAGCTTGAAGGTGTGAGGAAGGGAAGGTGTGAGGAAGCGAGGGAGAAGTTGCCTTTGCTTATTGCCTTCAGTTGGCCCCTGGCTGCCTTGAAGAAGAGCTTTAAGCCCAGCTCCGGAGGAGGCCCAGGATAGCCCAAAGGAGTCTGGAGATGCTTATGGGAATAAGTCTGCATGGCGGCCACTGGCGGAAGGGAAGGGAGAGCTGGAGCTTTCCTCGCTCTGCATTTCTATTCCCCTTGTGTTTTTTTTTTTGTTGTTGTTTCCTTGTTTGTTTTTTTAACATAAAATTTTTACCTTCAAACTCTAGAGGCTGAGAAAGGTGTCCCTGTCTCAGGAGGGTACAGTTCTGAGGCTCACCCTGCTCTGCTCAGCACAGAGGTTGTAACTGAGCAATCTTCCTTAACCCCTTGGGGGGAAAAATAAAGAGGCAGAGGAATGCATTTTTTCCTTCTCCCTTCTCATTCTGCTCTGCTGACCTTTTGCTTAGCTTTTTGCTAATGTCATTTTCACTCTTGGTTGGGCTTTCTTGACAGTAAGGAAGACTTCTTTATGAAGCCGCGGTGATAAACTAGGGTCATGCATTCATTCACATCGAGGAAACCACTTCATCAGCTCTGACTTCAATATCAAATACCTCTAATCTAATCAGGAAAATAGCAAAACTCTGCAAAGTGCTCCTGTTAATTCTGTCACTTACTACCTCATGAGATTTAGAAAAATGCAGTTTAATTAGCAAAATAAAAGAACTTAATCTTTCCCCTATTATTCACACAAGTAAAAATATATGCATTGGCTGAAGATAAAAATAAATTGCATAGGGCTACTAACCAAATGCAGGGGTGGGAGACAGATGAGGCTGTAATCACCCTGATTGTAGAGTATGAAACAAACTCTAAGCTTTGTTACGGCCTCAGTAAAACAGTGCAAAGAAATGCCTCTCTCCATAAATGTTTCACACACATTTAATACAAGGACGAACAATTTTTAGGCCAAAAGGTGTTTCAACACAGAAGAAAATACTCCCTCTATTTAATCTCGCAGTTTTTGTAACATGAAATAGGGCTCTTCACAAAGTTGGTGCTTTGGATTTTAATAAAAACTATACAAGACAAGAAAGAGAGCTTTTTCCTACAATTATCTTAAAAAAGAAAATAAGATCCCGTCTTAACAGATGATTGCAACAAAAAAGAAAAAATACATCCTTTTTTGGTCTTTGCTTTTGAACTCTCACCACCTCTACCCTTTTACATATTCATAAAATGTATACCGAGCTAATTTTGAATGTGCCCTTTATGACTATATCACGGTCATAATATCGTCACGTTCTGAAGGCGTAATTAAAGATTTACCTAGATTTATGAGACTTTATCATTATCAATAGGGTTAAGGAATGCCGGGGAGACACATTGTTGGAAGATTTTGCTCAGCAATTTCTTGAGCAATGAGAGTACTGGTATTACTTTAGTGCTCAAAAAAATGACTGTTCGGCACTAATATATGGCCCTTTATTAGAAAGGGAACACCAAAGACTCTTCAGTCAAAACACTCCAGCGCCTGTTCACCTCTTCCTTTTGGGGGATGAAGAAGCAAAATGTCTTGCTCATCGAAATGTAAGAGGTGGAAACATCAGCTCCCTACAGCAGAGGGTGGCTGACCTCTCACCTCTCCCTCCTTACAGGTTGAGCCATATTGCAACCCATGGATCAAGACGCCTTTAAAACAATGAAATGCAGGAAAGAAAACCCCCTAACACACCTGGTTCCCAACCTGCTTGCTGCCTTTCTGTGGCCTTCCAATTTTAGAGTCAGGCAATTCTCTGGAAGGTTGGTTTCAGTGGCAATTCGAGCAATTAAGATTTTTTGTTTGTTTGTTTTTTGCCATGTCTGGCTAGTGTTTCGTTTTCTGATTCTCAGAGTAGTCTTCACTCAGAGCAAGACGAGCCTCAGAATGCCATTTTTCATGCAACATATCTTTCATGAAAATGAGAAGACCTAAGCCGGGTGTCGAGGCACCCTGCCTTCAGGCTTTGCAGGGAAAAGGCATGTGTTGAATCAGTGTCATTATGACAGCACCTACACTGGCAAAGGCTAATTTCTTTTTGTCCTCTAAGGATGGAGAGAGAGAGAGAAAGAGAGAGAGAGAGAGAGAGAGAGAGAGAGAGAGAGAGAGAGAGAGAGAATCTCATAGAATTGGCTCACATGATTGTAGAGGCTGTCAGGTCCTAAATCTGCAGGGCAGGCTGGTAGGCTGGAGACTCAGGGAAGGGTTGATGTTGTAGTTCAGATCCAAAGGCAATCTACTAGCAGAATTCCCCTTTCCTTGGGCAAAATCTCTCTTTTTCTTAAGGCCTTCAACTGATTAGATGAGGCCCACCCACATTATGGAGATTTACCTGTTTGACTCTAAATCTAATGATTTAAATGTTAGTCTCATCTAAAAAATACCTTCACAGCAATATCCAGATGTGTGTGACCAGTTACCTGTGTACTGTGGCCTTGTCAAATTAGCACATAAAATTAAACATCACAATACCTATTTTAGGGCCCATGAGTCTCACTTTACTTGTCCTCTGTGAATTAGAGTCTTACATATGTATTTTTTTGTCTAAGAAACTTATCTTCTTTTAACACATTGGACACGTGTTGTATGGGTTAAAGCAATACACTTCTATCTGCAAAGGAAAGCCATTCTAAAGGGAAAGTTGAGGCGTGTCTGACATTGCAAGAAACACCAGCTAGCTTCTCCTTTCCTTTGAGGGATTCTATTTGACTCTCTGCTTTCCTTAGAAGCACTTGGAATGAGGTTCTTGGGTTGGGTTGGGAGTTTAGGGTCGGTCCTCAGACCTGCCTAGGATTTGGATTTTTCATCACGGGCTGTGCATTTTGGTGTGACCTAGAAATGTTGCATGCACATTTCCAAAACTGTGGAGTGAAACAGTGCCTTCCACTATCCCCTAGGCAGACTTCAGCTGGGCGCAGCTAGGAGGAGCTGAGGATTATTGTCTGAGGGATTCATTTCTCCCTGGAACAAGAGCTCTCTGAGATTGCATCTGGCCAACAATTCCATGCACTCTTCGTTTTTGCTGGATTCACAGCATCGGTACAGAAATGTTTATTTGGGAAGATGTTTCCCCAGCTTGAACCTGCTCTCAATGCCTCTGGAAAAGGTGGTTCTATCTGGGTTCTTTCTCCAAATCTGGGCAGAGACTGATGGAGCTCACTCTCCAAGTTCCTATTCCACATTGGAGGAATAGTAAAAATTACTTTATCTCTATGTAGAGCATGCGGCTCTCAGGATGCCTCAATCCATATGGGAACAATCATGGTTTGCAGTGGGGATGACAGACACTGCATTCACCTGCAGTGGAGATGCCTGCAGGAGCACGGACTCTAGAGGATCTGGCCAGGACTCCAGTTCCTTCTGGCTTCTCTTTGGAGTCCTGCATGTAGCTGTGTCCTTAGCTTGACCCAGGATTCCTCATCAGTGCTAATTAGCCAGAATAAAGCATCCACAACGAGGTGGCAATTTTTCATTTGATGAAATTGGCTGAAAATATTGCAAAAAGAAAAAATGTCCAGCAACAACAAAAAAAAGCAGAAGGCCACTTTCCAAGTCCCCTGGCCTGGGACTGTACCTTCACTTCCTCATTGCATTTTTCTTCCTTGTTGCATTTCTTCTGTCAGCCTGTGGGCACACCAACAAAACACAAATTCTGCTGGTGTGGGTCTGGAGGGGGATGCCCATGCTTTCTGCTTAGCATAGAGCCTCTTCCTGGTAGCTGGCATAAGTCTAGCTCCTTAATGCCCCACTGTCTCCGTTCTCCCTCCCCAAGCCACTACGGTGGTTCTCTCTCTCCTCTGACCCAGCCACAGAGCACTGCTACTGCAGAGGGATTCTAAAAGAAACCCCTTAGACATGGAGAAAACCCTTCTTCTCTCTGCTCAGATGGTACATCTTCCAAAACAGATAACATGACCCCTGGTAATATTACCAGGCCTAAAATATTACCAGAACCTACCCTGCCCCTTTGCTGAGGTCCCTGCCAATCTGCTTCCTGCATGGTAAGGAAAAGGCCATGAAGCCAGAAGATTCTGGATGGGTTTCCTCTTTGGTAATCACGCTAAATCATGAGACACCTTCTTATGCTTAAACATGGCCACTGCAAGATGAGGGAAGTTGGTGCTGTTCTGCTTGATTCTTCAAAAACTGGTAAGTGGATCTAAATCTCTGCTACCCAGATGAGTTAAAAACCTTGGTGTCAAACTGGAGAGCCACCTGCCCTGCCATTGTGTCATCTCTCCCCCTAATGAGCTCTGGGAATGAACAACCTGAGATTCAACTTAGTCCTCCACCAAGCAGGCTGTTACAGATGTTCTGCATATACTGAAATTAGCAGGTGAGTTGACAAGATGGTGACATCGCTCATCTTTTTTCAAGCTGCTTACCTTTATCAGTCTATTGTGCAGGTTGTGGTAGTAGATACAGAATTACATGCCTGCCCCAGCGTGAGCCTCTGCACAGGAGAATGGCCAGATAAAGGGCCGGGCCCCAGTGGTAGGAAGATGGCCTGATGGCGGTTATCATAAAAGCAACAGAAATCCTGTCAAAGCGTCCAGCTCTCACATTCAGCATCTCGCATGTATGAAAGAAGGAACATCTGTGACATGCCCGTCAATATGTTTTAGCAACATTTTTTGGGACCAAAATTAACATTAACAGGAAGACAGGTTTGTGTTTCTGTATTTTCACTTATTAACACAACAATCCCAAGGTGATTAGCAATTCTGAGCTATGTTGGGCTGTGAGTTTCCATGTGCAGCATTGAGACACAGGACAAACATCCTCACTTTTAGCTCAGAGTTTGGGCTTGTGGAAATTTCAGGAAACCACATAGCTTTGAAAAGCTTGGATGTCTTTCAGTCCATGTTTAGATGTGAGGAAACGTGCACCAGAGAAAACAGAAATGTCACGGTGCCACTGTGTTGGATTATCTCCAACATTTGCTAAGTGCCTATGGTGGGCCAGGCTCTGTAGAAAGCAGGTGTACAGCCCGTACCTTGCTATCTAGGACTGGAAGTCACAGACTCTTCATTCATTCATTCATTCGTTCATTCATTCATTCATTCACTCACTAATCATCATTGGCTTAGCAATTCCTGAGTAGCAGATACCCTGCTAGACACTGCCAAGCCCTAGTCTACAGTAATAATCAGATACTAAACTTACCTAGAGGAGCTCACAGAGGGGTAAGGAACACAAACAAACTCAAATGTAATTATAATACAAATTGCCAGGACCAGGGGCTTTACCAATTCCTGTGTTTTCAGGGAGGTCCAAGGGAGCAGAGGCCAGCTCTGACAGTTAGGCTGTATGTAGATCTCCCAAATCTCTGAGAATCTCTACCTCCCTATCTTACTGGGCTCGTGTGAAGGTTGAGAGCCCTTAGAACGCTGAGTGGCACTATATGAGCTCAATAAATGGTAGTCATCATCACCACCATCTTTACTACCACCACCACCACCACCACCTCCATCATCACCACCACCATCATCATTGTTACCACCACCATCACCACCATTATCATCACCCCCACCATCACCACCACCATCACCACCACCACCACCACCTACCATCATCATTGTTACCACCACCATCACCACCACCACAATTATCACTCTTACCACCACCATCATCATTGCCACCATCACAAACACCACTGTCACCACTACCACCATCATCATTCTTACCAGCACCATCACCACCACCACAATTATCACTGTTACCAGCACCATCATCATTGTCTTCATCACGGGGATAGATTCTCTGTTTGCCCCCCTCCAAATCTACTTTCTATCTTCCTCCACCCTGCTCTGTACTCCAGGAAGCTGACCAATGTGGACTTCATCCATAGGCTCTCTTACTCTTTGACTTCTAGTTGGGAATGGCTAATTGGGAGCACTACAAGAGATGGATATCAGAGGACAGTCAGAGTATTTGTTCCCCTGTCTTTCTCTCTTCTGGGCCACCATGGACAGTGGCTGTATTCTCCTGGCAAAGGTTATCAGATGACCTCTTCCACTGGACAGCTCTCTCTGGGTTCTGGTTACTGCTCCTTCCCTGGCCCTTCAGGTCACAAGGTGATGGAGGTTGCTGCTGCTGATAGCCCTGGAGTGTTTTATCTTCCCTTGCTGTTTTCTGTTAGTCCCTTTCCCCATTGTTGTGAGTAGTCCTGTCAGGAAGCTCTTCAGTCAACCTTGGGTGTGTCCTGGGTTTCCCACTAGGATCCTGACCATTCAACCATCATGCTCATCATCATCATCATCATCATCATCATCATCATCAGTGCCTTCTGCAGTCCAGGTCTCCTGCTCTGTCTTCAACTACTATATTTCCTGATTTCCACCACCATCTTCCCCAGAGGCACAGGTGCACATTTCTTCAGCCAACTTTCAGATATTGACACCTGAAGCTGAAGCACGTGGTGTTTGCATCCTCCAGGACTCAGCTCAGGCATTATCTTCTACAGGAGGCATCACTCACCTGTCCTTCCTCCAAGGTCCAGATGACAGCCTTCTGATGACATGTCTCACCCTGGAGCACAGTTTCCTTCTGTACCTTTTGCCCTGTGAATTCCTGCAAAGAGAGAGGCAAGGATGCTAGCATCTTCTTTTTTTCTTGAGAAGGAGTTTTGTTCTTGTCGCCCAGGCTGGAGTGCAATGGCGCGATCTTGGCTCACTACAACCTCCGCCTCCCGGTTTCAAGTGATTCTCCTGCCTCAGCCTCCTAAGTAGCTGGGATTAGAGGCATGTGCCACCACGCCCGGCTACTTTTGTATTTTTAGTAGAGATGGAGTTTCAACGTGTTGGCCAAGCTGGTCTTGAACTCCTGACCTCAGGCGATCCACCTGACTTGGCCTCCCTTACAGGCATGAACCACCATGCCCAACCGATAGCACCTTCTTTATGCCAACATTTAACATGGACTGTTAAGGATAGATCCTTGTGGCAAGCAGGAATGAAGGAGGGGTGCGAATGAGGAACAACTGACATTTGCCCTGAATACTATTATCACTCCAGCTAGTCCCAGTAGCCAGGAGATGCTGACAGCTCTCTCTGCAAACTGTGACTACCACCCAGGGCTTAGCATGCTGGAGGGACTGGGAAACATTTGTTCAATTAAACAAAAAGAACGATCATATCTATCATCAATGGGAAGCTTACTATTTGCTAACCCTGAGCTAAGTATCTTCATATGTTGTTTCCTTTCATGCTCAGGCTGTCCCTGCTGTGAGATTGACATGATGAGGAAATTGAGGCAGCTCTAAGCCCAGGCCTGTTAGCCTCCATTGTCTACACTTGCAGCCACCAATGCCCAGTCCGTGGTGTTTGATTACAAAAGTAGATGAGGGGAAGCCAGAAAGTGGACTACAGGAGCCTCTAAACATTTGTCTTATTCTCATTGTGAACATCAGGTTCATGTCACTGCTCTGTCCCCGCCTCCCCTCTCTGCGCAGTGCTATAAAATGGGGCAATGATAGCACCTTGTCCTTGGGTTGCTGTGAGCTTCAAAAGAGAATATTCCTGCCCTGAGATGTCAAGTTATTATATTCTAGATGTGGTCAGCAGACAAATGGGGAAAAAAAGCAACCCCCAAAGATCTATTTGCTTCCCAGCGCGCAGAACTTATGACTGTTACATTTTACAGCAAACACTGGGATTTAAGTGAGGGATGCTGAAAGCAGGAGCTCATCGTGGAATTTCCAAGCTTACCCTAAATGCAAGCACATGTGTCCTTGTAAGAGACAGGCAGCTAGAGAGGAGACCCAAAGGCATGCAGAGGAGAAGGGTATGTGAAGATGGAACAGAGAGTGGAGGGATGTGGCTGGAAGCCAAGGAACATTGCAGACGGCCAGCAGCCCCGAGGCTGGGAAGGCAAGGGATGGAGATTACATGGAGATTCCCGTGGGGCCCCTTGAGGGAGGGCAACCATGCTGACACCACCCGGCTGGCCATTCTCTTATATCATGTCTCTCCTGCAGCTTCTGGGGGCACAGGAGAGCTTAGCACATCTCACTCCTCCCAAATCCAAGTCATTTTCAGAAATGTTTAATTTGAAATACAGCATGCCTACAGTAACCCACTGTATGAAGGCGCCATGGTCCATTGATGCATCCTTCTGCTGATGGATTCTTGGATAGGTCCCAGTTTATAGCAATTCTATACTATGCTGCTGGGAAAAGTCTGCTGGGATAGGGCAGGAATATTCTCTTTTTGCTCACAGCAACCCAAGGGCCAGGTGCTATCATTGCCCCATATGCACATACTTCTGCCAGGTACATTCTTACGAGTGGCATTGCCAGGATGGAGGGTACACATGGTAGATACTGCCAGTTTTCCCAAGTGATTCTACCAGTTTCCATTTCCACCAGCAGGGCATGAGAGCCCTGTTTGCTCCAGGTTCTTGTCAGCTCTTGGTACTTTCTGTCCTTCCAATTTTGCCAGTTTGTGTGGTGGTATCTCGTTGTGTTTTTTGTTGTTGTTGTTGTTGTTTTTCAGTATTTCCTTTTTTTAAGAGACAGAGTCTCTGTCACCCAGGCTAAAGTGCACTGGTGCAATCACAGCTCATGGCAGGCTCAACCTCCTTAGCTCAAGCAATCCTCCCACCTCAGCCTCCCTAGGAGCTGGGACTATAGGTGTGTGTCACCATGCCTGGATAATTTATTTTTATTTTTGTAGAGAGGGAGTCTTGCTATGTTGCCCAGTCTCAAACTTCTGGCTTCAAAAGATCCTCCCCACTTGGCCTCCCAAAGTGCTGAGATTACAAGCGAAACACCATGCTTGGACTCATTGTGGTTTTAATTTGCACTTCTCTGATGATTAGTGAGATTGAACAGATTTTCATAGGTTCATGGGTTGTTTGGATATTCACTTCTGTAAAGTATCTCTTCATATCTTTCTCCATTTTTCTTTCAGATCACTTCTCACTGACTCATCTGAGTTCTCTTCCAACTATATATTCCAAAATCATCTGTGATAGTTAGAAACTTGATTGTCAACTCTGAAACATGTGCCCACCCCTCCTCCCCTACACAGCCTCTCACCTCCTTTGGTCCGGATGGATCTACAGGACTTCTGCTGGTGGGTCCAGCCAAGCCTCTCTCCTGGATGTCCCCTGGGCTGGATTATTCTCACCACCTGGCCTTGCCTCAGTCTGCACCACCTACCTAGAGATCCCTCTCTTTTTACCACTGTGAAAACTGACTCAAGGTGCCCCCAACCCCAGAGGGCTTCCTCCTCCTTCAGCCCACACAGAACTTTCCCCTCAGACCCAAGTTGCAGCCCCTCATGGGTTCCCTTCCTTGTCTCTGAGTGAGCCTTCTCTCATTTTACAGAGAAGTAATAATCATAGGCTCCTAAGGGTAGGGCTGTGTCTCCATCTTCTTGATTCCCAGACCAGAACCTTCCCAAGTACTGGGCAGAGATGCGGGGCTAAGTAAAGGCTGATGCCAGCCAGGCCTGCAGTGCTCAGGGACAGGAAGATGGGGGAAGAATGCTCACCACTCCCTGCCTGCTCCTGGCCAGGGCCCCACTGGCCGCCTCCACTCAGAGCAACAGAGAGCAGACACACAGCTGTTCCATCTGAGGCCCTGTGCCTTGGGCACTCCTGCCCCTTTGTACCCACCAAGGGCCTGAGCCAGAGCCTCCTTCTCCCCACTAGGATGTGCTCCCTTTCCTGAAGACCCTGCCAAGGAGGAACCTTGTCCTTCATGTCACCCTTGTGCCAGCCTCTGAGACCCAATCTAACCCTGAACACATGGCTCAACTCTACCAGAACCTCTCCACAGAGTCCCTAGAGGAAGGTTTATCAGAGCAATGCTTCTAAAACCAATTATTCTATCTAAAATTTGTAAAAAAAACACAAACAAATTAAAAACATGACAACTTGGGAGAGATGATTTTAGCTTAAGTCCTATATAGGGGTATTTCTCTTCACAGTTTTAGCAAGATTTATGCACATAACATTTAACACTTGAAGACAGCTTCTCCTTTATTTCATTTTATTTTTTTTCATTAAAATTGATCAACAAAACACAAAGCCGTATGTGCCAACAGGAAAGCGCAATGTAAGAATTCCCGGCCGAGGGCTGGCTGGCTGTGCAGGAAACTGACCTGTGTCTATCCAGCTCTGGGCCTCTTGGGGCAGCCTTGCCAGTCATGATGAACTGGGCCATTGCCTGACCCCTTTATCCTACAGACAAATGGCCTTCCAGGGCTGGGGTGAGACCACAAGGCTCATTTCCACTCCTCACTTTTCCAGGAAAGCCCAGCCTGGGACCCGCCCTGTTTGGGCTTTGATTTGCTGTGTGGGACCCAAGTCAGAGGAGTCAGGCCAGGGGATGTTTTGCTCCAGATTAAAAATAAAAGCCAGAATGCATGCAGGGGGGATTTGGCTGTCAGAGATGGATTTTTGTTTATTCCCATAAGGTTTGATCCCATCCAGTCTACTTTCTTCCCAATCTCTCTCCTGGTCCCACTCCTGTTCAGCCCCCTGGCTCCTTCTGGTTCTCATCAAGTACCCTCTCCCCTCCATACCAATGTCACCTTGCCTCAGCAAAATTCCATGCCTCTCTCTCCTAGATCTCAAATCACACACAGAAAGTTTTCATTTATTCAGTATTTCATTAATTCAAGAAACAGCTGGTGGATGTGATACTCTCACAGAGAAGACAAACCCATAAATAGATAACCAGATAAATAACTAAGATAAAGTCACAAAATACCAATACAAAGGGGACACACCAGGTGTGATGGTTCATTTTAGGTGATCTGGGCCACAGGATGCCCAGATTATTGTTATTCTGGGTGTTTCTGTGAGAGTGTTTCTGGATTAGATTAACATTTAAATTATTAGGCTAAGCAAAGCAGGTGGCCCTCCACAATGTGAGGTGGGGTGGTCATCCAGTAACTGAAGACCTGAATACAACAAAAAGACTGACCTCCTAGGAGGAACAGGTAGCTCCTTCTGATGGACTGATGGAGGTGGGACACTGGTCTTTTCCTGTCTTTGGACTTGAGCTCAAACATCTGCTCTTCTTGGGTCTCGAGCCTTCTGGCTTTCAGACTGGAATGTACACTTAGCTCTCCTGGTCCTCAGGCCTCTGGGTTCAAACTGGAGCTACCCCATGGGCTCTCCCGGGTCTTCCCCTTTGCTGACTGCATGTCTGGGGACTTCTAAGCCACCATAGTCACATGAGCCAATTTTTTTTTTTGTTTGTTTGTTTTTATTTTTGAGACGGAGTCTCGCTCTGTCTCCCAGGCTGGAGTGCAGTGACATGATCTCAGCTCATTGCAGTCTCCACCTCCTGGGTTCAAGTGATTCTCCTGCCTCAGCCTCCCGAGTAGCTGGGATTACAGGAACACCACCACGCCCAGCTCATTTTTGACTTTTTAGTAGAGACGGGGTTTCACCATGTTGGCAAAGCTGGTCTCGAGCTCCTAACCTCAAATGATCTGCCCGCTTCAGCCTCCCAAAATGCTGGGATTACAGGGAGCTGATTCTGTATAATAAATCTGTTTACATCTATGTATCCTGTTGGTTCAGTTTCTCTGGAAAACCTTGACTAATACAACAGGATCCGGTGGGAGAGAGTGGCCAGGTTGGAGGAAATAATTGAGCTGATGAGGAGAAACAGCCAGATGTTCAAAGCTCTTAGAAAAGAACATTTTAGGTGCAAACCATAGCATGTGCAAATGCCCTGGGATGGGAACATATTTTTTCAAGAAACAGACAGAAGTAAAATACTTATGAGTGCTTTCCATTTACCACCTGATGCCCAGAATGTCCTCATCTGAGCATATTCCTCACCTGAGGCATAGATGACATATTCTTAATGTGACCTCATTTTTAAATGTGCAGTATAGTCTTTTGTACTGAGTTAAACACTATAGGTAAGCACTTAGCAATTGAGAGTAAATGTAGATTTATTGTTTTTCACAACAAACAAGGTAGTCAGGGATTCCTTGTTTACAAACTACTTTGCATTAATTAAATGCAATCTGGAAGTCATCTTGTCTCCTCTGTATCTCTCAGACCCCACATCTAATCTGTGAGGTAAGCCTGTTGGATTGCCTTTAGAATATTTCCACATTTAGAATATTCTCGCATCCACAACTGCTGCTACCAGCTTGGTCCCTCACCTCCAGGCTATGTGTGCCCCATCCCAAGTGACCCACCACATGGTCATTGGATCTTCCTTTTCAAATAAGAGTCAGATAATTAATACTACTTCTCAGCTCAAGAGCCCTACAAAGGACTGCCATTTCATCTAAGCATGAGCTAGAGCCCTTATGGTGGCTCTGAGACCCTACATGATCTAGCCCCATCACCTTCTGTCCCTATCTTGGGTGTTTTTTCCCAACTCCTGCCACTCCCTCCTTGTATTCCCACTGACCTACTGCTGTGCCAGGAACAGGTCAGGCCCACTTCTGCCCCAGGGCCTTTGCCTCTCTCCCTAAGATTCTCTTCTTCTAGATTTCCATGGCTCCCTCCATTTTAAAATCCTTGCTCAACCTCTCCTCAATGAGCCTGATCTTGTTCATCCTATTTACATTGCCGCTGCCAACTGCTTAGCTTGCTTCAGGTCTTCTGACCACTTTACTTTGTTCTATTCTTCTGTTCCCTGCAGATACTTCTGAAATAAAATATGATCTTTATGTTCATGATGCTTTTTATTTATTGTTTGTCTTTCCACTAGAACGTTAAAGTATAGGGATTGTTTTCCCAGTTTTGTTCACTGTTGGCGTGTGTTCTCTGCTGAAGAATTTGAAGTTTACTGAAGGAACACTTGCCTGTGCATTTCTTGAGTATGTGTGAATTGCATGTTTTGCATTTCAGACTTGTGTGAAAGCTAAGGTAACAAAGCAGTGTACATGGGAGATTTGTACTGCTGCCACCACCATGACTATTGAAGGAATGTTTGCAGTGGGACAAATATTATACCAAATTTTTGCCTGATTTTCTCTGTACATTTCAAACCCATCCTATTAGACAGACAGTGTTATCGCCCCCATTTTACAGATGAGCACATTGAGGCATAGAGAGGATCTACAACTTGCTGGTTGTCACTAAGTTGATGCTGTCAGTAGCAGAGAGTCAACCCAAAAAGTGTGACTTCAAACCTCTGCCCTAAATCTTGGTCGGCCGCCCTTCCAAGGGCACTATGATATGGAGGTAGCTGAGGGTGGGACATGGGTGAAGTGTACCTCCAGACCAGGTCTCTCCAGAGATCTTTCTCAGTTGTCATGGTTGTTTTGGTGTCTCTTGAAGGACCAGTATCCCCCCAACCACGGGACCCTCCATTAAAACAGACCTATAAGGCCTGGAATGAACAAATGGGTCTTCACTGAGGAGAGGCTTGCATGGTTACTCAGATCTCTAATACCTGAGCGGGGAGAAGATTTTGGAGAAATGGGACACTGGGCAGGGAACTCTGGCCTCTGAGGGGAAAGGGAAAGGCCTGGGGCAGAATGGACAGGGCTCTGATGGAAGGCCTTCTCAATACTGACATCACATTAATTCTGGTCCTGGTGCACATGGGCCCAACCCTAAAAAAATCCACTCCTACCCCACAGGGAGTATGAGGCCTTAGTTATTGGGCATAAATACCTTTTATAGGCCATTATATCTTTTCTTTTGAAACAGGCCTAATTGTCCCATAGAACTGAGGTTTATGGGTTTTTTTTTTTCTTTTTTGAATAAACATAGAAATTCACCCTCCCTGTCTTAAAGCTTGAAATTTATCTTTGTATGAGCTGAGTCCTTTTCTCAGGAAACTGATTCTCTGGCTTCTAGATAGTATCACCACATCCAAACTCTGAGATTCCAGACTGCTCCCTAATTTCAGTTTTCCCACACATAGTTACATTTCTTCCCTGCTATATAAACCCCTAATTTGAATCAGTTGGGAAGATGGATTTGGGACTCATCTCCCATCTCCTGGGCTGCATCATCTGAATAAAGTCTTCTTCCCTGGCAATACTCATTGTCTCAGTGATTGTCTTTCTGTGCAGGGAGCGACGTGATCTAGACCAAACCCCTGGCATTTTGGTAACACCGCCTTCAAGCTGTAGAGCAGGACAATGGCAAACAAATAGCCTGGGGCTCAGAGACCCAGGCAAGGCTACCAAGCGGGGTACTGGCATCTCTCTTCCTCTTCCCCCACCACCTCATTTTTTCTACCAAGTGTACATTTTTCTTTACTGAGACCATTTTTCCCACCAAGTGTAAATTTTCTAATTTTGATCTGTTATACCTAAATTCCCTTTCTAAAGAATTTCTACTCTAAGAAACAAGTTGATTTCTCCATTGAAGGGTTCCACTGTAATTAAACTGATTGCTGAAAAAGACATCATTCTTCTTTTAATAAGCCAATTTGCATATTCAATAACTTTAGCCTCACTTGCTGAAAGACAGTTTGAAAGTTTGTTTGTATATTCTCTGACTCAAATGTTTTCAGATTGCCTTACCTCGTCTCCATTAATGGGGTGATAATGGAAAGAAAATGCAAGAAGAAATTTCTTTTAACAACAAAAAAATATTTACTTTGTTTTAAAGCACTACAATTAATAGACAACAGGGCCCCTGTGGGGAAACATCTTTTCAAAATCAGGTGTTTTGTAGGTTACTTTTAATTTCCTATTCATAAACTGATGCTTGCAGTCTAGCTGGACTTGGAAGGGTATGAGAGAAATATGGAACCCAAAGAATTACAGCTAATGAGAACAGATGGACCACAGGACCCAAGAGCATGTAGATGTGGGATGCTCTCTTTAGCTGCAGGAAGAATGGTTTGGTGAAGGTAAGAGTCACATTTGTTATGGGCTGAATGTAGGTCCCCCCAAACCCCCAAATCATATGTTGAGGCCCTACACCTCAACATGATGGAATTTGGAGAATGGGACCTTTGTGAGGCGATTAGGTTTAGATAAGGTAATGAGGGTAGGGCCCTGATGATGAGATTAGTGCCCTTATAAGGAGAGGAAGAGACTACCAGAGCTCTGTTTCCCCCATCAATCCCTATGTGAGGACTCACCAGGGAGGTGCTTGTCTGCAAGTCAGGAAGAGAGCCCTCACCCGAACCTGATCATGCTGTCACCCTGATCTCCAACTTGCAGCCTCCTGAACTGTGAGAAAATACATCCCTGTTGTTTAAGCCCCCAACACTCATCACATTTGTCCCCAATCAGCAACAGTGACCTTCTTGCTAGTTTTGCTACTCCTGAACCCAAAGTGAGGCTCCATGGCTTTCAAAACATTCATGCTACATTTCACCTTGCTTGTTAGCCATTCAGCTAGACCCTATTAGCAGTGCAGATGAAAAACAGCTGACTGCTGTCTGTGGCCAAGATGCCAGAACCCATAAGATGGGTTTGTCAGCAGACTTCTCCCTGCAGAAATCCCCTGCCACCATGGTGTGTGAGGTCTCCACCCTGGCATGAAAACCTGGGACAATTCTAGGGCAGCATATATCCTCATAACCAAATCCCAGATATTCCTTCTGTCTTTGGAACTTTGCACATCGCTCAAAGGACACATGGCCAAGGGCTCACCCTTACTGGCATTCTGGAAGATCACAGCATTGCTCGGTGTTGCTGCGGCACAGACTCAGGGAGTCTGTGTCTCCAGGACCAGACACAAACCTCCTTTTTTTTCATTGTGGTAGAACACACATAATAAGAAATTTGCCATTTTAACCATTTTTAAGTGTACAACTCAGTGGTATTAAGTGCATTCATATTGTTGTATAATCATTACTGCCATCCATCTCCAGAATCCTTTCATCTTCCCCAGCTGGAACCCTGTACCAGTAACCCTGAATTAAACAGTAATTCTCCATTCCCCCTTCTTCTCAGCCCTTGGGAGTGCTGTTCTACTTTGTCTCTATGGCATTTTGCCTATTTATTCATTTATTCATCTACCAATGAACACTTGAGTTGCTTCCACTTTGGTTATTGTGAATAATGCTGCTATGAACATGGGTGTACAAGTATCTCTTCAATTCTTCAGGGTATAGACCCAATAGCGGAGTTGCTGGGTCATATGGTTATTCTATGTTTAATATTTTGAGGAACCCCTGTACTGTTTCCACAGTGGCTGCACTATTTTACATTCCCACTGGCCTTTTTACTTTCTTTTTCTCTGCTTGAACAACTAGTCTCTCTCTCTCTCTCTCTTTTTTTTTTCAATGTCTGCTTCAAATAACATGAAGTCCACTGGGTGGAGTGACCATCTTCCCCAGCCCTGTGGTTCTCCCATTTCCAGCAACCTGGAGTGGGGATTTTTGTATTTATTTCTTTGTGGGGCTAATTTTTCAATATGTCTTCTTCGCATGTTCACATAAAGAACTGAATTTATAAAATAGTGGAGACTTGCATGGAGACTCAAGCTTATGACAGTTGGATGCTTTTCTCCCTCAGGATGAGTTGCTTTTTATACACCCCACACTATCCAAGTATGCAGCAGGCCACAGACTACGTCCTACGGGGCTCAAGACCAGCTGGCCCAGGTCAAGACCTGGGTACAGAACCTATTGCATTCCACATGGCCAAGGTATACTGAAAGGCACAGAGGGGAATGAAAGACATTGGCTTTTCTTTGTTAAGTGGTGTCAAAATCTAGGCTCTTGCAGCTTCCATCCCCACCTCAGATGTGCCAAAAGACGTTGAGCTTGCTGGTGGAAGCCAGTGTCTCCTCTGACCCTTTGAGTTAGTCATGATAATACGCTTCAATCTTCAGAGCCTATGGTGTTTGCCATTTTCCAAGTGGAATTCAGGCGCTTTGCTCTCTCCAATTTCTAGCTTTGGCTCCAGTTGTTCAGTAATGCAATCTTGAAAGGGTGAATTTGGACAATCGCAGCTTGGCCATTTTGAGCACATATGCTAGAACTAAGTCTTTTTGGCCCAGCTGTAGCTTGAATCTAATGAAAATGACAGATAATGCAGTGCTCTGTGTGCCTGCCAAAAAAGAGGATATTTCCCATGAGATAGCACCTGGTGATGCAGAAATAGACACTATAGATTTGTGATTGGCTGGTGCGTACGCGTATTCATATCTAGCCTGTATTATCAACCACGCAAGATCACATCTTGGATAATAACAGCAACAATGGCATGCATAAAAATTACTGCAGCAAAAAGGAAAAAAAAATACTAGATCAATTATGTCAATTATGCACGAGTACTTTTTCCCCTCACAGTTTTAACACTGAGAAAAGGTGGCATCTATCTCTGATCTAATTATTCACTTGCTTATTTGTGGGTTCCCCCATCTTTGAGCTCTCCTCTTTTACAGGCAGATATAAAAGAGCTCTCTTTTAGAAACACACCGTGGACTCAAACGTGCCTACATACATATGTGACTTACATTTGAGCAGTTGAATAATCAGTAACTTGAAAGTAAAGAGGAAACGCCTCTGCGTGTTCTAAAGGGAAGCGACGGGAGGGGTATATACTGAGATGACCTTACCTTAGAGCAAAAACGCCATCAGCCTCGAGAAGTGTCATAAATTAAGTTGCTATTTAAGCCCTGATTCTAGTAAAAGGGTCCAAATTTCCAAGGTGCCTTTAATGACTCTGTGTTCAGTGACAATGAAGTATTTCTTTAACAGACTGCCACTGAGCAAACAGAAAAAAATGTGTGGCTCTGGAAAGAGAGCTTGCTGTTTTCCCTTTTTTCTTCCCTTCCTTCTTCCTTTCTACCCCCTTTTTACCATCCTTTCCTGTTGCTCTTTCTTTGGCCTTCCCTTTAGAGATGCAGTTGAAAACCCTCAGCACACAATCTCGGAATGAGACAAGGGTGGAATTCTGGCAGCCTGTGTTCAACTCTTGCTGGACTTGCTCTGTGACCTCGATAAAGGTCTGCAACCTCACCATGGACACACAAAACACTGTTACACCATTTTTAAAGTGAGGGGGCTTGAATTGGATGTTCTCCCAGGTCCCTTCAATCTCTCAGATTTGAAGCAAAGGGTAATTTACCTAGGCTAGCTTAGGAGGAAGGTGATTTTGAAAGAGAAATACAAAATCATTAAGCAGATCAGTAAATTTGATAATGAATTGTTTCAATTACATTCAGGTGGCAGCAGATGTTAAATTACTTTAGCAGAACCAAGCTTAGAGGTTTGTGGTTTACTTTTCTCATTTAAATATATAGATGCAAAGGAAGAAATCACATTTCCAGTCCATCTTCTCAAAAAGCCCTACTGCGTGAAGCCCTGTAGCATAACTTCTGTTGGTCAGGAGATCAGGAACATGGGGCTCCGGTCTCAGCTCCACTTCCCAAAGATTGCGTGTGCTCTGGGTGGAGCCTTCCCCTTTTTGTGTTAAAGATCTGCCATCTATAAATGAGGGACAGACTCATCTCTGGCCCCAAAATGTGCCATGCTTCCTTGTACTGTCATCTACCTTTGCCAGGCTTTGAAAATATATATCTCAAGTATATTTGTGTTGAGCATATAGTACTTTTCTTAAGCATGTGGCTTGTGAGCTCCTGTGGGACTGGATCTTTTTGCATGCCGTAGGGGCATATAGTCTTTTGGGGAAGCTTATGATGATATTGGTTGTAGCAGTTGCAGGGGTGAAAAGGAGTGATAGAAGATGGACATTTCATCCCAGCACCGGCATCTTGACTGCCCTAGACAGGCTTCCTGTGAACCCAAAGCCTAATATGATCACCAAAGGGTCATGTTCATTAGCCCAGTTGACCCCAGGAGAGGCTGGATTCCAGCATCCAGTGGAGGAGGGATATATGGCATCTTGGTCCCAGAAGGCATCTCTCCATCCTCTCCCTTCTTGGCTGCAGCCTTCCTGGGAGCCAGTTGCTCCAAGGCCTGGCTCTAGAATGCCCTACAGAGGATAGGCACAGTGCTGATGCCACCTGTTCCCTCTCCCTCGAAGTCCCTACTCTTTCTCCAGGCTCCCTGCCCTGTCACATGGAACAAAACCACACTGGGTCTGCTTAGCTCCTGAGACAACTGCCTCTTTAAGAACTTATCTCATATTTTCAGAAATTGACTGTGAAAATTCTAAGTAATGGTGTGACATGATCACACTCACTTTCTGTAGTTAATCCTTCACGAGGGTCAGGCTCCCCTCTCTTCTCAGTGGCTCATTTGATTGTCACCTACCTTGCACAAAACCTCCCAGCCCCGAGCACTGTCTGGTGGGTTGACAGGCAGTCAGAGTGCTGAACGCTGTGCAGGAATAACTGAATTAGAAAAAAGCTGCTGGCGCTGTAATAAAGCGTTTAATGGACAGACAGCCTCTCTTGCCTTCCTTGGGGTAACACTAAATCCCTTTTTATTGTAGTTTGCACAGATGTTAGTGAGTTATCCATTTCTCTAATCATACTAGAAGTCGGCACATCCATCTTAAATAAGAAGACCAGCCCACTTGCTTTTACAGAGTCCTTTTTCTAATAAACTTGTGTCAGTTTCAGGTCAGTTTTACCAATACAAATAAAATTCAAACAAATAAAAAGTATATTGTCTCATGATGAGATTTATGTAATTATGTCCCTTAGGTCACTTTAAATTTACACGGGGAGTTACACCCTGCATAGTCCTTGTTATGGCCTGGATTTTTCTCTGATTCGGGGACACACACAAATACCCACCCACAGAGTTTACAATATTGGATCTCCCCGGGTCAGGGCAGAGCCTTTGGTGCAGAACAGCCCCTTATTTTTGTCCGAGGGCTGAGCTGGCCTGTGGGTGAGCTGCACTCGGGTCTTCTCTGAAACCATCCCCATGAGGTCACAGTTTTTGTTTCTTCGTTTATTTTATCTTTGGATGACTTCGTTTACATCCAATCTGTGCTCTAGGTAGGCCAATGTTCCACCCCTGTTGTGGTCTTATAGACCACCCAAAGATCTTTTTGCAAAAGAAAATTTTGCAAAAGAGGTTCATGTCATGAAAAAAAATGTGTTTTTTAAAAGGACACAGTGGGGAAAAAATCCTACACACCAAGGTGCTCCCATCTGCAACTTCTGTGGACCTGGGAAAGGTCACCTGAAGTTCAGGCCAGGATAAATAATTGCTGTGGTGAGGGTTCCTTTTTTCCTTTCCATGGAGTTGATGGGTTCACAGCGGTAGCTGAATCTTGATAGATTGGCAGACGCTGAAAGGAACCGCTAAGCGGTGACCGGGGCAGGGCTGCACTTCAGTTCTCAGGGCAAAGGCTGGGCAGCGGAGATTCCGGGGCTGGGTGGACGACAGGGGCCAGGTGACAAAGCCGCCTCTGTCCCTGCACAGAGCAGGAACAAACGCCGGCCCTGGCATCATCCCCGGGACGGGCTCGGCAGGGTGGGCTTTCCACCACCACTGAGGCCCGAGGCTGCCGCTCGCTTTTATGCACAGAATTACTGCTCTCTGGGGTCTCCCCTGCAAGTGAGAAGGCTGTCTGTGTTGTGTTTCCTGGTCCAATCGGCCACTTCATAAATCAAAGACGATGGGTGGTGTATTAACCATTTGATGTCCTGTTGCAGAGAGGGAAAACCACCGCAGCAGCCACAAAGGGGGGAAAGGAGGAGAGCTTGGTGGGAGCTGCACCTCACCCCGGGGAGAGCTGCTGGAACAGGAGCCTTCATGCACGCAGCGTCCTTAAAATCTTTGAATTCCCTGGCTCACTCGCCCATCATTCTGCCAAAACTGAGGTCCAGAGAGGTCGGTGTGACTTGTGTAAGCTCTATCAAACAGGAGGATGGAGAAGCTCAGACTGGGACCCGAGGCTCTGGCTCCTAGCACAGTGCTCCTTCATTCACTCACCATTCATTCATTTATTCAACAAATGTGTATGGAGTGTGTGCTCTGTGCCAAGCACTGTGCTAGGCTGTAGGTGGCTGCCAGGGAAATATTTAGAACAGTGTCTAACATTTCACGTTTATAAAGAAATATTAGTGTTTCTTTCTTTGGTTATTAATGAATAAGTATGCAATCCTGCATACCTGAGATTTCTATCCTTCCAGGGGCTCTTGTTGGGTTTCTCTCAGGGGTCCAGGTCAACAGCGCGTCCCCAGAATTCGCAGTGCAGGAACAGCGGGGCATTCAGCTTCCATGGGCAATAGTGCGATGTTCTGGGTCGATGGCCTGAGAAGCTCTAAAACAGCCACCTGGCTGGTCTCGTTCTCTTTCCTGTTGCTCCAATGCCTATCCCCTTTACTGTCCTCTAGACCTCTGGCTGTCCCTGACCACCAAAAAGGTGTCGGGGTCAAGGGTCTGGACTCTGGAGCCAGCCGCTCACGTGAGACTCCCAGCTCGACCACCTGCTCACTGTAAGCACCAACTTGGGGACATTACTTAGCTTCTCTGCACCTCAGCTTCCTCAGTGTAACATGGGGATGATAAACACGCACTTACTTCTTAGGATCTTGCACAAATTGAGTGAGAAAATGCCCATGAAGCACTTAGGAGGGTGCCTGGTGCAGGGTAAGCCCCCAGTATATACTTGCAGCTCTTCTTGATGGGATTATTGGTGCCCAATCACCTCTCTGAGCTGTGTGCCCCAGCCTGTCCTTTTAATCCATGTTCCTCACTGGGGCCATAGTCATCTTTCTTGTTCTTTGTTTGTTTCGAGACACAGTTCCATTCTGTCACCCAGATTGGAGTGCAGTGGTACCATCTCAGCTCACTGAAACCTCTGCGTCCCAGGTTCAAGTGAGTTTCATGCCTCAGCCTCCCAAGTGTCTTGGATTACAGGCAAGCGCGACCAGGCCTGGATAGTTTTTGTGTTTTTAGTAGAGGTGGGTTTCACCGTGTTGGCCAGGCTGATCTCAAACTCCTGACCTCAAGTGATCCGCCCACCTCGGCCTCCCAAAGTGCTGGGATTACAGGCCTGAGCCACTGTGCCCAGCCACCATAGTCATCTTTTAAAGCATCTTACCAATAATTGTACTCCCCACTGAAACTGTCATGCCTCTCTATTCTCCACTACAGAATAAATCTGAGTTCTAAAAATTGGCATTCAAGGCCCTTTATAATCAGATTTCATCTTTCCAGACTTAGTGTTACCAACTCAACCTCAAACCCTATGCTTTAGCTTATCTGGCCCCATCCATCCATCCATCTACCCTCCCACCCATCTACCCATTTAAACATGTGCACCCATATTTCAGACTGATGAAATAGGCCAAAGATTACATTCTTTTCCAACAAAGCTTATCCTTTCTGTAAGGCCCACTAGTTTACCTCCTCTTGGCATCCTTAAGAACACACCTGAGTTCATCTCCCCTGGTTTCACAGCTTCATGTCCCAAGGCTTGGGTGTCAATTGCAGCTCCTAGGAATGTTAAGAACATCAGTTTCCTTCTCTAGATAATGAGAGAGACCTAGCTTATTGGCTGCTGTGTGATTCAGTGGGGCACATAAAAGCTGTAGCACAGGACCTGAGACAAAGTGGGTCCTCTAAGAACTGGAATTATTCCATTACTTCCCACGCTTTCCAGGTCTCGGGGTCTCTCTGAGTGCCCATGCACTTATGTTGACACCCCTGGCTGTGCCATGGTTCCTTGTTACCTCCCTACTTTGGGTTAATCTTGCCTAACCTCATGTATGCTGAGCACATAGTAGATGCTCAAGAAAACATTTGGTTTAGGGATAACAAAGACATTTCACAGCACTTGTTAACTTGGACTGATTGTGAGTACCTGCATAGGGAGCTGAGTTGACAAGGATTCTGAGGCTTTGCCTGATCTTGGTGGTAAAGAAATTTCATGATCAAAAAATGACGTGTGCTGTGAGGTGGAAAAGGAAAGAGAGGCAAGACTCCAGCTCTCCATGCCCCAGGAAAATCCAAGAAAGTCGGAAAAAAGCCGTCATCCATTTACTCATTCATCCATTCAAGTGTCTGAAACAAATTTGGGCGGGCCAGGAAATAATTTCCCCCTCCTCTATTTGCAAGACTCACATAAATTATTGTTTCATCTGACAGCCCGATAATAGCAACATTTCCATTATCCATTCAAGAGTGATGTTACCACTTTCTGAAAAAGTATTGAATGAATATTATACTTTAAATTCTACCTGATTATAATTAGATTATAATCAGATTTTTTTTAAGTATTTCATCAGTACTGAGTACCTACTGTGGGCCAGGCACTGTGCTGGGGTGCTGGGGAAAAAGTGATCAATAGGACACGCAAGGAACTCACAGATCCTTGGAGAATAAAATCAGGGGAGCAAATAACGAAGCTTCAAATCACCACATTGGCTTCACCACCTAATTATGCATGAGCACAGCCACTGATGAGTTCCCTGGGCTCTAAAATACTCACCGGGTACCTCAGCTAGACATATGTGAAAGTGACCTACAGATATCAGGAGATAACGACCCATGTTGGTGGATGGCGGGGGTCAGGAATATGGCCAGTGGGCCACATCCAGGCCCATCGCCTGTTTTTGAAATAGCGTCACTGGAACAGAGCCATGCCTCTTCATTTACATATAGCCCACGATTCATGCCCTACAATGGCAGAGTTGAGTTGTAACAGAGACCGTGTGGCCTGCAGAGCCAAAAATATTTACTATCTGGCCCTTTACAGAAAGGGCTTGCCACAGCATGGCAAAGGAACAGAATAGGCCGGTTCTAAAAATGCAAACTGCACGTCTGCCTGATTGGATCCTGCACATCAGGGCCCAGGAGGTGGCCCAAAGTTACTGAGGGGAAGGGTGACCCAGAGGGGTTTCCAGATATTAGGAAATGCAGATGCGACTCAGAGAACATCTCTTATGGAGGAAATGTTGTGTGTGCCTAAGGGAGGTCAAGTAAAGAGCGAATTCTAAAGAGGAGAAACTGTGGGACTCATATCCCTAAAACTGTGAATCCCATATCTCCAAAACTGGTGATGTTAGCATAGGAAAATGCAATTAGGGCATTCCAAATTATATCTATGCATGTACTTCTGTTTAAAATCTCAATTATTTATTTGTCTAAAATATGTTGTTCTGCCTTAACTTTAGTCCTTAGTTCAGAGTTGTCTGCTAGTAAAATATAATTCTAGTTGTGTGTGCTCCTTAATACTGGAGTGGGGTTTGGTTAAATACACTGTAGGAAATCATACCGCTATCAGGCATCCAGAATCTAGGCTCACCAAAATAATTTTTAAAATGTTTTTCTTGGTGATATGGATGTACTTTTATTATGTGTTTATACACATACAGAGGCATTCATATATGTGTGGTGATCAGGAATTATTCCATGTGAGATACACACACACATACACACGCACGCAAAGATATATAAATGAATGTTAAATAAAATTTAACTTTGGAACTATGTAAGGAAATCTTGAGCTGTAGAGACATTTAAGAGAGAAAGAGTTGGGTAAAATAAGTGAGAAAGACAAGGAAATGCATGACAAATTTACATGTGCACACAGACATACATATATCAGCATACAGAAAAAGATATTTAAAGCATATATATATATTCATTTGGACATACACAAATATTTTAAGTAGAGATAAGTATAGAGATATTTAAATTGTGTGTATATGCATGTGTGTGTGAATGTGTGTGAATGTGTATGTGTATGTGTGTATGTGTGTGTAGTTTTGTGTATGTGTGTGTGTATACGTGTGTGTATGTGTATATACGTGTGTATATGTGTGTATGCATGTGTGTCTGTGTGTATGTATGTGTGCCTGTGTGTTTGTGTGTGTGTGCGAATATGTGTGTGGCTAAACTATCCCTTTCCTTCAAGACCTTAGAAGCTGAGGCCTTTCCCTGCAGCTGCTGGACTCCTGCTGCTGTCTGTCTGGTGGGAATTAGTCACACGTGGAGCTTAAAAAGTGAGCCAGACTCAAATACCCATTTGGAGGGCTGCCTCAAGACAGAGTATCCAGGGGAAATTCGCTTTATGGCTGGGAGTTAGATACCAGGGTTGTCACTCTGAAGAGCTGCACAAAGAAGAGGTGTCTTTTGTAGTTTCTTGGCAGAGGGGCAGATAGACCGCAGAGCGTTGTTGTTTTTGCCAGTTGTGTCTAAGAACAGCACCCTTCATGCATCTTACAGTGCAAACTGATGTCTAACACGTGCACACCACCTAGAGGGAGGCCTCCAGAGTCCACAGCCTGTGCTCCTACTTGTTGGCTGTGTGACTTTGGCAAATTACTTAACCTATCTGTGCCTCAGCAACTTTACTTGCAATACATAAAGAACAACAGTACCTGTCTCGGGGTTAATATAAAGATGAAACCAACTGATATTTAAACACAAGGCCTGGCCCATTGTAAGCCCTCACTAAATGTGAGCTATCGTAGTATTATTTATTCCTCCAGGGGGAAGTGTGTTTTTGCTATCTTCAAGAGCAACATTCTGGGGTGTGGTGGCTCACACCTGTAATTCTGGCACTTTGGAAGGCTGAGACAGAAGGATTGCTTGAGGTCAGGAGTTTGAGACCAGCCTGGGCAACATAGTGAGACCCCATCTCTATGAAAAATAAAAGATTAGCTGGGCATGGTGGCATGCAGCTATAGTCTCAGTTACTTGGGGGGCTGAGGTAAGAGGTTCACTTGAACCCAGGAGATTGAAGCTGCAGTGAGCCATGATTGTATTGTTGCACTCCAGCCTGGGTGACAGAATGAGAACCTATCTGAAAAAAAAAGAAAAAAAATAAAAGTCACTTCATAAAAAGTCATTTTCTTTCAATTAACATTCCTCACCATCAAGGTACCTTATAGTTGGTGAAGCACATTCACATCTTGAAGCAGTGATGCCCAATAGAAATAGAATGAGAGCTTCATGGACAACTTTACATTTTCTTATAGCCACATTAAAAAGGTGGAAAGAGACAGGTAAAATTAATTTTAATAAAATATTTTTATTTAGCTCAATTGTGATAGCCAAAATAAAGACCTCCCCGAAGGTGTTCAAAAATCTTTGTTTCATGGCAAAAGAGCATTGAGGTTGCAGATGGAATTAAGTTTGCTAGCCAGCTGATTTTAAGATAGGGATGTGATCTAGATAATCTGTAATCACGAAGGTCCTTAAAAGTAGAAGAGGGATGGCTGGGCATGGTGGCTCATGCCTGTAATCCCAGCAATTTGTGAAGCAAAGGCAGGTGGATTACCGGAGGTCAGGAGTTCAAGACCAGCCTGGCCAAAATGGTGAAACCCCCATCTCCACAAGAAATACAAAAATTAGCTGGGTGTGGTGATGGGTGCCTGTAATCCCAGCTACTCAGGAGGTTGAGGCAGGAGAATTGCCTGAACCCAGGAGGCGGAGGTTGCAGTGAGCTGAGATCACGCCACTGCACACCAGCATGGGTGACAAAGCCAGAGTCCGTCTCAAAACAAACAAACAAACAAACGTAGAAGAGGGAGGCATAAGAGAAAGCGAGAGTGGTGCCATGGGAGAAGGAGTGAAGTGTCATCTGTATTTACAGCCACTCCCCATTGCTTGCATTACTGCCTGAGCTCTACCTCCTGTCAGATCAGCAGTAACATTCGATTCTCATAGGAGCACCACCCCTATTGTGAACTGAGCATGTGAGGGATCTAGTTGCATGCTTCTTATGAGAATCTAATGCCTGATGATCTGTCACCATCTTCCATCATCCCCATATGGGGCCACCTAGTTGCAAGAAAGTGAGTTCAGGGCTCCCACTGATTCTACATTATGGTGAGTTGTAGAATTATTTCATTATATGATTACAATGTAGCAATCATAGCAATAAAGTGCACAATAAATATAGTATTTTTGAATCATCCTGAAACCATCCCCAACTCTGGCTCGTGGAAACCTTGTCTTCCACGAAACCAGTCCCTAGTACCAAAAAGGCTGGGGACCACCATTCTAGAGCCTCCAGAAAAGAATGTAGTCCTGATGACATCTCAGTCTTATCCCAGTAAAGCCTGCATTGAACTTCTCACCTACAAAATGGTGAGATAACAAATTGGAGTTGTTTCAAGCCACCTACTTTGAAGTAATTTGTTACAGCTGCAATAGTAGACTAATCCACTGGTATACCAAACATGATCATTTTAACCTGCCATGGATAGGATGAATTGTTAATGAGATACATATATTTTTTTCTCTATTGTCCTTGAGATCCGGTGTGTGTTTTACATTGATAGTACATTTTCTTTCGTCCCAGCCACATGTCGAGTGTTCAGTAGCCACATGTGGCTAGAAGCTATGGTTTTGGAGGGCACAGACTTAGATAAATCTCACATTTTTAAGTGGTGATGTTAGCAGTAGGAAAGTACAATTAGGGCATTCCAAATTATATGTATATCTATAGTTTTGTCCTCAATCCCAATTATTTATTTGTCTAAAATACATTGTTCTGCCTGAACTTTAGCCCTCAGGTCAGAGTTGTCTGCCACGTGCAGTTGACAAAGTTGTTCATTGTACCACGAGAGTGACCACAGGGTGAGGCAGGGCTGGGAAAAGCGGTCTTAGAAGCAGCCTATGCCTCAAACATCGAGGCCTGCATCCTGCGGACTCTGCCTACCTCCCTTGGGAGCATAATGTTGTTATATTTATTTCAAGTCTATGCAGCAGAAGGAATAAGTCATTATCTTTGCATAGACTTTGATTCCCTTCAGCCCCAGTCCATTCTCCTTGGGCCCTCCCATAGGCGATTAGAATCATGAAATAGGTTGACACCTTCCAGCCCATCTGTGCCACTTTCCTGTACTTAGGTATATAGCCATATATGTTTGTGTTTAATTCACATAAACAGCATCATGGCATTTTATGTTATAATCTACCCTTTTCCTTCAACATTTTTTTGTATTGGTGATCTATGCAGCTCTCTTTTAAGAAGAACCAGCACAGTTATTCTGTAATGGGCTAGATTGTAACTACTTCCAGGCATTTAGGTTACATGTGGATCTTATAGTATCTATTATACCTACTGAGCTCTAACCTTTTAGAGCAAAAAGTGGCCACAGACAATATGTGAATAAATGAATGGGTATCTTCTAATACAACTTTATTAACAAACACAGGAGACAGACAAGATTTGGCTTGCTGGCCACAGTTTGCTGATTCCTACTCTAGTTCATCATTTTAGCTGCTACTTAGTCTTTTACTCTTTGAATATAGCAAGACTTGTTTTATCTACTGTTCTAGTGACAGTAGATAGCTTGCCATCATTTTCTTGTATTACAAGCACCACTAGAACACATTTCATGGACTGGTTTTCCTGTGCACCCACCTGCCAAAGAGTTTCTTTAAGTTAAATTCCCACAAAAAAAAATGCCAGGTTAGAATGTCAATATATGTTCAATTCTGTACCTAGGGCCTCATTGCTCTCTGGAATGGTTGTATCAATTTACCACCCTGCTCTCAGGCAAGAAAGTGCCTATTTTCCCTTCAGTCTCATCGCTGCTGCATGAGGGACTCCTGGGCCTGGTCACATTGGGCAGCAGAAGTGGCCTGCCAGCCCCATCCCCATGCACCCAGCTACCTTCTCAGTGCCGTAACTTTTTGCTTAGGAGGAAGTCAATTCTGTAGGTCATGATTAAGGAAGGGACCAGGATCGGCTGCCTGTGTTAAGCCATGACACTTATTCAAAGGATAAACTTTATTTCATCACATCTTGTTAAGCTTAACTCACAAAGCATATTGCACTTTATCTTAAGAAAAAAAAATCCATGAACCACTTGGCTTTGATACTGATGACCCTGGGAATGATTTTGCAATGCAGGAAATCAATTTCCTGGTCTTATAACATCATTTCCAGAGGTGTGATCACCAAAAAAGATGGTGCTCCCATAAAGATCTTTGTGCTTCTGCAGGTGGATAATGATCCAGAAGTCAAAGCTTCTTCACTTTAAATAGATGCCCTGGGTGGCTGATATCTGCTCCTGCTCCCGACCGACAAAAACTGGTGCCAGTGGGATGTCTTATCCCACTGATAATATCTTGTTTTGTTTATAGGGAGAACAAAGAACTGTGGGCATCGGAATCGGGAAGACCTACTGCCTTTAGGAAAAGACAAGGTATTTGGAGACTGGAATTATTATTGTTACACAAGTGCTAAAAATTTTCTCTGTCTGCTCCTAACTGTTCTTTCAGTTAACAATATTTATTGAATACCTATTACGTGCCTGACACTATTCCAGGTACTCATAATACATCATTGAATACAACAGACAGAGTCCTGCCTTCTTGGAGCATACATTCTAGAGCATATACAATAAACAATAAGCAGAATAGGCAAATTAACATTGGCCCATCTGTTTTTATTGTGCTTCTTCCATAATATGTCCCAGGAACTCAGGTTTTCACAACACGGTCCCTGACCTGAAGAAAGAGGCACACATTCCAATAGTTGAGCCAGATTGGTTAACAACAATAACAAAAGCAAAGCAATGTGATCATTAGATCATTATTCAGGGTATATTCTTATTGTGCATCAAATGTCACAAAGTATTTATTATTCCCAATGGTGTCACTAAGGGACTTGTGAAAGGTTCTCCTCCAGGAAGTTGGGGAAGGCCCCTTGCTCTCTGAGGCCATTAGATCGGTGTCCTGGAAAACAAGTTAGAGGGAAATGGAGGGGAGCATTTAGGGCAGGGAAACCTCAGGTGGAAACAGGTAGAGGCTAGGAAGGCAAGATAGAAGTCAAATTATCAGGGGCAGACGAAGGCGAGAACTTGGGTGTGTGTCTGAAAGCCATCTAAAGTCCTACGGTAAGCAGTGGTAAAGGACGTCTAATCTAAAATGCTTCCAAAACAAAGGGGCACTAATTTAAGAGAATGATCTGGGCCCCGAGGCCCTAGAAGCCTGCCTGACTCACAGTGTGCCTTCAGTAGAAATTTATCACATGAATGCGTGAACTAGCGCCCAGGCTGCGGAAAGATATGTCCTCAAAATGCAAGTCACAATTATTCCATTTTCTGATGGGATGGTCACTTTCCTACAACGAAGCTGTGTTTGGAAAGCCTGGCAAAGAAACAAATTAGATTTATGGCTATGCCTTTGTTTCAAAAATGCTGTCATCTTGAAGGCACAGTTCCAGCATCCCTTATGTAATATTCTGCTCCCTGTCGGAAGGGGTTATCTAAGGCAAGTAAGAGAGCAGGGTACAAAGGATTCCAGGACAAATATTCCTTGTCCAAGTAACATAGTCCCAGGGAGAGCATGGGATCACGTCTAGATGAGGCCAGATTCAATGTTCAGGCGGCTGTGAGGATGGGGCTGATGGAGACAGTGCAGGTGATTGGTTCGCTAGCTCTGCTTTTCCATCCATTTGCTCTGATTCCAGACAGGGCTGGTCCTTCTCTTTGGAATTATCTCCAAGAACCACTGTTGAAAGATGCTTTCAGGACTTCTCTTCCCAGGTGGGAGAACAGAGGCAAGGGGTGTCCCCTCAGCAAACCTGGCATCTTTACCTGTGAAGTTGGGACACCACGGCCATGAGGACAAAATGAGACAACACATGGCAAGTGCCGAGTAAGGGTCCTGGCCCTTATGATAGAGACAGGAGGCAGCAAGTGTCCCCCCACAAAACCCTGCCTTCAAGCCTAAAACAGCCTGAAGGCTAAAAAACCAGACTTCAGGTCTCAAATGAAGCCCACACTTTCCTGATTCTCTCTGAAAAATGCCCACCTGCACACTGGGAGGATGGGATGGAACCTCGGGAAGTTCAAGCCATTTGCGGTGATAGGAGTCTGGTCTCTCCTGTTTCTGGGAGCTGACCTGAGATTCAATCTGTGAGATTGGGGCCTGTTAACATGAACCCCTCTTGCTTTGCTGAGAGTCTTCTTCCTTTTCACCCAATAAACTCCATTATCCCCAGCCCTTCAAAGTGTCTGCATGGCTTATTTTTCCTGGTCATGTGACAGGAACCTGGTTTTTTTCTACAACACTTAGTCAGGTGGTTCTCTTCTTTATTCCCTACTGTCCACTGAGGAATGAAGGACAGATGTCCTGGCTTGGACATGGGTATAATATCTATCTTGGTCATTTGGGCCAATTCAGTGTCTTGGGTACAGGGTCATCCATCTGGGGGACTGGATGACATGAAGTTGAGTCAGAGAAAGATTATGTGTGGACTTGCTATTGTTGCACTGCAAGCAAATACACCATGTCAGTGGTACACAACAATAAACATTTCTGTCATTCCTGTGGCTGTGGGCTGGCTGGGGCTCAAGGCACCTACGGGTGGGGCTCTGCTGGGTAGCTCTGCTGTCAGTGTTTGGTGCTCTCTTTCTGGGCCCTGCAGGTAAGCCCAGGCATGTTCTTTTCATGGTGATGGCAGAAGTACAAGAAATGAGCAGAAACATGCAAGTTCTCTTAAGGCTGAAGTTCAGAACTGGGATACCATCACTTTCCTCTCTTGCTATTGGCCAAAGTCAGTCTCCTGGTCAAACACAAGAGTGAAGAAATTTGCTCCACCCTTTAATGGGAAGAACCACAGACTCATAAGGCAAAGTTCTAAACACAGGGCTAAGGCTGAGAATTGGGGCCAATAACTCTATCCACCAAAGGTGATATTTTTGTAATCTCTTTATTAAATGAATTATGTCAACACACTTACTAGACTAAGGGAGGGAAAATTACCTAACAGTCAACAACCATATTAAGCACATATTTAGTCATTTACTCAACAAATATTTATTAGATACTCACTCTGAGCCAGGCACTGTTTTAGGCCCGCATTACCATAGCAAACAAGAAGGACAAAGCTCTTGCTCTGGAAGACAATAAATAAGTTAACAACAACAAAAAGTTTAATTTATGATAATACAAAATAAAACAAGAAGTCAAGTGATAGCAACTACGTGGTATGTGGAGTACCTTTAAATAGTGAGAACATGTCTGTTCAACAAACTATGGATGATATTTATCAAACACCAATCAGACATCACCATCTGATGATCATAGAGTTTCTTATTCTGCCAAAACTGCAATCCATTTTATTCTCAGCTTAAATGACTGTCCTTCCACTCCTTTCTCTATAAGTAAGATGAAGGAGAGGGAATTAATTTTACACATAGTCTTTCTCTTTTGTAGAATGTTTCACCAGAGTTTAGAAGACTTATAGTCTAGAATGTACATTTTTTAGTAGGAATCCTGAGTGCCATGTTATATTTTTTCCTAAACATCTTTTTGACGAACAGTAATCATGGTAGAAAACTGGCCTTTATACATCAGTATCTTATGTCACACGGTATCATCAACTTTATGCAACACCCAACCGTAGTAAACAGCTGAACTCCAATGGCAGGATTAGTATGATTCTAACCAGAGTTCCTGATCCATGAAACCATCCAGTGAGATAATTACACTGAGAAATGAGTCATCTAAAAGACAGCCTAAATGAAGTTGTTATATTGGATTATTCAAATGCTTAACAATATTCAAGTATTTGTTGGCTTGACAAATCCATTTATATATTTGATATTATAAAATATCCATCTGAATACTTGCACTGTGTGGTCCTAATCATGGCTTCATGACTTTGGGTCCATTGGGACTTTGAGTTGCTTCCATTCAAGGCATGGGTCTGGTGATGGTGCCTCAGATGCCTCTCCATTGGGTTCTGTAAGGTCCCTGGAGCTGCTGTTAACAGTGGAGGTGTTTCACAGCAAGGAAGCACAGAGGAAGTTAGGATCAGGAATGGACTGGGCACTGGACATGGTTAAATTCTGCATTTTTCCATGACAGGATAATCGTGAAGGTTCTACTCCATCCCTAATCAGGAACTCTAGCTCCCTGCAATGACACTGGCTCTTCCCAGGGCCCTAGAGCTCTGGCACTCCTGAACATCCTTGGTGAGGTCCAGCTGCTTGAATACTCAGTCATGTTACAATTATATTGTCTCAAAGCCATGAAAAGGCTGTGAACTCAAGAGGATGTCTTCCACTTACAGTATTTATTTATTCTTCTTCCTTTCTTTTCTAATCACCCCTGAAGCGGCAATCCTCCCACCTCACCCCTTCCACATATAGCATCTCCAACTCTGAATAGTCAGCGAAAAGGAAAAACGAGCTTTCTGGGATGGGCTGACAAAAAACAGAAGCACCTTCCACATAAACATGCACACACACACACACACACACACACGCTCACATATACACATGTTATTGCATGAGTTTGGTTCCTGCTTATTGGAATGGAAAGACACAGTAATATGGAACCATCCATCCCATTCCTGAGACCTAGGACATTCTAGGCAAAACCCAATGGTGCGATTTTTTTTCTTTTCTTTTTCTTTTTTTTTTAAGCAGAATTCTTCATCTGTAGAACTGTCTAGTGAGAAATTTACAGGGAGAATTGACTCTTTGTCTCTACAAAGCCATGAAGGAAAGAGTTTAAGTGATAATTGTATGCACAGTTCAAAATATTTTAAATGAACTTGTTCTCACAAAGAAATAAGTTATGGAGTTAACTTTTGTGTGTGTGTGAATAATTAAACTATTGTCACCACTTTAAATTATCATCCATTGTTAGCTTACATCATTAAATCTTACCTCTTTGCTAAAGAATAATGAAAAAATGCACTTAATTAATAGTTATTGCAAGCTCCAGGCCATTGATAACGCCAGTCTCAGCCTGAATTTCACGAGTGTATTTTTGTTCTTCCCTCTCTGTTGTTGTGCTAGGAAGAGAAGCCCTATGTTTCATCAGGGACGAAACTGATTCTCTTGCATCGAGACAGACTCTCCCTGAAAACTGAGTTCTTCCTGAACCATCCAATCACATCGAGATTTTGTTTCTGTGCAAAGGGGGATGCTGGGATCCAGACTTGAGCCTTTGTTCTCCTTATGGAATTTATGAAACATCCTCAGCTGCTGTCATATAGTAGAAGAAGCTCCTCCCTCAACCATCCTATGTGTACAACGTTTAAACAATTTCTTTGATAATTTTGGGGGTTGAAGACTGGGTGGCTAGGTCAGAAGAAAGGGGATCAGGCCAGGTCTCTCTACTGATCCCTGGAAGAAGATGGCTCATGTTAATTTCTTTGTTGTTTCTATTAAGGAGGTGATAGATTTTTTTTTCTGGATATTGTTAAAGAAGCTTGCCAGGCCTGTAAAGAATGTACAGCATTCTTCAGATGAAATAAGGCCAATCAGTGGAATAATGAGGAAAGTAATATCTCCCTAGAGAGGCTGATGGGGTTTTCATCAAATCAGCCAACCTTTTCCCGTCACTTACACTGCCATGCACTCCAAGCAGGCCCTGTCCGCCTGCCTCCTCTCTTTTCTCCTCTTCGTCAAAACTTCCCTGTGGTTATTACTGATAATGGAATACTTAGGGACCCAGGAAATGTATGTGCACTGGATACCTCCTCTTTCTGAAGAATAACTATTAACTCTTATTTCGTTTATGACTCAACTGCCCCTTACATCCCAGAAGATCTTCAGAAGCCAAGAAGAATAGAAGAGTTGCAGAGATATGGAAGGTCTTCTCCTTGGTGGCCTCTGTTGCCTTGAACTGAAGCTGAGATGGGCAGGCTCCTGATGTCCAGCTTAGATTCTGAGGATGAGCAGGGACAAGATACTAGGGTCCATCTATGGAGGGACAGACCACACCATGGTGGCCCAAGGGGACTTCGGTGGTACAGGTGTGCCCAACGCCCATTCCTTGCTTCAGAACTACAAAAAAAGATACCTGGAAACCAGGTGGCTAAATAGCCCTTTTACCAAACAGCAGGGCCCAATGGCAGAGAGGATTGAAGAGCTGGCCTGAAATATGTGCTGCAAAAAATCTGATTGTGTCTGCCCCGTGCGCTGTGGGCCATCCTGCCCGTAGTGGGGCAGCCATCTCCCTTGCAAGGGACTCCACTGAGCTTCTTAAAGCTGTCTTCCCAGTGGGCAGGGTATCCCCAAAGGCCAAATGAAAAGGGCAGATGCATGTCATGCGATGTGGCCAGAAGACACGTGGATGCACCAGGATATGGTACCCTGGCTGTCTTCTTGATGCACTGGTTGTCCTTTGGTTTTGAACCTCATGAAGACTTTGCCTAATTGTGCTAGAAGATGAGCAGGCACCCAGAGGTGCCCATCCCCCTTGCAGGCCATCAGCATCGCTTTGCCCACTGCAAGCTGAAAGAAGCAAGACAGAAAGAGCCCGGGACTGGCTCCCAGCACACGGGCCTCACGGGCTGACTTCAGAGCATGGAGGAGGCAGTCAGCAGATTCTCCTCTCAGCAACCCGGGCGTTTTCTCCACTGAGGCTGAGGGCCAGGGTCACAAAAGAAGGGGAAAAAAATCACATTTTGCATGCAAAAGTTTTCCAAATTAAACGAGATCCATTCACAGAAGTCCTCCCACCGTGCTCGGCGAATGATTCAAAGCCTCCACATGATTTCATCTGTGCAGACTCTAATCCACTTACTTAATGAAATACATAATTAACATATTATAATTGCAGTAAAGATGGTTTTGACAGAAATCATTTCCCGTATCTAATACTGTGGTAATTTAATCTGTTCCCCACTCCCTAACATGACCCTCTATGATTAAGTTTCATAAGAATTTTTTTGATTGATTGACTCATCTGACGGGCTGGGCCTTGCTGAAGCAGTGTCTGTCAGTTTCCGGGGCGGCATATGAAGTCGCGGCAGATGGCTGCGGCAGCTCTGTGCACTGTCTCCCTGTGTGGTCTCCCGGTCTCCAGCGCTCTTTTTCTTCCCTTCCCCTTCTTCTAAATGCCCTGATAATCCACCCTCGACTCGCCTGAAATGCCAAAGCCGGTGTGTTTCTAGCTTCCGTTCCTCTGCGGTGGGGATGGTTATTAAAGGCAGGGAAGCCCAGACCTACTTGGGCGGGCGGGCGGGCGGGTGGGCAGGCAGTGGGCGCCAGATGCCAGCCTTCCCTCGCACCTGGCTGTGCCCCTCCCGCCTCCACACGCCGAAGCCAGCCTGGCTGCCTGGGAGTTCCTCCGCCTTGTCCACAGGCCTGCCTGAACCCTGTGTGTTGGCCGAAGTAGATGGAAAAGGAGCTCCTCCTCCCTGCACCTCCCACCCTGCCGGCTGTGGCTCTGCTCTGGGGGTGGGGGTGCGTGGCAGACCTTGGAGTTGGGGCGTACCTTGACAGGCAAAGATGCACACTCTACCGGGATAACAGTGAATTCTGAGCTCCTGGATTGCTCCTAGGGTGCTGGATGGGGATTCTGGGACAGTCAGGAGTTTAGGGAGTGATGCTGAAGTTTTGGTCCCAGGGAAAAGTGCTCTCAATAAATAAAATGTAAGGTGGCCCTGGGGGTGGGGAGAAGCCCCTTGCTCACTCTTCCAAGAGCAGGCAGGGCAGAGAGGGTCCCTGCAAAGTGACTTAAAACGTAGCTCCAGCCAGGCACCATGGCTTGTGCCTGTAATCCTAGCACTTTGGGAGATCGGGGAGGGAAGATTGCTTGAGGCCAGGAGTTCAAGACCAACCTGGGCAACATAAAAGAGACACCCACCTCTACACAAACAAACAAAATTAGCTGGGCGTGGTGGCACATAGCCATAGTTCTAGCTCCTCACAAGGCTGAGGCAGAAGGATGGCTTGAGCTCAGGAGGTCAAGGCTGAAGTGAGCCACGATTGCACCACTGCACTCATCTGGGCAATAGAGTGAGACCCTGTCTCTAAGAATAATAAATAAAAAATAATCCTTAAGAAGTTGTTAGAAAGTAGCTCAGTATGAAGGTCTACATCTGCTAATTTCTAAAAGCTTCCTCAAGATTGCTGTTGTGTATTAAGCACCCACTGTATACCAGCCACTTGGGACTGGGGACTGTGTGTTCTATTTAAGAGATCAGAAAATGATTGCCAGTGTATTGGTGGTAGAACCAATCCCAGTGACCCTGCTAGAGATAATGGGGCACTCTTTAAGTGGGGGGCATTGAGATGGGCTTAGAGGAAGGGCTCTTTGAGAGGGCGGAGGCCTTCGAGGGGCCATCTGACCAAGGGGGAGAGGCCAGAGCAAAGGCTCAAGCAGACGAACTCACAAAGACTTCCTGTGTTGGGAAGGAGGACAGGCGTGGCAGTCGGGGATGCCTGGGTTCATAAGTTGCTCTGGCCCCTCCTTGCAGATCACCCCATCACTCCAGCCTCCAGCAGGTTCACCCCAGTCCCTCTGATGTATCCATTTCATTTCCCCCTGGACTGCAGTCTTTTATGGACTGCTTATATCTCTTTACTGGACAGCAGCTCCCCAGAATTCAGGGCTGGGTGACCCAGCATCCAGGAGATGTGTGCACAGTACTTGGAGGGTCTGCAGAATAGAACTTCCTCCTTCCCTTAAACCCCCACCCACCCACTGAGTGAAATGAGTGACCAGAGGAGGGACAGGGACCCCAGATCTCCCTCTCATAGTCCCCCTTTCTATGCCGAGAGCCCAGGCATCAGTTCAGAAGCCACAGTGGCCTGGAGTCAAATTAAGCTTGGGGTGTTTCATGGGGGCACCTGTCCCTTAGCTCTGAGGCCACCTCCAGGCTCCAGAGACCCCTACCCCAACCACTGAGCCCTGGCCATGTGCCCCCTCTTACAAGGCCCTAAGCACTTTAGTCTTTGTGAGCCTCTTCCTCCTCCGAAAAACAAAAACTCAAACTTGTATTTTACAACCACATGGATGTAATGACAAACCACATCTTTGATTCTAAAAATTTATTTTTTTCTTCCCATTTTATTTATTTATTTATTTATTGGTAAAGATGAGGTCTCCCTATATTGCCCAGGCTGATCTTGAGCTCCTGGCCTCAAGCAATCCTCCTGTCTTGGCCTCTCAGAATGCTGAGATTACAGGCCTTTGGGCCTGGCCTCTTCCTGTTTTAATTGGATGAAAACATTTTTTATTCAATGCCCTGAAAGCACCATGGGTTCTAGGTGCTGTGCCTCCTGGAGGAGTCCAACCTGCCACTCCCCAGGCCCAGTCCTGAGGTTGGAGTAAGCACTGGGCCTGCTGCTGTGTTCCCACTGGCCCCATGCTGGTCCCACACTGGCCCCACGCTGGCCAGGGTATGCAGGTGCTGAGACCCAAGGGCCACATGGGTGCGGTGTGGGTTGGGACACCCAGGAATCCTGCCATCCACCTGCCATTTGTGCCTCACTGACCCTCAGCCCCTGGAGCTCCCCTTGGTTGGTTGCTGGGGATTCTGGGAGAATTGAGAATTTAGGGAGTGAGGCTGAAGTTCCAGTCCCTGGGAAAAGTGCCTGCCAGAAGTAAAATGTAAGATGCAGACAGGCAGAAACAGCCCGGCCACAC
Source organism: Homo sapiens (assembly GCF_000001405.40). Classification (NCBI taxonomy): domain Eukaryota; kingdom Metazoa; phylum Chordata; class Mammalia; order Primates; family Hominidae; genus Homo; species Homo sapiens. The sequence continues at coordinate 31,147,159 of NC_000019.10, read as the reverse complement.
CAGCCCCCTACAGCTTCTTCCCTAGAGCAGGGTCCCCACGTAGAGAGAAAAGGGCATCCCGACTAAGTTTTAGGGCGAGGGTGGGAGTGATTGAGAATGTCTAGGACCACACAAGCGTGACGGCTCCCGAGGTCCCCGGCCCCAATTCTCTCAGCAAACCATGCAATCCCAGGAATTGCCTGGTGGCGCCTCTCCTCTTCTACAAGTGCACGCCCTGACAGCATCTTCCTTCCAGCCCAAGGTGCCCTGCCCTTCTCAGGGTTCCATGTGGCAAGAGCTAAGAGGGCCCCCAAGGAGCATCTTTTATATTCAATGTGATCCGCCTGGTGCCCTCATGGGACACCAGTCACCCAGCGAACACTCTGCTTGAGTGATTCACTCCAGGCCGTGGGCTTCCTCCAAGGAAACCGTGTACATCTCTCCAGGTGGGCGTGTCACCATCTTCATCACGAACTAGTGAGTCCTGTAAGGACAGGAACAGAAGCTGAGACATCCTTATTTCTCTGAATCATAAAACAGAGCCCAGGGGCCACAGTGCCCATAAAGCAGAGTGCTAGGTCCAGGAGTACAAAAGGAAAAGCAGCTTCTACCTGCCCAGTGGTAAAGACTTTCCTCTCTGCAGCCAAAGTGCTCTGAGCCCACACAAGCTATGGAGTCCTTATGTGACTGGAGCTGTCCAGAAGAGGCCAGGTCTGTCTCAGCAGGGGCAGCTTGGACATCAGACAGGGGCAAGGATGGGGTCGTGGCCAGGGAAAGGCAGACTGCAAAAAAGAAATCACAGAGCATGCATGTGCCTACCCGCTGTCCCCCGCATTTGAGCCACAGAGCCCAGGTCCCCTTGCAGCCGGCTTGGCGTGCAGGCCGGGGGAGGGGAGGCTCCGTGTGAGTGGCAAGTGTACATGAACACCACCACGTCAACTGCCAATATGTTATGAGGCCTTAGTAACAATCCGGAGTCTCCGGGGAGCGCTGCTGCAGTTCAAGTGCGCACCAGACAGAGAGAAAACAATTTCTGGTGCCAATAATGCAGCACAGATGAAAAATGTTTTAATATTTGAAGCTGCTTTATGGCAGAAGCGATGACAGTGATGGACTCAATGTCAGCTTTTTTTCCTTAAATGTCATCTTTCGTCTATGAGTTTTCCCTGCTCCAGAGGCATGCAAGCCTAATGCTGGCTCGTTGCAGCCATTGATCATTGATTTTGTTCTAAATGGAAAGCTTGCCAGAAGACTAGAAATTCTGGAATTTATTAGGATTTCTTTAAGAGGCACTTTAGCTCAACAGTTCTCATTACTGTCTTTACAATGTTACTTATTTTTCTTTTTATGTCATATGATTTGTAAAGGGTTGGTACTCAGAGAACAATATACGATTAAACCATTGTGCATGCTGGAGCTGCCGGCTTAGTAAAAAGGATTCTCGGGGGGCTAAATACATATTTGACGAGGAAACGGCAACACGGGGCTATTTTACCAGCAAAATCTGTATTTTGAAATTCACTGATAGGGTTTGGGCTAAATGGTGTTTCAATGGAGGTTTTGATTAAACAGAGTCACTTACAAATTCATACCTCTTAATTCCACACGGAAAGGGCTAAACATTTTTATATTCTGACACCGGGTGCATAAACATCCTGGAGTGGGTACCCCGTGTGGTAGCATGATGGAGAAGGGGCCCACCCAGTTTCCTTCTGGCTTTGGGTGGCTCAGGGAGGGTCTAAAAGCTCGTCACTCTATTTATTTATGGGACGTTACCTTGTGAACACCAAAGGAAAGAGGTGTGATGCTTTATTATGTATTAACATTTAACATACCCATATGCCCCTGTCTAGGCAATCCTTCTTCATTTGGCTGAAAAGAACCCATTTGCATCAGACAGTTGGCTAAATGTTTTTCTTCTCTGACGTGTTTCTATTGGCACAAGACTAGTTCAAACAGGTATGTTAGCTCTTGGCCGGGCTATCTGACATCCAGGCTTTATTACGGAGCAGAGTGCCCGGGGAATGTGAATTATAGTTAGTATCAGCCTTGGCCTCCTAAACACATCACTCAGTCTAGTTGATTATGGAATTTTCTCTGAAGCCGGGGCCTCAGGATCCCTCTCCTGAGTGGGGTTGCAGAAGGCCAGCGACCTATCGTACCTCCTGTGACCAAAGAGAAATCCAAGGGAAAGGGAATGGTCCAAAGAGGAGGTGCAGAGAGGCAGAGGTCCAGCCTCCCCAGGCCACATCCAGGGTGGGATTTACAGCCGCTGAATGGAAGAAAACATACTCTGACCAGTCCTCCACACAGGAAAACCATACAGCAGCTGAAAGGGATGTAAAAACTTTCTGGAAAATGAAATGAACAGCAGCAAACCTAGGCCAGAATTTGCAAATTGCATATTTGGGTGCAGCATGTTCTCGCATAGCCAGAATGAGACAAACAAAACTTGAGGCTGTGATCTCTAAAGGTCTGGCCTCACACACTCACTGCACCATGGGAGGCCTTATGCAGATGGACCGTGAACAGAGGAGCTGCTTGCAAATACTGCATGGCAAGCCCAGTGCTGTGGGGTGAAGAAAACTCCCTGCTCTTGACCTAGCAACCACGACTACAGTGACAACTACTATTAGTATTACCACAATACTACTATATTACAACCACAGCTGCTACGATTGCCATATAACAGGTAACTGTGGTCATCTCTTGCCCTAGACCACCAAAACACCCTTCTACACTACTACTCTGCTTCTCCTCTCCTCTCACGCCATTGTCCACCCAGCAGCCAGAATTCACCATTTGAAACATAAGACATCACTTGCTAGCTCAAAATTCATGTGACTTCCCATTTCACTTCTAGTAAAAGCCAGCAGCAATTTTTATGACCTCACAGCATCATATGATCACCTCTTCCTTTTCTGACCTCATCTCCTACTACTCCCACCAGACCACACGGGCCTTGCCTGTCTCCTTCTCCACGATCTTTGCAGTATTTCTTGGCTCCTCTGTGCACCAGTCTCCCCCACAGGGTCTTGTTGCTCCTGCCCTTGCTTCTGGGTTCTGCTTACATGCTACCTCTGCAGAGTTTTTCCCTGACCACCCACCTGAATCACAGGGGTCCTCACAGGTAGGTGATCTGTCCTCTTACTGTGTCCCAGGTTGAGTTCTTCAGAAGGAAGCAGACGCCAAGATGGAGTTTTGGTTGCAAGATGTTTCAGAGGGATCAACCCCTGTGTAGGGAAGAGGGTAGAAACATTGTGCAGAGGAAGAAATGCAACTGACGTGGGTGGCTTGGGAGTAAGAATCACTCATCAGCGTATCCCGCCGTGAGCCAAAATGGCCAGACGTTTACAGGCACCTTACTTAGTTCTCAGATGGAGGCTGCCCCAGGAAGGATGAGACCCTTGTCAAGGCAGCTCTGCTCTGCAGCTAACCACTTTCCCTGCAGTTGGGCAGCGAGTCCCTCCTTGCTGAAGATGGGTCTCCATCTCTGCAATGCCCTATTGACTTTTCCTCACTGTACTTACTATTATTTGAAATAATATGTGCATTTATTTGTGTGATTGCCGTCTCTCTCCAGGAAGGCAGCATGTTGTCTGTCCTTTTCCTGCTGCAACCCCCGAGGTTGGTAAGAGGGTAGCATGGAGTAGTTGCTTAGGAGCCACTTGTGGAATAAGATAATCTTATTCAACATCTTCATATCCTCCTGACGACCTTTATGAGGTCAGCATTATTATCCACATTTCACAGATGAGAAATTGGAAGTTTTAAAAGAAGCAATCAGACCGGTTTAAAACCTGACAACTGGAGAAGACAGAGCTCAGATCCTGGGCTTGACAGCTCTCGATGTGAGTTCTTAACCCCTACACCTCAATACCTGTGGAGTCCTTAAACGTTGGCAACCCAGGGGATGAGAAGAGTATGCTGGAGCACTGTCGCGTGGGCTGAGCCCTGTGGCAAGATACTGAGCATGCCCAGAACTGTATAGTCCAGGACAGGACAGAAGGTGGCATTTATGGTTGCTTTGCAGGGGGTGGCAGCCACTCTGAGGCTCAGGTAGGCCTGCTCCATTTCAGACCCATGAAGGAAGCTCTGGGAAACCCCACTTTCTTCTTTATCCAACTTCCTAAGTGAAGGCTCCTTTCTGGGGTCATGATTCATCCTGCCATGATGGCTCCCATTGGATCCACAAGAAATAGAGAAATGAATTGAATGAACGTTCCCACACTAGATTCTCCTACGCTACCAGGCCTGGCTCAGTTCAATACACTTCAACGAGATCCATTTAGTACATCCATTCTTTCCCTATATTTCGCCCAGATTTTCCTCCGGGGAATTCAGGCTCCCTTTTTCTAAGGGTCTTGGCGAGGCTGATAAAGAGAGGAAATGTTATCCAAGCAATACCAACTTCTCTGAATTTGAGTCCCGATCAGCAGGCAGCGGAGTTGGAATCCATCAATCCCAGGTTGCAACTGGAGTCAGAGTCCAATGCAGCCCGCCATGGCTCTGCTTTCAGATCCTTCCCCGACTGGTTCTTTTTCTTCTTTTGTTTTTGCTTTACATTTTCTGACTTACTCCATCTTCTTCTAAAAAAATCCCCCTGTGATAATGCCAGCCCGAGTTGCTTTCTGCAACTTGCAAACAATGAACCCTGAGCAATACACGTGCCCAGCTGGACCTGGAAAAAGGTCAGGGTTAAGACAGGAAAGGAAATGTTTCCTGACCTCCTAGGGTTTGGAGACATCCCCCTGAAACCTACTTAATTCATGTGTTTAATTCTTCCCTACATCTTTCATGAAATTTCTCCAATAGTTTGCCACAGAAATATAATGAAAGCACAAAACATAAAAATAGAAGAACAAAAGAGAAAATGAAGGGTAAAATAATTTCTGTGACCTAGCTCAGTTTTGGTTTGGAGGTTCCTGATAGTGAGAGGATCAAGGAAAATGTGATCAACATAACTTCCTCATCTTTGGAAAGGAGGCGGGAGTTTCCTTGTGGGGAAATCGAGTCACTCATATTAGGAAGTTGAGGGACTCACGCTGGGCCATTCAGATTTGAATACTGGCTCTGATGATACACACCACACATACTCTTGGACACAGTTGCAAACTGGTGGTTCATAGCTCAGATTTAACCCAAAGATGGACTTTCTTTTATATAGACAGTGTTTTATAAGTTGAAATTAATTTACGTCAAAATGGGAGAGTTCTTGTAAAGTCTGGACCTCCTATACCATTGACCCTCATAGTTCCGGTAGGATTATTACAGGTCTGTTTTCCTTATTTATATCATGCACATTTACAACATTTATGTGAGTCACCAAACCCCAACAGGGAACATGAGGAAGGAAGAAGCCAGCAGGACTCCCAAGAGTTGGGGATGTGGGGATTGGATCCGACCATGGAAAAGGGGTTGGATTGGGCTAGAGAAGGAAAGAGAAGCTCCAGGCAGAGGAGATCAAGTGAGCAAAGGTGCAGAAACTAGCACAGGCATGGCCTGGGGGATTCCTGGCACACTCTGAATCCCTGGGGCATTTGGGAGTCTGGTTGGTGCCAGGCAGATGGCCAGGGCCCACACATCCATCACCAAGGCCTGGCGTTGGTGCTGCCAGGCTTGAGTGGTGGTAGCAGCTGTGGCCTCCAGTCATGTAGAAGCTGATCTTGGAGTTTCCTGAGATCTCCCCCAGGCTGGGCTGCCTGACTTTTGAGGAAACTAGGGGAACCACAACAATGTGAGGCTGGCAACCTGGGCGGAGGCTGGGAGGGGAAGACGGTGTAAATGGTTTGTAGTCAAATGGTTTCCAAAGTCATCTCCATTGCTTAGAGAAGAGCTGTGAGTTCCAACCCTTAGCCTCTCAGAACCTCAGTTTCCTCACTTGGGAAAAAGAAATAATGGCACTTCCCTCATGTGGTTATCGGGAGAATTAAAGAAGTGCTTAGGGCAGAGCCTGAGATGTATTCAGCGCTCAGAAAGTACTAGTGAGAATGAAGTGGCAGTTGCCTTCAGACATCAGTCCAGGACAGCTTCCTGAGACCAGTAGCAAGCAAAGGCTTACAGCAGCTAAAAAGGCCAGGATTTCCTGCACAGAAAAGACTGAGGTCGGAGAAGAAAGTGCCTCTAATGGAGGTAAGAAGGCAGGAAACGTCCTTGGCCAGGAGGACGCTTCTTTCTGATTCCCATCCTGGTTTTCCTAGCCCTCCTCTCAGCAGGCTGGCTACATATGATTAATCATTTCCTCCCTTTTGATACGTAGACCTTCAAACACTCCAGCATGGAGCCTGTGTTTGCTGCCAGGAAGCCAATCACCCTTGAGACGCCAGCCCCTCCAGAAGAGGTCCCCACAGTTACAGGAGTTCTCTGCTGCAGGGCTCTGCCCAAAGCGAGCTCTGGGACTGGAGGCTGCAGGGCCTCAGAGTAGGAACATCCATTCCTTTACCCCTTCCTTGTCCAACACCTACCAGACACCTATTCTTTGTGCCAGGCCTGCGGGAGACTGCAGGCACAAATGATGCCATCTGTGCTCTTCAAAGCTTAAAGAGCCTTTGGAGTCCCCGTCCACCTCAGTCATCACAATGAGGAGACCTTCTTCAAGTCCTCAATACAAAATGCACCTAATTCAAGACTAATGTGTTCATAGTGATAAAATTTTTGCTGTTCACATATTTCCAAATTCCACATAAAAGCGAGGCTTTATTAATATTTTTATTTCAGTATTTTATATTTCCATAACTCAAGTTTTCATTAAGTGCTACCATGGTGTCGTTGTCATGACAGCTCCCTGTATTAGTCTTTTAGCTTCTGGAAGGCTGAAACTCTGCATAAGAGAACTAACTCAACACAGGGATGACAAAAATGAGTAACACGGTTGGAATCAGCTCATGACTTATGTACATTGTAATGTGGATTAGACATTAAAAATAGCAACGTGGCCTTGGGTTGCGCCTTCCAACCAGAAATATGACAACGCCTCCATCACTGCCTCTCTGCCTCAGTTTCTTTACTTTAAAATGAGGTCTGTAAGATGTCTTTTCATTCTAACATCTTGGAGTCTACGGGAAGGTTAGGAGCCCTGTTCCTGAGTTGGGGGCTGGGGAGAGCAGGGAGTATATGTCCTGGCTGAGGGCCGGATGTGCATGAATACCCAGGGCTCTGAAGGGAGGGGAATATGCCAGAAGGAGAGGTTGCTGGGCAGGACTAAAGCAGGATATTGGGTGATTGGTCTTAGACTTGTGAGGGAGGGAAGCAGATGAAAAATTGTCCGTGAAAGTGCAATTATGCAGAAAGGCAGAAAAAGGCCAGACAGAGTGGAAACCGTGTTGGAAGGGTAAGGGGTTTGATACTTTGAAACTTAACAAATGCATCCTGGGCCCCTTGGTGTCTATGTTTGGAGATGTTCCTGAACTCATAGTAAGGAGCATGCCCCCTGCCCCCATTGACTGGCTTCTGGAACATGTGGGGGTGTGTCTGTGGGAAGGTAGTAGGGCTGGCCAGGTCTCCTACAGCAGTCAGAGGGCCAGTTGTTAGCAGGGGACTTTCTGCAACAGCTCCTTATCCTGCGTGAGGAGCCAGTGCAGCAGGAGTTAGGACCACATGCTAACAGGCAAGGTGGTGGGAGAGTGGGAATAGCTCCGCCCTAGGGAAACAGAAATCCACAAGGGTCCTGAATCACTTCCCTTCAAGATGAATTCAGAAAGATCTGGTGACAGGCGAGACCCGACCAAGGTAAGTGTTTCTCAGAGATGTTCCTAAGTGTCTTCGATGAGGGAAGAGATGAACCAAAGGTTGCATTCCGTGGACCCCATTGAACAACCCAATCCATGTGGGCAGGGAGGGGCTTCCCTGTAATTAACAACCATTCCTTATCTATTAACCAATCCTGTTTGCTAACTGGATTGCTTGTGAAGGCCTCTTGTTTTAATTAGCATGTCTCAGATGAAGAGTAAACAAACGTTCTAACAAACTATTATGACATAAAGTTGATTTTTCAGTTACTCAACTGCTATGCCGTGGATATGGTGAATTTAGAATTAAATGCCTCTCTCAGAGGCTTTAATGATCTTAGTCAAGAATGTTTTGATTAAATTAAAGCTATTGAGAATGTGTTTTTTGAAAAGAGTGTGAACAAAACATCCAGGAGTGAGTCAGGTCCTGGGCCCTAGGCTCCTCAGTGTTCCAAGGCAGGTCTGGGAAGGGAGACAGTGGGACCCTCCATGTGGGGCAGAGGTGGGATGGCTTATGGCAAAGATGTTACACCTGCCGTTAATAATCTCTGAGTGGGGCCAGCACGGTGGCTCACGCCTGTAATCTTAGTGCTTTGGGAGTCTGAGGTGGGCAAATTACTTAAGTCCAGGAGTTTGATGCTACAGTGCCATGACTGTACCACTGCACTCTAGCCTGAGACAGAGTGAGACCCTGTTTGAAAAAAAAAAAAGAAAAAAGAAAAAAATCTCAGAGTGTTGAGGTCTCAGAAGTCTCTGTTAGGGTTCTCCAGAATCAGAGTGTCTAGAACGCTGGTGCCTTGATTGATCAAGGGGGTGCTCGCAGGGAGAATGTGAGGTTGTTCAGGAAGCAAAGGAGGGGTGGGAAAGAAGCCAGGCCAAGCTGTGGACCTAGCTGGAGTCTGGCCTCAGCTGATTCCACAGGGAGTTCTGGTACCTGAATGACACCACAGAGCCATCCTTCCTTAAGGCAAGTGGTCTGACCATTGCCACTCTCCACTAGTTAGTCATTGGATGGGGACCCCTCCTTAGGGAGGGCATATCATCCCAGCATTTGTAAGTAAGGAGGAGGGCAGTCCTCCAGAGGAGGGTGCAGGAGTGAGATTTTAGCAGCCTACCCTCATGGGTGCACACACTAGCTGGCAAGGGACTCTGGGTGGGGTCCCAGAGTCTCTACAGCGGTTGGCCACACCTGGAGACAAAGTCCTTTGGTGAACACCCTTTGCAGTTACACACAATTTTATCTTTCCCAAAGACCTGCTGTCATGGTCTTCTCCCAAAGGAACTGTCTACAGGTAGGACCCTGAGGTCCAGAGAGCTTAAGCAGTGTTCTGAGGCCACTGAACAGAGCAGAGCAAGGTGGGCCTTGTGCCAGTGGCTGTGTCTGTACCCATCGGGCCAGTCATGCTGCCTCCACAGAGCAGCCACTCAGCAGATGTGACTGGGCCCCGGGGTTGTTCAGGCTGGAGGACAAGCCTGCTCAAGTCAGGGGGAGTTTGGTGGCCTAAGGGAGTCCAGAACTGTGAGTTTATGGTCATCCTTCTGATGGTGGAAAAACCTGCAGGTTTGGAGCGTGAACAATTTGAACCATTTATCTCCCAAAGCTCTCTTTTTTGAAAAGAAAAAAAAAAGTTGAGTAAAGTGAGTTAAGTGTTATCCATCACAGCTTCTATACTGGTCAGGGCTCTTTGGAGAAACAGAAGGAATGGTATTCACAGATAGACAGACAGGTAAATAGAAATAAATAAAGATAGATAGATAATAGATAGATAGATAGGTAGATAGATAGATAGATAGATAGACAGACAGACAGACAGATAGATTAAGAGGGGATTTATTATGGGAATCAGCTCACATGATTCTGGAGGCCAAGAAGTCCCACCACCTGCTGTCTGCAAGCTGGAGGTCCCAGAAAGCCAGTGTAATTCAGTCCAAGTCCAAAGGCCTGAGAACCAGGAGAGCTGATACTGTAAGTCCTGAAACCAGAAGGCCTGAGAACCAGGAGCTCTGATGTGCAAGCATCAGGGGAAGCTAGTACATCAGATGTACAAAGCAGGAGAAGACGATGGACGTCCCAGCTGGAGAAGGGAGAGAATCCACCCGTCCTCCACCTTTTTGTTCTATTCTGACCCTCAATGGATTGGATGGTGACAGCTCACATTGGTCAATGCAAATCTACTTAACTTAGCCTATTGGTTCAAATGCCAGTCTCTTTAGAAACACCCTCACAGACACACCCAGAAGTAATATGTTATCAGCTATGTGGGCATCACTTAGCCCAATCAAGTTGATACACATCACTGTGTACCTTCTGTGCTGAAGTCCTGATAGGAACACACTCCACCTGACCTCAAAGCCTTCCTACAAGCTGCTCCCTCCTTCAGGAAAGGTCTTCACCCTTCTCTTTCTTTCTCACCTCCTCCCCTCTTCCCCAGCTTTTCACACAGTAAACACTTTTCAGTTCTATTCAAATATCGCCTGACTTTCCTTGGGCATCACCTGAGGTCTACGCAGCATCCACTGCTAAACGCTCACCTTGCTCCAGATCTTGTTTTCTTCCCAGCAGTTGGCATTCTTTACCAGGAAATTGATTTTTTTTCCCATAAGACTTTTTTTCTTTTTTAGAGTCAGGATCTTGCTCTGTTGCTCAGGCTTGAGTGTGGTGGTGCAATCCAAGCTCACTGCAGCCTTATCTCCTGAGCTCAAGCAATCATTCTGCCTCAGCCTCCTGAGTAGCTGTAACTACAGGCAGACCACCATGTCTGGCTTGGATTTTTTAAAAGTGCAAATTTATTAAGTTACAATTGGCTTACAATAACTATACATATTTAAGATATATGATTTGATAAGTTTTGACATATGCATCCGTGAAACCACCACAATCAATAAATAAACATATCGTTACCTCCAGAAGTTTCCTCATGCCCCTTCATAATCCCTCCCTCCCAGTCCTCCCCAATCCCTCATCCCCAGGCAACCAATGATCCTATCACTAGATTCGTGTGAATTTTCTAGAATTTTATATAAACAGAATATACAGTATGTCCTTCCTTTGGTATAGCTTCTTTCATTCAGCATAATTATTTTAAGAGTCATTCATGTTGTTGCATATTTCAATAGTTCATTCTTCTTTATTTCTGAGTAGCATTCCATTGTACAGATTTACTGTAATTTGTTTATTCATTCATCTGTTGGTGGACATTTGAATTGCTTCCAATATGGGGCTGTTATAGATGAAGCTGCCATGCACGTTCATGTATACATCTTTGCATGGACTTGTATTTCCTCTTGGCTGATAATGCCTACAGGTGGAACAGCTGGATCATATGGCAGAGGTATGCTTAATTTCTTAAGAAACTGCCAAGCTGTTTTGCCAAGTGGGTGAATATTTTACATTTCTGCCATGAGTGTATGAGAGTTCCGGTTTCTCCACAGCTTGGGTATGCTCAGTCTTTGTTTATTTTAGTCATTCTGATGGGTGTGAAGTAGTATCTCCTGGCTTTGCTGTGCATGTCTCTAATGACTAATGATGTTGAGCATCTTTTCATGTGCCTATTGGCCATCTATGTGTCCTCTCTAGTGAAATGTCTGTTCAAATATTTTGTCTATTTTTAATGGGTTGTTTGTTTTTTTATTGTAAAGTTTTGAAAATTGTTTATACATTTTGAATACAAGTCTTTTATCAGATACATGTCTTGCAGAAATTTTCTATTAACCTGTGGCTTGTCTTTTCATTCTCTTAACAGTGCATGTTTTGAAAAACAAAAATTTCTAAGAGCTCTAAGTCATCAGTTTGCTCTGTGGATTGTGCTTTGCTGTTGTATGAAAGACCTTTAGGCTTAATCTAAGGACAAAGTTTTTCTTCTATGTGTTTTGGAAATGTTATAGTTTTGCATTTTACATTAATTTGGCATCTGATATGAGGTATGGATTCAAATGTATTTTTTTGTATATGAATATACAATTGTATACAGTTGAATACAAATGAATTGTTCCAACTTAATTTGTTGAAAAAACTATTCTTCCTTCAGTGCATTGCTTTTGGTGCTTTGTAAAAGTTAGTTGTCTATATGTGCATAGCTTTATTTCTGAACTCTCTATTCTGTTCTGTTCATCTATTTGTTTACCTTTATGACAATATCATGTTGTTTGGATTACTGTAGCTTTATAATCATTATTAAAATCAGGTAAGATCCACTTTCCAGCTTTCATTTCTTTTTTGGAGTTGTTTTGGCTATTCCAGGTCTTTCGTATTTCTATAAGAATTTCAGAATCAGCTTTCAATTTCTACACATAGCATGCTAAGATTTTGATTGAGATAGGATTAAATCAACTTGGGAGAATTTACATCTTATTAACATTGAGTTTTTCAACCTGTGAACAAGGTCTGTATATTTCCATTTATTCAGGGCTCCTTTCACGTATCTCACAATATTTTGTTGTCCGTGTGCATGTCTTTCACATCTTTTGTCAGATTTACTCCTAAGTATTTTATGTTTTTGATGCTATTGTGGAAGATATGTTTAAAATAATGAGTTTTGATTGTTCATTGCTAATATATAGAAATGCAATTCTTTTTTTATGTCAGTCTTGTGTTCTGCATTCTTGCAAAATTTACCTATTAGTTCTATTAGCTTTTTGTTGATTTCATCAGATTTACTATATCAGTGATCTTATCATCTGTTGAATAAAGACAGTTCTACTTCTTTCTTTCCAACCTGGATGCCCACCTGATTTTAGACTCCATGAGTGCATCATACACAGCTCCCCATGCTGTCCTGGAACTTGGCAGGGACTTGTCACCTGGTGGGCTTATATTTGCTGATAGCAGAGACAAGAAGCACACTCTTTTCTCACTCCTCCCAGGCAAGTTTTGATAACTTAAATGTATCTACCTGACACCAAAACAAGCAGTTGTGAAGTGAAAATTTCAGAAAATAAGCATGATCATTTGGCATGATAAAAACAAACATCCATTTAGCTCTCTGTCATTGGAACCAATTTAATTATCTATCATCTATCCATCTAGCTCTCTGGTTCAGAATTCAGTAAAAACAGTACATGTGTGTAAATGCGTTGCCTCAGCCCAGAGATGTGTCTTAAAAATGCACTCTCGTCTTAAAAATGCACTCATGCTTGAGTTTCCAAGTTTCATTCCCGCTTCTCTTGTGGCCTATTCTCATTCTGTAGACCCAGGAAGCATTTTTGTTCTACAAGGTCAGGGAGTCATTCAAGGCATATTTGAGGAGCTCTTACTATGTGCCAGTCCATTTTGTTCACTGTGGTTTCTCAGGACCTGACATAAATGTCCTGCTCTCAGGGAGTTCACTTCCTTGTAGGGGAGATGGAGGGATAATAACAAATCTATATACAGTCTATGTTCCTCTGTGTATGCATATCCACATTTGCACCTTCATCTAATGGGGGGTAATGACAGGGCCTAGGAAAAGAGCATCACATGTGAACATTCTAGGTTGCTCAGGCTAAAAGCTTTGATCATCCTTGGTTCTTCTTTTTCCCCTAAGCCCACATCAAGGATCATTTGCTAAGATGGGGAAGACTGAGGAAAGATCAGGTTTGAGAAAAGAAAACAAGAGTTAGGTTTTATATATGGCAAGGCTCAGATGCCTAAGAGATGTCCAAAGAGGTAGTCGGTCATCAGGATCTGATATTTAGAAGAAAGCTTGAAGTTGGGCAGGAAATTTGCAAGTAGCCAGTACATGAACATTATGGAGTGATATGAGGTGACTTAGAATATGCATATAGAAGAAGAAAAGACAAGAGTGCCCTGTGGCCCTGTAGTATTAAGAGGTTGGGAAGAGGCTAGGTTCAGTTGTCCATACTATAATCCTAGGACTTTGGGAGGCTGAGGCAGGAGGATCACTTGAGGCCAGAAGCTTGAGACCAACATAGGCAACATAGCAAGACCCCATCTCCACTAAAATAAAAATTAAAAAAACAGTCAAACATGGTGGTATGTTGCTATAGTCCCAGCTACTCAGGAGGATGAGGCAATATGATTGCTTGAGCCCAGGAGTTCGAGGCTGCAGCGAGCCGTGATCACCCCACTGCACTTCAGCCTGGGTGACAGAGTGAGACCCTGCCTCTTAAAAAAAAAAAAGTAAATTAAATTAAAACAAAAATAAAAGGTTGGTAGGAGAAAAAGGAAGAAGCAGCAAAGGAAGTTCAGGATTGACCAGTGGTGTAGGAGGCTAGGTCTGTCCTCTAAGCCACATGAGAATGAGCTTTAAGGAGGGCATCATCAATTCTTTCAAATACTGTTGAGAGACGGAGTAAGATACAGGCAGAGAAGTGATCATTAGATTTGGCAATATGGCAGTCATTGGGAACCCTGATGAGAGTAGGTTGGGGGTGTAGGTGGGATGAAAGTTTGTCTGGAACCTAAGGACTGACTAAGTCTTGGAAAGTTTAAGAGCTGTGGATCACACAGTACAAATACTTCACAGTTCCAAACTGTAAAATGGGTGCTGTCGGCTTGGAACCTGATGGAATATAATCATCTATCTCATAGCGGTTAATGATCTACCCTACTTATGAATGGCTCTATTTCAATGAGGTTATTTCACCTTCCCACAGCTTTTACAAGAAAAACTAAGAGCAATAAAGGCTATTTACATTATTTTCTTACACAAGGAGGGAAGGATGAAAATAAAAGCTAACATTTCAGAGTACTTTTACTTAACTGTTAACTTATTTAATCCTCTTAACTCCCAGGAGGTAAACTCTTATCGCCCCATCTTGCAGGCTTGGAAGCTGAAGCTCAAAGACATTGTGTGACTTGCAGGCTAAGACTGGAATTCCAATATCTACCCATGGTGTCAGATCCTAAATCAAGTGGCGACTCTGCCAGGGAGGGAAAACATGAAGAGAAATGTCACTTGGCAGCACAACTCGCATTCCTGGATGCCTACATAATTCTGCTCCAAGAAGACCTGGATAGATCTTCTTTAAAAATCAGCTGGGCGAAGTGGCTCACACTTGTAATCCCAGCACTTTGGGAGGCTAAGGCAGGTGGATCACCTGAGGTCAAGAGTTTGAGACCAGCCTGGCCAACATGGGGAAACCCCCATCTCTACTAAATATATATATTTATATATATATAACATATATAAATTTATATTTAAATATATATTTGTTTATAATATATAATATATTATTAATATTATATATTATTATATATTATACTATATATATAATTATATATTCTATAGTATATATAATAATATATAATATTATGTATATATGGCCGGTGTGGTGGCATGTGCCTGTAGTCCCAGCTACTCAGGAGGCTGAGGCAAGAGAATCGCTTGAACCCAGGAGGTGGAGGTTGCGATGAACCAAAATTACGTCACTGCACTCCATCCTAGGCGACAGAGTGAGCCTTTGTCTCAAAAAAATAAAAATAATAATAATGGCAAATTCACATTTTCTGTATTTATTTATGCTTTGGGCTTAAAAGGGTCAGTGGCCTAATTTAACATTCGATTTTTGTTTTTACACAGCAAAGACTTATTGCAGGAATACTGTATGTTTGGCTCAAAGCTAGGTCCTGGAAACAATCTGAAAAAAATCCTCTACATCCTGAGATGTCTGCTGTCTAAATCTTGGGTAACTATGTAAATTATTTCAAGGGAAGTGCTTTTCATTGTTGGTGATACGGGGTCTCAAAGCTAGATACCAAACTGTGAAGGTCACATCTCCAGAGACTTTCAGCACTAGTCAGTAAACTTTTCCTGTAAAGAGCCAAATAGTAAATATTTTAGACTTTGTAGGCTGTACAGTCTCCATCACAACTGCTCAACTCTGCTGTTTGGAGCCATAAATACATAAACAAATGAGCATGGTCGTGTTCCAATAAAACTTTATGTATGGGCACTGACATGTGAATTTAATGTAATTTTTACATGCTATAAAATATTGAACTTCTTTTTTTTTTTTTCCTCTCAACCATCGTAAAATGTAAAAAAAAACATTCTTAGCTCATAGGCCATCTCAAAACACGTGGCAGATCTGATTTGGCCAGTGGGCTGTGTTTTCTGACCCTGTTTTCTAGGCTAACAATTATCAAGGGCTGGGCTTAGAAATGTAGACCAATGGTGGTAGAAACTGTGACCCAGTGAGTCAGGAAGGCCTAAGCAGTAATGAATGGACCTCCTTGTCCAGAAAGGATGGCTCTCAATTGTGACTTAGGGTTGTCAGCTTTGCTATAAGTTTCAGTGTGTACAGATGATCTCATTTCATATTTAATATTGGAGCAAATCCAAGTTCCTTTTAGCTTGTACATTCTCCAATTCCATAACCATTAGGACTCTTTCATATGCAAGTGACAAAAACTTAAGTCAATTGACTCAAGGGAAGAAAAGGAAATGTATCAGCTGACATAAGTGGAAAGTACAATGGCATGCATGGCTTCTGGTATGGCGCTGGAGGTTGATACTAAAGCAAAATTAACAGAGATCAGTCTCCCACTTTCTTCGTCTCTTGGTTCTGATCTCTGCTTTGGTTTCATGGCCAGCTCTGGCCTTACCCTGTTCTCACAGTTAGCACTCATACTGGACAGAGGGTGGCTATGGTTTGAATGTGTTCCCTCTAAAATTCTGATGTTTCCAATGTGATAGTGTTGAGAAGTGGGGTCTTCATGAGGTGATTAGGCCATGAGGGCTCCTCCCTCACAAATTGATTAGGGCCTTTATCCAAAGGGCTTGCAGAGTGGGTTCACTCTTCCGCTCTTCTGCCATGTGAGGATGCAGTAAGATGACCCTCAGCAGATGCTGGTGCCTTGATCTTGGACTTCCCAGTCTCCAGAACTGTGAGAAATAAATTTCTGTTCTTTATAAATTACCCAGTCCCTCATATACTGTTATAGCAGCACAAAACAGATGAAGGCATGGGTTTCTTATTTTCAACAGTGCCAACAAAATCCCTGGTTGCACTGTCGTTGACCTGTCCCAATGACATATGTATCTCTGAACCCGATCACTGTGCCTTAGGGGATGAAATGCTGTGATGGGTTGCACGCCCACATCACCACTCTGCTGTCGGGAGAAGAGGAAGGCACGTTCCTCCCAAACACAGGGACTGAAAGCAGGTAAGGAGTGGGGCCCCCCAAAAATTGCAGCATTCTCTCCAAAAGAAAGTAGAGTGAATACAGGAGAGGTGAAAAAGAAACAGCAGACACCCACTGGAAATGCCTTCTTGAGAGGGCATGTGATGCACTTGCCACTAGATTCTGAAATTGGATGTGACCCACAGTTTATCTGAGAAGGCAGCGGGGCATCACGTGTGTGGACTTCATCTGGTTGCTCTTGAGACAGAGAACCGACTGAGAAGCTGTGGTGGTCCTTGGATTTTTAAATCTGACATCCTGGCACACCATCAAAGGAAACCAGGGGACCACCCTCAGGTGGCCAGTGGCCCCTGGTGCTAAGTAAAATACAGGGAAAAATAACACAAACACGCATCTGATTGTGCCACCATTTCATAGCAGAAAGACCATTTTCACACCCTAAAGGTAGCTAGGATGTACTCTCAGAATAAAGGACTCCTGCACAAAGAAGGACAGTTGGCTACCGTCACATGGGTTGGGATCCCCATGAAGCAGGCTCTGAGATGGAGATTATTGTGCAGAATGTTTAGACGGGAATGTTCTTGTGATCAACACTGTAGGGAAAGGAAGGAGGCGGGCTGAGCTGAGGGAGGAGTTGGGCTGCAGTGTAGTCTCAAGAAGGTCTAAGCCAAAGCTGTAGGGAGCTCTAGAGATGGAGTGGCCTTCAGAGTTGTCCTGAGACAAGCCAGGGTGTGGGTTGTCTTAGTTCATTGGGGGTGCAATAACGCAGTACCATAAACTTATTTCTTACAGTTCTGAAGGCTGAAGTCCAAGACCAGGGTGGCAGCATGGTCAGGTCCTGGCGAGGGCCATTTTCCGGTTTGTATACTGTCCATTTCTCGTTACATCCTCATTTGGTGGGAAGACAGCAAAAAAGCTCTGAGGGTCTCTTCTAAGGACACTAATCCCATTAATGAGGGCTCCATGCTCATGACCTAATCATCTCCCAAAGGCCCCATTTTCTAATACCATCTGATATGGTTTTGCTGTGTCCCCACCCAAATCTCATCTTGAATTGTAGCTCCCATAATTCCCATGTGTTGTGGGAGGGGCCCAGTGGGAGATAATTGAATCATGGGGGTGGTTTCCCCCATACTGTTTTCATGGTAGTGAAGAAGTCCCAGGAGATCTGACGGTTTTATAAGGGGAAACCCCTTTCATTTGGCTCTCATTCTGTCTTGCCTGCCACCATGTGAGACATGCTTTTCCCCTTCCACCATGATTGTGAGGCCTCCCCAGCCACATGGAACTGTGAGTTCATTATATCTCGTTTTCTTTATAAATTACCCAGTCTCGGGTATGTCCTTATTAGTGGCATGAAAACAGACTAGTACACCACCACAGTGAGTTAGGGTTTCAGCATATGAATTTGGGGAGTACAGTAACATCGAGTCTACATAACAATGACTTTCTAGTGGGGTTGGAAAGAGCTACCCCATGGGTGGGACATGTCGGGGAGGTTATCTTACCTCTGAGAATCTGAGATTCAGGGTGTGTGACTGCTGTATGTATCTTATCTTGAACTGGATTGAAAGTATCAGAAAACTTGCACGGCCAAGTTGAAGATTCTCACCAAGACTCATGTGAGACTTCCCTCTGGATGACCAGAGAGCTGAAAGATGCAGGCTTGACCAGGTACAAGGCCCATGGGGAAGGAAGGGCAAAGCAGTTTCTGCTGTGAAAGAGTTCACCCATAAGCTCAGCTGGAGTCATGAGTCTTCTAAGGACGAAGGAAAGGGCCAGGCAAGGCTAATATGGTGGATCCGTCAACACAGAGCAATGTGCAGAGCCCGGCAGGATTTGTGCAGGTTGAGACAGATGGGAGGAGAAAAGGCAGTCTAGGAGACCAAAGGAGGCTTCTCCAGCTCCGGAGGCTCAGGCATGCCAGAAAGAGGCACTCTCTGGCTCCCCTTGGACGACCCACTGTGTACAAAGCACGCCGTCATTCGCCATTTTTCAGTATCCTTAGGGCAGCCCTGAGAGTCACATCAAGCGTGTGTTATGATTCCCATTTCATAGATGAGAAAACTGAAGCTCAGAGACAGAAAACGAGGTCTTCAGACTCCAGGTCCAGAGTGTCATCCCCCACCAGGTAGGACTGCTTTCTTTAGGGCCCTGGACTCAAAAGAGCATCTGCAGTCGGCCTTTTGGACCACACAGGACCAGAGAGCCTTGGTGAAGAGTAGGTGGTTAGGGCTGTCAGGAGCACTTTTTGGTGGGCCAGAAAAGCAGGGACAAGCACAGGTGGACCAAGGAGCTGCACTCCGAGGCCTTGGGCCAAACCTGAGGGTACTGAGAAAAAGAGAGGCCTTTGAGAAGACAGAGGTGCTCGAATTCCCCAGGTTTGCTCCTTAATGGAGCATGCGAGGGTCTTTCTCACAGCCAGACCCAACCTAGTACCGATGTGTGAAGACACCAAGTACAGAAAGCCCTTCAGTCACCAGAGATGGCCTGACTCCGAGCTGAGGGCCAGGCTGCCAGGAAAGCCATCTGCTCTCCCGGGAGTCCAGTGACTCAGAGATCCAGTCTGGAAGCCCTGCTGTGGGGGCACAAGAGACCATTCGCCCCAACATTCCCGGCCTCTCTACGGGGCTGGTGAGTGCAAGCAGGAGGGAGTGACAGTATTGGTGAGGAATGAAATTGCAGCGGCTGTGTGATGCTGTAAATATTTGGTTTGAAACAGCAGAGACATTCAAGATAAAAGTTAAATAGAAATAAAAGCAGTCAGATGTTTATTATATGTTGCCATAAAATTCAAGAGCAGCCTAAAAAGGCAGATCAGGATTTGTTTAACAAATAAGAGAGGAGAATGAAGGAGGTAGAGGTTTGACTGTGGAAGGGTGTATTTTGCTGGAATCTGGACAGTGATAGAAGCAAAGTGAGAATGACTCGGCCCTTAGACTGGGAGAATGAGTTGTCCTTAGGTGGCTGAGAACTGGGGGATTTCCCCAGGTCTCAAGGCCTTAAAGGGACCCACAAGTCCCCTGGCTGTCTGCATTTCCTGCCCGTTGCAGGGGGCAAGCCCCAAGGGGAGAACAGGGTGGAAGATCTGGGGGAGCTAAATTCTGGGAGCGCAGGCAATGCGGAAGCACGGTGCACACAAGGATGTCCGGGGAGGGGCAATGCTGGTACTGTGAGGCTGATGGAGCCTTTTTTTCAGTCCTGCTCCCTCTCCATAGCCAGCTCCTCAGGCCACCATCAGATTTTAGGCAGGGCTCAAATGAGGAACTGGTCCATAGTAACACAAAATAACCCAGCTAGAAGGGCCCTTTACAGAGCTCTGTACTTGTCTAGGGGGTGGCAAGCTTTTTCTGTAAAGGGCTAGCCAGCAAATATTCTCCATTTTCTGAGTCATTCTGTCTCTGTTGCAACCGCTTTGCTCTTGCAGCATGACAGCCCCCATACACGATCTGTAAATAAATGGACAAGGCTGGGTTCCAATAAAACTTTATTTAAAAAAGCAGGCTGGCCAGGCACAGTGGCTCACGCCTGTAATCCCAGCACTTTGGGAGGCCGAGGCAGGTGGATCACCTGAGGTCAGGAGTTCAAGACCAGCCTGGCCAACATGGTGAAAACCCATCTCTATTAAAAATACAAAAATTAGCCGGGTGTGGTGGCAGGCATCTGCAATCTCAGCTACTCAGGAGGCTGAGGCAGGAGAATCACTTGAACCCGGGAGGTGGAGGTTCTAGTGAGCCGAGATTGTGCTATTTGCACTCTAGCCTGGGTGACAGAGCGAGACTCCATCTCCAAAAAAAAAAAAAAGCTATAGCATATCAACCCCTGTTCTAATCTAGTCTTCATTTTATAGATAGGGAGACTGAAGTTCACAGAAGCAGAGAAAATTTTCCAAAGTCTCCCAGCCAATGAGTCATGGAGACGGGAGAAGGCCCAAGGATCCCACGGAGCTTGTTTAGTGTAGTTTCCACTGCATCAGGGTAGCACTGCGTGCAATGAGAGACTTTGGCCATTCTTAGATCTTAATGCCAAATTGTACCTGGCTTGCTACCACAGGCTAAAGATTAGAAGGGCTAGAATCAACAGTTAGGTGGTGATCAACTTGGTAGAAAGCGGGTTTGTCACCATGGGCCAGGGTCATGCTTTCACTTCTGGAATTTGGTTACTGCTGGCAACTTTTTGGGAAACAGTTTTGGGAAATTATGTAAAGAGAATTGTAGGGGGTTTAGTAGTGGCCTCCAAAAAGATATGAGCATGTTCCAGAACTTGCAAATGTAACTTCTTTGTTAAAGAGTCTTTGCAGGTGCTTTAAAGTTAAGGATCTCAAGATGAGACCATTCTGGAATATCCAGGTGGATCCTAAATCCAATGACAAGTGTCCCTGTAAGAGACTGAAGAGGAGAGGACACGCTTCTCTGCCTCCGTGGGAGAAGAGGAGAAGGCCCGGCAAAGACGGAGGCAGAGGTTGGAACTCTGCAGTCACAAGCCAGGGAACATGGAAGCCACCAGGAGCTGGAAGAGTCAAGGAAGTGTCCTCCCCTGAAGCCTCTAGAGGGAGCGAAGCCCTGTAGACATTGGCTCATTTTTGGTATTTTCTTTCTTTCTTTTTTTTTTTTTTTTTGGTAAAGATGGGGCTTCACCAGGCTGGTCTCGAACTCCTGATTTCTGACTTCCAGTTCCCAAACCTGTGGGAGAACACATTTATGTTGTCTCTAGCCACCAAGTGCATGGAATTTGTTATGACAGTTACAGGGAAGTAACACGGGAATTTTATTTTAAACCCTACATTTGGCAAAAAAAAAAAAAAAAAAAAATGGGCAAAAGACACAGACAAAAGTGGGCACAGCTTTGTGAGCAAATGGCCATGGCTTTTTGCAAATAAACTTTCTAGTAGGAGAACTTACTGATGCATGAGCCCAGGCAGTGGAAACTGAAGGAAGCAGTCTGGTTGGAGGAAGCAACGTCTCCATCCCAAAATCACCATGTCTCTGAATGAGAGTTCTTTCCACACCCACACATAAGGGGCAAGAACAGTGGAGGGGCCACAGCTGGGCTGCTTCCAGCATCTGCAGGCTTCCCAGGTCCAGGGAAGAGAAGCCAAGGCTGCATGCACTGGACCATGGCGGATCACGGATTGTTGGTTCCCACCGTAGAAAACTTCCAAAGCCTGCAGTAGCCACCTCTAATCGAGTGGTTCTCTCTTGGCACAGCAAAAATGTTCACCATTGAGTACTGGGCATTAGACTCTGGCCCTGGTGCCCTCTGGCAAGTGACACTAAAAATCTCTGAGAGATATAAGAATGAAAATCAGGAGCTTGGTGTGGTGGCTTATGCCTGTAATGCCAGCACTTTGAGAAGCCAAAATGGGAGGATTGCTTGAGGCCATGAGGTCCAGCCTGGGCAACACAGTGAGACCCCATATCTACTAAAAATACACAAATTAGCTGGGCATGGTTGTGCACCTGTAGTCCCAGCTACTCGGGAGGGTGAGGTGGGAGGATCACTTGAGCCCAAGAGGTTGAGCCTGCAGTAAGCAATGATGGTGCCACTGCACTCTAGCCTGGGTGACAGAGCAAGACCCTACTCTAAAAAAAAAAAAAAAAAAAAAAAAAAAAGAATGACATCAAGATATTGTGCATTCCATCACAGGTTGATGGAACTAACTCAGGGAAACAGCAGGAGAAACTAGAAAGTATATGCAAAGCATTTACTCAGCATCAATGGAACAGCTGCCTCCTCTATTCAAAGGCAATCTCTACGATGTCCTCTCTTTGGCCCCTGCCACCCCTACCCAGGCCTTTGCTGTGGTCGTTCTCCTGCTGGGAAGCCTAACCTGTTCCTCCCTTTGTCTCTCAGTGCCATCATTCTTTTTTTTTTTTGAGAAGTAGTCTGGCTCTATCACCCAGGCTGGAGTGCAGTGGTGAGATCTTGGCTCATTGCAACTTCCGAGCTCAAGCAATTCTCATGCTTCAGTCTCCTGAATAGCTGGGACTATAGGCATGTTTCACCATGCCTGGGTAATTTTATTTTTTATTATTTATTTATTTATTTATTTAGTAAAGACGGGGCTTCATCAAGCTGGTCTCGAACTCCTGATGTCAAGTATCTGCCTGCCTCAGACTCCCAAAGCGCTGGGATTACAGACATGAGCCACTGTGCCCAGCCCAGTCATTCTTTAAACCCATCTGCAGCCCACTCCCCAAGACATTCCCAGGAATTCCACTCCCCGCTCATTCTGCCCTCTAGGACTTCTTGACATACATGTTTGACTCCCTGTCCTGAAGTATTCACTCCCTGGTGAATATATCTGCTCAGAACCAGAAGCTCTCTGGGGGCAGGATTTGAGACACAATTGTATTTCTGTTCCCCATAAAACACAGTCAAGCACTGGGCACATAAAGCCTGGGTTGAAATTTCATTCATTCATCCACAAGTGTTTATGGAGCACCTTCACCCATTCTGGTGCTGAGTGCCAGAAATAGACAAGAAATCCCAAGTTCTGGCCTGCAAGGAGCTCATGTAAGTAGTTTTTTTTCTAAAGACAGTTTCAACTATTGATACAAATGCGACAATGCCAGTGAGGCAGGAATCTGGTAGTGAGACGGGGCTTGAAGGCTCTTTAGAATGAGGTGGCCGGAGGGATGTTTTTAAGCAAGTGCTATGTACTCTGCAACCCACAGTGGAGAAAAGGGCCACCTTGGGGGTTTGGGGATAAGGGGTGCTCCAGGCAGAGAGAAGAGCAGGTGCAAAGGCTGCAAGAGAGGGTCATGGAGCAGGTGTCAGGTCCAGCAGGAAGCCCACAGCTGCAGCCCAGAGACCAGGAGAGCATGACGGGGCAAGAAATGGAGAGCTGGGTGAGACTGAGCAAAGCGGTGGGATTCACTATGAGCCAATGGGAATACACTGGAGGGCCGGGCTGGGGAGCAAGACATGAGTGGATTTGCATTTTCTTTTCTTTTCCTTTTTTTTTTTTTTTTTTTTTTGAGACAGAATCTCACTCTGTCACCAGGCTAGAGTGCAGTGGCGCGATCTCAGCTCACTGCAACCTCTGCCTCCTAGGTTCAAGCAATTCTCGTGCCTCAGCCTCCTGAGTAGCTGGGATTATGGGCATGTGCCACCACACCCAGCTAATTTTTGTGTTTTTAGTAGAGACGAGGTTTCACCATGTTGGCCAGGCTGGTCTCGATCTCCTGACCTCGTGATCTGCCCGCCTCGGCCTCCCAAAGTGCTGGGATTACAGGTGTGAGCCACCATGCCTGGCCTGGATTTGCATTTTCTAGAATTCATCCTGGCTGCCCTTGGGCAGAGAGGCCCGGACGCCGCAAGCAAGTAAGGAAGTGAGCACACTCTAGACAGATGCTAGAGGCTTGAGCTAGTCGGTGGCCATGGTTCGGGAGAGAAGAGGAAAAGTTTCGAATGTGTATTTGTGGATTGATTTTTGTTGTTGCTGTTGAGACAGGGTCTTGCACTATCACCCAGGCTGAAGTGCAATGGTGTGATCACGGTTCACTGCAGACTTGAACTCCTGGGTTCAAGCAATCCTCCTGCCTCAGCCTCCTGAGTAGCTGGGACCACAGGTGTGCACCACCACACTCAACTAATTTTGTTTTATTTTTTGTATAGACAGAGGCTTGCTATGTTGCCCAGGCTGGTCCTGAACTCCTGGCCTCAAGACATCTCCCCACCTTGGCCTCCCAAAGCGCTGGGATTACAGGGTAAGCCACCACGCCTGGCCTGGATTGATTTTCATAAATGCCTCTTGTGCTGGCCAGCTGAGGCATTGCTACCTCCATCTTCCCACCCCACACTCCTGCGTGCTGTGCCTCGTATGATTCTTCACCCCTTCTTAAAAGGAATGCAAGCTCCAGGGCTACTTATTGCAGGATTTTCCTTCTTGAATGGGGAAGCTTCTTTCTAGCCTTCAGTTTTCCCAGAAGGTCTTTCCAGGGAAGGCCAGTGCCCGGGAACCAAGCCTGATGTCCCCAGGTCAGAACACCCTCACTCTTTCCTGAATGGCTAACCACTCTATGTCCACAGAGTTGTGAATATGAATGAAAACAGACGATTACACAACATTTGACAGATATTGATGAAGCACATATGCACCTGCAAAGTACCCAGCACTTCATGGCCAGAGTAAAGAGAGCTGGCCAGGTTCTCCCCAGACCCAGGTTCAAGCCCTGGTATTGATGCTAATTAACACTGCACATTTGAGCAAAATATCTGAACTTCTCCATCCTCGGTGTCTTTATAAACCAAATGCAGACAGTAGTACATAATTTACAAGATTCTCATAATAATGAGAAAACAGATATCATGGTACCTATTGGAAATAATAATAGCTGCTTAGGCAGCAGTTGCAATGGGCCAGGCCCTAATTGAAATGCTTTGTGAATTTGCTCATTTCACACTTACAGAAAGCCTAGGGGGTATTATTGCTGTTTTACAGACCAGGCACCACACTAAGAGATGAAGTTACTTGCCCAAGGTCATCCGGCTAGGAAGTGGTAAAGCTGAGATTTGAATTGGGTCTTTGTGGCTGGTGCCTTTGTTCTGAAGCACCGCATGGTGGTCACTGCCTCTGAATCAAGGAACTCACTCAGTGCCCAGGAAATGTTTATTGAATCTGAGCCTGGGAGTTTGTAGCAGGTGCGTATTGAGGTGACTAAGAGCGGATCATCTATCTTGGAAAATGTGTTATCATGTATAATAAAGATAAGGCATGTGCCATGTACATTCCCAATTCAAGCTGATAAACAAGGAGACCTGTTCTGTGTAGTGCGGATGTGGAGGAGAGAGGGAGAAGAGGAGAGAGGAATAGCAGTCACTGTAACCTCCAACTTCAAACCAGGGGCTGCCAGTGGCCGGCAGAATCGGACTGAATGACAAGGGGCCTGGGCTTGATTCTCGGTTCCTGCTGTCTGCCTGCAGGCCTCTTTAGAGCCCCGTGTTTTCAGGACATCACGGTGGAGATGTGGAGAGGAATCACAAAGCTGTCACCAGGAAATGTCTGCCGGTGTAGGGTCAGGAAAGTGAAGAGAAGCCTGGGCCTCAGAGGGTGACTGACAGGAGACATGCCAGGGCTGAAGGCTGGCGTCCAGGGAATTGGGGGGAGGATAGGCCAGGGTGGAGCGGGGAGGCTGGAGAAGGCAGGTGGGATGGTAGGGAGAGCTGCAGGCAAACAAAGCTAGGGCAGAGTTCTGGGTAGTACAACTGGTAGAAGGGGCTGGCTGGAGAGGAAATTAATTATCGGAGCAAGCAGCCTCCTGCACAGCTACCAGTCTGATCCCCTGACAGTGCCCAACAGTGTGTCGTGGAGACGAATGCAAGCTGCCATGTGCCATCCCAAAGTCCTGTGCTGGCGGGCTGGTTGGTGGCCACCCCATCACAGAAAGGATGAAGGCACACTCTGAGCAGTGTTTTAATGTTCTTCAGCCGTGCCAGAACTCAGACAGAAATGAAAGGACCTGTGTCTGGTAATTAGGCACATGCCAAGCCCAAGTACGTCATCAGAAGAGCTTAGATTGGATGCCCTTCCTTGGGTGCTGGGTAACCCCAATTGGGAGAAGTTCTGACTTTAATCAAAAGATTCTTTCTTCTGCATAGAAAATGGCCACGACAGAAACTTGACGTTTAAAAAGAAAACACCTTTTTCCCCCCCTTCAGATAGATTAATTAATTCCGAAAAGGTGTTCTGAATCAAATATCTAACAGATTGTTCATAAATCAGACTTTTGTGGGAAGCTTGTAATTTTGAAGTGGTCACAAACAGTTCTCAAGGGTGACTTCTTTAGAACCTGAATAACTGGTAAAAGCCAGGAATGCATCCCAGGGTGGGAGGGTTCCTGACCATTCCTTCACAGGTGCGGTTGGCAGCTCTCCCAGCCTGGTCCCCTGGCCTCTTCTCTGCACATTGATCACAGCTTGCCTGCACGTAATTGAACATTAGCTCTGCTCACTTCCTCTGCCGGCCTCTCCATGAGTTCCTCTCTGCACTGGAGCAGCCAGGGTGAGATCCCAAATCCACAAGTCCTCTCCCCAGGGCCATGTTTGCTAACTAAGCCAGCCTTTTTTTTAGCATGTCATGGAAGCCTCCATAGGCCTCTTGCCACAGCCATTGACCACAGGGCTGGCTTCTACTCAATTTGCGGGAACTCATGGGGCTGGAAGCCAGCTGACTCCATGGGCCCACTTGGAGAACAGAAGACAGGATGGAAAACAGGCAAGGACCACAGGGAGAATGAACTTGGCTTCTTGCCTTCTGAGTTTGCCCCAGCTGGTCTGGAGACAGGTTTGCTTAATGATCCCCAAAGAGTCATTTCTGCTCCTTCTTCATGGGTGTCAGCTGAATTTTTAGTTATCTCACTGGCTTCTTTGGAGGGTAATGTTTCTGAATTATGTCTCACAGGCTGAGCAAAATGACATTTTAACCACAATCACAACCTTAAACCAAATCTTACATAGATCAAATTCCATGTTTGATCTGACATCAGTGAACTTTCTTATAGAGCCTCCTTGGGCATAGGAGCCATCCAGCATGGGTCAGCCATGGCTTCCTCAGCACAGTACTTTGTGCTTCTGGGAACGCCTCTCACCACCCACCATCTACCTGCTTCCCAAGGAGCAGCCATGTTTGTCCACATGACACAATCCCTGGCCACAGTTTATTGGCTCAGCAAAGGACCCACAATCAAGCTGAGCCAATCATGTGCTTTCTTGAGAACCTTAAACGTGAAACTGAGTGAAAGAGGCCATTATTTTCTTTTTAAGTTGCACTGTAGTTATTGAAGCTTAGGGGGTGCTGGCAACTTGTTTTGTTTTAACCACAAAGAAAAATTAAATGGCAACAACAGGGAGTAGGGCTGAGAAGCAAACATTCAGAGTTAAAAAGGAATAAGAGACAGAGGCCACTGGTGGTGTTGGAATGTCTGGCCTCTGTTGTTCTTGAAGCCCAGCTGCATTCTGGCGAATGTGTTCCTTGAGCCACCCCAACATCCCGGTAGTAACAGCCCTCCTTTCTTACCCTCCTCTGAGTTGCAGCCAAAAGATCTCTGGTCCCTCAGAAATCCCAACAGCCTCTCCATCTTATGTTAAGCTGGAGTTTGCTGCTGTCCTCGTCTCCTGCTCATGGACATCTGGAGAATGTCAGAACCAGAGGAAAGAATGACAGTCACTGGATGCCAGATTCTTCATCAATGCTGCAAGATGTCTCTGGCCTCACTTAGCATAGCGACAGAGCCTTAAGTGAACCCATGCTTCCTGGATCCCCACTTAGCCTTGTCCTTCCTGCTAGTGGGTGAGCGAGAGAGAGGGGCCCCCTGGCTAAGAGACTTGGCAGGGGTGATGACAAGATGCTCAGCAGGATAGAGCCATCAGACTGTGGCTGTCATCGGGAAAGACAGAGACGTTTCTGCTTACAACTTTGAGGCTTCCAAACTTTTCCTGGTACGAGAGAGTGTTTCTTCCACCTTAAACTACATGATGGAAAGATATGTGAGAATAGAAAAAAAAAAGCGTGTGTTGCTATGGAACTGCAAATCCCTGATAGAAGTCTTCCTCTGAACCACATCCTGCATCGACGAGACCACCCAGCTAGTCTTAGAGCAAGATGGAGTGGCCCTCTCAAATGCTATCATTTGCTGTTACCTACATTCCTCCAGGCCCTATGTAGCAGCCCCTATCATAGCCATCACCCTCAGGATTTGAATCAATTCCCCAGTTAGCACACTAGGGGAAAACAAAGGCCTCATTTGAAGTCTCTCCTGACTGTATTCCTTAGGAAGCTGTCCCACAATGCCTCGGTGAGGGCTGGCAGGCGAGCTGACTAGCCCCTGCCGGACAACTGTCAGGTTGGTTGAAGGATATTAGAGGGAAGTTGATCATGTGTCAACGCTTCTCAGCGCCCACTCACATCAGGGAAGTGATACAGCTGTCACTGTGGCCGACGAGGCGGCTGGCAGAACAGGCCACGTTCACCAACCCAGCTGTCCAATTAGATGCAAGGGCCTGACCCTCAGGTGTGCGGGAGGCAGGGAAGAAGTGCTGAGGAGGACACCACTACCAGCGGTCTCTGAGGCTCCTGGGCTGCCTCCCTGGCTGCCTGTGTCCCACTGAACAGATCAGGGATGCAGGGACATTCAGTCCAGTGATGCTGGCTCCTTCATTCTAACCTTCTCCCATCTGCATTTCTTTATCCTGTTTCCTCCCTTCCTCTCTCCTTTCGTTTCTTCCATCCTCCTTTCTCCCTTCCTGTCTCTTGGGGTGGGTTATGTGATGAGAATATAAAGAAAAGTTCCCAGAACTCCTCTGGGGAGACAGTAGGAAATATGTGAGATTTGATTAGACATTGAAAGAAAAGCCAAACTGTGGCAGAGAACTCTTTAGTGCTTTGTTCTCAGTGCTTTTAAGAATGCTAGTGTGGTGTTTGATTAAAGAACATAATCAATTTGGAAACAATGCTCAGTGTGATAACATGGGGGAGTGTTGTTGAAAACACTGCTCTTTCTTTTTTATCCAATTTTCCATTAGATTTTATTTTATTTATTTATTTTCTATTTAACTTTTTTTTTTAAGTTCAAGGGTACAAGTGCAGGTTTGTTACATAGGTAAATCGTGTCATGGGGGTTTGTTGTACATCTTATTCCATCACCTAGATTATTTTATTTATTTATTTATTTATTTAGAGACAGAGTCTAGCTCTGTGGCCCAGGCTGAAGTGCAGTGGCACCATCTTGGCTCACTGCAACCTCTAGCTCCCGGGTTCAAGCAATTCTCCTGCCTCAACCTCATAAGTAGCTGGGATTACAGGCATGTGCCACCACATCCAGCTAATTTTTGTATTTTTAGTAGAGATGGAGTCTCACTGTTTTGGCCAGGCTGGTCATGAACTCCTGACCTCAGGTGATCTGCCTGCCCTGGCCTCCCAAAGTGCTGGGATTACAGGTGTGAGCCACCTCACCCGGCCCCGTCACCCAGATTATTCAGTCTAGTACCCACTAGTTATTTTTTCTGATCCTCTCCCTCCTCCCACCCTCCATCCTCTGATAGGCTTCAGTGTGTGTTGTTCCCCTCTATGTGTCCATATGTTCTCATCACTTAGCTTCTTCTTATAAGTGAGAACATGTGGTATTTGGTTTTCTGTTCCTGTGTTACTTAGCTAAGGATAATGGCCTCCAGTTCCATCCATATTCCTGCAAAGGATGTGATCTTCTCTTTTATGGCTACATAGTATTCCACGGCATATAAGCACCATATTTTCTTTATCCAGTCTTCCATTGATTGACACTTAGGTTGATTCCGTTTCTTTGCTGTCGTGAAAAGTGCTGCAGTGTACATTTGTGTGCATGTGTCTTTATAACAGAATGATTTATATTCTTTGGGGTATATACCCAGCAATGGGATTGCTGGATCAAATGATAGTTGGTTTTAGGTCTTTGAGGAATCACAACAGTGCTTTCCACAATAGTTTAATTAATTTACACCCCACCAACAGTGTGTAAATGTTCCTGTTTCCCCACAGCCTCTCCAGCATCTGTTATTTTTGACTTTTTAATAATAGCCATTCTTACTGATGTGAGGTGGTATCTCATTGTGGTTTTGATTTGCAATTCTCTAATGATTAGTGATGCTTAGCTTTTTTTTTTTTTTCATATGATTGCTGGCCACATGTATGTCTTCTTTTGAAAAGTGTCTGTTCATGTCCCT
The DNA here is from genome assembly GCF_000001405.40 of Homo sapiens. Taxonomy (NCBI): domain Eukaryota; kingdom Metazoa; phylum Chordata; class Mammalia; order Primates; family Hominidae; genus Homo; species Homo sapiens. Next base: position 31,116,667 of record NC_000019.10, on the reverse strand, counting down.
TGCCTGCTTTTTAATAAGGTTGAAAACACAGCCCTTCTGTTGTGGCCTTTCTCTTAAAAAAAAAAAATAAATAAATACATAAATAACTAGGCCAGTGCCTGTCATTGCAGGACTTTGGGAGGCTGAGGTGGAAGGATTGCTTGAGGCCAGGAGTTCAAGACCAGCAACATAGCCAGACCCTGGTATCTTTCCCTAATGTATGCAGCCAGTACTTGGTAGAGACTGTCTCCACGAAAATTTAAAAAAAAAATTAAAATTACCCAGCCATGGTGGTTCATGCCTGTGGTCTCAGCAAGTCATGTGGCTGAGGTAGAAAGATCTCTTGAGCCCAAGAGGTAGAGGCTACATTGAGCCATGATCACACAACTACACTCCAGCCTGGGCAACAGAGTCAGAACTTATCTCAAAATAAAATAAAAATTAATAAAATAGAAATAAATTTTAAAAATAAATCAAGGCATCATAAGTCAGCTGTGTCTTTGTGTATTCTGGGGAAGCAACAGCATGTCCTTAGGAGGCGAGCTCATAATGGGGACTGTGGTTTCAGGTCTTACCTCTACCCTGCCTTGTTCTCTAAGTCCAGGACAAGGATCCAGTGTGTGCTTAAAAGGCCCTGGAGTATTCTTCTTTCTCTTTGTTGAGAGGTGTACTGACATAGGCATGAGCACACCCATCATTTGCATTAGGCTTTGAGTGTACTGAAGACCTCCTCACCCCTTAGTCCCTTTGCTTTTCTCTGGAACCCTATAGGGTGGTTGCCATCCCTCCCATTTTGTAGGAAAGAGAACAAAGTACCGATGGTGTTGCTATCTTTCCCAACTGTATGCAGCCAGTACTTGGTAGAGACTGGATTCACTCAGAGTTCTTTATTCCAAGGTTCCTGGTTTGATACAGGAAAAATTTCAATATATTGAACAAGACTTTAAAGAAGAGCTCTACATTTTGGGAGGCCAAGGCGGGGGGATCACCTGAGGTCGGGAGATCGAGACCATCCTTGCTAATAGGGTGAAACCCGATCTCTACTAAAAATACACAAAATTATCCGGGCCTGGTGGCACATGCCTGTAATCCCCAGCTATTTGGGAGCCCGAGGCAGGAGAATCAGTTGAACCGGGAGGTGGAGGTTGCAGTGAGTCGAGATGGCACCATTGCACTCCAGCCTTGGCAACAAGAGCGAAACTCCATGTCAAAAAAAAAAAAAAAAGAAAGAAAAAAAACCCTCTAATTCCCACTCATTTATTTGATTTTTCTCTTTTCCAACTCTGTGTCCACCCCTAATCTGCTGTGTGACTGGAAGGAGCTGAAGCCCCCAAAGTAATTGCTTCTACAAAACTCTTTCCAAGAAGTTCCCCTGGGCCCTGAGTTAGGGGGTGGGGTTTCCTAAGGTGTAATCCTTTTAATGAGATTTTAAAGTCCTTATATTCCTTAAAGAGGTTTTCCTAAGCTATAGTCCCTATCGATCCTTATACTGGGATCTTGCTGCAGGTTTTCTGGACAGGAAAGTCTATCACTTTGGGAAACTAAATCTTCACTGTATCTCTGGACTGTGCATGTCCACTTGCAGTTGTGCCCAGGTTATTCTTGGGGTGCGGCAGTAACTAAGCAAAGCTTTCTGCATGAACGTGGTTCCTGGTGTCAGAATCAGAAGAGTTTATGTTGCAAATATACCACTTAGTTGGATTTCTAGTTTGTGTTTTCCTTTTCTTTTCTTTCTTTCTTCTTCTTTTTTTTTTTTTCTTTTTGAGACAAGGTCTTGCTCTGTTGCCCAAGCTGGAGTGCAGTGGTACAATCATGGCTCACTGCAGCCTGACCTCCCCAGCTCAAGTGATTCTCCTGCCTCAGCCTCCTGAGTAGCTAAAACCACAGGCATGTATGACCATGTCTGGCTAACTATATTTATTTATTCATTTATTTTCTGTAGAGACAGTGTCTGGCTATGTTGTCCAGGCTGATCTTGAACTCTTGGCCTCAAGCCATCCTCCCACCTTGGCCTCCCAGAGTGCTGAGGTTTTAGGCATGAGCCTCTGTGCCTGGCTGGATTTCCATAGACAGAGCATCATCCATTAGATAATGACCAGTCCTCCAGCCCATGATTTCCTCTTGTACACACCCCTCTCCAGCCACTCAGGGTCACTCATTCTCCCCTTGTTCATTTCTCACCCCAAGACTTTGCTCCTGGGGGTCTGTTTTCCTGGAGGGCCCTTCCCCTAAGCTATTATCCCTGTTATCCCCTGCTCCCCATCTTCCACCCAGCCAAAAGTATCCTCTTTCCTCCAAACTCCTATAACCCTTAGTTTACACTTTCTTTTCGGTAATTGTTACTTTTGCCCTAAGGCCACCACTATCCACATGAGGGGATGAATCCTGTCCTGGGCTGGTGAATTACAGGTGAATTACAACCACTTTTAGATTCACATGTTACCTAGAGCTACTTATTAGTAATCCATTAGGAAGGTTCTTGGGTTAATGTAATGAAGAATTCATAAATAAAAATTAAGAATATACTAGAGTATGTGGAGAACTCTTCTACCAAGTCTGGATGGCAGCAGGGCAGAGTTTCTGGTGCACCTGGCCCCATACAGAGTATAGGACTTTCTGGAAGGTCATTCTATGACTGGTCTCTTGAGTAGATCGTGATATTTCAAAGCTGCCGATCTTGCTTTTACAATTTACAAATTACATTAAACTTTGCATCCTTACCAGTTTGCTGCAGTTTGTTCCTCAACCCTACAATGTAGACAGGAACACATTTTTGGCTAAAAGTATTATCGACCTCTAAATTAAAATTTGTTATTTAAGTTGAAGACCTGTTTGCATTGTGATTTCCGTATGAATCATCTTTGCTCCTAATGCTAAAACCAATTTATACTTTATCCCCAAACTGTTGTGCTTGTATAGCCATACTTCATGGGTGATGGTCTGTCAGTGAATTTGTTCTCTTTAAATGGCTTGCAACATATTATCAAGGTAAATGCAATAAAATTGCTGGGCTAGTGTTTACTTTATGAGGCATTGTTTTATAAAATAAAACCAAATGTGTATATGCTTATCTTCATCTCTCATAGAGTAAATAATACACAGTTTATGTGTGTTACTAGCAACTGGCTGATTTTGTTATTCTCCATTTGTTATCACCAGATCTCTCACCACAGAAGAATGGGAATGGGAGGGTGAATGTGTGCCTGAGTCTAGATGGGTAACGGTCAGAAACATTTGAGAAATGTGCCTTCCATCATTGGACAGCTGATCTTCCTGTTTTACAGTGACCTCCTGCCCCCTTAGTGAGGTGTCTGCTGGAGCCATCTCCCCATCCCATCCACCATTCCAGAGCCAGATCTGTTTGCAGATCTCAACCTCATGATTCCTGTGAGCTGAATGAATGAGCCCCGTGTCCAGGGACCACCCACAGTGTTACAAGCCAAGCCATAAAAATAGTCATAAATGTAGCTAGAATTTATCTAGCACCTTTCTTCCTAAGAATTTCCAGAAATGCTTTCACTTTTTTATCTCACTTAACCTTACTGACCTCTACCTGGGGTCTCCAGGAGTTGGTGGAATTTGTACCTTTAAAAAGTCCTCCCCTTCCCCCTTCCCCCTTCCACTCCATTTGAGAGCCATTTAGGACAGGACAGGCTCCCTACCAGCGACAGCCTGGTACCCACCCTAGTCAGGACCAAACTATGCATTCCCCAAGAGAAATACAAGGAAAAATCCAGAGTGTGAATGCAAAAAAAAGAAGAAATGAAAGAAAGAAAATAAGAAGAAATTCTGTCTTGCAAGCAGGCTCTTTTGGAAGAAAAATGTACACACACACACAAAAAAAATCCCTGGGCATTAAGAATGCCTAATTGTCTTAATTTACTTGCTGTTCTTTTAAACTATGCTAGTTCTGGCCCTGACGCCACTTCTTGATGTCCCGCCTAGACTCTGCATCAAATGTAGCTCACAAACAGGGGGCTTGTATTTTAAAGTGAAGTTTTGAAAAATTAACTGTTCTCCTTTTGCCCTTTCAACTCCCAGATGGAAAATCCCACCCTGATTAGCCAATTGATTTACTCAAAATAAAAACACCACCTTCCACTCTTCTCACCCGCTGTTCTTCTTCCCTCGAGGTTTTCTAACCAGGTGAAGGAGGCCCTTTGCTCCCCAGAAGTTGAAGTCCTTTGGGATGCTTGGGACTGAATCGGGAGAACAAACTGGGCTTCCTGCTAGTAACTGGATCTGTGTCGCTATCTTCCCTCTCTTCCCAAGAGCCATAGCTTTTGTCTGGCAGACACGACTGCTCCGGTGAGCTCCACTGAGCTCCACTGAGCATGCGCAGGTGTGCAGGTGGCTGGTGGCACCCTCAGACCTGAGTGGAACGCCCGATTTGCACCAGCATGTAAGGAGGTAGTTGGGACTGTGAAGGCTGCATATTTGGTGGTGGAGAAGTACTGTGGTCTCCAGTTTTTAGGTGTCCTTCCTATTGATGTCTAGCTTAGGAGGCGTAATGTTCTGGGTTTCACGAGGACCTAGAATCACTGCTCTGACTTAAGGACAACAGGAAGCAAACACAATAGAAATGAACCCTTAGTTTTGGAGGGTGGTGAGGAGAGCCCCGGGAAGGGTCAGAAAACCTGCTCCTTCTCATTGTCTGCTCTCTGTGGACTTGCTCTGTGACCCTTCCTAGTCCTTCCAGATGGTCTGTAATATCTCATATTAGTTTATCTCATCTGGATTTATCTGATCCAACTCCAAGCCCTGAAGGTATTCCCAACCCCAGTTCCATCCTCCAAAGACTGCTTGTCCCAGAAACAGCAGGACAGAAGTCCTCCCCAAGCAGAGAGGGCAAGGGGAACAAAGACCCCGGAAACTCCTTATCTCTTGTACGTTCTCCCCATGTTTCTCCCTACATCCCCCCACTTAATTTTCTTGACAAAACAGCCATTGTGTTTGTTTTAAAAAGTATATACATGCATGCACACATACATATATATGACATGTAACGTTATAATGATGTTTGTTTAAAAAATGATACATATATATATGTAATGTTATATGGATTTTTGGTTTGTTCTGTAAACATCATCATGCACAATTAATACCCACAGCCCAGGGAGTTGTATGAGTGCATCACTGTGTGGTTTCGTGATTTATAAGACATGCGAGCTGATGGCTGTCAGCTGGGAGACGCAGTGACCTGCAGAGAGTACTGGAGCCCTCTTTGCTTCAGCAAAAATGAGAAGTGGGCCATGCCCAGTGCTCACGGCTATAATCCCAGCACTTTGGGAGACCGGGACAGGAAGATGACTTGAGGCCAGGAGTTTGAGACCAGACTGGGCAACTCCCAGATAGGGAGACCCCTGTCTCTACCTAATATATATATTTTGATTAGCTGGGTGTGGTGGTGTGCATGCTTGTAGTCTCAGCTACCTGGGATGCTGAGGTAGGAGGATCGCTTGAGCCCAGGAGTTCAAGGCTGCAGTGAGCTATGATTGCACCGCTGCACTCCAGCCTGGGCAACAGAGCAAGACCCTGTGTCTCCAAAAGAAAGAGAGAGAGAGTGAGAGAGAGAGAGAGAGAGAGGGAGAGAGAGAGAGACATACAATTATCCAATTTGTGCCAAGATAGACTGAGGTGGGTGAGCTTCCCAGAATGAAAATTGAAGGGGGCACCCACTCTCAGCTGCAGCCCTGCATGTGCTGGTCCCTGAGTGCAAAGTCTCTTTGCAATTTGCTCTCCGGGCACCCCATTGCCTCTCTCTAGTCTGTGCCCTGCCCAGAGAGCAGCTCCACACTCTTTCCTCAGTTTGCATGGTGCTCCGTCTGTGGACTCTTGTCTCTCTTCCCCTCACTCTGCTTCTTCAGAGCCCTTGCCTCCACTATTAATATGCACTTCTTTGTGCCTTTATGTGTCTAATGCTTCCATCTTTCCACCGAACTGTGAGTCCCACAAAGCCTGGATCAGGCCTGTTCTGTTCTATACAAATTCACCCCTGTGCTTAGCGTGGAACTTGGCCCCATGCAGACGCTCACAAAATGAATGAATAAGTGATCCTGAGAGAAGAGGAGAAAAGGAGCCGGCTGGCAGGGAGTTCATGGGGGCAGAGCCCAGGTCTAGCAGCTCTGGAGATGTGGGGAGAGGCTGCCTCCCACAGGAGCTCTGGTGTAACCTTACACAAGAAGGGCCAGGATGGGCCACGTCCCGGAACTGTGATAGCAAAGTCAAGACTATGCAAGGACAGGATGGAGAAGATAGGTCACCCCACAGGCTGCTGGGTGGCTCAGGAAACTCAGCACCCCTGGATGGGACCCTGATTCCTTTACCCTTTCCCATGCACACAGCTAGCCTCACTTTTCAGAGCTCAAGACTCTTCCCCAACCCACAAGTCTTTGTAGGTTGGCCAGCCCTTCGGGGAGATGCCCTGCTCTTCAGTGTGGCCCGTCCAGTGTTTAGATGGCCTGCCACACCGGACCCACAAATCAGCCTGCACACCTCTCCCTAACTTGTCTGTATTATGTTCATTTGCTGGGAGGTGATAAATATTAGAATAAAATAAACTAAAGATGGCTGGTGAGGGCTCTGTTAGCTATCTTTATGGTCTCCACTGCAGCTGTATGACAGCTTAGCTTGGGAGCAAGCGGTCTCTTTTCACCAAGTAACTTTAGCCTTGGGAAAGATGAACATCAGCTAACTCCAGAGCTATGATGGTCGGTACCAGTCAGTAAATCAGTCAGATTTTAATTACTGGATGGATGACAGGGTGCAGTGACAGGTTGCAGTCCACAGGAGAGTCTTCCTTCAAAGCCACTTTAAAACCAGAGAGTGCTTCAAGAGGAAAAACCAGATGCAGAGATCAGAGGCCCAGCTCAAGAGGAGGGTGGGTTCCCCTTCCCATCACTTTAACCACTTCCTGCTTGCATGTGGACAGAGAGAGGGGAGCCGGCAGCTGGCCTGGTACAGGGAAATTTCCTTCCTTCCCCCACCTCTTATCTCAAATTTCCCCCTTGCCCTCCTTTTCTTTCAGCCCTGTGATTTTTAATGGGTTCCTACAGCTCTTTGCCTCCGCGGCTGTTTCGTGCCAAGAAAGCCGCGGCAGATTTGTAAAGTGGCAAACCCTGCTAATTAGTTAGATGAAGTTGCCTTTCTGACAGTGGCCCTGGCATCGGAGAAGGTGACATACCTTAGAGTGACTGCACCGGGGAGGCCTCTCCATTGTTCTTCTCATGCTCTTCCCACCCCCCTTATTACCGATGCCCTGATAATCACTCTTCCTCGAAAATCCCACCCCAAAGCTGCTCCCTGCAGGCCTGGCTCCTGGCAGAAAGTCTCCTGCCTGGTAAGGAGCCCCCCACAGACCCTAAGACCTTCTCTAGGAATGCTCTGCCCCCAGCACCAGAGAAGGGAGCTAGGGCAAGGAATTTAGGATACATGCATGCAAGATTTCACCTTGTGTGAGTGGAGCCCGGGGGACGGGACGGGGTGATGGGAATGACTTGCAGTGACTTTGGGGACATTGGGATGTGCTGTTTCAGGATGTCCTTTTGTACTGCCAAATGGGTCTTGGCATCCTGTGGACTGCAAACGACGTGAAGACCAAGACCCTTTCCTGGTGAAAGTGACGGAAATCATCCCTCCTGTAGAAACTGTACCCCAGCCAGGGCAAGGTGATGCTCTATCTCCTCTTCTGCTCCGTTATGGCCCCTGAGAGGTGGCAAGGCCCGTAGAGATCACCTACTATGACTTCCTTACTTTGCCAACAAGAAAATGGGTCCTGGAGAGGGACGCGGACTATCCTGAAGTCACCCAACTGGGTGAGAGAGAGTGATGGGTTTCCTGCTTCCCATCCCACTCAGTCTTGTCCAGTTCTGTATTAATCAGCCATCTGCAATATGGCTCAATTGCAACCCACATCCTCATTGAGGGCTGAGGGTTGTTTGTTACAAAGCTCACAGCAAACGGGCATTTCTCACTGGGCCTGTGGGTCGGATACGGCAACTTTGCTCCAGGCTGCAAGTCAGATTCAGGTCTGCTCCTTTACCTCTCATTCCAAGGCTCAGGCTGAAGGGAACGTGACCACCTTGGGCATGTTCCTTTCCTGGCAGACTGCAGGAGTGATAGAGTGACAGCCAAGTCCCCCAGACACAGGCAAAGCCTGTGGTTCCCTCATGTCCCCCCAACATCCATTGACCAAAGCAGCCACATGCCTAAGTCCAAAGACAAAGAGCCACCTACTCTACTGGGAGAGATGGCAAAGGCACACACCTCACGAAAGCTATGGGTGTAAAATCCCATTACAAGGGCGGGAGAAAGGCTAAGAAACAATAATCCAGTCCATTCCCTACTGCAACCCAGTGAGCTTTCCAGACGGCAAATTGGATGAAATTGCTTCCTTCTCTCCCAGAAACGATAAGCAGTTCCTTATTACTGCCAGGAGAATCTCTAAACTCCTTAGTAGGAAAGCCCGTCACATGGTCCCCACCTTGCCTACCCATAGCCTGAATATCTCCTAGATCATATCTGGTCGATCTTAGAAACTCCCCTAACCAGCCCTCTCTTGACCAACTCAGAGGTAGCCAGAGCCACCATTCCTTCTAGAAGATGCCCTGGATGATGAGGCCCATAGTGTCCTGAGTGCTCAAGGTTGGGGTAGGAGGGGGGGTGCACTGGGTGAGCTGAATATTTCCCAGGAATCAGATGAGTTTATTCCCAAACCTGCTTTAGTTGTAATTGTCATTATGCAATTTAATAAATTGTGCACATTGATCAAATAAGAGGTGAAAAATTAGATTTTTTTTTCCCTATGAAAACTAAGTTGAAGGCTTTGGAAAGACTCCAGAGAGACCGGAGTACTGATAAAAGTTCCTACAAGGGAAGCTATAGTAGTATAGTAGAGTATATGTCTGAGGCAAGAAATCGTGAAGATAAAGATTCTGCACTTAAGTGACTGCACAAACTGTCTCCATTTTGCAGAGCCTGAAACTGGAAGTGGTGGGTGCTACATCCCAATGTGGTTTCTGCAAGAAAGGGGACATAGGATCCATTTGCAAACTCTGACCTGAAGGCTCTGCATCTGAAGATTTGGGGACTCTGCCTTTTTATATCCCTCCGCACAAAGGTGGTCTCCATTTCTGTCCCAGCTCATGGAAGGGAGACCTTCTGGCTGCATTTGCTGTAGAGTTAGTAGGAATGGGGCCCAGTAGATCCTGCCGGTTGCCCTCAAAGTTAATTGCATCAGAGAGGCCCTCCAGGACCCAGGAACTGTCAGAGCCACCCAGATTGTGGCACCTGTGCCCCACATGAAGAGTGTGCTTGGGTTTATCTTTCCAGCTGTGGGTTTGGGTCACCACACTCCATCCCAAACCATCAGCACAGATGGGCTCTTCTCCTCGTGATGCCTGTGCCTGCCCAGACGGCCAGGGCCAGAAATAACCACTGAGCCTTGGGAATGCTGCACTGTGGAGCCCACAGCCCCGTGTGCGAGAATTCAGATGCAGTGAACACATATGCATCTCCTCTTTCGGGAGACGGGCTCCACGTCTACAAGTGAATATCCTCCCAGGGGGGAGCCCTGAAATGCACTTGAACTCTGATTTGTTTTTAGCACTTTACAGTCAGCTTCAAAAAATAATTTTAATATCTAGACTTCTTTTGGGAGAGGGTTGTAATGGAAATACAGTATTTTCCAAAGATTAAACAGAAGCCCACAGTGAACAGAGGCCTCTCCTTGGTCTCTGCACAATTGTAAATATAATTTTTAAAGAAATAAGGTATAATGCAAATGATTATTTATGTCCCGTTTCTCCATTCCAAGTAGAGAAAAACCTAACTAGTGTTTCTGCTTTCCTCATTTCCTAATTCCAAAAGTAATTTAACAAAAACAAACAAGTAAACTGAAGGGAATGGTAAAATAATCGGTAACTCTCGAAAGAGAACAGCAGTTTCTCGGCTTTTAGATTAATTCATTTTGTTCAATGCAGATGTGTTAAATCTATTCATATCCACATATTCGAGATGAGTTATTTTACTACATTGTTGTGCTGTATAAAATGAGTTATTTTGGTGAATTAAATGCTAGGGTGTAATTTTCAAAGGAAACAGAGGTTTGTAAATGCAGCGCAATGCATGTCAGTGTTTCAATGTGATTATTAAATATTACAGGAAATACATCTCATGATCGTTTACCTTTTTCCTTTTGTCTTTTTTTAAATGTGTATACAGGTTGTGGTGCAAATGGATATGGCAGCTACAAAGATGTCAAAGAAAATGCAACTATCGTCATTCATGGAATTGTATCTCCCCTTGAAGGATACACATATTCTATTTTGCTAATCACCATCAAAGAAACTGAAACAACTGAATGCTTGACTCTGATATCTCAGCATCCTTTACAGCAATAGTGCAAGGGGGTGAGGGAGGGAGGCAGTGAAGTCCCATGAAAAAAACCAATTTCCATAGAGTATTCAATTTGCCAAAACGATGGCTCAGAGAAAGCTAAATAAGTTGATTACTGTATCTGGTATGGACTTATGGAGTGTTTCTTGATTTTGGAATGCCTTGCCTAGATTTGAAAATGAGCTCGGAGATTCTAGCCCCAGAAGGAAAATAGGTAGGGACCTTCCTTCCCATTAGCTCAGTGGCCAAAGTCACTGGCCCTGGGAGGCCACTGTTCTGCTCAGCACAGGCATAGCCAGTGAACCCTCCTGAATTCAGCATTCCAGGCCATTACTACCAATCCATCACAATTGGCATGCAAATTGAAATAAATTTTCCCGCCCAGAGTGAGACCAACTCGCCCACTTCATAGTGTAGAAAGCCCTTTTTACCTCCACTCTATAAATTCTTAAAATACCGCTGCTGCCAATAATCTGGGAGTGTCTTTCTGGGTCAGCTGTGGCTTTGGGCAGCAGCATCCTACCTTGCTGGTTGTCACTGATTGTAGCCACTTCCCACAATCATCATGTAAAAGCAAAAACACAAATGGAAAGAAATAAGGAAATGGAGCCCAAACTTTGTCTTGGGGAAGAAAAGCTGGGGTTGGGGGCATTGAGCACTTCTCCTTGGCCATCTCCTCATAGCTTTGCCCCGACATGAGTACAAATTCTGATGAGAATTTAAAACAGAATATGACTGGTGCTGTATCAATGTCTTTTCAAATTTCAGGTCAGAATTTTAAAAATCTAAAAACAAGACATTAAATAATGGAAAAGAAAGCCCTTGATTTTCCCATTTTCTTTTGCATTGGATTGCAGGTTGAAGCCAATGAGAAGGAGGACAGAGTGAGTGCAGAAAGCGGGAGAAAGTTCAGGCAAGAAAGGAGAATGCATAGAGGTGTCTGCTCCAAGCAAAGCCTTCTCTGCACTCCCTCATTGAATAGACAAAACATAAAAAAGACAGCAAAGAAAGAAAGACAGAGGGCTGGGCGCTGTGGCTCATGGTTGTAATCCCAGCACTTTGGGAGGCCGAGGTGGGCAGATCACCTGAGATCAGGAGTTCGAGACCAGCCTGACCAACATGGTGAGACCCCCGTCTCTACTAATAATAAAAAATTAGCTGGACAAGGTGGCAAGTGCCTGTAATTCCAGCTACTAGGGAGGCTGAGGCGGGAGAATCACTCGAACCCATGAAGTGGAGGCTGCAGTGAGCTGAGATTGCGCCATTGCACTCCACCAGCCTGGGCGATGGAGCAAGACTCCGTCTCAAAAAAAAAAAAAAAAAAAAAAGAAAGAAAAGAAAAGAAAAAAAGAAAGTAAGAGATAGCTCAAGAAGAATTTTTGCCAAAAGTAAATAAATAAATAATAAAATAAAATAAAATAAATACAATAATCTCCTTGGTAGAAACGGGGTGTCTGGGACCCACTGCATTGTTGAAGAGCAGAAGCCTCTCCACGCTCAGCTTGTTGCGTTTATTCTTGGGTGAGTTAAACAAGGAGGTGGGAAAGCAGAGCCTGCTTTATGTTGCAGCTCTCTTTTCCCCTCATTGAAGTGGGAGCTTGAGCGATTTGGTGGCTGGATCTGGGAACCTGTCTGCCAAACTCCACCTGCTGAAGGGACTTGCTCCAGCTGTTTCCAAGAGCGCCTCTTCTGCAAAGGTTTATCAGAGAAAAGAGAGCTAATAAAAAAACATGATGAATCAGGAAGCAGAGGCGAGCCGAGGAGCTCACTCTAAGGAGCCTCCCGCCCTTCCTTCTCGGGTGCCAGCCCACCCTAGCTCTGCCCGGGCACCCACCTGGTGTGAGCCTAAGGAGGGTCTAGAAACAGCAGGCTGGGCTCAGAAGCCACCCACTTGAGTCCTTAATGCTGACCTGAGCCTCTGTGGTTTCTCTGAGTAAGTGAGTGCTGGGCAGTCAGAGGAGATTTACTGACACTATAGGAGACCCTGCTTTAGCAGTGCAGGGACTTTGGATGCTGACATTCACCTCACCCAGGGTGAGGATGATGGGTGATGTGACCTTGGAGTTACACCCTCAGTTGTTCTCAGTCCCATGATGGGAATGTCTCACTACATTGCATTACATTTTACAAAATAAAAGACATATTTTTAAAAATACAACGAGGATCATAAAGGCAAGCTAGTACTTCTAATATTCCTCCCGAGATTCAACGGTGTACCCTACACGGGAGGGAAAAATGGCTTGCTCACCCAACTGGGAGGCCACTGTGGGTCTCGAACAAAATACCATCCTAAGGGATTTCCACGCATAACTTTGACATAAATGACTTTCACCTTCGGATATACAGGTATGTTTACATGGGCACAGAAGCACCAGGAGGCTTAGACACTCTGATCCTTGATTTGCTGTAATATAAGAAAGGGGCTTTGTGCTTTAGGCCCCAAGCCTACCCACTGATTCCGTTGCAAATACTTTGTAGGTATCTACTGCAAGTCAGGCTTGTCCTGGATTTTAGGGTCAGGAAGAAAACAAGATAGTCCTGCCCTCAAGATGCTTGTATTTAGCAATGGGCAGATACACAGACATAAAGGAAGATAGAGGTAATAAATAACTTTCCATCACATTATTCCCCAAATCTGGACCTTGCTGTGGGTTTCACTTTAATCATCTCATCTTGCGCTGGATTAATAGCTACACATCTTATTAATACATACCCCACACCTTCTGCAAACCTGTTAATTCCTGGGACCAGAGGGGTCAGAGGCCCAGTCCTGAGTCATGACATTTTACAGCTAGAAGGAAAGGACCAGTGTCTGTACAGCACATTGCAAAATGAGGGTCTGGTTGCTGAGGTACATTCATTCAACAAGTGTGTATTGAACACCTATTTTGTCCTAGCGCTGAACTTGGTCTGGGGATGAACTTGGTCTTGGGATATTGTCCTATCCCTAAGAGGCTCATCACTGGGTATAATGGCTCACACCTGTAATCTCAGCACTTTGGGAGGCTGAGAAGGGAGGATCACTTGAGCCCAGGTGTTCAAGACCAGCCTGGCGAACATAGTGACATCCTGTCTCTACAAAAAATTTAAGCAATTATCCAGGCATGGTGGCTCATGCCTGTAGTTCCAGCTACCCAGGAGGCTGCATTGGGAGGATCATTTGAGCCCAGGAAGTTGAAGTTGCAGTTAGCCATGATTTTGCCATGGCACTCCAGCCTGAGTGACAGAGAGATCCTGTCTCAAAAACAAAACAAAACAAAACAAAACAAAAAAAATTTTAAAGAGGCTCACACTCAGAAGGTAAGATAGAAACAGAAACCATAATTGGAAAACAGGAAGTCCCTTGCTAAGAGACACACAGGATAGAGAAACAGGAATGCAGCCTGAGGAAATCAGAGGAGGCTCCCTGGAGGAGGTGATGCTGTCATCATGTAATCTGATTGTTATTACTTCCTTATGTATCTAGAATTCCCTTGCTCCATGTGAGCTCTGGGAGGGTGGGGCCAATGTCTAAGGGTTTCCACTTGGAATACCTATTCCTCCATCGTTGATGCTTTGCTAAGATTTGGGGAAAGAAGAGGTCGGCAGGGGGTAGGATGAGAGGCATTTCAGGCAGAAAATATGTAGGAAAATAGAAGCAGAGGCATAGGGACCAGACTATGTGAATATACTTAAGCTAGAGGAGGGGAGAGCACCCAGAGATCCAGAGTGAATGCCTGTGGCCAGCCTTCTGCAAGCAGCCCCCCTGGGTTTGATCAGCACCAGCACATTGTTTAAAATATACTTGGCTGTGCACACAGCAGGGAGCTCCGGAAGGCTCTAGTCCCTCCCAGGCCAACACGACTCTCTGGGGTGTTACTCCTGCTCCATTCCCACGTCTCCTAAAGAGGAGCAGGTGCGACACCCTTGGTGTAAATGAAGTCTGAACAGGTGGCGTCTTGTCCTTTCCAAGGACCAAGAATTCTGCACATTTCCCAGAAAGGTGTGTGGCTTCTTGCAAGATTACCCCCTTGCTCTACAAACCATTCCGCTTGTTTGACTTGCACATTCTCTCCTCTGAAACACACAAGATGCACTTTTGGAAAACACGCAGGAGCTCCCCCTCTCCCATGTCAATCCCCAGCTTCCTCTGTGAGGCCCTGGGCAGACTTCCTGAGCCAGGCCCCATGCTGGCTCCTCCACCTCCCTTTGGCAGGTTTCAAGATTTTCAAACACGGGTAAAACAGGTATTTCCCAAGATAGCTTCTACATATGTGGCAGGGATCTCTTTTTAATAAGGGCTTTCAAAAGCAACCTTCTGCTTCTGAGCTTTGCAAAACACGGCTCTATAAAAAGTTAGCTAGCCTCCTTGCAGCACGCCTTGTTAGCTTCCCTTGCCATTCGCTTCCTGTTAATTCTGTGATTAAACATTTTGCCCCCAACTGTATGAGACATTAGATGAGAATGGAACAATCCTGCCATGAAACTGTGGGTATGGAGAAAGAGGATTTTTTTTCTTTCCCCCCTCTTTCTCCTCACAAATAGGAGATTTACGGTAATTAATGCCATTTAGTTTAATCTATAAATGTTTGAGGAAGTGATGCTATTTGTTTTAAGCACTACTCTCAGCAAGAAAATGCAGAGTCCCCTCCAATTTCTGACTTTATGCTCAAGAGCTAATGAACTGAATTCTTAGTAAACATTGGCAAAAGATGCAAATGAACAGACAGAGGCTCGAAATGCAGAGGGACACATGAGAAGGAGCTAATTTTACACAATTGACTCTGTAACCTTTTTGGATCAGTGGAATTAGAGACTGATTAATCAGCCATGATTAGCACTTATTGAAGCTTTTGACACTGGCGCATTGTTTGTGATTGTTTCTGTTCCTTCTTTCTTTCCTTTTTTTCCTCTCTCCCTTTTTGCTTTTCTGCCCTCTTCTTACTCTCCTGGGGTTAACAGTTTCTAATACATTTCACAGCCCGTCTATCATCCTGGACGGGTCGGAGCTAGTCTTTATGGACTTTTAAAATTAATACTAGACAGTTCTCTCATGACATGCCCTTGCTTCTGCTGCTGCGCTTGGCTGTTTAATTGTAGAGGTGGCCTCTTGTGGCCGCATGCTCCCAATGTTTAGCAAGGGTTGGAAATATGGATGTTAGGAGAAAAACTGGCAGATGGCTGACAAGGCATTTTTACTCATAACACACCAGTAAAACTTTAACTCAGAAGATTTAGTGCGAGAGCGTTCCAGCCAGCAAGCTGCAGCCATATGCAGATTTTTTTTTCAAACTTCTAAACTGATGGTTTTGCAAAGTGTGCATAAGCAGCCTTTATTGATTATGATGTTAAAAATTGAAAGCGTCAGTATCATTTAGCTCAAGACAGTTTTAAAGGAAAAATGAACATTTGTTTTCATTATGAACTACGAAAAGGCCAGGGGCTGGTGAGGTCCACATTCATTATTTCTTAAATTCCAGAGAGGAATTCTCTCAAGTAGGTGTCTCTTCAAAATAAAAAAATGAAAAAAATTGTACACACTTGAAGGATGGTTTTCAAGTCGCAGTTCACTAATTCAAGGTGAGGTTACGCGGAGCTCATCAGCGTGACTTGTGGGCTGGTGGTGAGGGCACACCTCGTGAACTGCTTCTTGGCACATTGGGGATGGTATTTATACTGCACTCTATGTGAACTGATCTCACCCAAAACTATGCTAAATAACTCTGAGGACCTGACAGGAACCCACAAAACTAGGGCAGACCAGCCCAGGGCCTCTGGTGCCTGCCCTATTTCATCCCAGGGACTACAAGGGCGGCTTACCTGGAAGCAGTCGACTGGCCTTAACCTCCATCTTTAGCTGCTTTGTTTGTGTCCTGCTAAGGAGGAAGCTATGTTTGGGGCCAGGCATACATTCCCTTTGAGGACAGTGCGGTATAGGACCATGTGACATTTCTTCCTCTGCTGAGGTAATGTTAAAAATGCCCAAAGGAGTTTGTTTCTCTTACAGCTTAGTGGCTTAATATTTTAAAATGGGAAATCATTGCTACATTGGAGAGAAAAACAACAGCAACAACAAAAGACTAAGGCAGAAGGAAATCATTGCATTTACCCAAGCAATCCAAGGAACTTCTACCTAACACTGCAGAGGGAGGCAGCTTCCATCCACCTCCCAGGATTCTGCATTGCTCCTTTCTAGCTACAGATGCTGGAGAATCACAGCCGTGAGGATAACTCTGAAGCAAAAGAAACTCCACATTGCAGAGACAATGAAAGAGGCCCAGCAAACCTGACTTGTGGGGGCAGCCTGGAGCAGGAACATCTGTTTCCAGCTAAGATGCTAACGTGCTGTTTGATGCAATAATCTTGAATTCTAGTGCAGTTTGAGTCCAGACTTTATGTTAGAGCTTGGATGAGTGCTATTTCTACATACCTTAGGTTCCTTAATCTTTGCAACTATTATATTATCTTCATTTTACAGATGGAAAAGTTTATTTTGAGGATCACTGGGCCATTTAATTCATTTGATTGCCAGTGGGCAAGCAACTTGTCCAAAGACGCTCAGATAGCCAGGGGAGAAATCCTCCTGAGGATTCACTTCTTTCTGGGAGGACAGGAAGCCCCACCTCTTTGGATTGTGTACATGCTTGCTCACCATACCGGCATCCCTTACAAAGGCACTAGAAGACCTGCTTCCCTGTCCTCTTACCTCAGGCCTGGGGTTAGAGTGTGTCTTTGCAAAAGGCACTGAAGATTTAAGGAGTGTGGATTTGCACATCATGCCCTTAGCCTGGAGGTCAGAGTTCTCCAAGTACTAAGAAACTGATCAGACATTATTTTCAAGATAATCGTGGGCAGCACCTTGCTCTTGAAAATTGATGCTGGCTCACAAGTTTTCTAGAAGTACTGGATGAGTATTATTAGTTTGGTGCAAAAGCAATTGCGGTTTTGCCATTCCTTGTAATAAATATTTGGGCAATTGAAACAGAAAGAGTGGTGGTTAGGGATGGAACCATCCCTCCCAGTGGCATGGCAAGGCAAGTCCCTCCTGGACAGTGCACTCAGGTAAACCCATTACTAAGAAGCATCATAGGGACATTTCACAAGTTTAATTACCAGAGAGTTTAATAGAGAGCTCTCACCCAGTGCCCTGACAAGTGATGAAGTAACTGGGCCAGTATCAGTCAGATTTTATTTTCTCTGGGGTTGGGGTACTTGATTGCCAACGAGTCAGAGCTGCTGAGAAACTGGCTTCACTCCCTGGCTGAGGGATCCAAGGCAGAGTAAACATTTGTCCAAACGCCAAAGCACAGCCCTGAAATTTTTTGTAGGAAGTTATTTTGGAGAGTGGACTGGCTTATATACTCTGGCATGAGTAGCATTTTGCTGGGAGCATTGTTTAGCTGGGCCCCCATGGAGTCCCAGTGAGACAGGGAGAAAGGAGGGTAATTCTACAGTCCACATCTGTGAGGGTTGAACTGGTGGCATCAAAGGGTGCAGCTCCAACTGCTCCTCTGGGCTCCAAAAACTAAATGGAGACCATTCTTGTTTATGTCCAGTTTGGGATTCAGAAAGCCCTCTCCAGCTTGAGGGATGGCATGGGAACCAGGAGGAAGCAGGAGGATCATTCAATATCAAAATGTCCCTGAACTCTTAGACAGCTCCAGGCAACTCTAGGGGTGGGATAGACCATCTTTATTGGTCTAAAGTCTGCATTAACTAATGCTTATTGGATGGTGAATTATAACAGAAACTCTGTTAATGTGTGGGAGAACCACATGAATATCAAACAAATTCATTATGATCGGTGCCATTACAGTGAATACCAAATGAGATCATAATGATGGAACAATGAAAGTGTTACCGATAGATTTTATTTCTGTAACAAATCCTCCATGTAAAAGCCCCTCCTGTAGTGTTAATTCTAATATAAGTTTGCATTTGAATATTAGCCTCATCAAGTAAATTATGCTTTCCAGTAGCCCACACAATAATGTTTAAGGTTGTGTTTTGGGTCGTGTGTTCTTTTTGCCAGTAGGATAAGCCCCCACCGGACAATTTCCAATCCACCTATAGAGTTTGACGACTACTGTGAAGGGTCACATTTTCCTCTGAGTGTCCAATCATTAGAAATTCATTTAGTATTCAATGTAATAACACTAATGCAATAGGACAGGATGAGTATGAAATTCATCTTGCATTCATATAGATGTGATATGTACATCTATCTGAAAGGGTTCCTCTCTAATTCAGCAGGAGTTTAGCCCTAGTTAATGGCCACTTTAAAAATAAAGCATTACTAGAGATGAAGGCTCAATTTCTCTCGACAGACATTTGGAATTTTGTGGAGACACAGCCATAATGTCAAGAATTTTTCCAATCAGCCTAAAGCCATTCAGAGTGTGGACACCAATGCTCCTCTGGGCCAAAGCTTGGGAGATGCAATTGCTCTGAAATGCATCGATAACGTGATAGAAGGCTGATATACATCCAGAGTTTCCTGTGCTCCCGACTCCGTGCTAAATGCCAAGGCTGGGTGATCACTTTAAGTCAGAGAGGTAGGTACCATTCATAATTCGATTTACATTGAAGAAATGGAAGTTTGGAGAAGTCGGGTAACTTGTTCAAGTATCTTGCAGGTAGTGCGTGGCAGAGACAAGAGTCAATCCTGTGGCCACAGACCCGCTTTCTAGAGGGGCCTGGAAGAACTGTGGCTTTCCTTCCAGAGCTGAGCCAAGTTTAGGGTGTCAGTAAATATTTGAATGAAAGCATCATTGAAAGATGTCCTCATGGCTAAAGCAATAGGAAAGCTCTGCGGAGTCGATAAGTATCCAGCTCAGGCATGAATTTTTGTGCATATCTCTATTAGCTGCTTCCAGGGATCAAATTTCGGAGACCAGAGACTAGCGAGGCACCCTCCCACACACTGTTCCTCCGTGTCACACACTCACCCTCATACAGAGGTCATGGAGAATTTCCAATGCTCCCAAGCAACCCTTAAGAATCCTGCCCAACTCTTGGTGTCAGGATAGTTACTACAGAAAGTGACCCCACTCATTTCCTGCCATTTCTGTTCTAGATAAGACACACCCAGATGTCTTATGCAGGACTGAGCAACTTCTCTGCAAAGTCCTCAATAAAATGCACTTTGATTCTCCTCCATAAAGGCATGGGTGCATGTCCAGCCACACCCTCAGAGCATTCTGGATAGAGCACGACACACACACGCGCATGCACACACACACACGCACGCACACACACACACCATCTTACACTGAAACTCAAACTGGCTTACAGTTAGTTCCCTATCAAGAATTAATGCAATATCATGCACACACCATTACTGAAAAATTCTACGCTGTTTTTTGCCAAGTGTTCCTATATAACAGTTTTATCACAAGTCTGACAGCCTCCATAAAAATTCCAGGCATTCTATATCAACAGCCCTCTTTGTACTAAGTTATTAAACATTAAATTTTTATTCGTCATTTGTATTCTGTTATGCAAAATAAGCTCCTTGATAAGATGTGTCTTCTTAATTGGGCCCTTGATGCTTCTTGGATCGGAGTTGTCAGATTAGCTGGAAGAAGAGGCACTGCGTTGAGCCAGCTAGCTACCAGGAGACCAATAGCTTTGTAACAACGATATTAAGTTAGAGAGGCCAAATGGAGGGCAGCGCCAGGCTCAGGTGAGGGTTTGCATCTGTGCATGTCTTCTGCTCAGGCACTTTTCTCCTGGCATCAGCAGGGCTGATGGAAATAGATTTGTTTGTTGTTTACAGCATGCAGCTGTGGGCAATGCTGCATGGGAGTTGTATAAGATTGAAGCAAATTTGTACTGAGACTAAAATACGGAGCTTTGCTCCCGTCAGCAGTCTCTGGAATCTTATTGTCGAAAACTTTATCTAGTTGTAACCTTCCCTAGGGTGATTTCCATTTGCAGCTGCCCTGTTCTGTCTCTCATCTCCTGTCCCCCACCGCCACCGTGGCGTTAGTACTTAGCGGGAGCCAGCCAGCCCCGGCCGGAGCTCCGGCTCCTTCCTGACAGGGCCACACACAGAAGGACCTGGCGACAGGGCGGCCATTTTCTCTCCCAGCCCTGCCCCGGTCACACAGCCTGTGCTGCCAGTCCCTGGCTACTGCCGTCTACGCTCAGCTGGACAGGATCCGGGGACTAGGGACACTGCTTTCCAGTCTGGCGTGGATGGCCAGAGAGCCACCCGATCTTCAAGCAGGGGAATTGCACCTGACAATAAATTATTTGCTGTATGTTGGAGCACATGCGTGCACCTTTCTAGAGACAGTTCTAATTTTACCCGGAGAGGCCTGTTCCGCTACTGCAAGTGTCTCTTTGTCCTCAGATGCTATTGGGAGGAAAAGAAAAACAAAAAAAAAAAAAAAAAAAAAAGCTTTCTGGGGATCCTGGGGTAAGGTCAATTATTCAGTGGGGACACACGCCTCCATTGTTAGGGCCAGCTGGCCTGACAGACAAGTCGTGTGCATTTTCCCTGATAGGACTCCTTCGAGTCTTTAGAAAGTAGTGTGTGTGTATGTGTGTGTGTGATATTGGTGTTAGTGTGTATCTGTGTGTACTTGTGTTTTATGTGCCTGTGTCTATATGTGTTTCTGTGTGTGGCTGTGTGTGTGTGCGTGTCTCTGTGTATGTTTGTGTGCATGTGTATATGTGTGTTTGTGTATCTGTGTGTATGTGTCCGTATGTGTGTCTATGTGTGTGTCTGTGTGTCTCTGTGCCTTTGTGTATGCATGTGTGTTTTTATGTGAGTATGTGTATGTGTGTATCTTTGTATTGTGTGTGTCTATGTGTGTATGTTTACATGTCTATGTGTGGATAGCGTCTATGTGTATATTTGTGGTGTCTGTATGTGTATAGATGTGTCTATATGTGTAAGTGTGTGTCTATGAATGTATGTGTGTCTATGTGTGTATGTGTGTATATGTGTGTCTCAGTGTGTATGTCTGTTTCTATGTGTGTATATGTGTCTATATGTGTGTTTGTCTATGTGTATATGTGTCTATGTGTATATTTGTGTGTGTCTATATGTGTAGATGTGTCTATGTATGTGTCTGTGTGTGCACTGTGTCTTTGTGCACGTATGCATGTGTGTTTGTATACGTGTACATGCATATGTGTCTATATGTGTCTGTATGTCTATGTTTATGTCTACATGTGTATGTGTGTGTCTATATGTTCATGTGTATGCATGCATATATGTGTGTGCATGTGTGTATGTGTGAACATGTGTCTATAGGTGTATATATGTCTATGTTTGCGCCTATGTGTGTATGTATGTGTGCATGTGTGTGCATATATGTATGTGTGCCTGTGTATATATGTGTGCATGTGTGGTGGGGGTTCTGAGGCACTGGAATATGATTTTCCAATCTTCTGTGGTTATTGAGCCATTTTATTCAGGATGCCTTTTAAGAATGTGGTTCGTCCTCCCTGACCAACTTCATATCCTTAGCTTAACCAGGAGAGAAACCCTCTGGGCTGAATTTGTCTTCATGTGCTGAGAAAAGCCTGCTGTCCAGGCCCCATTGGAGGAGGGCAGGCCTCAGCCATATCTGCTTCCCGGAGGAGCAGGAGGCCCATTGCTCACTCCCCCATGTAGCCAAAGCCTCCAAGAGGAAGGAGGAAGAGGTCCCACCCAGTTTAGCTAGAGGCCCCCCTGCAGGGGACACCTCTGGACCACTTGGGCTTCCACCCAGAGCAGGCTCCCACTCCTGAGTCTGCCCATGCTGACCTGGGCTAGACCGGGTCTTCAGTGGGATTCTGAACCTGTCCACGGAGATCTCCTGAGTGTGTAGCTCCACTTGGAGTAACTGGTCTGAGTTTTCTGCTTTGCTAGCTCTGAGTTTTGGGGTCCTAATGGGCTTCTCTTGTGGACACCTAGAAGATCTGCACTGAGGGAATGGAGTGGATGTCTTTGCACCTGTCAGCAGGGTCTGAGGTCTTAGAGAGAGACCAAGTGAGTAGAAAAGTAGTGAAGTGTCTAGAAAAATGTGCATGCATAGCCTTCAACTGTTTGTGCAATACCTCATCTCAATATCCAATCAGGTACCAATGCGTTATCCCCAAAGCCATTGTGGTGAGAACAGGACTACTTGCTATGCCAATGCGTGCTGTTACACATACTATGATTATTTGTGGTTTCAAGAGACAGAAGTTCAACTAAAACTTGTTTCAAGTAATACATAAATAAAAATGTATCATCTCCCAGGGTACAATCCAGGGATGGAAGCTGGCTTCAGAAATGGCTGAAGTCAGGTGCTGAATGACACCAGGAGAACTCCACCTTTCCCATCTCTGCTCTGCGTTCCTCCACACTGGCACATCCATAGCTCATCTTTCTCCAGGCAGTGCAAGATGACCACCAGCAGTGCCAAGCTTCTATTTTGCCTGCCTAGAAATCTCTGTGGAAATAGCAGACCTGGCTCATGAAGACACCAGCTAAAATCTCAAGGCTGATTCTCAGTGGCCCAATTTGGGTCATAGTTCATCCTGAACCAGTCGCTCTGATGGAACGATGAAGAGCTCTTGAAGGTGGCCGCATGTGGCTTCTGTGTCTGCCCTTAGAACCTAGCTATAGGGTCAACTCTGCCGTGGATGGAGAACTGGGGAGAGGGAGGGAAGACTGGCCTATCAACAACATGGAAAGGAAGAAAGAGATAAAGGTTGTAAGAGCCATTTCTACAGACTCCGAGTCTTCAGACTTTGGGGAAATGGCCCAGCCCTGCTGGCTCTCGGGCCTTTGTTGGGAGGGCCTGTTTGCCCTCTTTAGCCAGGTCTCCCATTGTGTGCAGCCCCTCTGTGATCCAGGCCCTCCCAACCTCTTGCTGCCCCCAAGATGTGCCATGTACTTCTAGACCTACAGGACTTTGTTCATGAGCAACCATCTGCATGTAAAACCTGTCAATCCATGACCCTCACTCTCATCAGTTTATGCCTGTAAGAAAATCCCACCCAACCTTGTAGCCCAGCTCCAAGAGCAGGCTCTCCAAATACCCTTTTCCTCCTTCTACCCCCCATCAGTCACCTGACCCTCTGCTTCTCCCTGTTGAGGGTGATAACAAAATCCTTCACCAAGTGCCACCGTCTGTATATAGCAAGCTCCTAAAATATCTAATTCATATTAAGCACACAACATAGTGAATGGCACAGACCAGAAGCTCAGTTGAGTAGACAGGTGAGCCCATAACCCCCTTGTGCTGAGGACTCTAAGCTTGTAGCCCAAGTGAAAGAGACAGAAGAAAATGAACAAGTAGAAGATTAAACTTCCAATTCCAAAGGTAGGACTGAGTTTCCTCTACCTTTATCCTCTTTGATAACACAACAAGGTCTAGGTGGCTATAACGTCTACAAAATTAAGCCCCAGATTGCCACTGAGGATGAGGAGATTTGATGGCCTGAGTTAGCCCCCAAAGAGTCCTGGATTCTCTGGGGAATGCCCAGGCCTTCATTTCTCAGGTCCCCCCACACACAGGCTATGCGAATGATAAAAGACAGACATTATCTACATTCTAAATACATATAGGTTAATGAAAAGATCACTATTTTCTGGTAATCCATAATTCTCCCAAGATAGAGGACTCCTTCCTGTATATTCAAGAGCCAATAGCCACTTGGACTGGAGTGGCCTTGGTTTCAGCTCCTGGCTGTGTTTTGACATTTCAAATTTGTAGAGGTCATGTGTGCAGCGGGAATGGCTTTCTAGAACACTGATGATAATATTCCTGGCAGGCTCAGGCGCTGGAAATTCCGGTTTCAAGATATCTCATTATCTGCAGGTGCCATAATGGGAAGCTGAATGCAGAGCTGTCAATCATAGAGGAACATTTGGAAACGCAGCAGCCACATAAAAGCGTTCCCTGACTTACCCCCTCTGCTCGACGAAGGGAGGAAGGAAGCTCAAAGAAATCGTCTTGCAAGCAGTTCAGCGGCATCAAGAGGAACACAGCGGACTGAGTCATCTGATGTATATGGTGCCCACTAACAGGCCCCATAAAGCGCCTGCCTGTCTCCAAAACTGAGCCTCAGGAAGGCATCCCTGCCTGCAGAGGTGCTGTGGGTTCTCCTGCCTCTTGACCTTGGGGTTTCACCAATAAGGCCATGCCATGAAGGCATAGTCTATTCACTTTCAGACTCTATATACAATTTTGTGTTCCTTGCAAACTAACTGAGAGAGACTGACAGGTGAGACAGGGGCTGGGGATGTGTAGGATGGACATTTGAGAATACAAGTTAGTTTTGTCACATTCAGATAGTCCAGGGCTTTGGGGGGACTGGGAGACGGTGGAACCCTGATGTTTTTTCTGTCCTTGCTGTTTGGCCCCACATTAGGGGGCTAGTCTTGAGACAATCTCACAAATTCCCAAAACAAAACTCAGTTTGGTGTGCTGCAATTTATTTGAAAATAAGATCTCAGGCCTTAAATACTAGCATTCATAAATGGAGCTGGTAAGTGGAGGGCTCAGCACCGTCACTAAGCAAGGTTGCAGGGACTGCCTTCTGTGTGGCTGGCCAGTGCTGGTGGTTCCTGGGCACCTTAAGAACAAGACTTAGAATTAAAGGATTTCAGAGCTGGAGATTTGCAAGGATCCATGGACAAGAATGAATGAACTTGTTTCACTTTCACTCAGTGTGAAAATAACACACACAGATGAAAGACAGAGGCCACCATTGCAGACAGCTCCCTGGACAGACAGGAATTACACAAAGTGTGGGGGTCTGGGCAGGGTCCATCATGAACCCAGGGTCAGGAGCTCCTTCTATACCAGCATGTGCCGCTCAACTTCAGCCAGCTTTTGCCAGGAAGAAATGACTGGCCACAACTGCCAACCTCTCAAAAGCAGTTGGAGATTCAAACACTTATTTTCATTTTTTGAAAAATTTCTAATTTACCTAATTTAGATTTTTTTTTTTTTTTGAGATGGAGTTTGGCTCTTGTTGCCCAGGCTGGTGTGCAGCGGCATGATCTCTTCAGTGGCTCACTGAAACCTCCACCTCCCAGGTTCAAGCAATTCTCCTGCCTCAGCCTCCCGAGTAGCTGGGATTACAGGTGCCCGCCACAACGCCCGGCTAATTTTTTGTATTTTTTGTAGAGACAGGGTTTCACCATGTTGGCCAGACTAGTCTCGAACCCTTAACCTCAGGTGATACACCTGCCTCAGTTTCCCAAAGTGCTGGGATTACAGGCATGAGCCACCGCGCCCGGCCTTAATTTAGATTTTTAAGAACAAACAAATGATTGTGATTTGGATACTTCCGATTTACTACTTGACCAGTAAGAACTAAAAAGTAGTTTTCCAAATGGTAGAATATCACTAGGTTATCTCTATAATCAGCCAATGATTATATCCCAAATCTTTTTGTATTTTCCTATAAGAGGAAGTGACTTTATTTATATGAATGGCTTTCCTTTCATAAAAGTTAAGTAATTTTACCCCTAATTGAGTCCTTCTTTATTTCCTTTCTTCCTTCCTCTCTTTCTTCCGCCATTTCTTTCTTCCTACCTCTTCCTTTCCTCCTTCTCTCTGTCTCCCCTTTCTCCCTCCCTTTCTTCCTTTCTCCTTTCATACCTTCCTCCTGCAGAGAGGTGTTGAGCTTCAGTTGTGTACCTGAGCCCTGCCAGGTGTTGCCAGAACAAAGATGAATAAAGCCTTCCTTAAGGACCTCAGAGTCCAGTTGGCAGGAGAGATCACAGAGGAGGTATCAGCTAGATGAAATGTATATGCTGCAGGCCCTGCTCCCGGCCCAACGAGAAGAGGCTGCGAGACACTAAGGAGGTGGTGATTGTTTGAGGACTGCACCTCTGTCATTTGCTCCTGAGGACAGCATAGGCAGGAAGTGACCACCATGGAAAATATACAAATGTTATTTGTTTACTCCACAGTGACATTCACAAAGGTCACTTACAACATGCTTAGGAAAAGGTTGCTGGTTTGGGGAATGGGCTATTTACCCTGTGAAAGATGAGGTTCCAGGGAAGGGTAGGGGTGGAGGTGAACAGAAAGAGAAGATGGGAGAGTTTTTCTTATCCTCCTACCGGGCTTTCCATGGGAAGGGGAACTAGCCTGGCTCTATGATGCCGGACCATTGATAGGATGGAAGCTTAAGCCCACTATTCAATCCTGAGAATTTGGAAGCCAGGAGACCTAGGACCAAACCCCAACCTGACCACTAACTAACAATGAGATCTTCAGCAAATTGTCTCTCTGAGCCTCAGTTTCCTTCTCTGTAAAACCATCCCTGTCTCACAGGGCTGTTGATATAATTGACAAAGATGATATGTGTGGAAGGCTTAGCTCAGTGCCTGGAATGCCAAAAGCATTCAGTAAGTGGAGAAACAGAAAGTTCATCTTTATATTAAGTCAAAATCTAACAGTCAGCTGTCTAAACAGGAAGCATGGCTGCATGCGGAAGTAGTGAGTTCCCTATTATTAGAAGTGATCAAGCGAAGAGTAAGTGACTAGTTGGCGGGGACCCTATTCTTTATATAGGCCTTGAAGAATATTTATATAGCTTTAAGTTCCTTTTCAATTCAGAGCCTCCGGGATGCTTAGAAAAGAACTGGGTACCCTAAAAATGTAACCTGTGTGTGTGCGTGTGCCAGAACACGTGTGCATGCACACACAAGACAGCCAATGGGATTTCTAGCTATTATGGTAATTTTTTAAAGAAATCAAATGAATGAATAAATAAAATAGCATTGGTTTTAAATTTAAATATCAGTCACAGATATTTGACTGTCCCTTTTCTCCCCCGTTCACTTCCAAAGCAAGCCGACCCTGTGTCACATCCTCATGAGATTAAGAGGGGCTACAGTAACCACGGAGGCCTGGAGTCCCCTGGACTCACCAGCTGTGCCAAGGGAAGGGTGCAGTTCTTAATGGTGGCAGCCTGCTGGAGAGGAGGGCATGTCCAGGCCTTTTCTATTTCTCTGTGGACAATTTTATTTTCCTTTGTATCTGTCCCTGATGATGACTTACCTGGGTGCCATGTTGGATTGCTCTGTGGTGAGCCATGAAGAAAGTACTTTATTATATAAGAAAGAGAGATGGAGGGATGTCAGATCAGTTTTTGGTTCTTTCCACTCTCTTTCAGCCTTGGATGTCATTGGCTTATGCTTCCCTTTCCTTTTCATGTTTTATACTCTCCTTTCTAGGCTACTTTCCTGCATTGACAAGCACGTCGGGACCGAAAACATGTAAGTTGTTTGTTGCTAAGATGTTTGCATGTGAACAAAAGTAAAAGTCGAGGCCACCGTCATATCCAGTGGTGGAATTTCTGGTTGGCTGGGGAGGTGTTTAAGGAAATTCACTGGGAGAGGGAAACCAGAACATGGTACTTGCTAAAGCTTTTGAAAGCTCCCCATGTAGGCAGCTGTTTGGTTTGCTGACAAGTGAAGATTTGAGTTTCCAAGAGACCAATAGAAGAAACTACTTGAAGATTTGTTTTTGTTTTGTTTTGGTTTGGTTTGGTTTGGTTTGGTTTTTTACTCTATTGGTTGGGTTTTACTCTGATGTTTCGAGAAATTGTCCCTTTACTTAAAATTGTATGCAATTGGATTTTTAAACTAATTTTCACCCAAGAAAGCCATCCCAGGGACTGTTTGGATGCTGACCCAGTGAGAAGGGTGTCAGGTGGAATCCTCAGCCCCCTTCTTCGCTCCAAAAAATCCTTCTCCCACCACTTCATCCCCAGCCCCACCTCCAAACTCTATTCCAAAGGTGGTCTGTTGTGCCCCATTATATCTGGAAAGATACCTCATGGCTGAAGAGAGTATTTCCACTTTTACTTGTCTTTATTTCTACCTTTTTGCATTTTCAAAACAAAATGTGTTAAAAGAGTGGATTCTGAGTATGCTTTCCATCTAGCCGCATGTGCTCAAGCAAGTTATTTAACACCTCTGCACCACAAAAATGAAGCCAGTGGTAACTAGCTGGGAGAGCCACTCAGAGAGCACAAAGTGGGGAGCCTATATCGTCATCAAGTGCAAATGGATGAAGGTTGCTCCCCTCTCCCCTCTCTTCCTCCCTCTTTTCTTCCTCCCTCCCTCCCTCCCTCTCTTTCATCCTGCTTTATTTGCCTTGTTCCCCTCCTTCTTCCTTCCCTCCCTCCCTTCCTTTCTTCTTCCCTTCCTTCTTTCTCTTTTTCTTCTCTCTTTTCAAGAAGAATTAATAGAGACTGGACACAGTGAGTGGCACCTTTAATCCCAGAACAGTAGGAGGCTGAGGCAGGAGTATCACGTGAGGCCAGAAGTTTGACACCAGCCTGGGCAACTTAGTAAGACCCTCTTCTCTATAGAACATAAAAAATGTTAGATGGGTGTGGTGGCACACACCTGTAGTCTCAGCTAATCAGGAGGCTGAGGTGGAAGGATCCCTTGATTCAGGGAGTTCAAGGCTGCAGTGAGCTGTGATCTGATCACACCACTGCACTCCAGCCTGGGCAACAGAGGGAAATCCTGTCTCTAATAAATAAATAAAAAGAGGAATGAATAGGATACTCCAATGCCAGCCAGAAAACAAGATCAAATAATTATGCTCTACCCTGACTGATAAAGAACCTGAAACCATGTCATCTCTTTATATCCATGTGAGATGTGCAGTGCTAGAGAATGACATGGCCACTTCTCACTCAGCCTCAGCACCCCCAGCTCACAGGCTGCTGCTGCCTCCTCCCCTGCCCTCACCTCAAGAGCAGCCGAGCCTCAGAAGGAAACTTCAGAATGCGGGGCTCCAGGAGGGAATGCCCTGCAATATGAAAACCTTCCCATGGAGACTAACTGACGCACATTTTACTTTTAAATGTTTAAACTGATTGATTCTTTCTGACAACATTTTCTTAAAGGCTTTTTTCCCCTCCTAATGAATTTGAGTCTTTTCGAAAGGCCCGTGATTGACAGAGCCACAGACTGACAGCTTCAAGTCCATCCGAAGACTGAGGGTTTGCAGCAGCCTGTCTGGTCCAGGTGAGCAGGGAAGAGAGGGGAGGCAAATACCCAGGCCTCCTGGTATTTTTGATTTCAGAATATGGCCTCAGTTACCTGGTACTGCTCTCAGGAATTATAACTTTTTCCTGTCTGAGTTGCTGATGCCCCACATAGCAATGTTTTGGTCAGTGCTGAAAGCATGTACTACGATGGTCTCATAAGATCACAATAGGGCTGAAAAATTCCTATCTCCTGGTAACAGGAGCCATCCTAAGGTCATAGCACAAGGCATCACTCGCATTTGTGGCCATGCTGGTGTGAACAAGCTTACTTCACTGCCAGTTGTATGAAAGTCTAGCACATATAATTATGTTCTATACTTTAGCAATGTTTTGCATAGCATAGCAATGTTTCGGTCAAAGATAGACAGCATGTACCACAGTGTTCTCAAAAGATCATAGTGGGGCTGAAAAATTCCTGTCTCCTGGTGACATCGTAGCCATCCTTAAGTCGTAGCAAAGCATCACTTGTGTTTGTGGCCATGCTGGTGTGAATATACCTACTGCACTGCCAGTCGTGTTAAAGTGTAGCACATATAATTATATGCAGGACATAATACAATGATAATGAATGACTGTGTTACTGGTTTTCAGATTTACCATACAATAATTGTCATCGTTATTTTAGGATGTACTCCTTCTACTTATAAAAAAAAGTTAACTGTAAAACAACCTCAGGCAGGTCCTTCCGGAAGGATTCCAGAAGAAGACATTGCTACCACAGGTATTGCAAGAGGTGACAGCTCTATGCATGTTATTGCCCCTGAAGATCTTCCAGTGGGGTAGGATGCGGAGGTGGAAGAGAGTGATACTGATGATCCTGACCCTGTGTAGGCCTAGGCTAATGTGTGTGTTTGTATCTTTGTTTTTAACAAAAAAGTTTAAAAAGTAAAGAATAAAAAATTAAAAAAAGTTAAAAATAGAAAAAAGCTTACAGGGTAAGGATATAAAGAAAGAAAATATTTTTGTATAGCTGTACAATGTGTTTGTGTCTTAAGCTAAGTGTTATTACAAGAGTCAGAAAGTTAGGCCAGGCACAATGGCTCTTACCTGTAATCCCAGCACTTTAGGAGGTTGAGGTGGGCAGATCACCTGAGGTCAGGAGTTGGAGACCAGCCTGGCCAACATTGTGAAACCCCATCTCTACTAAAAATACAAAAATTAGCTGGGCATGGTGGTGTCTGCCTGTAATCCCAGCTACTCAGGAGGCTGAGGCATGAGAATCGCTTGAACCTAGAAGGCAGATGTTGCATTGAGTCAAGATTGTGCCACTGCACTCCAGCCTGGGCGACAGAGCAAGACTCTATCAAAAAAAAAAGAAGGAAGGAAGGAAGGAAGGAAGGAAAGAAGGAAAGAAAGAAAGAAAGAAAGAAAGAAAGAAAGAAAGAAAGAAAGAAAGGAAGAAAGAAAGAGGAAAGGAAAGGAAAGAAAGGAAAGTAGGGAAAGAAAGAAAGAAAGAAAGAAAGAAAGAAAGAAAGAAAGAAAGAAAGAAAGAAAGAAAGAAAGAAAGAAGAAAGAAAGAAAAAAAGATGGTTAAAAAAATTTTAAAGTTTATAAAGTAAAGAAGTTGTAGTAAGCTAAAGTTCATTTATTATTGAAGGACATTTTAAAATATAAATTTAGTGTAGCCTGAGTGTACAGGTTTATAAAGTCTACAGTACAGTACAGTAATGTCCTAGGCCTTCACATTCACTCACCACTCACTCACTCACTCACCCAGAGCAACTTCCAGTCCTGCAAGCTCCATTAGTGGGAAGTGCCCTATATAAGTGTACCATTTTTTATCTTGTATACCATATTTTTAATGTATGTTTTCTATGTTTAGATATGTTTAGGTACACAAATGCTTCCCATTGTGTTACAATTGCCTGCAGTACTTGGTACAGTAACATGCTGTACAGATTTGTAGCCTAGGAGCAATAGACTATACCGCACAGCCTAGGTGTGGAGTAGGCTTTGCCATCTTGGTTTGCGTAAGTCCACTTTATGATGCTTGCATAATGATGAAATTGCCTAACAACACATTCTTCAGAAAGTATATATCCTTGTCATTAAGCAATGTACGACTATGATTATTTCAGAGTTTTGTGTATTCAACAAACATTTCTTGAGTCTCCCGGATTTGTATGCTGGATGATGACAAGATGAAAAAAAATGAGTTAAAAATGATCCCTGTCCTCAGGGAGTTCAGTCCCACCAGGTAATAAGCCAGCTGCAGAGGGTGATTCTCCCATGGTGTAGTAGTTCCAGGACTTGGCCCAACTGAAGGTCTGTTAACGGGAGCTGAGCCTTCAAAGAACAAGATTGTGATGGGTGAAGAGTGCCAGGGAAGGGCACTTCACCTGCATTTATACCTTTGCCCGGGGGGGTCACTCGAGGCCCAGGAACATGGCCCGTTCAAAGGCAAATTCTCTCTCCTGGCTGGGGTCAGGTCTCTGGAAGGTGCTGTAGCCTCCAGGCTTGACTATTACTAGGTCGAAGGATCAAGAAAGTCCCGAAGGGCACATTGACAGGTTTTGGATTTATCCTACAGCCAGGGGAGAGTTAATAAGCATTTCCAAGGAAGAAGGTGGAATGTGCCAACCCACATTTAGAAAGCCACCTCTGGTGGTATCATGGCGGAGGGCACACTGGAAAGGAGAAACACCAGAGGCAGGAAGGTGAAAAGAGCAGACGACAGCAGGCCCATTGAGTGCCATGAATGGCATGGACTTGTAGTGTACTTGTGTTAGGGGTGGGTAGATACCAGAGGGCTCAGGGAGACACCGTGCTTTCTTTCTTCCATCAACCAAGCCAGAAACCAATGAGCTTGGTCATGACCATGTTGACTAAGGTGTTGCCTGAGCATGCAAAGAAAGGGATGCAACTGATAGAACTTTGAGTTTGGTGTTTAAGAGAGAGAACAGGGCTGATGTTGCTTCAGGTTCTATTTAATAATGAGATGAGTCTGGACACTTTTGGCTTAGCCAATTATTCAAAATGGAACTGCACAAATTGGTATTAATCCCATGGATTCAGACTCGGGTGTCTGCCTGCCTAGACTTTAGATTCACAACTTATTCCATGCCCACGTCTATCTTCCATTCTTCTGTCATTTCATTGTCTTGTTGTTTGACCAAGTTGACCAGTCACTTTTGTCTGACCAGGTTGAATCTTTGCTTGGGAGGAGAATATCTGTAGCATGCAATTTTCCTACGTGCACACCACTGGCCACAGAGCACACAGGAGGTCAGTGCATCACTATTTTCAGGGGTGGTAGGTCTGAGGACCTTTCCTGGATCTATAGGTTTGCAGGAGTGCATGTCCTCAACAGAGGCTAGAATGCACATCAGTGAAGGAAGGCTTCTGCTTTCTCCACATTTTGGGGTGAGTTGTTTTGTTGGATCAGACATAGTGAGATCATCCAGTGTCAGTTTTTAATTTATGGCATTTAATTATGCATTTCATTTGCAGCAATTAAAAAAAGTGATCCACACACTGCCTAGCTTGTGTTGACTGAATTGGTATTAAAAAATAAAAAATAAAAACGAAACTGGCAGGCATCCTCTCTGTGAGGCCTCCAGCAAATACCAAAGCCGTTTTGGAGTCATTTCTGCTCACTCCTGCCACTCTCCGGTTGTCTCTTCCTTCCTGATCGCTGAAGGCTCCTGCCACCTTATCATGGTTTAAAATAAGATGGGGCGAGCAGCATCCCCCGCTCCACACTTTGTGCCTCCATGGGATTTCACCCAGAAATACAAGCAGGAAAAAAAAATAAGTTGCCAGAGACCCCATTCCCTTCCCCAGGAGAAATTCGAAGCAAGAGGAAAATGAATGGGAAGGGCTCCCACCAAAGGACCCTCATGGGAAAGTGGCCTTCAGAGAACCCTAAAGAAAGCTGGGCCAAGATCCAGGGTGGGTCATAGCCTGTCTCCCAGGCAATACTTCAGACAGTGACATGAGGAAGCCAGTAAATTACAGATTCTTCCAGGAATGGTGCCAAAGAACTTGACATTTCACATTCACTCACACATTGGCAGCTGTCACCATGGGTAACAAAATGCAGGCACTACCTACGGCTCAATAGGTAGCCCGTCCCCCAGAATTTAGAGGCACCCATCTTAATCCCTGACAGCCCAGTGTCCAGGGACATGACTCCAGATGCAATTTTGATGAAACATTACTGCATGCATGTAACGGGAATGGTGTTTTGAATGTGCAAGTTGGGCTTAGCATAGAAACTAGAAAGCAGACAGCTTTGGACTACATAGGTTTGGCTTCAGATATTTTTGCATTCTTCGGTGTGAGTTTTCTTATTACTGAAATTGGGCATTGTCAGTGAGGATAATGCAGAAAATTCAGACGAAGGATACAAGGAAAAATTTGAAGACATCTATGATCTCACTGCCCAAATATAATTATCATTATTATAATCTTTTGAGAGATATATAATAGAATAATATATAATTAATAAATATGTAACACAATATGGTAATATATATCATACACACACACACACACACACACACACACACACACAAACACATCACTTCTTTCCTTCTTTCCTAAATATTACAACACCATTAGTCATAAGAAACATCAGAGCTTCTTTATTTGGGAATGGGGTGGCACTAATGAATTGAACAGAAAAATGTTTCAGCCCGCAATAAGATGTTCATTTATCCATTCAATTTCATTCTGATTTGTTCTTCTAAATCACAATTGAAGTTATCAAAAGTTGAATCTATGCGTTCTTTATGTCCAATTACTCTTGGCCATGAGCAGTGATGCCCCACTTCCCGGGAGCTGCTGCCTCTTCAAATCCCACATTGGTAATCTTGATTGCGATTTCTTCAAACACTTTCATGATTGACTGCCTATCTTTGAAGCACATCAAAGAATATTAGGTATTGGTCTGCATTTCCTATTTGATTAAACTTTTGAGTAACCTTTTTCCCCTTAATTCAGTCATGTCTTCTTTGAAGATAAGGGTCTTCTCTTGAAAGGCAGTTGGAGGCTTTAGGCAGATAGATGTTCAATACCTGAGAGAAAGTCCTTCATGAGTTTGACACCTGGAGCTCTCCTAACTTTGGAATTCCTTGGCCTATCACTGGGAATCTGGCAGTTTACACCACCTTTGTCCAGCGTGTGACATCCAGTCTTCCTTGTCGACATGAACATGTTGAGTCCATCGTGAATCATGGTAGCATCTTTCTAAAGGCATTGTAATTGACAAGCACAGGTCTGAGTTTAACTTAACATGCTCTCTTCTGTGCTGCCTTAAAGTTAATGACTGTCAGCAGGGATGAGATTCTGACAAGCAGTTATGCTCCTGTCCAAGGTTAAGTTAGCCTGGGCATGGAGGATGGCAACACTATCACACGTTACTCGCCAGTGCCCTGCCGGGTGTTCTCAGTAATGACTTTAAGGGCCTGTGCTTGAATCATGGCTCACAATTTACCAGTGGGGGAGCTTTGGCAACTCCTTAAACTGGATTATGGGGACTCCATGAGGATTAAATGAAGAAAGTCACAACAAGGGTTTAGCTTTGAGCCTGACATGTGGCACAGGCTCAATAACCATTTCCTCCTCCACTGCCACCACCACCAGTAGCAGCAGCAACTGTCTGTTGAGTGCCTATTCTGTGCCAGTTTGATAGGCTGTTCTTGCATTGCTTTAAAGGAATACCCGAGTCTGGGTAATTTATAAAGAAAATATGTTTAATTGGCTCATGGTTCTGTAGTTTGTACAAGCATGATGCCAGCATCTGCTCAGTTTCTGGTGAGGCCTCAGGAAGCTCTTACTCATGGTGGAAGGTGAAGGGGGAGCAGGTGTCTCATATGCAAGAGCAGGAGTGAGAGAAAGAGTGTGTGTGTAGGGGAGGTGTAAGTTCACCTGTGAACTCAGAGTAAGAGCTCACTCACCATCAAGAGGATGGCCAAAGCCATTTATGAGAGATCCGCCTCCATAATCCAAATACCTCCCACCAGGCCCCAACTCCAGCACTGTCATTTGGACAGTGATATGGTTTGGATCTGTGTCCCTGCCCAAATCTCATGTTCAGTTGTAATCCCCAATGCTGGAGGTGGGGCTTAGTGGGAGGTGATTGGATCATGGCAGGGGTTTCTTTTTTTTTTTTTTTTGAGACGGAGTCTTGCTCTTTTTGTCTAGGCTAGAGTGCAATGGCATGATCTTGGCTCACTGCAACCTCCGCCTCGCAGGTTCAAGAGATTCTCCTGCCTCAGCCTCCCGAGTAGCTGCGATCAGAGGCATGTGCCACCATGCCCAGCTAATTTAGTATTTCTAGTAGAGACGGGGTTTCGCCATGATGGCCAGGCTGGTCTCGAACTCTTGACCTCAGGTGATCCACCACCTGCATGGTGGGGGTTTCTCATGAATGGTTTATTACCATCCCCCTCAGTGTTGTCATTGCACCCATGAGTTCTTGTGAGATCTGGTTGTCTAAAAGTGTGTAGGGCTTCCTCCCTTTCTCTCTCTTCCTCCTGCCCCAGCCATGTGAAGTGCTCACTCCCCTCTTCCCTTCCACCATAAATGTAAATTTCCTGAGACCTCCCCAGAAGCTGAGCAGATGCCAGCATCATGCTTCCTGTCGAGCCTGCGGAACCGTGAGCCAATTTAACCCTTTTTTCCTTATAAATTACTCAGTCCCAGGTATTTCTTTAGAGCGGCGT
This sequence comes from Homo sapiens, assembly GCF_000001405.40. Lineage (NCBI taxonomy): Eukaryota > Metazoa > Chordata > Mammalia > Primates > Hominidae > Homo > Homo sapiens. Next base: position 31,080,632 of record NC_000019.10, on the reverse strand, counting down.
GAGAGAATACTAATACAGGCAGCAACAAATATCCAAACTCTATCAGCTGGTCTTTGTTCCCAGTGCTTTATGTATAGGAACCCATGAAATCCTCACTACTGCCTGATAAGGTAGGTGCTGTTGTTAACCACATTCACAGATGAAGAAACCAAGGCATGGAAGAATTAAGTAATTTACCCTCTATTACATAGCTAGTAAAGGGCAAAGCCATGATTTAATTAGCTGGATTGGCTCCAGGGCCCAAAGTGCTAAGTATACTCTTTGTATGTAGAATACATGCACCTTCACCTGAGTCTGCATCATTTATGCTTCAATATTATACATCCCTCTTCATATTCCCCACATCTCCCAGCCTTCCTCCAGCACGTCCTTTGTCATGGCACCAGAGTGGCTTACTGTATGGCAAAGACATAATAGTTATTAGCTGCTGCTTTGTTGTTGGACATTTAGCCCATTTGCAGTGTTTTCATGTTTAAAATAATGCTCTGGCAAAAGCGCCTTGGTTAAGTCTTGATACACATCTATGTCTATTTTTTTGGAGTAGACTCTGGCTGTGGTATTGCTGGGCAGGCAGACCAACCCTCCAGGTTTGTCTAGAGCCAACGGTTTTCCAGGGACATGGGACTTCCAGTGCTAAACTGGGACAGTCATGGGCAAGCCAGGGTGGTTGGATCACAAAACAATTTTACACCTATGTTATTTGCTAAAATGTTCTGATGGTTGTGCCTTTCCTTAACATTGGGTTGATGGTTTGCTGTCAAGATGGAGAAGGGAGAAAAGGGGGTCTTTCTAGATGGCTTTGGGGAGCGGTCCCAGCCTGTGTCCATGGGATGACCATGGGAAATATGGATATTAGGTTTAAAAGTTATCAACTGAGGGACTGAGGAGAGGATGCAATGAGAGTCACAGGAATCAATGGACATGAGAAGGATCTTGACAGCAAGGCTGACAATGTCGGAAGAGTCAGAACCAGAAAGGGGCAGGGACAATATCGTGGCCACTGCATGAAGGCAGAGCCAGTGTGTCGAAGGATGGGAAAGTATTTGGGGGGCTGACATCAAGAGACCTGCATCAATTTTTGAAGTCAGCAGAGTGGACTTATCCATGCTAGACTCTCCTTTTCTTCAGTTCAGTTCAGCAAACATTTATGGAATTCCTCTTCCATGCCTAGCACTCTCCCCATTACTGGAGAGGAAACAAATGCCTCTGGGAAGGTCCTTTTCAGGACCTGTGGTATCCATCCTTGCCAGACACCCAGAGTCATTTATTCATTTATTAAGCAAATATTTACTGATGCTGGGAATATGGCACCCTTCCTGGGATTTCTAGCCTTCCTCTTTCTCCTGCTAAGAACAGTCTTAGAAGAAAATCTCCTTTCAGTTTTGGTGAATGAACCCTTTTCAAAACTAACATCACTTTAAAAGTATCTCACCAACGAAGCAAGACATATCTTTCCTTGTTAAAAATGTTTCAAAACCTAAGAGCAGAAAGGGGAGATTTGGGGGGATGGAGGACCCTCTTGTCCAAGCCAGCAGCCCACATCAAGGCCAGCCCTCCTATGGGAATAGGCAGAGTCTCATAGAACGAAAACACAGGCATGTTCCTTCCCAGGTCTGGGAAAAGAAAAGAGAATCCCAGACGAAGGGCGATATGCAGGTTGCTAGCCTGAAGGAGCAGTGAGCGAGCAGCTGGATGAGGGCTGGGCTCTGGGCCTTGAATGCACCCTTCCCTGTAGGGCCCTCCTTAATACTGAACATTCAAGGGTGATGCCAAGCATGTCATTCCCAATATTTCCAAAGTACATATTTCTGATCCTGCAATTGAAAGAAAGAAATTCACTCTGACAAAAGCTAGTATTCACTGAGAGCATCCATCAGGATCTAGGGCTCTGTGTGTAAAGCTGTTTTGTTCTAGAAAGGCAGTTGTGGAAATACCTGATTTCATGAAGCTCTACAAGGGAAGCATTAATATGTCAGTTTCTATAGAGTAGGCATGAAGACAGCCTCCACCTCACAATCTCCACCCTAAGGTAATTGCAGTCCAGCACCGAGAGGGCTCATTCAATCTATCAAATAACCTTCTTGACTTCTCTCCCGAGGTCTCTTCCTGTCCGTAGACCAGGAGACTGGCTGATTTCTTGTTTCTCTCTGGCCACCAGGAGCCAGTCCAATGGCCCATCTCATCCTGGCCCCAAACAAACGCAGAGGTCCCTTTCTCCTTACAACTTGTCTACTGCGTGGCAAATCTGAGGGGTGGATTCCCCATTTCCCACCACAGAGGGCTGGACTTTGGAGAGAGATTCAAAAAAACGTGAGTTTTCCATGCTCCTGGTATTAATTTTGAAGAACATTGAGGGCCCACTCAGGTGAGCTCTCTGTCAGTACTTGGGGACTTGGCTTTGTTACAGACGGGTCATAATTAAAAGTGATTTAGGCTTAGCATGGTGGCTCACACCTATAATCCCAGAAAGTTGGGAGGCAGAGGTTGGAGGATCGTTTGAGCCAGGAGTTCGAGATCAACCTGGGCAACATAGTGAGAGCCTATCTCTATAAAAATTTTAAAAATTAGCTGGGTGTGGTGTTGTACACCTGTAGACCCAGGTACTCAGTAAGCTTAGGTGGGAGGATCACTTGAGCCCTGGAGGTCAAAGCTGCAGTGATCTGTGATTGCACCAGTGCACTCCAACCTGGGCGATAGAGCAAGACCCTGTCTCTAAAAAGAGAAAAATTCAAAAAATAAAAAGAAATAAAATAAATTAAAGAGGATCATAGGACCTGTGTGCAGACACTCCCAGGAAGATTGTGTACACACTGTATCACACCTATTTGCATTTCCAATGCCCCTATATCTTAGAGTTCACATCCACACTGAGATCCACTTGTGCAGGGTACTGAGTGAGCCTCCTACAAAATGTCTTCTGCCTTGCCTGTCCCCAAGGACCTTAAAAGTGCTTCTCCTCCCAGGCACTGAATTCAGAATACCAAGGGCAGAAAGCATCTCTCAAAGCAGCAGCAATTTCTAGAGTCCATGGAGCAAGATGTGGCACCATGGGTCCCTGTCCAGCTTTGAGCAGATAGCTTTGAGAATGAGCCTGTTGTCCACGGACAGCTCACTTGTTGCAGTGAGACCCAGGAAATAATGACCATACAGTGATTATTAACAATTGTTGAGGATGTATTACATGCCACATACTGTTAGTGATTGCCCTTCAAACCTAAGAGGTAGAAAGCACGATTCTACCTTCCTAAGCAGGAAACTAAGACTTACAGAGGTGAAGAAACTTCTTCAGGGTCTCTTAGCTAATGAGGGACAGATCTGGGACACCACACGCAGGTGTGTGGCCACTGTGCTATACTGCTTGTCCTCAACTTAGAGGCCCCCAAAGCCCAGCTAATGGCAGAGATTGTGAATCACTTAATTTTTGTGTGTGTGTTTTAGAATGAGCTATAAATGGCTGGCATTTGAAAATCAAAATCGACATCATCGGAAGTATAAAAATAATGAGGTGGGTGGTAAATGGCACATTGGCGCGTGTGAGCAATTTGCACAACGAAGGAATGGGGGCCATTTAGAGCCAACAAAGAAATGGCTTCTCTACAGTCACAGATAAAAAAACCATATTCAGCGTTAGGCGAAGGCAGCTTTTAAGCAGTTTCACTTATTGTTAAGCTTCCTTTTGATTACGGCAAATAAGTTTGCCTTTAACGGGAGACTCTCTTATAAAAGGGAGGAAGGGTGGCTGAAACGAGGCTGGCATACTGGTGCAAATGATCTTTTCAGGGGGCCTGTCCCCGGGCCCAGGGCCCATGCGATCTGTCTTCATATTCCCTGGTGTTTGGTAGGGGTCTCTGTGGAGCAGATCTCCTCGGCTGACCATCGATGTAGCTTATTATCTCCCAGAAGCACATAATGTGTTCACCAAGTGACTGCATTACAGCAAGCCCCTAAATTGTATTTGGACAAAGAATAATTGAACACTGGACAGAATAACAAATGCCCCGGTCAAGTTTGCTTCATGGGTTTATCGTGTTGTATTAACATGATAGAAATATGAATACTTAAATCTTATCTCAGGTATAGTTTATAACTGCATTAATCATTTACTGTATTATATATTTTTCATGTCAGTAAGATTGTGGGGAAAAGATTCAATTTTCACAGCACAGTCAGAGAGTGTGTTTTAGATAAGTAAGAGGCCAGGATTAAACCACTGCTGCATGGCTTTCAATTGCAGGCCCTGCAAAGGGAAGGTTAGCACATATCAAGCAATATTAAGCAGGATCGTTTGGGCTTTGGAAAAATAAATCACCGGGCCACTCAGTGCCATCGTCGTGTCTGATGGAATCAGGTAAACACTTACAGACTTTTTACTTATATATGATAGGTCCAAACTAGGCTGGTTGGACTACTCTTTGTCCAAGCCTGATGCTCTGTTCTTTGCAATGTGTGTCTGTTGCTGACTTCCTGTGTTGGTCTGGGCAGGTGTGCAGGGGAAGAGAAGGGTTCAGGGGCATCTTTGACCTGGCACTGGACAGACAGCCCTGAGTGGCATACCCTCCTTCAGGGAAGAATGGATTCAGAGAGACAGTTACAGTAAGCATGTTGCTGAGGCACGTGCCTCCAGAATCCTGGAGTATGTTTTCTAAAACAGTTGTGGGGGATGGGGGGGAGCTGCCTTTTCCCCTCGATAGGTGATAGGTACCACATTGGTTCCTACCTGGCTAAGCCCTGCAGAATCATGTCAGCATCAACTTAAATCACCACAGACATTCTCACTGGAGGACGGACGTTCTTCCAAATTGCTAGCTTCAATCCGTTCTGAGGGGCTGGGATGGGAAAACTTGGCATTTTTTAAAATATAAATTTCCTGAAATTTCAGTTCCCAGTGATGTTGTTCTAAAAACTCTGTAAGAGGTCTGTCATGGTTGGTTGTACTCTTTAAGCTTTCCTGTTTGCCCAGCAAAGTGAAGCAGAGGTCGCGACACAGAGCAACTTATTTTTCAAAGTTTAGGAAAAAATCAAAACAGCAGGCCCACAGAATAGAAAGGTGAGATGCAAAGACACAAATCACTTCCCAGTCACAAAAATTGCCAAAAAATAGCAGCTTGCAGCTGTGCACAGCAGGGGCAGAAAACATTAAACACATGTTAAATAACAAATAGGAGACTTAAATATAGCTAAAAATGGACCTTATTCTGAATAAATCATGCAAGCTGCATCTTAACCGTCCTGAGAAATGTAATGGATCATGTGAAATCTGCCAAATTTGTATTAAAAAAAAATCAATAGCGTGTGTGCCTCTGCTTTTAAAATGACATGATGTTCAGTTCAAGGAAGACGTTCTGTGCTTCTGCTGTCCCCCACCCCCGCCACCTCCCACCACCCATAAGACTACAGCTGGATTTAAGAAATTTCACTTTAGTTAAAGACAAGCAAGACATGCATTTGAATAAGTCTATTTTTTTTTTTGGTGGATAAAAACTATTTAACATTCACTTTGCACTGCCTTAGCATTTCACAAAATTGTTCCCTCTTTCTTTTGAACATGTAAAGGAGTTGGCTCATCTATTCTGAACCGTTTTTTGAAAACCGCAGAAGTTCATTTCTCCGATACTTCTCATCCATTTTTAGCCTCTACTAAGACATAGCCATCGCCACGCGGTCAAAGAGGTTTTTATGCCATCTCCTTCACTGCCTGAAGCGGGGGGCGGGTGGCTGGGGGCAGGGCATTGCCTTTTGTGACAATAAGGCAAAATAAATCTCCAGGCAGAGTATTCAAATCAATCCTCCTGGCAAGTCTCCTTCTCTTGAAATGTTTGCTGCCTATATATTTCTGTCTTCAGATTATTTCCAAGTCCGTTGGCTTGCCTTCAGCACTTAGGGTCATATTTTGGTTTATCCTGTGTGTGTCTCACTTTGGAGATTAATGCACCTTAATAACACGAGAGTGAACTGTGATGAGACACTTTTTAAACTTTGCCTTTATACTGCCACAATAGCAAGTATTTTGCTCCAACACACACACACTCACACTCACACAAACACATATGCACACACATGCATGCACATTCACACTCACACAAATTCATGTGCACACATGTGCACACACATGCATCACACACTTGCATGTTCCTTAGCATGGAAAGGTAGTCTGTGGTTGTACATTCCTAGCAGCCAGTGGAATTGTACAGCTGTATATATATTTTTTGTCATCAGTAATCAGTTGCCAAGGAGTTTAATGTGAGGGATCGGGGTATGATGTGGAGGAGAGCATTGTGATAATGCAGCCTGCCTCCTCACTGGGTAAATAAAGGGGCTGTGTACACCCATGCCGACCTCCGTGCCTGATGTCCTATCCCAGAGCTATCTTTGCATTCAGAATATTCATAATACTCTCTTAGTGTGAACAGCAAATATCTGGCTTTGAGGGCAAAAATATATATGCGTGTAAAGGAGAGAAGCAGAGGGAAAAATACATTTTCAAAACAAGGACCAAGTAGAGCCCTCATGGGAAGCCTTTGAGAGGCATGATTAGCATACTTCCGAGGCTTCCCCTGCCCCAGCCGGCCTCTTTTGGCTGCACAGAGAGCATTTCCACCGAGCTGCACTCAGACGGGGGCTCTCCAGCGCCAGTGGATGCTCTAATGTACTGAGAAGTCATAAATATGGAATACGCTGCACCGCTGCTTCCATTTCCTGTATTTCAGGGATATGGGGGAAATTACAGATGGTGGCACAAGTAGTGATTAGAAAGATGGAGAAAGAAGTGTCAAAAAAGAAAAAAGAAGAGATTCTGGGGAAAAAAGAAGAAGAAAAAGAAAGAAACAGAAAAAAAGCCAGGAAAAAAAGAGGGAAGGCAGGAAGGAAGGGAAGAAGGGAGGGAGGAAGGAAGGAGAGAGTGAGGAAGAAGTGGGAAAGGAAGGACGGAGTGGAGAAAGGAGGGAGGAAGGAAGGAGGGAGAAAGAGAAGAAGGAAAAAGGAGAGAGGGAGGAAGAGATGAAGGAAGGAAGAAGAGAGGGAAGGGGCAAAGAAGGAAGGGAAGGAGGGAGAAAGGAAAGAAGAAAGGAAGAAAGGAAAAAGGGAAGGAAGGAGGGAGGGAGCATTTGCTGTTCCTTTAGAACTCATTTTGCATCTGGATACAGCAGAAATACCATTTCCAGGAGAAGGTACTGAAGACAAGCGCCTTCTTCCCATTGGCAGGGGGCAGGAAAGGAGATGGGCTTATCTAGGTGATGATATCCTCTCCTTGGGGAAGGTTCTGGTCTACTCTGGCTGTGGAAAATCAATTGAGTTTGCGCTTTTGGCAAACCCCAACTCCCCAAGAAAATTCTCAAGCTGCCAGCTACCCCACACCCTGCAACAGAGGTATCCCAGAGGCAAATTGTTTTTGAATTTTCTAGTGGGGGATTAGCTTAAGAGGCAGCAGCAGAAAACTATTATTTGCAACCTTGGTGGCCCACCTTAGGGTAGCCCTATTTAGATACCATTAAAAAAAAAAAAAGGAAAAGGCATATGTTTGCAACAGAAAAGCCAAAACAAAGCTGAATAGGTTAATGAAATAGCATCTGAAACATAGCCATATTAGAGTTTTGCCTCTGACCTGCCCACCTTCTTGCCCTCTCCCCCATTTTTGAATCCCCCTGAACTCACTTTTTCTTTTATGCTTTCATTGGGCTTTAATGGTTCCAGAGATGTGGGGTTCATTTTTGCTTTGTGTGCTTTTTTTAAATCTCATCTTTTCTCTTATAATATTCCTCCTCTAACTTGCCCAACGTGATTCATTTCTTTAAGATCTTGTTTTATTTTTAAGTCATCAATTACTCAAACTTTGTGGGCCTATCTATCCTCAGCCATCTGGACTCCATACCTTATTTTAAAGCATGTTCAAATAATGACAACCTTCTTTTCTCAATTAATTTATGGGCTGTGGGGACCATTTTTCATTTGTTATCATGCACTTCCATTTGATCTCTCATATCTTTCTTCTGCATCTGCAACCATGGTGTATAAATCTTCCACCCCGGCATTGTCATGGTGTCCAAGATATATAGGTATAACTTCCTATTAGTTCCACAAAACTGACCTTAATTTCTAAAAATGGTATCAGATGTGAATAAAGTTTGGTAAGATGATTTGTTTTGATTTACTTTGTACCACTTATCTTTGAGTTTTCTTCCTACTTTTCTTTTATCTAATTTAGACAGTAAAGCCTTGCAAGCCGGGTTATGGTTTATCCATTACCTCCCTGCCGACGCTGCTCCTTAGAGAGATAGGGCGGGGAGATTTTTGGCTGTGGATAATAATAATGTGGACCGTGGACATGCTTGAGGTTGGTTTGTGTTGTTTTCTATTTAATGCAAGCTGACCTGCAAGCTTCAATATCTTCTATTCCAAAAATGTGAATATTTTCAAACAGCATGACTATATCAAGTTATTAGATATTGGATCTGAGACTTGCATAATAAAATTAGACATGCAGATCCAAGTATCTTTTCTCTTCTGCTGCTCAGTTGACAAATAGGAGTATGGAAAGACCCAAATCTCTCTCCGATCATTAGGGGAGGCTCGTTTTGGATTTCTGAGGGGCTGTGGCTTACAAAACAGAATCTGTGTATGTGTGTGTGTGTGTGTTTTGTTTTATATAAACAGACTTCCGTCCAAACTAGAGAATGCTAATTAAGCAAAAACCATGGCCAGATGTTTATTAACACATCTCAGGTTCATGGGATTTGGAGACTGTGCAGTTTTCATGAACTAATTTAAAAAGGGAAACACCTTTATACCTTTATTGGAATAATCGCCAATTATAATTGTGGACTTTGCCTATTCTTTTTTGTGCGCGTGAAGTGGGTGGGCGGGGGTCCCTCCTAGTTGAGAGATGAAGAGCCTGCCCACATCCTGGTGCATCTGGCTTCAGCCCACACCCCAGCTTTGGGTGTGGCCTTTCAGCCTGCCCCGCTACCCACCCCCCGACACACACACACACACACACACACTGAGCTCAGTGGAATCGAGAAACACACCCACGTAGACACACAAAATAAACCCTGGGCAGTTTGGTATGCAGCGTCAGTTGGTTTTGGGGTTTTGCCTTTGTTTCCTTTAATCATATTGTGAGTTTACCTTGTGCCCAGCTCCATGAGTACCTATTGGTATGGAGACTATCAGAGAGGACTCTTTGCCAAGCAGTGGAGCGTCTCTGGAATGCCAGCAAGCAGTGAGACAGGAAGAGGGGCTGTCAGACCACAGCATGGTGACTTCACTCTGGGCCCCAGATTCAAACTGTGGAGTAATAAAACTGAATAGCACCATATAAAACTCCGCATTTCATAAGACAAATATTGCTCTATGCATTCCTGTCCCTTGCACTATGTTAACTGTAGGAAGAAATGGAAACAGTTTTAGTGACCCCCTGGGACCTATAAAGGCTATTTCTGAGTCTGAATCTTGCTGTTTAATTTAATCATTTATTATATTAATATTCAAATGGGCTGCATCTTATTAGCTACTGCAAAGATGTTAGTATGTCTGAAATAAATACCTAATTATGCTTTTGAAGAGAGGGGTTCTAAAGACTTTGGTATGTTTGTGCTAATAGAACAGTTCATTTGCAGATTTTTCTGCAGAAATCAGCAGTTTGAGGCTTTTTTTTCTCTCTCTCTCTTTTAAGAAAATAAAAACAAGGATTGAATATCCACTGAGAGGTTTCAATAGCAGGTCCTAGTTCCACCAGCTCCCAAAGAGCCCTGGAATTACGAGGTTTTGTTCTCTGCGCCCGAGTGAGCGTCCATCCCGGAATGACCAGCACTTTCAGCTCAATAACACATTAATACAATTAACTGTTTTAATCAAATGACCATGAAATTAAATATGTTCCTGTTGGAAGAAAAAAAAAGGATATCCTCTTGGAAATATATTTTTTGAGTCCAACATGCTAATATATTTCTTAACATGACTGTTTCATTATTTTCCGTTTGCGTCTCATCTCATTTCTCTCTCTCTCTCTCTCTCTCTCAATGTTTCTTTCTCTCTCTCTCTCAATTCCCAGTGCAAAATCAAAATCGTATGTAGGTCATTGATTTTTACATCCACAGACAATGGACACCAGCAACTTGCAGAAATCAGACCGTGCCATTTGGAGAGAGTGCACAAAACATAACGCCACATATACTCTGGGGTGGGGGGAGTGGGGGCCCAGGAACCTGCAACTCGGTCTGTGTTGAGGCCAGAGTCTGGCAGGCTCCATACGGAGTCCATTTTCCTAATGCTGAGCATTAGCTTCATGAGGATGGATTATGCTGCTGGCGTAATATACACAAACGGTGATGATAAATTGTAAACTAAATGTATACACTGCAATTGGAGCAGTGGAGAAATTAGTGGTAAGTGCAGAAGTTACAGTCTGAGAAACTGGGAATTACACATTACTATCTTTCTAAAGTAACTGCCACTGGATCCACGATCACTCTTATTTTTTATTTTCTAAGATGGCTAAAATGGTATGTCTACTAATACCCACTTATCTGCTTCACTTTTTTTTTTTTTTTCAGATGAATGTTAAAGCCAAAGGTTAAAGTCCTAAGTAAGTGGCCAAGACTGCTCCCATTGACAGGGATGGTCTCAGTTCCCCCCGGTTGACCTCCATTTAACCTTTAAATTGACCTTGAATGAGTTTATTTTCCTTCTCTTCACATGGATGGCAGTCCCATGGGAGGGGACCCTCTTTTCCTGGGTGGATAATTACATTGTGGCTTTCAACTGCACTGCACTTGGTGTCAACCCTTGTTGTATTGACGCACCTCCTTCCTGGGCACTGCCCACACACAGCCTGTGTGCTGCCGCTGTGCATGCCATGCCATCCCCTTCCTTCTCTTCTGCATACCTTTCCCTGCACACCTGCTGGGTATCAGGTCCAGGTAAGCATTGTGGCACCTAAGGCCTCTGCCCTCAGAGAGGTTTCTTTCTAGCCCATTTGTCCCAACTGTTGAATTTCATCAGGAGCATGCCACAGTAGAGAATCAGTGACTGCTGTGGCAGTACCCAAGCATGACAACGGAGCCTGTTATTGAAGGAAGACAGCCTGGAGGAGGTGACAAGGGTCTCTTGTGCCAGCCACTGTGCTTGGTGCTGCACTAATCTGTCATCTCAAGTCCTCCTGGCCAGGTGGGATAATGGGTGGTTTGGTTCTCTGTCTTCTCCACGAGACAGCTGGCCTGAGGCTCAAATGGCAGGAGAGGTTCCTGAACAGGACAGGGAGAGGCCATTGTGGGAGGGCAGAGCTCTGGCCCTGGTCCCCTCACTCCCGTTCTCCACAGAGACCTAAAGGAATCATGAGTCCTGTGTAAAAGAATTCATACTTAACTTACCTGGCCAAGGAAGGCTGCTGCGAAAGGCTGTGATGCAAACCCATCAGGGTGCTCTGAGACACCACAGCGGGGCCAGGGGCTAGAGACCCAAGGAGAAGAGGAAATTCACAAGCACTGGCTGGTCTGCACCATTTCCCTAAACCTTAGGCCCAGAGACAGAGCACCTCCTGGGCATGAGTTTCTCAAGGCTGTCTGTAGGACCCCGCATCTCCTATGGAAGATAGATTCCTGGGCAAAGTCAGGTGGACAGAGGAACCGAGAAGGCCCAGGGGGCCTAGGGGCTGAGGCTGCCAGGGGAGGAGGAGGAAGGTGAGGTTTCTGTTCCAGAGGGTTCCAGGGACTTCTGGAGGGTTCCAGAGTGCACACACCAGGGTGTTCCTCCTTGTTCCTGGTGGCATTAATGGTCTGCCTGTCTCTGGCTACGGGAGAAGGCCACAGGGGCCTGTACGTCCCAAAAATTTCCCTCTAGGGTGGGAGAAGGAAGGCACCCACCAGTCCAAGCATCCAGAACAGAATAAAAGGTTGAGCCGTCACTGAAGCAACCCATGGGGTTAATCGGCTCATTTCATTCATGGGGTTAACTGGTTTATCTCATGCTTGTTATGTTTGTGTCTTCCCATCACATGCAACTCCGCTCAGAAGTCCTCCTCACACCAGCCTGCCTTAATTTCCCCATGTGAAGTAGCCCTCCTTCAACTCTCCATCCCATCACACAGAGACATCTGAAATGTCTTGTTCATTCGTTTACTTGTTTATTTTCATCTCCCTCCCATCCCCCACCCTGAATTCAAGTCCTTCAAAATAAAAGCCAGGACTGCTATAGTATTTCACAAAATGAAAATGCAGGCCCTCTTGTTCAAAAATTGTTACGAATTTCATGAATGTTACGAATGTGATGGTGACATTAGAGCAGTAAACCAGGGAAAGGCCCTTTTAAGTGCAGGATTCTGATTGAGGACACAGATAGCACGGATTGGTGACCTCCTGGAAAGGACCCGTCCAGCCCCAACTAGGTCACCACCGGGCCCAGAACAGTGCCTAGCAGACAGCGAATGCTCAATGCACACTGAAGAATGGACGGTGCAGCCGCCGCCACCCCGTAGGGTGGCACTCTTCTTTTCACCATTACCAGAAGAGACCAGGCATCTCCTGGTGTGAGGCAGGGTGATTGAATGAATGAATGAACAAAGGAAATATCTGAAGCATAATCGGGCTTAGAGAAGGGAGAGATTATTTCCATTGCACAAGATGAGACAGGGCTTCAGGGAGGAAGGGGAGCTCTATTTTTGACAATACGTATATTTAAATAGGGGAGGAGTGGGCATTCCAGCCAGAGGCAGAAAGTGTGGAACTGTGGGGCCCCATCTGTGTTCCGGGAGCACCACTGGGATGTAATGTGGGGTACGTACGAGAATGCAGTGTGAAATGCCCTGGTGTTGGAGGCCTCCCTCTTTTCCTCTCCAGTTTGAGCTGGGACTTCCCTTGGAGATCTTCCCCACAGCAGCCAGGCAGTCAGGCAGCCAGGTAAGTCCACGGGTGGGACCAGGGCTCGTAGATTCCCAGCTGGCCCCAAAGCAGGGCTTTGGATGCCAGAGGGAGTGAGGTTAGGATTTGGCAAAGAGAAATTGATTGTCTTAGGCTCAAGGACGTCCTCGTTTTCTCGGAGAGTGAGGTGTCCTAGAGAGCCGGCTCAGTGTGGCCGGCCAATACCCGGCCTCTGTGGCTGTCATTCATTCATTCATTACTCATGGAGGTAGGTGTATGATGGAAAAGCCTGTACTATGTGCAAGTTATTTTAAGGGTTTCCAAAAAAGTTAAAACAATGATTTTGCAACTGAGGAAGCCACAGTCCATGAGGATGAGTGTTACAAAGACAACAAGAAGCAAGCAGCACCAGAGAGAGCTGCCGATGTTGGGCTGCGGCGGTCGAGAGGAGTGAGGCCCTGAAGGCTGCCATCAGGGAAAGCCTCTGGTCTGCTGGAAAGGCTTCCTGAACATCTCCAAGTCCAGGTCAGGGATGGCCTCAGAGTCTGCTCTAGGGGCCTGGCTCTCTGGACCACTGTCCTGTCGGGGGGTCCTCCATACTCAGTTTCCAAATGGGTCCTTCCAACAAGAAGAGTGGCACTCCTCTCCCCAGAGATGATCCTGCCGACCGGAAGCACTACCACTGGGGATTATTAGGCACTAGCAGAGGAAGCAAACAGCAGGGGCAGAGGCTTGGGAGGGGGATATCGGAAGACCAGTCCCCAGAAATTAGCTCCAATTTCTGTTGGGTTTTGCAGCCAGATTCTTTACGTTCAAGTTCATTATTACAGCCTGTCTTTTATTTTTATTTTTTCTGCTTTCCTCCCTTCTCCTCAAGACCAGATTAGATCCTCATCGAAAGTCTAGGGGGTTGGGGAGAGCATTTATGGAGATCAGCCTGTGTTTCGGGCACCAGCGGTTAACCGGGTAATATACACTTCTATTACCCTCCATGCAGTCCTCGGAGGATCAATGCGAGGGGTTTAACCACCACACAACGGAAAAACATATATTCCTGCTGCCTTGGAGCAGCCATCGGGAGCCTGTGTATATGTTTCCCTCATTATTTGGATGTGCCGTTTGAATGTTGTGATCAGTGATTCAGTGCACATGATTCATCAGGAAGGCATTTGCTCGGCAGACATGTGAGGAGCTGTCTGCCTCTTCAATCTCACTGACAGGGCAAAAATGCTGATTTATAGTAAATCATTAAAATCTGCTTATTATGGCACGGCTTGTTCCTCTTCCCCACTTCAAGCCCGCAACTTGATCTGCATCGTTTCTCTTACAATTTTATACTACAGCAAGCAGTTATTTAAACAAGAGGGTAAGGCTCCTTAGTCTTTATTAGTGCATATGAAAGGATATTTTGTTTAAAGAAGACTAATTAAGAATGCAGACGATTTTCTTGCTCCGTGTAGGGAGGAAAAATATAAAGATTTAAAATGTCGAAGCAGAACAAAGAATTACTGTACTAAAACAATACTTAAGAATGATGATTTAGTACCCATTTTAAATAGCCATAAAATATCAGTTCACATGTTGACAAAATTATTGGGGAGGCAGGGGCTTGGGGGCTGGTCTCCTTGAGTTTGGGTTAGAGGGAGGCCATGAAGATCTCTAATAGAAATGAATACAACCAGAGAATAATGCTATTATTGTGTTCAACTCCAATATTGTGACAAAGGTTACATTGCTTTAAAAATTGTGGGTAAAGTTTTGTTGTTTAAAGGGAGAAGATTTCAGATTTGGTGGAAGCATAATATGAGAATATGTTGCATGCCAGGTAAACAAAGAAATAACACAAAGAGGTCTACATTTTGTATGTTTTACTTACAGTAAAAAAAAAAAAATTAATTTGATGCCTGGGGACAAAAATTCTTGCCACTGAATTACAAAGAAGTGAATAAACTGACTCAAAATTAATCCATACAGATCTGTCCCCTTAATAAGACTAATTCCAGAGAACAAAGCAAAGCATAATGCATTTTAAATTAAGTTGGAAAATGCATAATTTATATTTGTTTTATTTCTTCATATTTTAACACAGGTGCGTTCCAGAATGCTAAGAACCAAAGGAGAAGGGCATGCTTCTGTCCATGGCTTTTTACTTTTTAAAACTGAAGGATCTAATATTTCTCCTCTTGTTCTCAGGAAGTGATAGCAGTATTAGACAGAAAAGATGAATGTAGCGAGAAAGAATAAAGTGAGTATGTTTGGTTAAAATTAATTTTTAGGGCTTCTAATTTCTGATGTGAAATTCAGCAACAGTTAAAAACACATACACACACCACTTTCATCTGGATGAAAATCATGTTTTCCTTTGGTCTCAAGAGGTAGATTTAAGAGAAGCTGGGTGGGGTAGAAGAGCTCGGCTGGAGGGACTGCAGTGGCTCCACAGATGAGTGAAGGACCCTCATCCTGCCCACCTGGCCCAAGCAGGGCTGATGGGCAGAGGAAGATGGCCCAGGGCACAGCAGGGAGATGGCCTTATTTCCTTATGCCTTTTGGCTACCTTGAAAACAGCCTTCTTGTCTCCCAAACCAGAACCCCTTGCTTCACTCCCCTTTCTTTTCTAGTCTCTAACCTCATCCCTAACATACCTCAGCTTGGTTCCCTCCCATCATTTCTATGACATACAAAATGTATCCAACTTAGCTTCACTCAAGGGCTCATTTCAGCTTAACTCATTTTAAACGGTGTGTTTCTGTTTGGTTTTGTTTGAAAATCACAAACTAGACACAGCCTAGCTATGACTATTAAAATCAAATTGAATGCCTTAAAATTATTCTTTAACATAAATTGCTCTTTGGAGAGACCTGTGCTAATGATTAAATTGTAAGGAAAATTTAGAGGAAAATAGAACGGGTATCTACTTAGCTACTGAGCACCTACAAGGGAAGAGACACGGAGCCAAGAGGTCTGCAGCTGTTATCTCATCTGTCTGTAACCAAGTCCTGCAAGCCGGGGCAGAATCACAGTCCTGTGGTGGGAGGGGAGGGTACCGAGCAAGTTACTGAGCGCCTCCAAGCCCCAGAGTAGAAATCTGACTCAGGTCTGTCTGAGCCCATATTGGCAACCATCATTCATTATGAGCTCTAAAACCTGGACAGAAACCAAGTCCACTCTTCAAGCTCATGTGCGCTCTGATGGTCTATAACCACCCGGTACTTCCTAGCTGTGAAGACTGTAGGATTGACGCATTCTTTGTAAAGCAGAACCGATGTGGTCACAGGACATGGACCACTAACTTGCCAATAACTCTTTAGATGGTGAAACCATCACACTGATTTTTCTTTTTTTTACTTTCTTTTTTTTTTTTTTTTTTTTTTTTTGCTTTTGGGGCTTAGTTCTGGCTTTTGGGGCTTAGTTCTGATTTTTTTTTCTTCCATGGAGTAGATCAGTACTTCTCTCATTTGCATCCAGAGAAGAAGATACTGTTTAAGGCACTGACTTCCAACCTGCTAAAACTTGCCTTCCTTTTGGAAGGTCGAATGGGATGCTACTTAAAATAGGGTATTCCAGCTGGTTAGGTTTGGAGTTCAGATATACAAAAGTCAATGATACACTAGGTGCATTTTTATTCATGCCAAACTTGATACTTGATAGATTTATTTGGATCAAGTCCCGATTTTCTTTCCTACTTTTTTGTGGCAGATACCAGGTTGATTGTTGCTGGATAAAGCCGGCCTGGTGCCTTCTGGGCTTGCTAAGTCACCTTGCCATCACAGTGCCTCCCTTCCACCTTGTCTCTGTGGCATCAGGGATTTACTCAGTTTACAGTCTTGCGTCTGTGTCCTCCCCATCACTTCTTCCCTAATTGTAGGAGAGAGTCAGGGAGGCAGGGGGTTCTCAAATAGGGAAGAGATATATTCTTCCAGAGACAATGAGCACACATTAGGATCTAGCCTTTCTTAGCGTTTAGCAGCTGATTTTCTGCTGTGGTCAAATTTTGGCTTTGTTTTTGCTTGTAGCCTTGTGATCCTTCTGTTTTACGCTCTTGCATGATCTTCCCATGTCTTGGTGACCAAGCTCTTTCTAGCCCGAATCAGCATGGAGAACAAGCAGAGGATGGACTTCTGCAGCATCTTCTGCAAGATGTGAGGACTGCAATATTCCCATTCACGCATGAACCACAGCTGCTCTCCCTAGGTGAGCCACAGATGGACGTGCAGGTCACAGCCCAGCCCACTGTATGGCTTTGCCTGGACCTAGAACTCACTCCCTATTCCTGTCCTGGCAGGTCCCCTGACCTCTGGAGAAGGCTACTAGCATAGCACTGACCCAACTTCACCAAGACATCAAACGACAAAAGAAGGAAACAAGACGTGGGTGTCATTACTGCAAGTCCCATTGAGGTAAAACTCCAGTGGCACTGCATCTTTGGTGGCTGTCTGTCTAGTCCACTTTCTGGGCCCTTCCTCTGCTTTACCCCAGGTGCCCAGTGCCTTCAGCTTCCTGCCTTAGGTCAGAGGGAGACATCTGATGCCAGACCCATCCACACATTTTGATTACAATGACGCCTTCCTGGGGTCCTTGCACCCTGAAAAGTGATCTTGAGAAAGAGCTGTAATGAAACGGTGGCAAGGAACCCTATGGAAGAATTTGATCTAGCATGGTAGCCATGGAAAGATGGATATTTGTGACTACAAACACTATTAAGAAATATTATGCCATGGACAGCTTACTCCAAAGAGAGACAGACCGAAGCCAGCTTCCAGTTCTGTGGTTAGTGGGTGTATGAGTCCGTTTTCATGCTGCTGATAAAGACATACCTGAGACTGGGTAATTTATAAAGAAAAAGAGGTTTAATGGGTTCACAATTCCACTTGACTACAGAGGTCTCAATCATGGCAGAAGGTGGAAGTCATGTCTTACATGGTGGCAGGGAAGAGAGAAGTGAGAACGAAGTGAAAGGGGGAGACCCCTTATTAAACAATGAGATTTCATGAGGTTTATTCACTACCACGAAAACAGTATGGGGGAAACTGCCCCCATTATTCAATTATCCCCCACTAGGTCCCTCCCACACAACACATGGGAATTATGAGAGCTACAGTTCAATATGAGATTTGGGTGGGGACACAGTCAAACCATATCAATGGGTTAAGTGAAACTGAACATTTTTTTTTTACACCCTTGAGACTCATTTTCCATATTTAAAGCAGAGATGAAGAGATGTTATGTCTTTTGTGAACATTCTGGTCCACTGTTGTTTTTATTTCCATCATTTGAAAACTATTCCCCCTCCCCACCATCCCACCTCCCTCCTTTAGCTGCAGAGTCTCCTCAAACCCTCTCGCTGAAAGAGTTGTTGGCATCTTCTGTTGGGGCTGTCTTTCTTCTCAGTCACGCCCTACAGTGCCTGGGTCATCCTGGGATGCCTCCTGACTTCGCCATCCTCCTGAAATGCCTTGAGCATGGTCTGCTTTCATCCTTGCCTGTTTCTCTAGAGAGCTCGCCACCGTTGGCAGTTTTCTTCTTTTATGAACATGCCTCCCTCTGCCATCCACACCACCACCTCTCCTTGCTCACCATTGTGTGTTGCTGCCTCCAGACTGTGAACTTGACCCTGCTCACTTAGCAATCTGCACACAGAACTGTTCCTCTCTCTCTCTTTTTTTTTTTTTTTTGTGTGTGTGTGTGTGACCAAGTCTCCCTTTGTCACCAACGCTGGAGTACAGGGGCACAATCATGGCTCACTACAGCCTCAAAGGCCAGGTTCAAGAGAATCTCCTGCCTTAGTCTCCCAAGTAGCCAGGATCAGAGGTGCGTGCCACCCCAACTCACACCTGACTAACAGTTTTTTGTTTGTTTGTTTGTTTGTTTTGAGATGGAGCCTCGCTCTGTCACCCAGGCTGGAGTGCAGTGGTGTGATCTCACCTCACTGCAACTTCGACCTCCCGGGTCCACACCATTCTCCTGCCGCAGCCTCCCGAGTAGCTGGGACTACAGGCACTTGCCACCACACCTGGCTAATTTTTTGTATTTTTAGTGGAGATGGGGTTTCACTGTGTTAGCCAGAATGGTCTCTATCTCCTGACCTCGTGATCTGCCCTCCTCAGCCTCCCAAAGTGCTGGGATTACAAGCATGAGCCACTGCACCTGGCCTAACAATGTTTTAAAAAGTATTATTTGTAGAGGTGAGTCTTCTTAAGATGAGTCTCCCTGTGTTGCCCAGGCTGGTCTTGAACTCCTGGGCTCAAGCAATCCTCCCACTTCCACCTCCCAAAGGGCTGGGATCTCAGGCATGAGCCACTGTGTCTGGCTGTTTTTCTCTATTCAATCTCACTGATTCTCATGGACTTAAACTACCCTCTAAATCAAAGGTTATCTCTTAGGAGGTTTCTTGAAAAATCTGATAAAAGTTGTAGACCTTCTCCTCAAAAAAAGGTATAGAATTTTGCACCACTCCTCAAGGAGTAGACTCCTTGAGGGCCTAATAGAATGATGTCAACAATGACAATGATAATAACTAACACTGACTCCCTGAAGCTTCTATAATAACAGAATATTATTGCTGCAGCAACAGCAACAACAATAACAATAACAATAACTGAGCTTTATTAATGTCTCAAAAGCTACACAACAACAACAATAACTAATGCTTCCTTACTGAGCAGGAAGTACAGTGAATGGAGACAGAACTGGGCCCCATCTCCACATGGTTGTTGAGACTTCCTCCCACAGACCTTAATATCATGGATCAGTGTATTAGTTCATTCTCATGCTGCTAATAAAGACATACCCAAGACTGGGTAATTTATAAAAGAAAGAGGTTTAATGGACTCACCATTCCACATGGCTGGGGAGGTCTCACAATCATGGTGGAAGGTGAAGGAGGAGCAAAGGCACATCTTACATGGTGGCAGGCAAGAGAGCATATGCAGGGGAACTCCCGTTTATAAAACCATCAGATCTAGTGAGGCTTATTCACTGTCATGAGAATAGCATAGGAAAGACCCACCCCCGTGATTCAATTATCTCCCACCAGGTATCTCCCACAACACATGGGAATTATGGAAGCTACAATTCGAGATGAGATTTGAGTGGGGACACTGCTAAACCATATCAGTCAGTAAGCCAGGCTTCTAAGCCTGTTGAAATGTCTGTCCCTCTCTCTGTGAATATCCTATTTCCAGTGCCATCATGTTACTGCAAATGACAAGATGTCATTCTTTTTTATGGCTGCATACTACTCCATTGTGTATATCCACCACCTTTTCTTTTATCCGTTCATCCATTGATGAACACTTAGGTTGATTCCATATCTTTGCCACTGTGAATAGTGCTGTGATAGAAATATTTCTAAGAGGGGAACAGGAATCAGGCACAATCCCCAAGCTGCCGTGTTACCTTGAGTGTCCCTCATGCATGCCCATGTGTCCCAACTTGGATGACAATTCTGAGATAGTTTCCCCAAGCATCCCCTTATTATACATAAGACAGGGGCCTCAGTGGCTATCATATTTAGGATTTGCCCAAAGCAGACCTCAGACAAGGATTTGGGTGCCTATAGTTCATTTGGAGTGTGATGCCAAGAAGCCAGATAAGAGGGAGGGGAGATAGGAAAGACAGAAAGTCAATGAAGTGAGTGTTAAACAGGGGTTACCTCTCCTGCAAACTGGGAAGGACCCCTTGGGTTTGTGCTGAGAGATATCGCAAAATAGAGGTTGTTAGAAATGCAAATTTTTTAAAAAATCCTTTTCTTGATACATAATATTTTACATGTTTATGGGATACATGTGAGTATTTGTTACATGCATGTAATGTGTAAAGATCAAATAATGGTATTTGGGGTATCCATCACCTTCAGTAGCTATGTGTTGGGAACATTTCAAGTCCTCTCCTCTGGCTATGTTGAAATAAACAATATATTTTTGCTAAGGACTGTCACCCTAGCCTAGCATTGATAGTTAGCACTTTTTTCTTCTATCCAGCCATATGTTAGTATCCATTTACCAACATCTCTTCATTTCCTCCTCCCACCCTCACACCCAACCAGCCTCTGGTATCTATCATTTTATTCTCTATCTCTATGAGATAAATTTCTTTACCTCTTACATATGAGTGAGAGCATGTGGTATTTATCTTTCTGTACCTGGCTTATTTCACTTAATGTAATGACCTCCAGTTCCATCCATGTTGCTGCAAATAACAAGACTTCATTCTTTTGTTTTTATTTCTTTGCCTGAAAAGTATTCTATTGTGTATGTATACCACATTTTCTTTATCCATTGGTCCATTGATGGACACTTAGGTTGATTCGATGTCTTCGCTATTGTGAATAGTGCTAGGCTAAACATGTGAGTGCAGATATCTCTCTGATACACAGATTTATTTGCCTTTGGATAAATACCCAGTAGTAGGATTGCTGAATTGAATGGTAGTTCTATTTTAAGTTTTTTGAGAAATCTCCATACTGTTTTCCATAGTGGCTGTACTAATTTGCATTCCCACCAACAGTGTATAAGAGTTCTCTTTTCTCTACATTCTTACCAGCATCTGTTATTTTTTGTCTTTTTAATAATAGCCATTCTCACTAGGGTGAGAGGATATCTCATTGTGGTTTTCATGTGCATAGAAATGCAAATCTTATTCCCCTCCCAACCAGGCCTAATAACTCAGAGTCTCCGGAGAAGGCCTGGGAATCTGAGTTTTAGCAGTCTTTCCAGGGGAAATGGTTGGGCTCAGCTTTGAGGAACAATGGCGTGGAATGCACACAGATGGGCTCCCCAAGGGGCCAGAAAATGGGTATTTATCTAACAGTGTCCCTCCCTCAACAACTGAAGGTTGTTCCTGAGGGGTCACCTCCCAGAACGTTCTGTCTCTTACTAGCTGGTGCCAGGCAGTGCCAAAACCAGAGAATGTCTCAGGCAGAGAGACACAGAAAGCCACAGGTCTGAATGGCAGCCACATGTGAGCAACTTCTGGGTGGGCCAGGGAGTATTGGTGGGGCAATGACAGGGTCTGCTTCAAATCCCTTCATCTAGGTTATGACAGCTTCCAAGTTTAGATCTCTCCTCAATTCCAAATTTGGATACATCCAACTGGAAGCCTCATCAACACACTCAAAACTGTAGTCATCATCTTCCCTATCCCCTCAAAAATGCCTTGCTCTTCATACAAAGTTCCTCCTTGCTCCTCATACATAGAACCACCCATCACTCCATTCCTTACAATCTGGACCTGGGTCATGCACTTGAGCTCCTTTCCCCCATGTCCCCAATCAAATTGGCCATTAAGTGCTGCCATTTTACCTTCTCGATATGTATTCAACCCTTTAATTTCTTTCCTTCTCCACTACTAATCCTTATTTTGAGCCTCTCTCACTTCTGCCTGGGGTTGTCAACTGATCTCTGTGCTACCAGTCTTATATACCCAATCCATTTCATATATAATTGTCACTATGGTCTCCTTGAAGCATAAACCTGACCATGAGGCTGTCCTGCTGAAACCTCTCATAGCTCCCATTGTCCGGGGATGAAGGCATTATCCTGACCTACCAGCAGCTGCCTAAGTGGTATCCATGTTGAACCCAACAATTCTCAAGTAAGTCATGCTCCCCTGCACCCTGGGCCTTGGAGCTTCACACAGGCCCTTCCCTTGCCTGGTTTACTCTTCACTCTTGGTCCCCATGCTCACTCTCTTCCCTTGCATCTCATGTGCCTGGTATAGGATGCTATGCCTGGAATCCTCTGCCTGGCATCCCCTGCCCCAACCCTGGCAGGCTCAGACTCCTCCAAGGGCATTCCAAGAAAATATCTGCAGACTTCTCCTTTAGCACGTATCTCCCTGGAATGTTGTTACCTGGCCACCTGTCTGTCTTCCACACTGAATGATAAGCTTCGCAAGAGAATGCACCAGGTCACACTAATTTGTCTATCAGCAGCACCAAGAACAGTACATGGCATGTAGCATGACCTTAATAATTCATTCAAATGAGCAAACGGATGAGTGAGAGAAATGTGGGACAGCAGATGTTTAATCAGTGTTACTTCCTTCCTCCTTATACTCTCTCCAGTCTTGCCATGTTAGGCAAACGCCTAGCTTGTCTTGGGGAAGCCTGACCTGAATGCCAAGGCATGCTACACATAGGCTGCTCTGAGATCATGGGGTCTCCCTGACCTTCACTTCTTAACTCAACAGGCCATTGTGCAATTTTGCATCTCAGTTCTTGTTTTGGTTTATTTCTATGTTTATGTTTTTCATAATTGTTTCTGAAAAATAACTATTATTTTTAATGATTTATTGCTTATTTTAAAATTCTGACATTTCCCTTTGCATGTGTCTCTTTATCTTGCTGGGTCTTTCCCAGGCACATGAGATGCATGAACTAGAGTGTCTTTGTTCTGTGATCCCACTAATAACCCTTTCTCTCTCTTTTTTTTTAAGGAAGCCATGAAGTCTCGCTTGATGATGCATAAGAGTAGACAAAGGAGAAGGTGCCCAGAATTCACACTGTAATAGGCATGGCCTATGCCAAAGCTTTCAGTGTTTCCCCCTAGGCCCTGATTGGCATCTCTTTCCATTCTAAAAAATAACACACTTACAAAGATGTACTTAACATTGACACAGGGAACCCAGAGATACCGATTACAACATGTTCAATGGGCAGTTGGATCTGCATTTTATTAGTCAAAATAATCTATATAAGATTCCTTTTTGTGTCTATCTTAAAGGGTAATGAGGACTTCCAGTTTCAGCTCCAACAAGAAAAGAGCTTGGAAGTCAACGTTTTTGTCCCAACAAGAACAGAAAGTTGGACAAACTGAAAAGAAAGGACTTTTCTTTGACCCATTGATGAGGTGGCAGGGCAAAGCCACGCTGAGACCTGGAAAGACAGGGGTATCTGGACAGACATGGCAACAAAAATTTGCTTGCCTGGAGCTGAAGCCATAGGAGGCATAAACTGGCAGGATCATTAGATGACTGCTTTGGTGATTTGCTGGAGGTTGAAAGTGGACTGGTGTGAGAATGAGCAACTCCAGGGGCTGAAGTCTTAGGAAGAACCCCACAGCTCTGTGAGTTTCCAGAAACCCCAACAAGTTCTCATGGTGAGATTTCCTCATGGCTCTTACCAGGACTAATCATTATGACATACACCTAGAGCCTTCTCCAGTTCGAAGAGTTTCTCTCCAGGGAAAAGGATGTATCCAGAGCACCATTCTGAAGCTTGATCCCAGGCAGAGAAAGGGTCTGCCACTTCAGGCCCCTCCAGCCTTCCTATGGTACCTAAAAAAGGGTAGAGGTTGGAACACTGTCAGCCAGGATCTGGGATCTGGGCTTCAAGGAAATGGTTTGGGAATACTGAAGCCAGGAAAGGGAGTAGGGGGTGGAGGGGAAAACTGTACCACTGTTTTATTCATTCTAGAAGTGGAGCAACACTTGCAAAGGTCACAACCCCGAGAAGCAAGGCCACCAAAATACTGAGATTTGATCAGATTATAGAATGGTCCCCTGCCACAACATGTTACCATCACACTTTATCGTAACACTGGATAACAACGGAAAATGTTGCATGTTGCAGACTCTCTGAGGTGGAGTCCATAGGGAAGTCCAAAGTCAAGAGGTGAGATCAAAACAAGCACACTAGAGGAACTGGAAGCTTCTGTTATTTACAGCTGCAGCAAACATTAAACACAGCCCAACTCCTACTCAGATTAACATAAATCCCCACATTAAAGGCTGATTTACCACAGTTTCTATTGCCCCATACATATCTGACTTTCAACAAAACATCACAAGTCCCACTAAAAAGAAAGATAAAACACAGTCTGAAGAGATAAAACAAGTGTTAGAAATAGATTCAGAAATGGCAAAGATGTTGGTATTATCAGACAGGGAATTTAAAATAACTATGAAGCAAGAGCTATTTTTTGAAGCAGTTAATACCACTTAAACCTTTGTTTCTCTAAATTTAAAGAAAACTACTGCTAGAATTGTTGTCTGTTGTGTAAATTAAAATAATTAAAGCAAAAACATTTGAAGAAAAGATAATTCAGAGAGCATAAGACATGATACAAAGAACCCAGTGAAAGAGTGGCATATTACTTAATAAACTGACTGAAACAAAAACAAAATGGCAATTAAAGTCAATGAGGTCATCTTTTCTTTTCTTTTCTTTTCTTTTTTTTTTTTTTTAGAGACATGGTCTCACTCTGTTGCCTAGGCTGGAGTTCAATAGCACAATCACAGCTCACTGCAGCCTTGACCTCCTGGCCTCAAGCAATCCTCCTGCCACAGCTTCCTGAGTAGCTGGGATCACAGGCACATACCACCATACCTGGTTATTTTATTTTATTATTTTTTAGAGAAAGGGTCTTGCTATGTTTCCCTGGCTGGTCTCGAAGTCCTGGCCTCAAGCTATCTTCCTGCCTTAGCCTCTCAATCAACTTTTCTATTAAAGACAATTTTCTTTGCCTTTAGTCAAAACCTCAAACCAAGCAAAAAGGAAAAGCTTAATAGTTGACAAAGAAAGCCTAATACTGTAAAAATGGTGAAGGAAAGCAGCTTTTCCCGTTCCATGCACTCTCTGAGTGTGGACCTACTTGTCCTTTGCTCCAAGGAGTGATTCCACCTCTGTGGGGATCACTCAGCTCCAGTCAGCACTCCCTGGTACAGGTGGAGAGTTATGATTGTCTGGAATCCTCCCTCTCCCTGCTTGCCCTGTGAGCTGCCTCCTATGTGTTTCCCACTTCTTGCCTCTTGGTGATCCTGTCCAGCATCCAAAACTTTATAGGCAAGCCCTTTCAGTCTTTCAAGGAATATATCTTCCCATGCTGCCTGGATCATCTCAGACATAAGAACATGACAGGTAGGACTGACTTGTGCCTTGTCAACTTGGCACTACAGTTCTTGTCTAAGGCCCCAAATGATATTTCCCAGAATGACCAAGGAGGAATTGATGTGAGCTTCCCAGGGTGGGAAGGAGGCAGAGGTCATTATCAGAGGTTGGTGTGGGCAGACACGCTGACAGATAGATGCTGAGCTGCCTGTTGGGCCCCAGCATGGCCTCACCTTGCTCTTGCTCTATGGCCAGCTCATCTTCCCATAGCACCGCCAAGACTGCCCCCAAGTGCTTAGCTGTAGGTCTGCAGAGGCAGTGGTTCCTACAGAGGGAACAGTTTCCACTGTGGGTCCACTGCAATGAGCTCCCCCTGCAGGGTCCCACTTCAGTGACTGGGTGTGTGTGCTTTTCAGATTTCCCCACAAGCTCAGGCTCATCCAGCCAGGCAGCCGGGCTCAAGAGGTCAACAAAGGCTTCCCTGATCCTCCAACTTTCCCCACTCCTCCTCACCCTTTACATTACTAGATCTTTTCCTGTCCATGTAAACGCTCATTCTTTTTTTTTTTAACTTTTATTTTAGGTTTGGGGTACATGTGCAGGTTTGTTATATAGGTAAACTTGTGTCATGGGGGTTTGTTGTACAGATTATTTCCTCCCCTCACTATTAAGCCTAGTACCCAGTAGCTATTTTTCCTGATCCTCTTCCTCCTCCCACTCTCCACCATCAAGTAAGACCCAGTGGGTGTTGTTTCCCTCTATTTGTCCATGTGTTCTCATCATTTAGCTCCCACTTATAAGTGAGAACATGCAGTATTTGGTTTCCAGTTCCTGTGTTAGTTTGCTAAGGATAATGGCCTCCAGCTCCATCCATTTTTCTGCAAAGGACATGATCTCATTCTTTGTATGGCTGCATAGTATTACATGATGCATATGTACCACATTTTCTTTATCCAGTCTACCATTGATGGGCATTTAGGTTGATTCCTTGTCTTTGCTATTGTGAATAGTGCTGCAAAGAACATTCACATGCGTGTGTCTTTGTGGTAGAATGATTTCTATTCCTTTGGTTACATACCCAGTAATGGGATTTCCGGGTTGAATGGCAGTTCTGTTTTTAGCTCTTTGAGGAATCACCATACTGCTTTCCACAATGGTTGAACTAATTTGCACTTCCACTGACAGTGTATAAGCATTTCTTTTTCTCCTCATCCTCACCAGCATCTGTTACTTTTTTGGCTTTTTAGTAATATCCATTCTGACTGGCGTGAGATGGTATCTCATTGTGGTTTTGATTTGCATTTCTCTAATGATTATCCGGGATGATTGCACTGAGCAATCGCTTACCTGCATCTCTCTGGGGTGAAGTCCTCAGGAGACACGCAAAGACCCTTGGTCACAACCACTATTAAGATCCCTTCCTTTGCTGCCTCCAAGGTGGAGAAGAACCATAAACCCTGAGATCACCCCAGAGCTGAAGTGGGCAGCCCAGGAGTGTCATGCCACTATCTACAGCCAGCACTGAAGTGGGAGAGGAGCCCACACTTTCAGAGCATTGAGAGGGAGCATGGCTTCAACTATGAGGAAATATAGTGGAGCCACATGACTGAGCAAGAGCCTATTAGCTGACCAATACACCTGAGCACTACCCACTAGATTACATCCCAAAGTTTCAACACCAAAAATACCTCCCTAACACACCCCCTGTGAAACCAAAGACAAGAAGGCAGCTACAAGTCATTCTTATTGTCAGGATATTTGAGGTGGTTCTGTTTCCCTGACTGAACACTGACAGATACAGTAGACTTCCAAATGTGTTTTATGAAGTTAGTTTCACTTTTTGCTATCAAACCCACCAGAATGGCAAAGAAACTCCAGATCAATCTCTTATTTGAATAGGAGAACAAAAGTACAAATGAAATTACCCATGGAAAAAAACTAGCAGGACTTTAAAGGAATTATAAATTATAACCAAACATAATTTGTTCTAGGAATGCAAAGTGATTTAACATGCAAATATTACATTAACATATTAATATAATTAAGCATATTAAATACAAGATTGTGGTAGGCAGAATTCTAAGATGACCCCCAATGAAATTATATAATCCCTGTTTTTTGACTATGGTTGGAAAGTGTAACTTTCTTCTAATCAATAGAATCTTTGGCAAAGATGAAAGGGTTTTGCAGATGTAATTACAGCTCCTAATCAGTGGAGTTTGAATAAATCAAGAGATTATCTTGACCTAATCAGGAGGTCCTAACTGGCAGAGAGTCTTCAACAGAGGTAAGCATGCTCTCTCTCTCTCTGGCTTTGAAAAAGTAGGCTGCCTTGTTGTGAGATGTGGCTTTACAGAGGAGGCCATATGGCAAGGACCTGAGGGCAACTTCTAGGATCTGAGACTGGTTCTTGGTCTACGGCTTACAAAACAAACAAACAAACAACAACAACAACAACAACAAGACTTTGGCAAAACAGCCATAAGGGAATGAGTTCTGCCAACAACCTGATTCAGCTTAGCAGTGTATTATTTCCCAACTCAAAAGTCCAGATAGAAACACAGCCCAGCTCCTACCTTGATTGCAGCCTTATGAGACTCTGAGCAAAGGGTCTAGCTAAGCCGTGCTGGACACCTGACCCATGGAAAACATGTGCTGTTCTGAGTCACTGAGATGATGACAGTCTGTTATGTGGCGAGGGAATGATACTACACTGTTAAATAAATAGATACCTGTATTGGTTAGCTGCAAAAGTTGGTTTAAAAAAAACAGTCCCCAGACTCAGTGGCTGTGATGGCTAATTTTAGGTGCCCATTTGACTGGGTTAAGGGATACCCAAATAGCTGGTAGACCATTACTTCTGGGTATATCCGTGAAGGTGTTTCTGGAATAGATTGGCATTTGAATCAGTGGACTGAGTAAGGAAGATCCACTCTCACTCAGTTAGGGTAGACTCCATCAATCAGCTGAAGACCTGATCAAGCAAAAAGAAACAGCAAATTTGCCCTCTCTCTCTTCTGGAGTTTAGACACCTATCTTCTCCTGCTCTTGGGCATCAGACCTCCAGGCTCTCCTGCTTTTAGACTGTAGGATGTGCACCATCAACTCCCAGGTTCTCAGGCTTTAGGACTTGAACTGAGCCATGCTACCAGCTTCCCTGATTCTCCAACTTGGAGATAACCTGTAAAAGAACTTCTTGGCCTCCATAATTGCATGAACCAATTCCCCCTTCTCATTGGTCAGTCTATCTATCTATCTATCTATCTATCTATCTATCTATCTATCTATCTATTATCTATGTATAGATTATATATCCATCATCTGTCTATCTATCTAGTCTATCATCTGTCTGTCTCTCTCTATCTCTCTATGTATCTATCTATTATCTATCCATCTATCATCTGTCTATCTATAATCTATCCATCTATCATCTGTCATCTATCCATCTATCTATCTATCTATCTATTATCTATCTATCATCTATCTATCTATCTATCTATCTATCTATCTATCTATCTATCTCCTATCAGTTCTGCTTTTCTGGAGAACCCTGAATAATACAGATGTTTTAAACAACAAAAATGTATACTGTCCATGTCTGTGGGTCAGCTGGAGGTCAGCTGATCTAAGCTGGATTCATCTCAGCCTGGCTTCAACCTGCAATTTGGACCATTTAAGCAAGTCACATATCTGTTCCCAATAACAGCAGGGCAGAAAAATCCACTCTTCCTCTCACAGAAGAAACTGTAAGGTTTCACTGTAAATCATGGGTACAGAGAAGGCTGAAGAAATGGGAGGAATGATACAACCTACTGCGATACCTGAATGGTATTGAAAAGAATCCAACACTAATTACTAACTTTATGTAGAAAAAAAAAGAAATAAAGAGGATGAATAAAGAGGATGTCCTAACCAAGCAAATGTAATCGATGTTAACATTTAACATTCGTCTAAGAGGTAATACCATAGAGGAGTCCTGAACCAGGTTTCATGGACTTTGGCGATTGGTGGAAGCCTATATAGAGACGGTTGAGAGAATTTTGAAGGCTCAGGAAGTCAGATTGTGAGTGCACATTTGCTTTATCTGGAGGATGGAATGAACATCTTTCATCAGATTTTCAAAAGGCCTCTGACCTCCCCCATACTAAAGAAAAATTTGGTAATTAAAAACCACTGCACTAGAGGCCTTCTCATTAAAATCAAAAATAATATCAGCAATGATAGCATGTAGAAATAAGAGGAATAAGAGGAGAAACTAGGAGGACAGAATGGTATTAACATTATATATCTATAAGATGGTTGTTCTGCTTATAAAATCACATCTTCATTCTAAGGAGCTGAATTTTTAAAACATCAGAATGCATTGTACAATCAGTGCATGTATTTAATGTAGCAATGTTTCTCTGATTTTCCTAAAGTATTTAAAATGTTGATCAATATAAGTTGATGGTATCTTAAAATTATGAAAATATATTTGAAAATGATTAAGCAAGTTTAGAAAGGTAGTTACAAAATCAAATACAAAAACCATTAACTGTCTCGTATGTGAAAAATAATCAAACAGAAATTTAAGAAAAACAGAATTCCATTCTCAGTAACATTAGAATATATAATAACTGGGAAAGAATGTCATTAACCAGAAATATTAAAAAATTAGAATTATAAAATTTTAATGATAGAAAAGATATAAAAGGTCTTTAAGATGATCAAATAGTTTTGATTAGAAAATATATTGACTTTTAATATTGTAAACTTATCAATTAGTCCCATACTTATTTGTAGGTTTAATGAAGATCCTATAAAAATTTCAGCAGAGTTTTAAAAAAATTATTCATTTACTGATGTGAGTGATGTGTGAGAACTTGAAACATTAATTCTAATATTAATCTCAAATGAAAGAAATAGCCTGGAACATTTTAGAAAGAATCAGTAATTAGGAAGAAATTGTCCTACCAGATATTAAAAGAAACATTAAAGTTAAAAATCTCAAAACACTGTCATACTAGTGAATTAACAAGAAATAGGAAAAACAAATATACTAGATGATCCAGAAACTGAACTTAGGATATACTTTATTTTATATGTAATATATTATATTTTGTTGAATATAAGTTACATTATTGATGGTATGACCCAGTATTATCCTATGTACCAATAACAGAGGAAAAACCCCCAAGGTGGAATTTAATAGAACTACTATGACAAGGGCTATATTCTTGGTCTAAGTGTCCTTAAGAAAGACAAGCACCGCGCAGAAAGAGATCACAAGGAAATGCGCTTGCATCTTAACCTTTGCACTGGGTGGAGGGAAGAAAATACGTCTCCCCCTGAGAACTGGAATCAGAGCCAATGCCTACAGTGTTGCAGTGTGAAGTCCAAAGGAACTTCAGACTGGAAACCTGAAGTGGTCTCAGGTCCATAGTGTCCCCAGATGATAGCATAAGCAAATCCCAAAGTTTCCAGGAAGAAGTGGCCTCCACGCCAAGCCAATGAAGACCTTTAGGTGCTGGAGTCTGAAAGGTGACCCAGATCTAAGAGATACTAACATGGAAAAAAATTTCATTCTAGAAGCTGTGGAGTATGGTAGTGGCATCAAATAGTTGTGGTCAAAGATGAAGGATCATTCAATAAATGAGGACGGAAACACAGCTTAGCAACTTGGGAAACTGAATAACTACCACCTAGCCCAAAGACAGAACTGAAAACAAGAACCCTTATGAGCACTAGAAGAAGACACAAATCTAAGACTGAGAATCACCTTTCCAGCCATGGAAGAAAAAAAGTAATGGAGAAGCATTCATCTCTTGGAATAAAACAAAATGCAAAATTTCCATACCTCAAAAGGAACCCCGAATAAATTAAAGGCAAACAAAACAGGGAAAAATACTTTTATGGCAATAAGAGAATAGTAACCTTATAGCACCCTAACAGTTTAATATGTGCATGAATTTTCTCCTTGGGCATTTTTATACTAGTGAAAAAATCAGAAACAATTAAAAGGGGAGAAGTGAAGGAATTATAACTCATCTATAGCATGTTTTTGAAGAAAACTTATTGGCACAAGGAAATTATTTAAAAATGTTTAATTAAATAAAAAGAATCTGAATTACAGCCAATGTAAACTAGTGTAATGGTTTATATTTATATCTCTCTCCCTATAAAGATATACATGAATGTATATTATATATATACACATTATATGCAATATATATGACAATTTTATATTACATAGTATATAAATACATGTGTAGTATATACAAACATTATGTATTATATGTAATATGTGTATATGTAGTATATATGATATAGTAGTACATAATATATATTATATATAATGTGTATATATTCTCTGTTTACACATACATACACATATATGCAGAGGAATCTAAAATAATATTTCTAATGTATGTTAATAGTGGGTATCTCTGGGTAGTGACATTATGGGTGAGATTAGACTTTGTAATATCCAAATTTTTCTCAGGGAGTTAGAGTATTAGTTTTCTACCGATGCTATAAAAATTATCACAAATTTGATGGTTTAAGTGATGCATATTTATTATCTTACACTTCTCTCCATCTCCTGGGGCTGAGCATGAAGTCTTAGCAGGGCTGCATTCCTCTCTGGAGGCTCTAGGGGAGAATCTGTTTCCTTGCCTTTTCTTGCTCCTTATGGCTGCCCGAATTCCTTTGCTCTCTTCGTATCCTTTCTCAATGTCCAAAGCCAGCCACAGAGGAGTGAGTTCTTTTTGAACCTTTGTCCATGCTCAGATCTCTCTCTGACCCAGCCAGAAAGGTTCTCTGCTTTTAAGGACTCCTGTGATTTCACTGGGTCCACCAAGATCATCAGGAACATCATCTCTCTGTGATAATGTTCATGACCTTAATCACAATTTCAAAATTTCTTTTGCCGTGTAAGGTGAGGTAGGTTCTGGGGATAAGCAATGAACATCTTTAGGGGTGGAGGAGACATTTTTTTGCTGATCGCCACTGGTGCTATTTTAATTTTTAGTACACACACATGCACTTTGCATAAAAGGAAGTAAAGAGGCTTGTATTATTTTTATCTTCATCATCATTACCGTCGTCTACATTTTTAATTATCTCCATCAGTCACTAGTTAAGTCTTTGGAAACAGTTTACTTTAGAGCAAGGGTCTGCACACTAGGACCTACAAGCAAAATCCAACCTACCAGGTGGTCTCGTCAACATCATTTTCTCAGAACATGACTACTCTCATTTGTGTACTTATTGTCCATGGCTGGGCTTTGTGCTCAATAGCAAAGCTGAGCAGTTGCAAGACAGATC
The DNA here is from genome assembly GCF_000001405.40 of Homo sapiens. Classification (NCBI taxonomy): domain Eukaryota; kingdom Metazoa; phylum Chordata; class Mammalia; order Primates; family Hominidae; genus Homo; species Homo sapiens. Next base: position 31,047,650 of record NC_000019.10, on the reverse strand, counting down.
ATCGGGGCCATGGAGCCTAAGAGATTTGCAGTCTGACCCTTATCAGAAAAAAATTTGCTCATGCTGGCTTTAGAGCTTTAAATCATTGCTTCACTATGTCAGACTAAAACTAAAAACTGAATCAGAGGAGTTATCTTACCTTAGAGCCATGGCAGGGTTTCCAGGGTCATCATGGCCATCCTACCTTTCAGATAGAAGGTGCTGAGACCCAGAGAGGTAAAGAGGCTCCCGGGGCTACACCAAAGCCACACATGGTGCCTGCGGAAAGCCACTTGATTGAGGCTCCCTGGGTTTCACCGCCAACTTCTGCTTCAGAGTCTTTTTAGCAGGTACTGATCCTCAGGAATGCACTGAAGCTATCTCAAATTTTGGGGGAAAAAACTAAAGGCAAATAGAAAATACAAAGGTTTTACAAACATGTGTGTTAGCTATGGCTGCATATAACTCCCTGTGAATGGTCTTGAAGCCAGGGTCTTAATGTCCTTGTAGACCAGGAGGGGAGGTTATTTTTGTGATTTGTACCTGTTGACTGTAGATGGTGGCCATGCAGGTGGCAGCGCACAGAGGACCCTCGAGGCATTCATTAGAAGACCCACTCTTCCAGCCTGTGAGTGCCAGTTGCCCGGGGGCCACCACGAGCGTCCAGTTCATCAGCAAGCAGAGTGACATCACTGAGAAGGACCTCAGTCAGGTAATTTGTCCTTAGTTGCTGCTCTGTCAATATTGCTCTTTTCTGAACTGTGGCGCTGGGTCAGTGGCACAGCTGAACTGGCACAGCTATCACTGATAATTTTTTTAAAGCAAAGAAAGCAAAGAAAACAATACCCATAATTTCATTTCAGAGATTACAGCTGAAAACAAATTTGTAGACATTTCCATACAAAAACACATATGTGCTCCATGTTCCATTGTGTTGATACCCCCTCATTTAATTTACCCGTTCCTGCTCAATAATTAGGAATATAATATGTGCACTAATATAAATATGCTGGGGTGAGTGTCCTTGTCATTAAATCATTGCCCATGTCCACCATGATGTCCTCGCCATGAGTTGATGGATGTGGGATTTTTAGTTTCAGAAAGATGTACTTCTTCAGGTTTTTGTTATGTCATGACAAAGTGGTCTGATGAAGGGCACCTGTGCCTGCCTCCTTTGGCTGGCTGAGTGCCCCTTAGAAGCAATTAAAACGATGGCTTCCATCAGGTCAGATGGGGTCCTGGGTACTTCTACAAACATTATTTCACTTTCATTTCACTGGGATCCTGGAAAATTGACATGGATTTTAAAGAGGGGGAAACTGAGTGATTTGCCCATAGTTATTCTATTAGAGAACAGGAAGCTGAATCTTGAGACTTGCACAAGAAGAGAGTTGGGAGGGTCACTTGAAGGCCTCATTGTCCCCAGGCGCTCCTCCCCTCTACCACATCAGCTGTATTAAAATGTACACACACCCAACATAATTTATTCATAACATATGTAAGAGTTCATTTGCAGTTGTTTGGCTGACAAATAATGTGACATTGTGGACACATTTAAATATTTATTGATTTCAATTTTGTCGGGTGTGCAGTTGTTGGCCTGTTTGTCCTCAAATGCATTCATCACTCCTCCCTGCTCTGCTGATACCTGGAGCCCATGTTTCCAGGTTCCCCTGTCAGATGATTCCCTATTGGGTTTGGCCAGTGAGAGGCACAGGTGGGTGAGTTAGGGGAGGAGGAAAAGTGAAGCAAGGGTGTTGTCCTCTCACTTGGGTACTGATTGTACTTTCTCTGCAACTGCCTCCCACTGGTGTAGCCCAGGATGGCCCCAGATGCCACCCTGTGGGCTGCTCCTGGATCTGGTAACTGAGCTCTTCCTTTCTCACTCAGGCCTGGGCATGGAAGTGGGTTCTTACTGTCGATAATCTCTGAGCTGCTTCTTTCTCCCCTGTTGGCTTCTGAACATGTTCAAGGTCCATGAAACAAATTTGTTGCTTTTTGTTTTAGAGGGGTTTTTATTCTGTTCCTTTTTGTTATGGTAAAACCAATTATTTCAAACAGTTACATAGCTTTGATAACTTTTAACATTTTGTAGACCCAATACATAGCTGTGGAAAGCGTGTTTAATGATAAGAGTTATCTGAATGTCCTTCCTGAGGCAGAATGGCAAGAAGATGGACTGAGGAACATGGCATCCTTTCCATTTGCTCACCTACTCATCTGATAATCCATCTACTAACCTATGCATCTATTCCATCTCCTCAACAACCCAATCCTTTTACTTTCATCTATCATCTGTCTTCCCTACCACTCAATCACTCACTCACTTATTCCATCCGTTAATCTACCCAGTCTCCATCTATCCATCCATCCATTCACTCATCCATCTACCTACCCATCAATTCATATATCCATCTTTCCTTCTATTCATTCATCCATACATCCATTCACCCACCCATCTATTTACCCATCCATTCATTTACTCACCCATCTATTCACCGATCCATCCTTCCTTGTATTCACTCATCCATCCATCCATCCATCCACCAATCAATTCATCCATCCATTCTTTTCTTTTTTTCTGAGCCAGAGTTTCACTCTTGTTGCCCAGGCTGGAGTGCAATGGTGCGATCTCGGCTCACCACAACCTCTGCCTCCCAGGTTCAAGTGATTCTCCCACCTCAGCCTCCTGAGTAGCTGGGATTACAGGAATGCACCACCATGCCCAGCTAATTTTTGTATTTTTAGTAGAGACAGGGTTTCTCCATGTTGGCCAGGCTGGTCTCAAACTCCTGACCTCAAGTGATCCACCCACCTCGGCCTCCCAAAGTGTTGGGGTTACAGGTGTGAGCCACCACGCCCGGCCCATCCATTCTTTATTCTATTGATCCATCCATCCATTCTTCCTTTCACCCACCCATCCATTTTCATTCATTTTTCCCTCTATTCATTCCCACACCCACCCATCAATTCACCCATTCTTCCTTCTATTCATACATCTATCCACTTATCTGTTCATCTAACCATCCTTCCTTCTATTCATTCATCCATCTACCCATCCACCTGCATCCATTTATCCATCCATCCTTTCTTCCATTATTTTATCCATCTATCTACCCACCCACGTACCCATTCCTTCATCCATCCATTCAGCCATCCATTCATCTATCTGTCCTTTATTTTATTGTTTCATTCATCCATCCTTTCACCCACACATCTGTTAATATATCCATCCTTCCTTCTATTCCTTCATCCATCCATCCATCCATCCATCCATCCATCCATCCATCCATCCATGTTCTTCTATTCACTCATCTATCTACCCCCCACCCATTCATTCATCCATCCTTTTTTCTATTCATTAATCCACCCACTTATTTATTCATCTATCCATCCTTCCTCCAATTCATCCACCTATCCATTCACCCTTTCTTTCATTCATTCTTCCTTATATTCATTCATTAAGCTTGTACTGGGCATATATCAAGTCCCAAGCTAAAATCTGGGGTAACAGAATGAATCATGCGCTTTCTTGCTCTGCAAAGGTTTGCAATCCAGTGGGAAAGATGGCCATGGCAGAGTAAACTACTTTAGAGGGTGGTAAGAGCCCTGTAGAGAGCCTGATACATATATTGAATAAATGAGTGAACAAGTGCTGCAATGGGAATGGTAAAGGGATGTCTTGGGTATGAAGAGTGGTGACTACTTATGTGGCTCAGAAGGGAAGGGACGACTTCACAGAAGAAGGGGCAATTTCAGTTGGTTGGGCACTCCCAGGAGTGAACCAAATATGAAAGTGTGGGAGAATGGGCCGCCCAAGGAGAAGAAATAATGTGTACAAAAGGAGGAGGAGTAAAAGAGAACCATCATTTCAGTAAATAGAAATCTATAGAAATACACTATTTCAAATGTGGGGGCTTTTTTAGTATACATATATTATAGGTTATTTAACCAATCATTTATTTATAGATATTTATGTTGCTACTAAAATTTCACTATTAAAAGCATTAATGAATGCTATTGTATCTATATCTTTGCACCACTTAGCAATTATCTCCTTAGAATAAATTCCCAAGCATATGATTACTAGGCTAAGGCATGCTTCTTATTTTTTAAAAAAGTTAATTTCAGTTGACAAACTGCCTTCCAGAAAGGAATACCAATTTACATTTCTAACAACAGTGCAAGAGAATGTCAATTTTCCCACATCCCTGCTATTTTTAAGTTTTGTCAAACTTTTAATCCTTTCCAATATGATGGGTGAAAAAGATGACTCATTTTGATTTTTATTTAGCACTTTTGATTACTTATGAGGTAGAACATCTTTTTTAGAATGTATTGACTGTACATTTTATTTTGTAATTTACCTCTCTGTGTTTACTGCTTAATTTTTTACTGAACATTTGTTGTTTTCCTTTTGGCTTATGTTCATTTTAAATTTTCTTTATTTGCAAATTAAGATTACTAACGTTTTATCTGTAATATGTGTGACAACTTTCTTTTTTGCACTTTGCTACTTCTAGTTTACATATTTTTGTAGGTCATGACTTAGTTTCATATTTAGGTAGTTAAATTTATTACATTTCTTCTTTATATAAAGTTTCCATCTTCCTTAGAAAGCCTAGAACGCCTTTCTCCAGCACAATATTATAAGTTAGTTAAACCTATTTACTTATGGTTTTAGTTGGAAGAAGTGAACTGGAGATCCAACTTGATCTCCAAATGGCTAGTGGATTACCCTAACACCCTTGCTATATCTCTCCTTCGGTGTTTTGAGCTGTCAACTTTAGAATCTACTGAATGCCTACATGTATGCAGAACTGTATAAGGACTCTCTTTTGTATAAGGACTTTCCAGTGCTTCCAAAACTTTGATATGTGTTGCATGCCTTATTTTTCATAGATCCCTTCTCAGAGCCTGAAACAGTGGACCCAGATACAGGAACACGCATTTTTGACAGTCTCTCCAGTTGATTCCCTTCTGTTAATCCAGTTGTTCTTAACCGTTGGCTGCTGATTACAATAATCTAAAGAGCACTTACAAACTGTGAAGCCCAGGTCTCACTTAATCTAGACCAATGAAATCAGCATCTTGAGAGAGAGACCCATGCATCCGTATTTTTCTTAAACTCTGGGGTGACTCCAAATACAATCAAAAGCACTATGTTAACCTGTGACCTGCATTTCACCCTAATTACTGAAGCTTTATTTTGCAATTTACTAGCTGAAACAGCAAGCTTGCCGTTCTTTTCTTTTTTGTTTGTTCTATTATTACTGTAGGTTTGGTTAATTTTGTAATTGTCATTACAGTTTCTGATGTTTATTCTTGCAAATGGACTTTATAATGATCATTTTCCAAAAAAAATTCTTGGATTAGATTGAATTTATACATTGAAGTTTAGTTGCCCGAAATTGGGAAGATTTCTGAAATCCCCTGATCTTGAGCTTCATTATCTATTAATCACCAATGCCAGTACTTGCCAGTACCCCACATCCAACAGCATTGTCCCTGGGCCACGAGAGTTTCAGGCCTCCCCAGAGAGCTGCCAGGAAGAAACCACACCTCACAGAGAGGTTCTCTCTGCCCTTCAGCCCCACTGGCAACATGACCTTGGGCAAGGCATGGACCTTAAGGTCCCTCATTTGATGAGAGAGAAATTTATCCTAGAAGTAATGTTCGCGCAATCACTGAGGTAGCACTGGTTGTTGGCTAAGCCTGGAATGAGGTCTTAGAAGTTTTGGAAGCTTCCAGATGAATCCATAATTGGGAATGCACATTTGCATAATGTGCCTTTCAGTATTCTATTCTTTGGATGATATCACTATTGCACTCACCATAATGGATATGTGCTTGGAGGAAGCATCTTCTCAGGTGTGTTTCAGAACTCAAACATGTGTTCCTCTTGCTTCACTGTTTCTGAGTATGTGCAGGTGCAGGCTGGGCTTGGGTGTCCCAGTAGAGCACAAGTCAATTCTAGTGCATGCAGTTTGGGTGGAGGGATGGAGGGCCTTTCCAGGATGGGTCTCCAGCATCCTCCCCAGCTTCTCCAGCTGCTTGCCTTCCCCACTTAACAGCTCTGGTGCAGAGGACGTGGGCCAAGGATGCACATCCTCCACTAGGGGCCCCCGAGACTTATTCCTTCCAGAGCCTGTGGTGTCCATAGACACATCCTGAGCAGAATATTGGCTGGACTGAGAGTTTTTACTTTACTGTGTTAACTCAGAACCCGAAGTTTCCCAAGAAGCAGCCTCCTGATACATCAGGACTGTCCTTTCACATGGATGACCCATGGGTCAGATTCCTCTGGTGATGTCCAGTGACCCACCCCAGGCTTTGGGGGCACCTGAAAAATGTGTAAGGAAGGAATATGATCTGGGCTGAGCTGAAAGCAGATTACTGTGGAGGCTGGGATAGAACAGGGGTAGAGGTTGGAGGTGAGAAGAAGGGGGCGGCTGAGGGGAGATGGGACAATAGTGTTGGTTCAGGTAAGAGAACCTGAGGTCTGGATGAAGAGAAGCAATGGGCAGGGACATGAGGTCATACAGTGAGTGACCCTGTGGAGGCCAAACCCACTGACCCTGGCCCAGCACAAGAACAACGTGTCAAGTGCCAGAGCAATGAGGACGACAGGAAGACATGGGCCTGTGTTCTGGGTTTTGATCATGCATTCTGGGACCAAGTCTTACCTCTTGGCCATGTTGGCTTCTTTCTCCTCTTGGGGAGGCCTCGCTCTGCCTGTGACCCTAAGGCCCTGATGCCTGGGGCTTCTCTTCATTTCTGTGACAATCTGTGCTTGCAAAGGTCAGTGTGTGTCCCTCTTTTAATCTTTGATTTTTTTTTTTTTTGACAGAGTCTTGCTCTGTCACCCAGGCTGGAGTGCAATGATGCGATCTTGGCTTACTGCAGCCTCTGCTTCCTGAGTTCAAGTGATTCTCCTGCCTCAGCCTCCCAATTAGCTGGGATTACAGGTGAGCAACGTGCATTTCACCAAGTTGACCAGGCTGGTCTCAAATGCCTGACCTCAAGTAATACACCCGCTTGGGCCTCCCAAAGTGCTGGGATTACAGGCCTGAGCCACCATGCCTGGCCCCTCTGTCAATCTTGAGTCTTCATGCATATATTCTGAAGTCACACTTGTAGACACTTTCAGGGGCCAGAAAGCTGACAACCTGGAGAGTAAACACCCTACATGAAAGGCACAGCCACCACACACCTGCGTCCAGGTAGGAAGGTCAGGCCTTATGGTGAGGACATCAGATTCATAAAACAGCAACAGCAAAACCTAAAAGCCCAGGTGTTACGAGAAATCTCCAGATTTTTAAATTTTGTCTCATGCTCTTTTTTTTTAAATGCCCACATACACACACGATTTTCACAGGAGGAGGCATCTCTTGGGCATGCAGTTTGCAACCTCTGCTCCAGAAGAGTCCCTGAGGACTTCAGGATGCTCCAGCTCCCAGGGAGGGCTTGGCATGATACACAAAGACTCCAGCAGGTAAGTGCTGCTGAAAGGCCGGACCTTGATCCTGGCTTTTCCCCTGTGTGCCAAAAGAGCTGCTATTTCACTGCTTCATGTGGCAGAGATGCAGGGCAGACATCCTTGTCACTGGGGTGAGCCTGGCCTTAGCCCTGGCCTTGTGTCCCCTGGCTGGGGAAGCATCTGCTCTATGGGCACCACCTCTCCCCTCCCTGCACAGCTGAAGGCTGACATCTGGGAGTGTATTAGGAAGTCCATTATGACCATGCATCCATCTTGTTTTCCACTACAGCTGCATCTTCACTGTCCTATTGCTTTGCCCAGATGCCTATTAATGAGCCTGAGCACCCACAGTCCACTGCTAAAAGCATGGGTGCTCCCAGATGCACTCCACCCCCAGGAGACCTGCCCTCAGGAGCTGCCTTGCCTAGAGACACTGGGAGATTGTGATCTCCTTCCTGCAGGCCATCCATAGCCCATGACAGACAGATATAAATGTGTAGAGGCTCACCCTCTTCCCACAACCCAGACTAACCTGGGACTGTGCACCCTCCCGGAACTTCCAGTGCACTCAAGTTGAGGCCAGGATTCAGCTACAACCAGACCTTGGCCTGATTCTTCCCTTGCCCCAAACTATACCTCTCACTGGCTTCTCCTGAGAGCACTTCCCCAATAAGTCATTAGCCCCAGAATTCCATCTCAGGCTGTGCTTCTGGGGAACTGGCCTAAGGCAAAGAGATGAGCTTAAGATTACATTTTTCTCCGACTTCTGTATTTCCTAGCTCAGGACTTGCACTCACATCTGCTCAAAAACTGAATCTTCATGTGACCAGCTGACCTGTGATTACTGATTAGTGACGTCATAGAGAGAGGGGAAGTCCCTTCTCCTCGCTAAACTTGACCCTGTCTGGGCAGACTATGAATGGACACAACCAGAAGCTGAACACTTATTGGAGCAGGGCATGGGGTAAATGCAATGCAGCCCCGTGCAAGTGTCTAACCCCAGAACTGCCCCATCCCTGACTTTGGGCTTTGAGGAGATGGGTTAAGGGCAAACCTCAGGGAATCCCACCTGGCATGGAGTAGAGAAAGCATCTGGAGCTTGTTATACAGGAGTTGGCACAAGCTGGGCATCTCTCCAAGCTCAGGAGGTTTCATGGAAATTCCTAGATGAGGGATGTTTACAAGTTGTGTCCCCAGATAAACCACCATGTTCCCCCCAAGAGGTCTCTCGAGGTCTCCATCGAAGCCAGGGTGCTGGGTCATAACAGCTGTAAGCAGAGACGTTTCTGACCTTACTGATGAGAAGAACGCCGATTGCCTAGCTTGTGTCATTAGGTGACTTTTAGTGATGATGAGTGTGTCTTTTCCTGCATTCTCCTTCAGCGTTCTTTACAAAATCATTTTCCTACAGCCTCCAAGAGCTGATCAAGGCACTTTTACTATCCACAGTTGATTTAATAATCTTACTTCATTTTGTGGTGGCTTGTTGAAGTCAAAGAGGCTCTGACCAACACAAAATACTTGATCACCCCACTAAGAAAATGTCAGAGCAGGAGGAAATACCCACACATACACGGGCCATTTTCAAAAAATGCACCTTTGCCTTTTAGTCTGCTTTGACAAAAAGCAGATCACCTTGGCAAAGGACATTCTAGAATCTCTCCAGGAGAATGGACTGCTTTTTTTTTTTTTAATGTACATTTTTTTTTGGCTATTTCAATTTGCATATTTGAAAACAACTGAAAAGGCAATTAATTCAAATCTAAATAACTTCCATGCTCAGAATTATGTTTATGGTCTTCCAGCAGACAAATTTATGGGGACGTCTGGGGACCAGGCCTCTGACACAGAATAAGCATCAGTCTCTCCTAGAGACTAGTTGCGGGTTTATTTCTGAAACTTGTGTGGAATGAGGGAGCAAATCTAGAATGTTTAAGACCTAATAATAATCACACACTTTAACACATTCAAATCATGATGTTGCAGGAGACAGCCTTGGCTTTGCTTATAGTTCTAAGCAGGGCTGTTCCCAGAGGATGACTGTCCTTCCGAGGAAAGAAGACACAGAGCTGGTTACAATCCCAGGGGAATGTCTGTACTGAGAGGTGTTTTTCTTTCTTTCTTTCTTTTTTTTTCCTCAGTACAATTTACACAGAAGGGGCTGGCTGCCAATGTGATAATTGAGAAACACCTGGTGAAAATGTCTCTCTATTAATTGACAATGGCTTTCTCCTCCCTAGTCCTCATCTCTCAGAAAGAAAAAATAAAAGCATAAAAGAAAAAAAAAGCCAAAAAAAAAGAAAGGGGAAAAAAAAGAAGCAACCAAGAAAGCTTGAGACATATAATCTCCAAGGCCAAAAGAAAAGACATACAATTTCCAAGGCCAAAAGGAAATAAGGCAGGAATTTGATGGGTGATTAATGGCTGTGCTGGAGCAGTAGGAGGGGTGCTGATGTCAGAGCCTCCAAGAATGATTCCTCTTTGGAAAGAGGAAAAGGCAAGCGAATCCCAAAATGGTCATTTTTTAAAAAATAAAACAGTTTTCTGAACCTGTGATAATCTTCCTGGGTAAACTTGAAGCTCCAGAAAAGAGATGGTCCCTCCTGCAAGAAGCGGTGAGTGGGATTCCCTAATCTCAAATTCCATTGCACTTGTCCACCTACCAGCCCCCAAGGATTGGCTGCATCCCAACATCTCCCTGGACCCTTTGTTTTCATAGCAGCTCCAAGGAAAGCACACTCATCCAGAGAGTTTTGTCACTGATAATCTGAGTGTGTTGTGCGCAGTGGAGATTTGACCAGGGGCAGATGGTCAAATTCATAACTGAATCTCTATGTGTTTTTGTTGTTGTTGCTGTAAAAGACATACTTTTGCAGTCAGTCTGAATCACTCCTGAGAAAGAGAAATAAATCCCATGTGAAATTCAATTCTCAAAAGAAGGTATGCAGAGTGCCAAATATGTGAATTTTCTTTGTATATCACTCCAATAGCAGCTTTATGTCATATATATAGTTGGTAATCATAAATTACTTAGAAGATGAAAGCAATGAATAAAAGACAATTGATTCTCTCCTTAAAATTCTGTTGGTTCCTTATGTAATTCTGGTTAAAATCCTAGAGCTGATTATTAAACTATACGACCTGGGAAATTCACATCCCCTCTGGCTCTCATTTTCAAGTGCGTGCAAGTGGGGAAAACTAAGCCACTGATTTTCAGACTGAGATGTATGGAAGTTTAGTGGTTCCTAAGAAGTGCTTCAGCTAAAGAAGGGTTCAAGAGCATAGATCTTCCCCCAGCCTATGCCTGCTCCCCTTATTCAACTGGAATAATTATTCACCTTTTACTTTTAATCACTGGGTATAATTTATATACAACACAATTCACCAGTTCCAAGTATACAGTTTGATAAATTTTGACAAATGCACATGGTTTGTAACTACCACCAACATCAAGATGTAGAATATTTCCATGACTCCAGAAAGTTTCTTCAGGCTCCTTTACAGTAAATTCTCTCTCTACCATGAAAGCTGTTGTTTTTGTGGTCTCTACCATGATGACAAAAACAACTGCTTTCATTAGTTTTTATGTATTTGGGAATTTTATATCAACAGAATTATATAATATAAAGAAGTTTTATATGTCTGGCTTATTTCATTCCGCATAATACTTTTGAGATTCTTCTATATTATGGGGAGTAGTAATTTCTTTTTTATTGATGAGTAATATTCTCTTGTATGACTATACTACAATTTGTTTACCCATTCACCAGTGGATAGACATTTGAGTTGTTTCCCGTTCGGGGCTATTAGGAATAAAGCTACTATGAACATATATGAAACAAGTCTTTGTGTGAAAGTATATTTTCATTTCTCTTAGGAAAATACCTAAAAGGGATTTTTCCATTATATGGTCAGTATGTGTTTAGCTTTATAAGAAAGTCCCAAACTGTTTTCTCCAAGTGAATGTACCTCTTTGTATTGTCAACAGCAGTGTATGAAGGTTCCAGTAACTCCACATACTGGTCAACTTTTGGTATTCTCAGGCTTTTTAATTTTAGTTCTGGATGTAGTGGTATCTCATTATGGTTTTAAATTGCACTTCTCTAATGACTAATAAAGTTGGGTGTAGTTTTATGTCTTTATTTGCCATTTTGTGCCACGGCACAGAAGACTTTTATAAGATTAAGGCTGGAAAAGGACAAGAGAGAAGCCTCGTTGACAATTACTACTTATCTGACAAGCACCAAAAGAAGCAACAGCACTCTACCACTGTAGAAGAGGCAAAAGAATGGTGAGAGACCCCTCCTGTGGTGCAGGTGAGCAAAGATTGTTTAAAATCTGAGGCTGTAGCAGTAATTCTGAGAAACGTATTTAGGCTCATCAGCCTGCACTCAAGCACAAAATGAAAACAACCCATTACTAATGGAAGTTAAAGATTGTGCATGGAGGGTAACCATGGCAACAATAAAACCAATTTCTGACTAGATTGACTCAAACCGTACTAGCAGCCAAACAAAACAAGAAAAATGCAAATATTGAGGAATAAATGCTATTTATCTCAGTATCTCTGGTCTACACACGATGCCAACATTCAGGCAAAAATTACAAGATATATAAAAGATCAACACACACATACACATACACACACCACACACACAGACACACACACACATACACACATACACACACAGTCTCAACAAAAACACAGCAGAAAACAAAACGCAACTCATGGTCAGACTCGTAAATAACCAGATGTAGAAACCATCAGATAACAATTTAACAATAACAGTGATTAATGTATAAAAGATCCAGTGGGAAAAAAATGAACATATCTGTAATTAGATGGGGGAATTTCTGCCGTCAGAGGGAAACCATAAGAAAAAAGTCAAACGGATATACTAGATATTTTTTAAAATACATACCAGAAGTGAATTCCTTTAATGAGCTCATCAGTACACTCAACACAACTGAAAGAAGAATCAGTGAATTTGAAGACAATTTAATAAAATTATGCAAATTGAAACACAAAAGGAAGAGAAAAGAGTGAAAAATAAATCAGAACAAAGCATTTAAAAGGTGCGGGATAATATCAAACTGTTAAATAAGCATACAAATGGAATGCCATAGAAGACAAAAGGTGAGGTAAAAAACGTATTTATTGAGATAATGGTCAAGTTTTTTTTTTTTATTAGCAATGAACACCAAATCAAAGCCCCAAGAATTTCAAAAAATCAGAAAAAATTCTAAAAGATAAGGACAAAAATCCCCTCCTAGATATATCACTGTGAAACTGCCAAAAAAAAAAAAAAAAATGAAAAAAGAGAAAAAGTCTTGAAGGCAGCAAGAAAAGAAAAGACGCTTTTCAAAAAGAAGGAAACTACAGCAGCATTCTTTTCAGTAACTAAGGAAGCTAGAAAACAATCGAAAGGCATTTTTAAAGTATTGGAAACAATGCTATTAACTCCAAATTCTATATCCAGCTAAAATACCTTTCAAAAATAAATGTGAGATAAACACTTTCCAGATAGGAAGAAAAAGACAAACCTGAGAGAATTCACAGTTAACCAATAGGAGCCAGTACAAAATATATTAATGTTCTTCAGGCAAAAGAAATGTAATATCAGATAGAAACTTGGATCTACATATAGAAATGAAGATCTCTAGAAACAGCAACCATGAAGTAAATATAAAAATGGAATTTTTTTCTTATTTTCACCACTCTAAAATATAATTATCTATCTAACGTGAAAATAGTAACAATGTATTATGAAATTTATTTAAAAAGGAAAATACACAGCAATAATAGCACAAAGAAAGGAGGAAGCAATTATGAAAATATTATGTGTCTTACATTATACCTGAAGCAGTATAAAATTATTTGAAGGTGAGAAATTAAAGATGTATATTGAAACCATAGAGTAACCACTAAAAATTTTTTAAAAATGCGTAACTAATACGCAAATAGTGAAGATAAAATGAAATCATAAAATTACTGAATTCAAAAGTAGGCATAAAGAGGAAAAAAACAGATGAAACAAAAAGAACTAACAAAACGGTACTATTAAATTTATCTATAATTGCAATAAGTATAATTGACTTAAATACCCCAATTAAAAGTCAGAAGAAATTGTCAGATTATATAAAGAGCACTACTACTAAAAACAAATATAGGCTGTCTACAAAAGAACTACTTCAAATAGAAAGGCATAGATGATTAAAAATAAAAGAATGGGAAAAGGATTTTCCATGCCCACATTCATCTTAAGAAAACTGGAGTGAGTACATTAATATCAGACATAGTAGACTTTAAAACAAAGAGTACTATCAATGACAAAAGAAAGACACTATAAAATAATAAAGGAGTGAATTCACCAAGAGGAAATAATTCTAAATGTGTATGCATTTGAAAGCAAAGTTTCAAAACAGGGAATGAGAGCCAAAAAATACAGCCACACGTATATATATATGTTAAATCGACTTTTTTGGCAAAGGTGCTAAGGTAATGCAATGGAGGAAAGCAACACTATAGGAACACAGAATTAGTCTTGCATAAATGGCACACGTTATGAGGCACCCACATTCATAGTGAAAATGGTGACATGAGTTACATCAAGGAAATCACTCTAGGGGCATTTGGTGGAACAGTCCTGGCCCCGTCCACTTTCTTACTGTTGTCCTCAGTGTTGACATAGAAAGATTTGGCTTTTGGATTCACTGGTAAGTTGTGCTTTTCATATTGCTGTTCTGTTTAATTACTTTCCTCTGTGTTTCTTTTTTTTAAATTACTTTCTTAGAGTTTACTGTTTTTTTTTTTTAATACTTCTTTGTTTATACCTAGCTTTTGTTTAACTTGTTTTGTTTCAGGTTCTAAAAAATGCAGTTATAGCTATATATTTTTCTGAGTCCGATTTTGGTTATATCCCACATGTTTTGACATTTATAGCATTTATTGCTTTTTATGACTTTTTAATGACTTGAGTTTTTTTCTTTAAATCAAGAGTTACTTAAATAATTTTTCCAAGTGGATTGTTGCTTTTCCCCACCCCACAGCCCACACTCTTGCTTTCTTTTAATATTAATTTCTTATTCAGTTTTATTATGGTCAGAGAACAATGGTTTGAATGATTTCTGCTTGTTTGTAATTTATCTTAATTTTTGGGTTTAATACATAATACAATTTTGTAAATGTTCTGTGAGTGTTAAAAAGTTTAGGGTTATGAAAGAGTGTGTTTGTGTGTATATCACTGAGGCTTATTTATTTGTTTTGCTCACACTCTCCATATTCTTGCAGATTTCTGTTGATTTGATCTGTATTTTCTCAAATAGTTGCGTTAAAGTCATCTTCTATGATCATGAATTTTTCAGTTTCTGTGTTTAAATATCAATATTGCTGCATTTTTTCTTTTTTTTCTTTTTTTTTTTATTAGCTCCACTTGTCTGCATTTTCCTTTTTAGTTGTGTAAGCCTCTATCTTGTGCATTTTCTTTCCATCCCTTTATTTTCAGCCTTTCTGTGCAGTTTTGTTCAGTTGCATCCCTGAGGACAGCTACATGCTGGATCTTGTTTAATCAGTAAATCAGAGAACCATATCTTCTGGTAGGATATGTCAATTTGGATCCTTCAAAAAGTTAACACAAAGAAGGAATAAGACATGCATGTTGTTTATTCGAAGAGTGCAAGTAAAGAATAAAGTCGAAAGCAGAAGTCAGGGAGGGCCTTTTGAAAGTGAATAGGTCTGACCACTAGGGAAGCAGAAGGGGAAGGAATGACTGGAGAGGAAGAGTCTCTGACTGCAGTTCAGATCCAAGAAAGTTCCAGCCTGGTCAAGGTGAGACTTGGAGCCAAATTTCCTGTTAGAGAAACCTCATGTCCTGTAAAAACGGGACTGCATGTGTATCCCTGAGAGCTGCCTGAGGCTCAGGTGGCCTTGGAGGGAACGCAGTGGGGGACCCAGAGAGGCCACTGGTGATGCTGTCACCCACTGTGCTCCCATGCAGCGAGTTTTCATGGCTGACACATAGGACCACTTAGTCCATTCAGTGATCACAAATATTTAAATATCCGATTATTTCTCGCCTCCTTATTTAATCTTTTCCGTTTACTATGATTTTTTGTTTGTTTGTATTGCTTCCTTTCATTTTATTGGGTTAAGTTTTCCTTGTTCAATTTCATCACAAAAGTGATTTAGCAGTTAGACAACTTATTTTTTTTATTATACTTTAGGTTCTAGGGTACATGTGCAGAACATGCAGGTTTGTTACATAGGTATACATGTGCCATGTTGGTTTGCTGCACCCATCAATGCGTCACTTACATTAGGTATTTCTCCTAATGCTATTCTTCCCCCAGACCCCCACCCCATAACAGGCCCCAGTGTGTGATGTTCCCTGCCCTGTGTCCAAGTATTCTCATTGTTCAATTCCCACCTATGAGTAAGAACATGCGGTGTTTGGCTTTCTGTCCTTGTGATAGTTTGCTGAGAATGATGGTTTCCAGCTTCATCCATGTCCCTGCAAAGGACATGAACTCATCCTTTTTTATGGCTGCATAGTATTCCATGGTGTATATGTGCCACGTTTTCTTAATCCAGTCTATAATTGATGGACATTTGGGTTGGTTCCAAGTCTTTACAATTGTGAATAGTGCTGCAATAAACATACGTGTGCATGTGTCTTTATAGTAGCATGATTTATAATACTTTGGATATATACCCAGTAATGGGATCGCTGGGTCAAATGGTATTTCTAGTTCTAGATCCTTGAGGAATCGCCACACTGTCTTCCACAGTGGTTGAACTAATTTACAGTCCCACCAACAGTGTAAAAGTGTTCCTATTTCTCCACATCCTCTCCAGCACCTGTTGTTTCTGACTTTTTAATGATTGCCATTCTAACTGGAGTGAGATGACTTATTTATATTATTAATCCAGCCACATACTTTTAACAAAAAATCAAAAGACTACATCTCCATGGCTGAATAACTGAACAGTTCAGAAGACTTCACTCTTATCACCAAATCACAGCCTAATTTACCAGAAATAAACCATTTTATAAATCTGATCACTATTGTGATACCTGTAAATTACCATTTTCGAATTCTTGGATGTAGACATTGTCTACTAACTTCTTTGTTGGATTGGATTTTTTGCTCAATTGCAATATATTATGTTTCTATATCCTTCCTCCCGTTTACTTTTGTCACTCATCTTACCAGTTTTTCTATTGTTCATCTCTGAGCTCATAGCAAACACATATACAGTACTATTCTAAGTGCTTTACATATATTAAGCACTATTCTAAGTGCTTTACATATATTAAGCAACTTGAAGAAGATACTGCTAATATCCCCATTTTACAGATTGGGAAATGGGAGCATAGAAAGATTACGTAATGTGCCCAAGGTCACATGGCTAATAAATGGCAGAGCTGACATTCAAACCCAGGCAGTCTGGTTTCAGAATCCCTCTCTTAGATGCTACATCATTTCTTATTAGCTCAACTGTAGATTCTTAATTCCAACTTTGTAAAATGAAGGTATTAGTACTCTGAACCTCTTCAATTTTCACCTCCCAACCTCTTTCAAATGTACCTCTTTTATTTTGTCAAGATTCATCACATTTACATTTTGCACTGTAATAAGTTATACGTTCCGTGATTTGTCTATGGGGTGATTTTACAAGTCAAAGGCTGATCAATGTCTTTCCATTATTATGATTATATAAAAGTTGCTGACAGCAGAACAAAGTAGAATATTAAGATGCAATTCTTTCACCAGGAGTCCAACATCATGACCCCTAAGCCACTCACACAGGGAAGAATGTACCCACAGTCAAGTTTCAATTAATTCTGAAAAGCAAAACAAAACAAACCCTGGCAACCAGCTTCACTAGTCGTCTTGAGCATATTCCCCAGTTTTTCCAGTGTCTCAGTCATTCCACATAACCCTCCAATTTTCGTTTCCTCTGCAGCCACCATCTTTCCATCTGCGTCTGAACCGGGTGCTCTCTGGGCTTGGGAGTTGCAGTGATCCTGAAATAGAACATCCACCATTTCTTAGTTTGGATCCACTGTTATCTGGAGTCCACATCTCTTTCTTTCTTGGTTTACTCCACGTTGCTACAGTCATCAAATGACTTCCAAAGTAAAAGTGTCTTTGAGGTGTTTCTGGAGTCCATGCAGCCTGAAAATATCTTTATTATTCTCTCTCACTTGGCTCAGATTCCCTAACCACACTCCCAGAACTTTAAAAGTCTTGCCCTGTTTTTGTTTTTGTTTGCACCCAGTATAAAGTATTAGATACATGATGCCAGGCTAATGCTTGCTCCTTTGTAAAGGACGTTTTATTTCACTTTCTGAATGTTTTGACATTTTATTATCCTAAGTATACTGATATGGTATGTCTAAATGTAGATATATTTTTATTTATTGTACAAAGTACTTTAAAAACTCAGCTCTGGAAAACATATTATATTTTTAATTGTATTCCTTCTGTGTTATCAATTCCCCATTTCTAGAAGTAGTCAGAAGGCATAGCTTTAGGTTTGATCCACCATGCCTTTATTTTACTTTTTTCTTTTTGAAATGAGTTTTGAGTAAACTCGACTTTTTTGTGTGGACATTTATAAAAAGCATTATTAATGACACATATATAGATTCATGTAGCCATCATCAGTTTTAGCAAAATTGACTTTTTTGTGTGTGCACACTTCTAAGAAAGTTAACATATATATATATAGATATAGATTCATGTAGCCACCACAAATTTTTAGTAAAATTGACTTTTTGTGTGTGTGTGCTCATTTCTTAAAAAATTAACACATATATATATTTCTGTAACTATCACTACCATACATGTACAGAACAGTATCACACACAAAACAATCTCCCTTGTTGCTTTTCTTTCTAGTCACATCAGTCTCTCAGTCCTCATTCCTGGGAACCACTGAACTCTATCACTGTAGTTTTGAATTTTTGTGACTGTCGTATAAATAAAATTGTATAGTACGCAGCCTTTTGAAACTGGCTTCTTTCACTCAGCATAATGCCTTTGAAAGCCATTAATCTTTTTACATTGATTCCTTTATATTGCTGAATAGTATTCCACTGTGTGGCTGTATCATGGTTTGTGTTTTCATTTACAAATTGAATAACATTTGATTTGCTTCCAGTTTTTGGTGATTGTGAATACAGTTGCTATAAACTTGCTTACAAGTTTTTACATAAATGTAAGTTTGATTTCTCTACAGTAAATGTTGAGATGTTAAATTGGTGGGTCATGTATCTCCAGAGTGGCTGTATCATTTTGGATACTCAATAGCAATGTACAAACATTCTAGTGTAACTGGTGAACTTTCTCTGATATTGTCTGATACATAATTTATATAATATATTACATAATATATGTTATATTACATGTTATAACATATATAATATGTATTATACATTATAATGTATAGTACAAAATGTATATAATATATAACATGTTATATATTATATATACAATATATAATATATACAATACTTTATATTGTATTATATATAATATTTTGTATAATACAATGTATATAATTCAATGTATATATAATAGACATACAATATAGATTGCTGTATATATACAATATTATATTGTATATATTATATGTACATTATATGATATATTATATATTATATACACATTATATGATATAATGTATATATTGAACACATTGTATATATTGAATATATAATACATATTGTGTAGACATCATATATAAGTTGTATATATTATATATATTAGCTGTTCAAATAAATATGAAGTATTGTATGGCTGTGGCCATTTTCCTCATGAATGATGATGTCAAACATCTATTTATGTGCTTATTTGTTATCCATATATTCTCTTCAGTGAAGTGCCTTTTTAAGATTTTTGTTCACTTGAAAGATTGAGTACTTATCTTACTGTCAAATTTTAAGAGTTATTTATATATTCTATATACAAGTTATTTATGGGATATGTGATTTTAAATATTTTCTTCCATTTTGTAGCTTATATTTTCACTCTCTCAGTAGTGTCTTTCTTGGAGTAAAAGTTTTAATTTTGATCATGTCCAATTTTTCTGGTTTTTTTATGGAGTATAGTTAAGATTCCATATCTAAGAACTTGTTGCCTAACCCAAAGTCATGAAAACTTTCTCCTACATTGTCTGAACAATTTTTCAGATAAAAAAGATCAAATCAGAACATCTTTACTATTCCCTTTCAATGGAATAATTGCTTGGTTGGATATAAATGTCTGGATTCGAAATTCTTTTTGTGCAAAATCCCTGGACATTGTCCCACTGAATTCGTACCTGCAGTGAAGGATGATTTGGAACACCCTGGCAAATGATGTCAAGGCGAATCTGTAGACACAGTGAATCCAGTGCTCTTTTCCCTCCCCCACTTCCTAATCCAAGCTGCTGGCCTCTCCTAAAGCACAGGGCTGCTGGGTTCTATAGGATTCAGCTTGGTGGTGTGAGTATTTGGAATATCATAGACCTGGCAGGAAGCATAGATGCTAGACAAGCAACCAAACAGTAGCAACAGAGCTCCGGAGGAGGACAGGAATGTCCTGGGAGGGCTTGCCTATGGACATTCTTAAAGGACAAAGAGTAAGCTGCTGGTGAACTGTGACCTCCCTGAACTTACGGCTGGATATGTTTAAGGACATCAGAGAGCTAGCGATCTCTCTAGGTGCCTTAATGGCAGGTGACAGCTGCCTGGACTCCCCAGGCTTTCAGGGCCAGCATTCACCATGTCTTTTATCATCCACAGGATTCCTGCAACAGCCCAAGCTAAGTCAACTCTATAAACTCATAAATAATAATAATGTCCCATTTAAAAATGCCCAGAAACCTTAATGAAGAAGATTGAGCAGAATAATTAATATGCAAACCCAGTAAAAGAGACTGCTGGGTGAGATTGATGAATATCTTGATTTTTTTTTAAATGTGGAATTTAAGCAAATTAATTTTCAGTATAAAATACTTTCAGGGCTTTAAACATGAGTTTTGAACTAAAAAATAGTAAATAAATTAAATAAGCAATTTGTTACTATTAAGATTGAATTAATAGTAACACAGATCAAGATCAAGAGGTATTTGAAAGAACAGAGAAAAAAGTAAAAAGAGATTATAAACTCGGTGGAAAAAAATAAGGTTAGTGGATAAATCTAGGAGGTCTAACATGAATGAAATAAGTTATGGGAAAAGAAAAAGCAGATATACAAGAGGCATTCATTAAACACAAAATAGAATGAATATGTAAATTCCCTGAACTGAGAAATATCTGCACATTTAAAGTACTTAAACAGATTGGACTAAATTGATGAGAAAACACATATACCCACAAACATATATCTAGACTTATGTGATAAGATTCTTGGATTTTACAGAAAAATAAATATGTATTCATGCTTTGAAGTAGAAAGCACAAATTAGAGACATTAGACTTTTCATCTGCAATACTGGATGCTAGAAGACAGTGGAACTGTGTCTACAGATATGTAAGAGAAAAGATCTACAAACTGAAACTTCTATGCCCACTGAATAGATCATAAATATAATTGTGTGAAAGAAATGTACTCAAGAATTTAGAAAGTACATCACCTAAGTATCTCATCTGAGGAGAATACCTATAAAAAAGAGTTTAATGAAAAAATTAAGATGGACAAGATGAAAGAAAGAAGAAAGAGTAGTGGATAGCCCAGGAATTCAAGGCCAGCATGGGCATCATGGCAAGATCCTGTTTCTACAAAAATACAAAAAAAAATTATATGTGTGTGGTGGCACATGCCAGTAGTCCTAGCTACTCGGAGGCTGAGATGGAAGGATTACTTTAGCCTGGGAGGTAGAGGCTGCAGTGAGCCATGATCATGTAATTGTACTCCAGCCGAGTGCAGAAGAGCAAGAGTCCATCTCAAAAATAAAAAATAAAAATGAATAAAAAGAGTAGTGATCAGTGAACCTGACTAATATATGAAACATAAAATATTCAACACACACATGCACATATATGGAAGTTTAATTATATTTAGAAATACACAAAGGGAAAGGCACACAAATTAACAGAAATTTTAATAGGTAAACTAGTTCAATAAATTCTACCATACAGCAATAGGTAGAGAGGAGGGAAGGAAAAAATAATATCAAAGATCATGTAAGAAGCAATAAGAAGGCATAGAGCATGGGAAGGGTTGGGGGACATCAAAGTGTTCTACAGCTCTCATTAAGGAATTGTGAGGTAGGAGGAAATTAAGACATTGTAATGGAAGTGCATCTTGATGGGGAAAAATTGCTAATTTACTATAAAATAATAGTTAAGTAATATGTGTATGAATAAAGGAACAAGAAGGAAATTCGCTATGAATGTAAAAGAAAGTACTGTAGAACTTCTTAATAGGAAAGGCAAAAGTGAAATGAACAGAAACATGATCAAACAAGCAACATAAGGAAAGGGGATGCCACAGCATGCAAGCAGCAATTAACACAGAGTTAGATGGAGGAGCTGAAATCATGTGTATTAGTGCCTGCCCTAAATGAAAATGGACTAATGCCCTAAATGAATATTCCAGCAATTGCTGGAGTAAATGAAGGCCAGCAACTCTCAGGGTTAAAAAACAATAGCCATCTGTGGCCAGGCACGGTGGTTCATGCCTGTAATCCAAGCACTTTCGGAGACTGAGGCAGGCAGATCACAAGGTCAGGAGATCAAGACCATCCTGGCTAACACAGTGAAATCCTGTCTCTACTAAGAATACAAAAAATTAGCTGGGCATGGTGGTGGGTGCCTGTAGTCCCAGCTACTCAGGAGGCTGAGGCAGGAGAATGGCGTGAACCCAGGAGGCGGAGCTTGCAGTGAGCTGAGATCGTGCCACTGCACTCCAGCCTGGGTGACAGAGCAAGACTCCATCTCAAAGAAAAAAAAAAAAAAAAAAAAAGGCCACCTGTTTGCTATTTGCTAAATCATACTTTAAACGAAATAATAAAGATTGAAAAATATGGGTGGGAAAGACTCAATATTTTCCAAGTGTTTTTCCCCAAGACACTCTCGAAGGAGAAGAAAGTGGTAAGAGGACTTATTTATTTATCTATCTGTAGCCAATATCACACTAGTTCTATAATAAGTCTTTGGTATCTTGAAGATCAACACAATAGAATGGAAAAGTCATAAATAAACATATTACTGAAGAGCAATGGGATAAAGTAGATTTTTAAATAAATGTCCCTAGACAATAAAGATATTCATATTTTTATAAACTTATATATTATTTATTGATTTATTTGAGACAGGATCTCACTGTGTCCCAGGCTGGAGTGAGTAGCATGATCATGGCTCACTGCAGCCTCAACCTCCTGGGCTCAAGTGATTCTCCCACCTCAGCCTCATGAGTGGCTGAGACCACAGGCATGCGCCACCAAACCTAGCTCATTTTTAAATTTTTTGTAGAGATGAGGGTCTCAAAAAGTTGCCCAGGCTGGAATCAAACTCCTGGCCCCAAATGATCCTCCCACCTCAAAGATATTTATATGGAAACAGAATTAAAATTGAATCCCTACCTCACACCACTGACAAAATAAACTGTATCTGGATTATAGAGCTAACTATGAAAAGCAAAACTACGAAGCTTTCAAAAAATAACATAGGAGCATATGTTAAGGTTTTGGTGCAGAAAAATATTTCTTAAACAGATACAAAATATACTAATGATAAAGAAGAGAAATTGATTAAATGTTACCACATTAAAATTAGGAAATTAAACATACCATACAGAACTTAGAAGAGACATTATGAAATGAGAAGCCACATTTGCAACACAAATTAGCAAATGATCTTTACCCAGAATATGCACAGAATTATTTCAAATATATATAGAAAAAAGACACATAGGCATACTCATTGTCACTCACATCTGTAATCCCAGCACTTTGGGTGGCTGAGGCAGGTGGATCACTTCTCCCCAGGAGTTCAAGTTCAGCCTAGGCAACATGGTGAAACCCCATCTCCACTAAAAATACAACAATTAGCTGAGCTTGGTGGTGTGTGCCTGTAGTCCCAGCTACTCAGGAGGCTGAGGTGCCTGGTTTGGGAGGTCATGGCTACAGTGAGCCATATTCTCATCACTGCACTCCAGCCTGGCACTGTAGTGAGACCCCATCTCAAAAAATATAAAAACAAAAATGAAATTTAAAAAGATAACCTAATAAAAAAGGAACAACGTATTTGAACAGAAACTTTATAGAGAAATCCCAATGAACAACAAACATATAAAAATTGATAACTACATTACTAATTGTGGAACTGTATAATATTATAAACACTTGGCATTTCCTCAGCCTCCCTCTACTACTTCTGGTGATCCCCTTCTACTAAGCCCCGACCAGAAGGTTTACTTTCCTTGGAGGGCATTTCATGGACTGAGCTGATAGACGTTCAGTTGTGAGTTGCATAGAGGGTGGGACAGGGGACAGGAGAGAATTTCCTGGAAGCTGCTCTAATTGCAGTCTTCTAACCTGGGCTTTAGGATTTCTTTGCATTTGTTTTTAGCTTCAGAGTAACTGTGGGGTGTGTGAAGCAGGATTCACCGTGTAAGCCCCAGTTTCTCTAGTAGATTCACTAGTCACTGGTTATTCTATCACTTGCACAAGTCTAGGGAGACAGAAGACTAACATAGCAAATTAATTAAAGCAACTTTATTACCTACAGATAGCCAGCAAGGGAAAATCCGTGTCTGGAATTCAAGGCGAGCCAGTCCCCTAGGGCTCAGGAAATCTGCTCCTGGGGCAGATGGAGTCTTATCTCAATGTCTCACATTACATTGCCCTGGAACTGACGGACCCCAAAAGGCTACTCTGCCCTGGGTTTTATACCCAGGCACAATTGAGTTTCTGGGCTAACGCGCTGAAGGACATCGTGTTCTAGGACGAACAGGAACAGCCCGCGCTCTGTTCTAGCCAGTTCCTCGTTATCTCAGGATGTTACATTCCCAGCACTTTCTATAGTTATTTTTGAGAACTACAAGTGAGAAAGGGGGAAGAGCTGGGTGAGCCAAGGCCATGTGGGGATTCATCCTGCACGCTGCTTATGATTTTTGGCTATAGATTCATCTACTCTTGTCACTCTAATCCCATCTGGTTTCTGTCTTCTAGGAATTCCTCACATGTTCTGGTCTGCTGATCCACATTTTCTTGTTTTGCACTGTCCATATGTACCTATTCTCTATTAATTTTGTTTTAAAATATTTTTCTATTATTTTTGGGAAGTTGGAACAGAGTGGTTTTTGTCCTTAGTCTGTTAGTTTAATTCATCTCTTATACAAAGGCTCACTTATTGAATAGTATCAGTAGTGCACTTGGGCCTTTCTCATACCCTGAATCTTTGGGTTTATTTTTCACTAGTCATTTTTATAAGTTTTTCATCTTCAATGCATTTTTTTAAAAAGGTGTCTTTATGTACAAGAGTAAGGAAACACAATAGAGTTTTTTGGTTAACATTACGTCTGTGTTTGTGTGTGTGTGTTTGTGTGTATAAATTATAAATTTCTTTTACTAATGAAATATGGAAGAATTTCCTCAACATCTTTGACAAGGATTCCTTTAAGGTATAACAGTAACTCAGGATCAGATTGGATGTGACTTTCAAAGCAATAAATATTTTTATTTTTCTGTGGCCAGAAAGAGGAAGAAGAGGGAGGCATTGTTCACTGGATGTTGGAGAAGAGATGAAAATAATAAAGGAGAAGGCAGTTTAACGGTGGGATGGAGACAAAAAAGAGCGCTGGACTCACCAGAAATTCAGGGGATCTTTGTCCTCCTCTCTCCTTCAGAAAGGAGAGAGATCCATCTGATAGGGAATAGGAAGAGTTGGACTCTCGCTGGTCAGTATTTTTCTATCAGGTGGGATTAATGTGTTAAAGAAACTGCCCTTATGTGATCTCTATAACCAGCCTCTCCTGAAAAATAGGTCACAATCCTCCATGCAGTAGGCTGGGTAAGAACTCGCAGGTTGTCAGCTTGAGGGGAACGCATCAGAATGCTGACTTTGGCTGCAGATTCAAGCTATGTTCTCCAACAGTTTAGCCGATATCTTCCTCCCTCACTGGAGCGTGTCTAAATTGACTCAAAACTTGCAGGCAAGAAAGTTACGAGTAAGTACTCCCTGCAAACCTGAAGTGTGCCCTAAAACACATAGTGGCCATTGAACTTGAGCAGCTGTGATTCCTGATACACACTTTGGGGTTATTTCCAGCTCCATGCAGCAGTGATCTTCCATTATCACCAAATGTGTAGTAACAGTCTATTACCTACTAATGACTTGAGTAAGAAATTCCTGGATAAATAAATGAGAAGAGAGGTGTCCACGAAAAGTGGTGGGGAAAGAGGGCAGGGCTGTAGGAAACAGATAGTAGAGGTGTCTGGGATGATGGGGAGAGATGGAAGGGAGTGACTAAAGCCATAGCAACAAGAAGGGAGGCACCCCTCCCTCACCTTAGAAAGCTACGAAAAGTCTTGGGGAATGCAATGGACTTTTTACAGCCAATTAGGTACCTATTTAAAAATGTTTTCTTGTTAAAGGCCAGATGGCGTGAGAAGATCAGAAGACTTTCGGCCATTTAGGTGACATGCAGAATCATCTGTACATTATTAATTTAAATAGGAATTTAAAAATCTATATTCAACATTATCCATGTGGTGTACCATATCAATGGAAAACAATGAACAATAAATAAGTAAAACCATACGATTATTTTTAAAATGAGTGAATGAATGAATGTCATGCACGTAAAAGCCAAAGAGTAACCACATCAAAAAGATAAATGTGGTTTTCTGTGTTCTCAATGAGGGAGGCCTCTGGAGGTGATTTAGAAATGTGGGTGGCGGTGGTGGTGAAGTTGGTTGCAAAAATGACAAGAAGCCATTACTGGCATTGGATGTCCAGGAACCAAAGATTTTAAACATCTTGCAATGCACGAGACAGTCTTCAGCAAGAAAGAAGTGTCTCACTCACAATGCTAGTAACCATCTTGGTGAAAAACACAGTTTAGGTGGGTTTCCCCCTCTACTTTTCTATATTTTCCAGATTGTTTTCATGAGTCTATTTCCCTTATTAAGATTAAATTATACCTATTCTATAATTTGACACTGTAAAATGAAATGATAAAATATAGATAAAGCAAAGATAATAACAATCACCCATATTCACGTTCTTGCTGCCAAGACATCCAGTGTTCACCTCTCAGTATACATTGCTTTAGAATTTGTGAGCCATGGATTGCAACGATGGTCCAGTTCTTCGCTCCTTTCCATCTCCTGTGTCCATGCACTCTGCTCTGTGACTTTGGAGTTCCTCTCATAAAGTTAGGGTGTTCTTCTTCACCCCATGTGACTTGCTTTGGCCAAAACCCACAGCAGAAGTGGTGGCATGTTAGTTACCCCATGCCTAGACCTGCAGAGTCCTGTGTACTTTGGCTTGCACCCTTTGACCTCTGCCTCCATCATGAACACAATGCCTAAGCTGGTCACAGCACTCCAGGATCTCCGTTCCACAAAGCAGAGGCTGAAGTGGGGCTTTGTAACTGATTCCCTATATCTGAAGGCACACAGGGATATCCTACAGGAAATGATGGATGATGATTCTTCAGGAAGACCCCACAGAAATGACACTACTACGAAATGGACTTCTGTGTCAGGAAGAAGATTGTCAGAGCAGTCAGCTTCTTGTCAGGACTCCGTGGTTTGTTTGGACCTCTGCTTGTTACCGTGAGGTGTTGGGGGAAGATGGTGAGTGTTCTCATGGTGCCAGCAGTCTGCATGCTGTCAGCAGTCTGTATGCTGTGTACACATCCAAGGATTGGAAACCACATGGAGAACAGGACAAGTACGTGCAGTTGGAGTTGGGCAGGCCACACACATTGCCCATGCTTATGGGGTGCCTGTTATATCTGTGCCCTGGTGAATTTGCATGTCGGTATGTCACTTTCTAATACTTGAGAGAAGAAAGCTTTAGGAAGAGCCCCTTTTCTGGTCTGTACAACAATGGCATATGGACTGACACTGGGCACAGTAGTCAACAGTTTGGGACCAGTGGTGTAATTTGTTCTATTGAAGGAGTGTAGATCAGAGACATTGATGGTCTGGAGAAATAAGAGAGGGTTCAGTGGAGACACATCTCAGAGTAGCTGAGGCATGTAGACCTCCATCGTCCGAAATGATAGTAATATGGTTTGGCTGTGTCCCCACTCAAATCTCATCTTGAATTGTAGTTCTCATAATCCCCAAGTGTCATAGGAGGGACCAGGTAGAGATAATTGCATCATAGGGGTGGTTTCTCCCATCCTATTCTCGTGATAGTGAGTTAGTTCTCACAAGATCTAATGGTTTTATAAAGGGCTTTCCCCTTTACTGGGCACTCATTCTTCTCCTTGCTGCCGCCATGTGAAAAGGATGTGTTTGCTTCCTCTTCCACCAGGATTGTAAGTTTCCTGAGGCTTCCCCAGCCATGCTGAACTGTAAGTCAGTTAAACTTCTTTCTTTTATAAATTACCCAGGCTCAGGTATTTCTTTATTAGCAGCACAAGAAAGAACTAATACAGATAGCCACTAGTCGTGCATGGATATTAGAATTCAAATTTAAATTTAAAATATTAAATAAAATAAAAATCTCAGCTGCTCAGTCTCACTGGCCATATTTCAACACTAAATTGCTGCCAGAGACCAGTGGCAACACTATATTGGGAAGTGTAGATGTAGAACATTCCCATCACCACAGAAAGGTCTATGGACGGTGTTGTTGATGGCCAGGGAAGGACACAAGGCGATGTGCTGGACTTGCCCCTGCCACTGTGGTTCCCAAAAGAGCAAAGTCAAAGGAGCTTTCTTTCTTCTGTTGTGCTCCAGGCAGAAACAGGGACTCCCAGAAACCCTCCCCACACTTGGGCCTTTAACAGCGTTATTTTACACATGCACTCCATTGAACTCCACTGTTATTCTATCTCACCCACCTAAATCCAGAGCAAATGTCTCACCATTCGGAAAAATTACATGAGAGAAAACCCCAGACGCGTGCATGGGGCTCCCTGTGAAATTGAGTCTTAGTACATTGAGTTTAATCCAAATGTATTTCGAAAACAGTGGTTTCAATTGTTGTAAACTACAGAACACATGGAGAATCCCTGGAGAAACAGATGTTAGATCTTCTGATAGCAGTAAAACATCCAAAAAAAAAATCTTGTAAATATGAACAAACTTGACTAATAGAGTATTTGGCAGTTAAGGAGATAGGAATGCATGGTGAATGTCACCTGACTTTCTAAAATAGTGGCATGAGTGTCATTAAAAAAGAAATACTCTTTTAAATGTCTGTTATTTAGTTTTAAAATGAAAAATATTGAATAGTTAAAATTTATTAAGTGTAAAATTGGTTTTTAGAGTGCTTTGGAATGGTAGTTACCAGAAAGCAAAACTTGAGAAGTCATTGATAGCAGCTGCTCAGTAAAAAAAAAAAAAAAAATGATAATAATAAAGAAAAAATCAAGAGGCTAATTTTTAGGACCAGGTTCATGGTGGAGCCCATGGGTTCATATAAAAGGCTGTTTTTGGTCCGGGGCTCATATCCTGGGGAGCTCTATAGTCACAGGCAGACCCAAGTGTGATCCCCAAGGACCTCTGTTCTGTAAGTAGTTCAAGCCAGACTCTGAGAAATTGGAGGCCCACACACTTGGTCTAGCTGGTGCCCCTTCAAGCACTCTCTCTTACTCTTATTATTATTTTTTGTTTGTTATTGTGTTTTGTTTTGTTTTTGTGTACGTATATGAAAATTTGTTGCTAGAATGTAAAGAAGAAAATGAGAGTATGGGATGAGGTAGTAGGGATGACAAGTTCAGAAGGCTCAATTTTCTTTTCAGGGTAGGGAAGGTACATGTGGTTCAGTTATCTAATTAGTTTGATTTTTTTTTCTTTTTTTTTTTCTTTTTTACAAATGTAGGGAACTCAGGAGAAGTGGGGTTAAAAGCAAGAACTCACAGAATATAGTATTCACATGTTACTGGACTCAAGAGAAAGCATCTGTAAACAAGGGCTTAGAAATGACAACTGGACTCCTGAAATAGATGGAATCATTTTAACACAAGTTACTTTGACATCTACTTGTTTCTCTTACACTGAGCCACACTTAGTCAGTACACATCACATAAGAGAAGAAGAGAGGCCAGCTCATGGGCAAGAGCTTGAAGGTCCTTATGGCCCCTCCTTCCTTTGCTCACCTGCTACGTACAATTGGTTCAGACTCTGCCATCATCCTGAACACGTTCCACTGTTAGCTTCCGTCCATGGCTATGTTTGATCTCCAAGCCCTGAGTCTCTGGAGAACAAGGCCATGTGTAATGCTGTGCCTCCTCAGCAATCAACACGTCTGACTTTTGTAGTAGATTCCATTAGAACAGATGAATGAATGAAGCGACATTGGAGGTACAGATATGGTTTGGCTGTGTCCCCACCCAAATCTCATCTTGAATTGTAGTTCCCATAATCCCCATATATTGTGCAAGGGACCCAGTGGTAAGTAATTGAATCATGGGGGTGGTTACCCCTATCTTTCTGTTCTCCTGATAGTTAGTGAGTTCTCACAAGATCTGATGGTTTTATAAGTGGATTTTCCACCTTTTGCTCGGCACTTCTCCTTGCTGCCACCATGTGAAGAAGGATGTGTTTGCTTCCACTTCTGCCATGATTGCAAATTTCCTGAGGCCTCCCCAGCCCTTTGGAACTGGGTGTCAGTTAAATCTCTTTCCTTTATAAATTAACCAGTCCCAGGTATGTCTGTATTAGCAGTGTGAGAATGGACTAATACACTTCATTTCTCCCAGGCCAAGAAGCCTGGGTAAGAGAGCCATGGTTGCTCAGTCAGCTTGGAGGATTGTCTTACGATGCTGTGCAGGTTTTTACCTTCAGTCCTGCAAGCTCCTTTTTCTCACAATCCTACACAAAACTGTAACCAAGTTGAAGATGTGAACAAGTGATGACTGTGTGGTCATCCAATGCTAAGGGCCCAAGACTGCAGTGTATATTTCAAGGTGTGTCTTCAACCCTGCCTGGGGTATTTAAAAACAATACCAGTTCTCCGTGACTCTGTCAACCAACAAATTTTATAAACATATATTTGTTGCTCATCTGCTGTGTGCCTAGAGTGTGTTCTCTCCAGGTGTCTCATCCTGCTAGAGGTTAAGTTTCCCCAAATATAAAGAGCCACGATTTCCAAGGAGAAGCTGGCTGGCTATTTTTTTTACGGGAGCACAAAAGAAATGGCCTATCAATTTATTATGCATCATCTTTCACATCTTAAGAAATAGAGCAATAATTACCAAATTTCTCTATTTAAAAAAACAAGTCAGTACTTTATACAGTAAATATGAAACTGTACCATGATCTACACATGTGTGAGTTTTCTGTAAATACAGAAATTGGATATTTGTCACTGCAACAATTCACTGCAATTGAAAAAAGATAAATAATGGATGACAATGCCACTTGTTTGTTAAAATTCTACAGAAAGGAAACATATACCCGTTATTCCTTTCATGAATTTGGCCACCGAAGGTTCATACATAATTGTGCTTCACATTTACTTCTAATTAGCTGTGAACCTGATCCAGGCCATGCAAAGCCCAGAGCAAAGGTATTTTTCCAGTTCTTTCTCTCTTGCCTTGGGCAGAAGAGGCTGGAGTCCAGGGAGCAAAAGTCCCTTGAATGGGTGCTGGGCCCATAAGTGCTTGGTGCATGCTGGGCGATGCTTGATAAACTGTTCATTGCTCATCTCTTGCCAGGACAGGTGCAATTATGGGCCTCTGCTACTTGGCACCCTTCACTCACCAGCTTTCAGCCTGTTCATCTGGGCAAAGTATCGATGTTTTCCTCAAGGGTGGGACTGGTATAGGGACCCTGCCAAGATTCCTATCCAAGGGATCCAAGATCTACTGAGCATACTCTAGAAGCAGCTTGAAGATAGTTCCCATTTAAGCTCATAACTTACTACATTGGCCTAGGGAGCATGCTGGGGAGAGGACCAGAGAGTGAGGGAGGTGACAGCCACAGGAGCCACCTGACCAGCAGGGGACAGGATGTGGTGGATGCACATTCAGCTCCTTATCTTTCTGTGGGACCATCTGAGGCGCATTCTTCATAGCGTCTGCCAGAGGAACACCCGTGCTGTTGGGCCCCAGTTGCCCACTGCAGTAACTTCCTCACTAACAAGACCTTATTGGCTTTTCTTCCTTCTCTGTCTCACTTCTCCCCACCCTCTCTGTGCTTCCTGTGGTCACCCCCTACATAAACTCCTTGCCCTCAAAGCCTTATCTTGCGCTCTGTTTTAGGGGAACCCCAAACCAAGTCACTTGTATCTTGACCCAGGCAGGCATATTACTGAGGGTATCATGTTGCCCCTTCTGCCCACACAGCTCCACCAGGAAAAGTGTTTCTGTCCTGGCTGTGTCCTTAGGAGGGTAAGCCCTGCCTTTCTGGTCCTGTTGGCCCTGTCTTTCTGGTCCAGTTGCCCCCTGGTCATGTTGCCCCTTCTGCCCACACAGTTCCACCAGGAAAAGTGTTCCTGTCCTGGGTGTGTCCCCAGGAGGGAAAGCCCTGCCTTTGTGGTCCAGTCCTCTGTCCTGTCCTCAGGCTACCTCATAGCAGGGCCTGGCTCCTGGGAGGTGGCCAAGCCCTGCCTGCAGATGCCTAGCAGGCCCACTTATGAAAACTGGTCCCAGGAGTGATGGTGTTAGGATCCCGCCCAGTGCTCATGATGGGCAGAACCCCAGGGCACAGAAAGATCTGAAGTTCATTAATCAGGGCAAGCAGCAAGGCCTCTGGAGACATTTCTGCTGACTGATGATTAAAACAAAAAAGCAGAGTGAGGAAGACTACCCCAGTTCGTGAAACCCACCCACTCCCAGAATGCTTCTCACACTTTTTGCAGTACGCCCAGTTAAAGGGGCATTTCTGGACATTCTTGCTGACAAGCACATTACTTGAGAGCCAGAAATCCTAACCAGGAATCCACTGCCTATCTCTGTGTCTATCCTTTGTCTACCCTTCCCACCGGCCATCACACACTTTTCCTTCCTTCCTCTCTGTCTCTCTCCCCACATCTTTTCTTTTCTTCCTTCCTCCCTCCCTCCTGCTATCCTTCTTCCCTCTATTCTGCTCTACTCCTTCCCTCCTCTCTCTCCTTTCTTCCTTCCTCTCTCCATTCTTCCTTCCTCTCTCCATTCTTCTCTTCCTCCCTCTCTTTTCTATATCTCCTTTTTCCCTTCTTTTCTCCCTCTCCCTTTTTCCCCTTTTCCCTTTCTTTTTATCTTCCTCCCTCCCTCCCTTTTCCCATCCCTTCTTGTCTTCCTCTCTTCCTCCTTCCCTCCAATCTTTTCTTCTTTTCCCCCCATTTCTCTCTCCCTCCTTTCCTCCCTCCCTTCTTCTCTCCCTCCCTCCTTTTTTTCTTCCTTCCTTCTTTTCTCCTTCCCTCTCCTTCCTTTCCTTTCTCCCTCACGCCTGCCTTCCCTCATTCCTCCCTTCTGCTCTTCCTTTCTCCCGTCTCCCCTCCTTCTCTCCCTCCCTTCCTCCTTCCCTCTCACCTCTTTTTTCTCTTCTTTCTTCTCTTCCTCCCTTCTTCCCTCCCCCGACCCTTCCTCCCTTCTTTTCTCCCTCTCTAGTCTCCCTATCCCTCTCTTACCTTCCTTTCTGACTCCGTTTATTCTTCCCTTTCCTCCTCTCTCCTCTCTCCCTCCAGAGCATTCTCCTGCCCTCAGGTTCTCCTTCTCCATCTCCTCTTGCTCTACCAGGATCTTTCACTGCCTTGTGCTCTGGGACTTCTGGGAGCTCTGAAGCTGCCTACCTCTATCATGGAATGAACCTTATCTTAACACGGGTAAAGATGGAAAGAAGCCTCTCTGTGGAGTGTGCCATGTCTTTCTGTAACTCCAAGTGGTTTTTCTCAGGGAAAGGGACAGAGGGGGCCAAAGCATGGCTGGACACCTGAGGACAGGTAGGACCCAGTAGGGACTTGTTGAGGGCTGTTTCCAAGGAAAGAGGTCAGGTCCCCCTCTTGGGAAGGCAGCACCAGTTAGGAAAAGCTGCCTACTTCTTACCCAGACTCTCCCTCCTCTTTCTCCTGTTTCTCTTCCTCCCTGCCTTTCTCAACAAGGTCAAGGCCACACCAGTAGCAAATCCTGCCCAGATTTAATGTGTGGGCGAGTGCAAGCCTGGTGGGAAGGTACAGAGAGAAGGCTACCTTCCCTTCAAATCCACTGAACATCTTAAACCACTTCAGGGCTTTGAGGAAACCCAGGTTGTATTTTGCCAAGCACGTTTCCTGTTAATTTTCATACCCAAGTGTATTCTAAAGGAAATGAAATCCACATGTTTCTGATCATTTATACTTAAATCATCAAAATATTGCCTTTTAGAGGCTTTGTGTGTCAGGAAACACTTTGAACCTTTTTCACAGCAGTGTTCACTGCCTCATGGAAAGGCAAACAGGAAGTAGTGATCTGCAGAGGGCATTCCAATGACCCCAGGATGGGTCCGGGGCACCCGGGGTTGGACCCTCCTCAGTGGGCCTGGGCGGGGGCCTTGGGGCTGGGGCAGGAAAGTTGAACACTCTCAAACATCTGGACTCCATCCCTGGTCAGAGTCATGGACTTGCTTGGGGACATTGGGCACAACCATTTAACCTCCTGGGGCCTCAGTTTCCTCCAAAGTCAATGGGACACTTCAGAGAACTAATTTGATTAAAGCACTAGCTAGGAAGGAAAACAAGATTACAAGAAACATAAGAAGCATATCTACCAAACACAATGTGTGGACCTTACTCCCTCCCTGAAACAAAGTATAGCTTGTCTAATTGTATTTTATTTGATTTTATGCTTGTGTGTGTGTATACATCTTAGATGATACTAAGACATTGTTAACTTATTTTAAAATGTTTTGGTTATTTTTTAAAAGATTCCTTTTCCTTTAGAAACATATGCTGAACTATTTTCCAGTGGCTTGATACCTTGGTATATTGCTTTGCAATAATTGGGATGAAGGAGAGGGGAAGTGGGTGGGATAGAGATGAAGCAAATGTGGTCATGAATTTGATAATCATTGAAACAGGTAAGGAGTGAGTCTAGGTCTTCATTAGACCTGTCTCTCTACTTTTCTGTGTATCTTTAACATTTTAAGGTGTTGAACGTAAAACACAAAAAGTAGGCTGAGCATGGTGGTTCATGCCTGTAATCCCAGCACTTTGGGAGTTCGAGGTGGGAAGGTTGCTTAAGCCCGAGATTGAAGACCAGCCTGGGAAACATAGCGAGACCCCCATCTCTATAAAAAATTTTAAAAATTAGCTGGGTTTGGTGGAGCATGACTGTAGTCCCAGCTACCCAGGAGGCTAAGGCAGGAGGATTGCTTGAGCCCAGGAAGTCGAGGCTACAGTGAGCTATCATGGTGCCACTGCACTCCTGCCTGGGTGACAGAGCAAGACTCTTTTCCTAATTTTTTAAAAATAACTAAAACAAACAGAAAACCCTAAGAGCAAAACCTATGATTCCCTAAATCATAGCATCCCTAAAACAGGATGTTATAATTAGAGTATCTTGAACATATTCAAATGAGCACATATCACTGTATAAAGTTCAGAATCATTTCCTAATGTCATAAACCCCAATGCAGAAAAATGTGATTTATTTATTTTGAATCAGATGAAATTACAGTTTTTATAGGTTACAAAAGGGCAGATTATTGGCAACTTCAAAAGGTTCAACCCAAATAGCTCAATTCCACCATCGTTACCCAGACCTACAGAATGCACATGGGGCCCTGTGTTAAATACAAAAACACAACACTGGCCTCCAGGAAACTTAGAGACCAGTGTGTCGTGAGGCAATAAACAGAGGTTCTCACAGTAGGTGGATACAGCTGACGTCACAACGGTTCAAAATGAGGTTGTAACAATGGAGTCATTTCCTGTCTGAGGAAGGGCCCTGGGAAATGGTCTAGGGCAGCATCCCCAGCCTTTCTGGCACCAGGGATCGGTTTCGTGGAGGACAGTTTTTCAACAGATGGGGGAGGGGATGGTTTTGGGATGATTCAAGTGCATTACATTTATTGTGCATTTTATTTCTATTATTATTATATTGTAATATATGAAGAAATAATTACACAACTTGCCATCATGTAGACTGAGTGGGAGCCCTGAGCTTGTTTTCCTGCAACCAGACAGCCCCATCTGGGGGTGATGGGAGACAGTGACCAATCATCAGGCATTAGATTCTCATAAGGAGTGTATGCAACCTAGATCCCTCGCACAATAGGTAGGTTACAAAATGGCAGATTACTGGCAACTTCAAATGGTTCAACCCAAATAGCTCAATTCCACCATCTTGGAACCACAATAGGGTTCCTGCTCCTTTGAGAATCTAATGCCGCAGCTGATGTGATAGGAGGCGGGGCTCAGGTGGTGATGCTAGTGATGGGGAGCGGCTCTAAATATAGATGAAGCTTCACTTGCTTGCCCACTGCTCACCTCCTGTGTGCAGCCCGTTCCTAACAGGCCATGGACCAGTAAGCAGTCCGTGGCCTGGGGGTGGGGACCTCTGGTCTAGAAAGATGGGTTTCATGGGGATGAAATGGAGCTATCCAAGTGCATGGCCTTCTTGAGCAAAGGCACAAAAGACGGCAAGTCTAAAGGGTTTTCATGCTCCACAAACGAGGAGCGAACTGATTATTTAATACAGAAATGGCTCTTGGAATCTCTATTTGGAAAGAATCTTGATGGAGTCTCTGAACCTATTAGCTGTGTGACCTTGAACGTGTTACTCAGTCTCTCTAAGTCTCGGTTTCTTCACTCTGAAAGTGGGAGGAAAAATAAACCTGTCTCCTAAGATGCTTGTAAGAATAAAATGAGGTGAAATGAGTAGAGAGAGAAGAAAAGAGAGAGACAGACCAAGGAGGGTGGAATCTGAATCTGGGCTTATTTTAGGACATTAGGTTGTATAATTTAAGGCAGGCCCGCAGCGTCTGCTTGCTAGACAATGTCTGTCTCATGGCTTCAGTTCAACAATTTTAACATAAACCATGGAGTTCTTTAATCTATTTCTTCTTTTCTGTTGTTTTGATCTGGGATGGCAAACCCAACCCTAATCTCCATTCTAAGTGGCAGCCTTCTTAAATCCTGCTTCAGCTAAAATGAGCACCTCTTAGGATCCTGCTCAGAAATCCCAAAAAAGATGACTTCCAAAGGCCCAGACAATGCAATGAGGGTCAGAATGTAGGCAGCCTAGGAGGGCTTTAGCTCTGGTCTCGCATCCAGTGAGAAAACGGCTCTTTGGGTATATCCTTCTCTTTCTATCTTAGTGACCCCCATGAGAATGGGGCTTCCATTTTCAAGTCAATAGAATTTTTGAGGCTTAACTTATAGTGAGTGTGAAGAACTTTTTTTCTTTCTTTCTTTCTTTTTTTTTTTTGAGACAGATTCTTGCTCTATTGCCCAGGCAGTACAGCAGCACAATTATAGCTCACTGCAGCCTCGAACTCCTGGGTCCAAGTGATCCTTCTGCCTCAGCTTCCTGAGAAGCTAAGACTACAGGTGTATGCCA
Organism: Homo sapiens; assembly: GCF_000001405.40. Classification (NCBI taxonomy): domain Eukaryota; kingdom Metazoa; phylum Chordata; class Mammalia; order Primates; family Hominidae; genus Homo; species Homo sapiens. The sequence goes on along the minus strand of NC_000019.10, from coordinate 31,010,554 downwards.
CCAAGCCTGGCTAATTTATTATTATTTTGTTTTGAGAGATGGGGTTTTGCTATGTTGCCCAGGCTAACCTCAAACTCCTAGCCTCAATTGATCCTCCTAACTCAACCTCCCAAAGTGCTGGGACTGCAGACCTGAACCACCACCCTGCCTGGCCAAGTTTAAGAAGCTTATATACAGAAATCAGGCCTTGTCTTTATTTGGTCATAAGTGAAAGGCTTGCAAGGGCAAGTGGATAGTTATAGAACAATAGATTATATCTCCCTCACCACTTGCAGCTCCTAATAGTAAGAAACAAAAGGATCATCAGAAGAGAAATGATTTTATGGCAGAGTTGCATGGCACCACACTGGATAACTCCCAATTTTCTAAACTGTCACAGCGGAGTTTATACTGTTAAATTAAATGGATATATGCAAATAATCCTGTTAATTGGAATAGCAAATTTCCTTGCACTCTTTTATTGATCCCTCACTCTTCCAGCCTTGAATTATGGCCTGTGGTGAACACATGCATGTAAGTCCCTAGGGCAGGCACTACGTCTCTGTTCCCCATGGTAACTTCCATGTCATCCAATGCACAGGTATTCAAGTTTTTGCAGCAGAATTTTTATATGGAACAAAAATCTCATGTGGAACCCTAATGTATATTTTAAAAAACAGCTAAATGTGGGGCTGCTCTGGTTAGTGCCTATACAGGGGCTGGGATAGTTCACCCCTCACCTCTGCCTCTTTTCCCCCAGAAGTGACCTTGTTGGCACTGACATCACAGAGAACCCAGAATGCTTTAGAATGCAGTTGAAGAAAAATGGAAGTGCACAGTGTTCTTGTAGAAATGGAAGAACCCAGCGTCCTAAAATTGAGAAGACTTGGTCTGCTCATGCAGTCATTATAATTCAGTAGCAGAATTGAGGTCTCAGCAGCTAAATCTAGTACTCCTCTCTGAAGTCTAAAGCAGCCCCAATCACATAGCATTTGCCACTAAAATTGCCAGGATAAGAGAAGAAATCGCATAGCACAACCTGAGATCCTGGTGTCAGAAGAACCACTTCCATCAGGCTGCCCTATTCAGAGTTGTTTTCCCAGGCATCCTTCTTTGGAACCATCATGTCAGTTATCTAGGTTGAAGGTTTGTGCCAGCCTGGAGCCCAGGAGTTGTAAAAATGCATATTCACCCAAATCTGTCAGGGGTGCTGACCACGTGCAAGGTGCTGTTCTAGAACTGGAGTCGAACAGTGTGTCCAAGATTGACTAGAGGCCCCACACTCCTATTTCCTCTTCTGTGGCCATAGGTTAGGCACTGTGGGCACCCGACCCAGATCCCTGGCCTGTGCACCCATCTCCCAAATTCATAGAGCATGACTCCCAGAAGCTCATAGCTGTCCTCTTCTCCTGACCACTGCCCTTAGCTCAGGATTTCTCAGCCTTGGAACCATTGACATTTTGGGTCCAGATTTTTTTTTTGATGTGGGGTCTAGTCTGTGAATTGTAGTATGGTCAGTGGCATCCCTAGCCTCTACCCACTAGATGCCAGTAGCCCCCACACCCAGTTTTGACAAGCAAAAATATCTCCAAGCATTGGTTGAGAACCCTTGCCTTAGCTGACGGGAAGCCTTTTCTGAAACACATTGGAAGTTATACCCTTCTTCTAGGGTGCTCAAAGGCCAATAACTGACTGACGAGGAGTACAGAAGACTAGACCCTGTCCTCAGAATAGGACAATTCTGATGCTATTCACTCTCTGGAGTTTCAGATCAGGCTGGGGCTAGACTTCAGCTGAAGCTGCACTTTTGCCTGGCTTCATCCCTTGAACTATTTTGCCTTCTAGGATGAGTACATATCCCAGGCTTCTTTGCAGAAAGGTTGAGTCCATGAGACTGATTCTGTCCAGTGAAATGTGATGTCCAAAAGTGATGCACACCTCTTCTAGATTTTGCCCCTAAAACACTCTTACAATATTCTCTAGCTCATACTTTTTCTTGAATTACTCTCTTTCCCCCTTTCCCTTGGATGGACCTGGAAGAATCCAAGATGTTAAGGGCATAATGTAGAAAGATCCTGAATCCCTGAGTCACCACTTGGAAGAAACCTCCTAAGACAGCTGTCTAATCCTCATTGGATTTTGAGCAAGAAATTACTTTTGATTAATATCTGTCTTCCCATCTAGGCAGTAAGTTCCCTGAAGGCAGGAACCCTGTCTGTTCTGTAGACTGCTTTTATTAGTCAGGGAAATTCATGTTAGCTTCTGTAACAAATTTCTTCAAATCAGTAGCTGAAAACAATAAAAGGATCAATTCTGGCCAGGTGTGGTGATTCATGTCTGTAATCCCAGCACTTTCGGAAGCTGAGGCAAGAGGACTGCTTGAGGCCAGGAGTTTGAGTCCAGCCTGGGCAACATACTGAGACCTTTACAAAAAATATGGTATGTGCTTGTTGTCCCAGCTACTTGGGAGGCTAAGGCGGAAGGATCGCTTGAGCCCAGATGCTTGAAGCTGCAGTGAGCTATGACCATACCACTGTACTCCACAGCCTGGGCAACAGAGCAAGATCCCACCTCAAAAAGACAAAATCCAACCCAAGCATTACCACTGCAAGATACCACTGTTTTCTTGTGTGTTTTGTTGTTGTTGTTGTTGTTGTTTGTTTGTTTGTTTGAGACGGAGTCTCACTCTGTCACCCAGGCTGGAATTTAGTGGTATGATCTCAGCTCACTGCAACCTCCGCCTCTCAGGTTCACTGGGTTCTCCTGCCTCAGCCTCCCAGCCTCCCAAGTAGCTGGAATTACAGGTGCCTACCACCATGCCTAGCTAATTTTTGTATTTTTAGTAGAGACGGTTTTGCCATGTTGACCAGGCTGGTCTCGAACTCCTGAACTCAAGTGATCCACTCACCTCGGCTTCCCAAAGTGCTGGGATTACAGAAGTGGTACCATTGTTTTCTAAGTGGATTACCACAATGACCTTCTAACTGGTGCTGTCAGCACTGAAGTAACACAATCCCATGAAGACTGAGGTGAGACCTTACTCCTCCTCTGTGGGAACTCTTTCATGGCCCCCAAGTCTTTCACAGTAGAATCCTATGTGGCCCTAGATTGTCTGACTCTTAGTCACTTCTCACTCACTCAGCATCAGCTTCCACTATACTAACTTCTTTGCTGTTTTTCACATATGCCAAAAGAGCCCTGTCTTAAACCTTTTGCATATTCTCCTTCCTGTGGCTAGAAGTTTCATTCCCCAGGTATCCTTGTAGCTCACAACCTCACTACATTCAGACTTCTGCTGTGGGGTCAACTTGTCAGAAAGGCCTCGCTGACCAATCTGCATGAAACAGCACTCTCTTCCACAGGCCTCTGCCCTATCCCCTCCTCTAGATTGTAAACCACGTGAACGCAGTGGCTTGATCTTTGGAAGAGCAACTAACAGGGCTTCAATAGAAATGTGATGGGTGAGAAAAAGATTGAGTGAGGAACGTGTAAATGTAAAGACACAGTGGCTCTTCAAGAAAGTGTCATGGCTGTAAGACAGCATATAATAAAAAATAAATAAATAAAACCTGCCCTGGACTTGGCATCATAGAATGCTTCACTGAGGTCATTTGAGCTTGGGCCACCATTCAAAGAACCCAAAGACCTCAAGGTGTGCAAGAAACTCAGGAGAGTGTGAAGTTTCAGGACACTGAAGCAGGGGAGGATTCTGGACTAGTTTTGCTTTTATGTGGCTGAGTTTGCACAGTGGAGCTCTACTTCTTTCCAAGCCTTTATAAAGAAGTGGGTTTCCCCCACCCCACTTATGTGTAAAAGACAAATGCTGAGGCACACGCTGGCCCCAGGACCAGAGATAGCCCTGTGCAGACTTGTGGGAGACATCTCCCTGCCCAGCTCCCCTGCTAGCTAGGCACTGTGAGGCAGCCTCTTTTGCTCCACGGAACTCCACCCTTTAGCTGGAGGCGGATTCGAGAACCAGGAGAGGGCATCTCAGTAGATGACTTGGATCAATCTGATTTTCTGCCCTAGGAATAAGAAGTCAAAAACATGAAAATTGCTGAGTGTAGAGGATTGTTCAGTGGGAGAATTCTGAAGTGGAATAGATTATAAAGCAGTTTTCAGTGTTGATTCTAATTGGAATTAGTGACTTCAAGGGAATATGGACAGGCCCCCAGAGATTATGGGGAGAGAGAAGGGGAGTACATAAAGAAGGGGAGGTTGAGCCAGGTGTGTTCCCTGATGGCCACAGAAGAGAAGAGGAGATGAGGGCAGACTCATGACTGACCAGACAGCCCAGGGGTGACCCATGGATGGGGTGGCCTAAGCATGCTGCACACAGTCCCGACTGCAGTTAACAAGAATCCTGCCCACACCAAGGAGCAAAGCCATGTGCTAATGAGGACCTGTTCAAACCTCCAGGTCCACCTTTTGGGAAGGTCTGGAGATAGCTTGCAGAGGGCAGGGGAGTTTGGGAAATATAGGAGCGTGTGGTCATTGAGAAGTTGAAAATAAAGAAAAGTTTTTTTTATTGATATAAAAATTCTTTCTATATATATATTTTTATTATACTTTAAGTTTTAGGGTACATGTGCACAACGTGCAGGTTTGTTACATATATATACATGTGCCATGTTGGTGTGCTGCACCCATTAACTCGTCATTTAACATTAGGTATATCTCCTAATGCTATCCCTCCCCCCTCCCCCCACCCCACAACAGGCCCCGGTGTGTGATGTTCCCCTTCCTGTGTCCAAGTGTTCTCATTGTTCAGCTCCCACCTATGAGTGAGAACATGTGGTGTTTGGTTTTCTGTCCTTGTGATAGTTTGCTGAGAATGATGGTTTCCAGCTTCATCCATGTCCCTACAAAGGACATGAACTCATCAATTTTTATGGCTGCATAGTATTCCATGGTGTATTAAGGGAACCTGCACACCAAAGACAGGCTCTCTAGCCTCTTGGTCAACTGGGAGCAGGTGAAGCATCCCGCAAGGATATCTCTCCTGGAAGAGTCCATGCTTGGGAGAAGCTGCTGCTTTCTCTGCTCAGGCTCTGGGTGAGTTGACCTACAGGAAAATTTTCTAGTCCTTTCTTGTCCCTGGTGGAGTGTGGGCCCTGCTAAGAGGATCCTTGTGGAGTGAAGAAACAAGATGCCTGGTATGGTGGGGCTGAGGGTCAAGACCTGGCTGCATCCATGCCATGTGCACAATGCTTCCACTCCGTCCAATGTCCTACCAACTCCAGGCACTGCTGAGGAGCTAGGGCAGAGTGCTGATCACCCAAGGCCCTGGCTTCTTTCCTCTTTCTATACCAATGATGAGCTGGGACCACAGCAAGCCCAAGACAAGCCTTACTCAGAAGGAAGAAGTAAAGACAGCAACCAGATATGATGAAGATGAGATTAATAATGTTAAATAATTCACACATTTTGTTTTGAATCCTGGCTGTATGGCTACAAATGTTGTTCTCTTAACTCTAAGCTATACTAACTCTCAGTATAGAGAAAGGAAGGAAGCAGATATACTGAGGGTAACAACAATCAGAATAGCTCTGGCTAATGTTTATTGAACACCAATTGCATGGCAGGTAGTCTTGTGCATCTGTATTAATCCTCTAACAGGTGTATTGCAGCAGGTGCAAATATTATAAAATTGATTTTTCAGGTGACGAAACTGAGGCAAAAAAAAGGAAGGAAGGAGGGAGGGAGGGAGAAAGGGAATAAGAGATAAGAGAGGGAGGCTAACCAGAATGGAAGGAAGGAAGGAAGGAAGGAAGGAAGGAAGAAAGGAAGGAAGGAAGGAAGGAAGGCAGGAAGGAAGGAAGGAAGAAAGGAAGGAAGGAAGGAAGGCAGGAAGGAAGGAAGGAAGAAAGGAAGGAAGGAAGGAAGGAAGGCAGGAAGGAAGGAAGGAAGAAAGGAAGGAAGGAAGGAAGGAAGGCAGGAAGGAAGGAAGGAAGAAAGGAAGGAAGGAAGGAAGGAAGGAAGGAAGGCAGGCAGGAAGGCAGGAAGGAAGGGAGGCAAAGTATTTTACAGCTAATAAATAAAGGTGATAAACTTCAAACTCAGGCAGTCTGAATCCCAAAGGTGCACTCTCAGCTATCAATTTGAACAGTCTGAAATGACCAGCATTTGGCTTGTTTGGCCTACATAATAATAGCACTCGTATATGTTAAACCTGGCACCACACCTATAACTTCCATGGATCACAGAGTCAAAACCCAGACTTGTACTGCTGAGGCCTTTGGGGCTTCCTTGACCTCCTTTCTCACTCTAGGCTATTGTGGCTCCTGATCTTGTCTTTCTTTAAACTTTCCTTTGACACCCCACAAACGCCTCTACAGATGTGAATTTGCAGCTCCAAGCTCAATGGTGCCAAAGTATCTCATTTCTTACTATTACTCAATCAAAGACATTCGACCCTTGATTTACAATCGCTTCATTCAATAAGAAGGCACCATTTCTGGTATATGAGGAGCTCCTTACTTTACCCACTCCTTCAGGGTCAGGCAAAGACTGTGAGGTGTTATGCAAAGCAAAATGTCCCAGGAAGGCCCTCCACCCCACCTTTCTTCTCCCTACAGTGGTTACCTGCATTTATATAGTTTTTGATGTCTATAAATTCTGCTGCTCACATAACCAATTGCCATGGCTGGGTACCACAAGACTTGGTTTTATCCATGCCGTGTGCACCATGGATCCATCACCTCCAATGTCCTACCAACTCCAGGCACTGACAAGGACCTAGGGCAGAGTGCTGACCACCCCAGGCTCTGGCTTCGGTCCTCTTCCTAGGTTAAAGGACGATCTTTCTCTCCCTTGCTGCTTTCCACAGATCCATATTCCTTCAGGAACCCTGTGGACACAATCTTCAGTGGCTTCGGCTTTTATAAAGTAAAGGAAAAGGGTTTCTTCCCATTCCCAGCTTCTGCTGTAAGCTCTGCACCTGTACCCCACAGAAAGAAATACAAACTGCCTGGTTCACTTCTTGAAGTGAGATGCAGTGGGGAGAGAATGCAAAGATCCAAATTCAGCTCCCACCCTAATAGAACACCCAAGAAGCCTGCCTTCCTGCTGCATGCTTGGGTGGGATTCTGCTCGTTGCAATCAGAAATGCCAAATGGAAACAGTTCTACAATCAGGGGAGTGTATTTTTAGGGATTCTTTTCTCTGGAGCCTTCCTCCAGCCTCCTCCTTCTGGCTTCTGGATCTCTAAGAGGCCCATGGCTGATGCTGCTTCTTTCACTGAACTGACAAATGAATCCACGTGTCACCATGATTGCCTGTTGCAGGAGACAGGTCACAAGAGCAATGTATATATATTGTGTAGTTTTGTATATGTATATAGGGTAGAATATATCTTATCTATAGAATACTTTTTACTGTCATGGTTTGTCTGTCCCTAGGGTAGGGTACCTGAAGAGAAGAGAAGGTTGGGTGTCAGCACCCCCTGTTGGCTTCCTCAGATTACATCGGAGCATTGTTTCTGCCCTTTTATGGGGGAAAGAAATCCTACACAATTCTCTTCTCTTTGCCCAAGCCAATGAAAAGGCAGACAGCATCCTCTGGCTCAAGTGTGACTCCGGATCTGCCTGGTATCTCCTGCAGCGGGGAGGCGTCATGACCTTGCTGGGCTGGTGGCTCCTGGCACCCTCCCAGCCCTGGATGCGCTGCACAACCCTAAATAACCCCGCTTCTGCGCCATCTGACACAGAGAGCATTTCCCTGATGAATTACCTATGCACAGATAATCAAATAAATCTTTGTCTTGCTACCTGCAGTCGGGATGCCCTGAGAAGTTTCACAGGTCACAGCACAGATCAAATTAAGGCCCAGAGTCATGGGTGGGATGGACAGCCCCAGCCTGACTCTCCGGGGCCACACGGACACACACACAGCCAGTTCTCCAGGCCAGGCTGCAGCTCTGGGGGACACATCAATCATTGATTCCAGTACCCAGGTGAGCTCCGCAGCAGCTGCAAAGCATCAAGGTGTAGGCGGGGGAGGAGAAATTAGAAAATAAACCAGCTTCCTCTGGTAAAATGAAAAATCTTGCCTACCCCAAATCCCACTCTCCTGGAAAAGGGCAGAACTGGGGGCTGCCCTGTGCTTGCCCCACCCCCCGAGAGAGCAGTGGCTGCCTCTCCCCTCTTTACTGACAGAGAACACGATCACAAATCGGGAACCAGATGGCTGCCTTTATATTTCTTTTTTCTTTCTTCTTCGTCTTCCCTTTTTTTTTTTTTTTACTGCAATACTAAAGCCACCATAAAAAAGCAAAGTTGAACAGACAGAGCTAATAATATAATCATTCAAAACACCTGCAAACAGTGCAGATGGGCAATTTCTGTCTGCAGAATCGTCGGTGAAAGACCGCCTCCCCATATGGGCAGCTCCAGAAGCCCGGTTTTGCCCAGCTCTGTCCCTTACCTTAGGAAAACCTGCGCAGAGCATATGCACGCTTTTTATAGTCGAGCGAAAGAGTCGGTGGCTGATTATTTATGTCCTTCTGGTATGTCTTAGAGTCAGGCAACCTGCAAAGGGTCTGTCCAGCCGGGCTCCCCAGGTGTCATGGGACCCAAGGGGAGGCCAAGGACAGCCCTGCAGCCACTTCGAAGTCTGGGCACAAACAATGGCTATTGTCTGCGAATGGCTCCATCACCCTTCCCACCATCTACCTGCATTTTCAAAATAAACAGCCCTCCAAAGCCAACAGCCCTGTGTTCTGTTTCTCACTGAACACGCACAATGTGAATCTGTAGAGAAAGAAAAACAAAAGTGCTCTGCAAAGGCTTGCTTTTGTCATCTGTCAGTGGGTTCCTCATGTAACTCTCTCCAGCTTCTTGCAGTAGAAATCAATTCCAAGGAAGAAAGGACGTGATTGGGAGCCTGTTGTGGAAGGAAGGCCACACCTCAACCAGACGGTCAATCCTGAGGAATAACCACTCTCCGACCTCCACCTGCATTACAGAGGGATAAACTGAGGCTCAGAGGGGAACAGTAATTTTCTCAAGGTGGCAGAGGCAGGGTGAGTCTCCCCATTTGCAGCCATGCATGGAGGGCTAGGGTGCCCCTCACTGCCCTTCGCTCCACGGTTTGTTTCCACACAGCACCATGTCAGCTCCCTATGAGTTAGGTACAGATGGACAGGCGGGTGGATGAAAACTGAAGGTACAACTTGCCTGCCTGCCGGACAGAGGCAGCTGTGGGACCTGCGTTCCTCCAGGCAAGGCAGGCAGCTCAGCTGACCACAGATGGCTGAGTGGCTGCCAGGGATCAGTAACTCAGGGAAAGAGAGATGAGCGAGAATGGGGTCTCAGTCCTCAGGGGGCTCCTAGTCTTCTGGGAGGAACATGTTTGAATGCCCTGAGTCAGAACCAGTATCTAAAGAGAAGTCCACACAACGTTCATTGGAAGATTTAACACATGGAGAGTTCAATGCAGCAGGGATCCAGTTGGAAAAAAAAAATCAAGGAAGGCTTTCTGGAGGAGGCAACATATAAGATTTTTCTTTCTAAATATATGTGAATTGATTCACTTCTCTCCATCATCACCTCTACCACCAGGGTCTTAGATGTCATATGTTTCATCTCTTCTGCAGAGTATTTCCATTGGCTCCTTATCCCCCTCCCCATTTTCTTCTCACCCAGTCCACTCCTCACACTGCAGGCAGAGTGATCATTTTAAACCGTAATTCAAGCATCCCTTCTTTAAAATTTGTCAGTACCTTCCCTTTGCTCTTACCGTAAATACTCAAATCCCTATTATAGGGAAGTATTTAGAGTGCTTTGGGGAGCGAGTGATAAGGGAACAGGATCAACTTATGTTAAGAATGACTTGGGAACATTTATGCTCTTATGTAAATATCCAGAAGAAGTGTGCATATTTGGTTAATTTGGTGGTTCAGTAGCTTTCTTCTAGCTTTCTTGGCATCCTCAATGTGGGTTTTGTCCCCTAGACTGGTCCTCCTGGCTTGAAGATCTCTGCAAGAACTCCAAGTACCACACTGGCACATGGCAGAACTCAAAGCCAGATGACAGAATTCCCTTCTCTTGGTCCCTTTTTAAAGTCTAGGAAACATTTCTGAAAGTCCCACCAGCCACTACCACTCCTCCACTATGGGACTTCATTCACATCCCCTTGGCCTGTATTTTGTCAGCTGCCTTTCTTTAAAACAAGTCATGGCAAAGAGAATGGCACGTCTGTAAGTTAGACTCATGAAGATTCATCTTCTGGGATTGAGGCAGGGCCCAGCATGCACTCATTCTCAAGGTCTCCTTCTACCTGAACAAAAATAGGGTTTTATTAGCAATAAAGTAGGGACATCAGAAGAACTCTGCGGTAATCAACCAACAATGTCTGCTGCCCATGTTTCTAGGACCCGCAGGTATGGCCCTGGCTGTCCTCCAGCCTCATATTGTTTTATTCTCCTTCTTTCTCTGAGGTCTTCCTACCCTACAGCCACCCCACATGCTGGAAGGCAGATGAACTCCTGATTTTAGTGTGGAGAAAAGTACCCCCCATCTTGTGGAATCAACAAGACTGAGGCAATCCATCTCTGGAATGTTTGGTAGAACTTTGTAGAACCATTTAGGCTTATTTGTTTGCTAGTTGAGTGTATGCACATGTGTGTGTAGGCGTTTGTGGATATTTAGCCACTGATTCATTTTGCTTATCTTTATTGGGCCAGTTTTTAAGATATTTTCACTATGATATAATTCATATATCGTAAAATGCATTATTGTTAAGTTTATAATTTAATGAGTTTTGACAAGTGCATACACCCACATAACCCACATTTCCACAAAAATTTTGAATAATTCCATCACTAGGAAAATTCTCCATGCACCCTTCCAGTCATTGCCTCCTCATGCTCTCCGCAAACTGCCACTGCTAAGAAATAGTTTATCATGGATTAGCTTTGTTTTTTCTAGAACGTCATGTAAATGGGATCACATAATATGGATTAATTTGTATCTCGCTGTTTATACTCAAAGTAGTCTTTTTGAAATTTATCCATATTAATGGTGTATTAGTAGTTTATTCTTTTTATTCCTAAGTAGTGTCACGTTGTATGAATATATACAATTGGTTTTGCCACTTTCCCCTTGACGTATATTTAGGTTGTTCCCAGCTTTGGACTATTATATGTACTTCTGTCATGAACAGTGGTGTTAACTCTTTGGGTAAATATCTCAGAGTGGATTTGCTTAGTCTTACGATATGTACATGATGAACTTTATATGAAACAGCCAAATAATTTTATCATGTTTTATCATTTTACACTGCACCAGCAATGTGTGAGAGTTCAGTTGTGACATATCGTCACCAACATCTGGTGATAGAATTTTAATTTTAGCCACTCCACTGGGAATGAAATGTTATTTCATTGTTATATTAAGTTGTATTTCATTGTTATATTAAGTTGTATTTCATTGAGGATTACTAATTTTGAGTACTTCTTATTAATTATTGGCAAGTGTGTCTTCCTATGTGAAGTGTGTGTTCAAATCTTTTGCTCATCTTTTAAAATTAAGTAGTCTTATTTAATAATAAGATTAATGATAATGTAATTATATATCATTATAATTATAATCAAGGGTATTATTAATATGATAAATAATAATATTGATTGTAAAAGTTCTTTGTGTGTGTGTATATATGTGTATACATATATATACACACAAAACTTCACTATAAACACACACACACACACACACACACATATACATATATACAGTGAAGATTTTCCCTAATCTTGAGTCAGTTTTCAGATTTCATTTTTTTGCTAGAAAATGTTCCCTTTTGTCTAAGTTTTCCAATTTAAAGCCATAAAGTTTCCAAGTATTCTCTATTGTTTACATCTCTGCAAAATCTGCAGTTATGTCTCTTTTTTCAGTCCTAAAATTATTTGTGCCTGATCTGTTTTTGCTTTGCTCAGTCTTGCCAGAAGATTGTTTATTTTTATCATCTTTTCAAGAAAAAGATAAGATTTGATTTCTTCATTGTGTCTTTGTTTTCTGTTTCATTAGTCCTCTCTCTTACCTTTGTTAGTTTCTTCTTTCCATATTCTTTAATGTACTCTGTTGCTCTTTCTTTTTTCTTTTTTATAAGATGAGCCCTCTCTTTGTTGCCCATGCTGGAATGCAGTGGTGTGATCATGGCTTACTGCAGCCTTGAACTCACGAGCTCAGGAGACCCTTCCACCTCATCCTCCTAAGAACCTGGGACTACAGGTGCACACCACCATGCCTGGATAATACTGTTTATTTTTTATCTTTCTCAATATGGCACTTAGCTCATAAGTTTTTAGGCTTCTTTCTCTAACACAAATATTTAAAAATATATATTTTGTTCTAAGAACTGCCTTTATATGTAGTATTTTCATTTTTGTTCCTTTTGCCTCACTGGCATGAGGCAGATTGATTAGTAGAAGAAAAGGCATGCAAATTTACTGAACATGTATACATTGGAACTTTCAGTTCCTCATGTCAAAATGCTATACTTCGGATATTGCTTTCTGAGCCCCAACACTGGTGTATTAGTCTGCTCTCACACTGCTAATAAAGACATACCCAAGACTGGGTAATTTATAAAGGAAAGAGATTTAATGGACTCACAGTTCCACATGGCTGGGGAGACCTCACAATCATGGCAGAAGGTGAAGGGAAGCAAGACACGTCTTACATGGCAGCAAGCAAGAGAGCTTGTGCAGTGGAATCCCCCTTTATAAAACCATCAGATGTCTGAGGCTTATTCACTACCACGAGAACAGTACGGGGGGAACCACCTCTATCATTTGATTATCTCTACCTGGCTCCACCCTTGACATACGAGGATTATTACAATTCAAGGTGAGATTTGGGTGAGGACACAGACAAATCATAACAATTGGTTTAAGCATGTGTATGTGTGTGTGGTTGTCAGGGGGGTGTATAGTTAATAAATAAAGAATAACTTAAGTGTGTCTTAAAGGCAGAAGAGCATGTCTACAGGCAGAGAGGCATGTCTACACTCACTTTGATGGTGACAATGACTTCATCATTTTCACTTGCCCAGGATCACTCCTGCGTCTGGCAGCTGCACTCCAATTTTCCTTTGCAGAGGGCTCTTTGTCTATCTTCACTCCACGTGGGTTGGGTGAGGCTGACCGCATCTCTTTCCTCCAGCAGTGGATGCAGAACCTTGGCCTCTGCGATCTGACCACCAACACATCAGAGGAAAACCTGCCTGAGAGTGAAACCAGCACAGAAGCAGCAGAACTGAGAAAGGAAGAGACACTTTGTTTATGAATCTGTCCAAAGGAATCCCTTGAACTTTCCAACCAAATAAACCAGTAGATTCTGTTTTCTTTTATGTGAGTTTGGGCTGAGTTTTTGTCAATAAAGAGCCCTGATGATCATCAAGAGTGATTCTGGAGGGGGCTCCTGCAGAGCAGGCCACAGGCAGTCTCCTTTCAAAAGAGGCTACAAAGGCCTGCCCCCCAATTGTCCCCCTCTCCTCACCCCAGCTTCTGTGCACAGTGCTTGAGCTTGGTTCCATTAAAACCTTTCCCAGTACTCCTAAACCTGGCCTCAGATTCACATTTGCCAACTACCCAGGTGTGATCTGGACACCACGATGTATTTCCTTGATCAATTCCACAAAATTGTGAAGAGCCCCATGGAATTTTATTCCTGGCCCCATGCAAAATACAGTGAATGGGGAAAGGAGTTAGCACTGGATGAGAAGTTTCTCTTTTGGGAGTGCCATAATTTGTCACAAAGTGTGCTAATCTGAAATGTTAAAATCATATTATATTTTAAGTTCACTAAAAAGTTATCTGGTTAAAGAGAACTCCTGTACAAAAATAGATTACCCCTTTAGTGGAGAGCATTTCCCTTCAGGGCTCACGGTTCCCGAACATGAGTAGAGCTTCTATTGCAGGTCTCTGTGACTCTGCAGGTGGGCTTTCCATGGCCGCAAGAGCACGACGAGCTCCCACATGAGATAGGCCTACTGTGCCAGGCAAGGCATGCCCTGCCTGTGTCAGTGAAAAGCCAGTGGCCATTGAAGACAAACACCCCAGCTTCCTTGCCCCTCAGATGGGACGACAACACTGAGGTGTGTTTTACACAGTCTCCCAGGGGTCCCCGGTAGACCCCCCATCATATCTTGTACATCAAAACTCTCCACATTGGCTTGTTCCCATTCCTGGTCTCATTTCCTCTTTCCCCTACTGGTGCTTCCTGGGGTCAACTCCCAAATGAGCAACTTAAACTTAAAGCCTTATTTTAGGGTGTGCTTAGAAAGGTTTGCGATGTAAGACCCACCCAATTCCTTTGCTTATCACCATCTCTTTTGCTTAAATTTGTTTACTTATTTATTTATGTATTGGCTTTATTTTTTAAAGCAGTTTCAAGTTCACTGCAAAATTGAAGGGAAGATGCAGAGAGTTCACATATATTCCTCGATCTCCAAGGCATCTCCTTTATCCACAGAATTGACCAGAGTGGTACATTCCTTGTAACCGATAAACCCACAGTGACGTGTTATAACCACCTAACGTCTCTAGTTTAGTTAGGGATCACTCTTGGTTGTGTACATTCTATGAGTGACCGTTGGCTTTATAACATACATTTTCTTATACTGGGGTCACCTCTCCCCTTTCTCCTGGCTTAGAAAGTGTGGCTTGGTTATGAAATTCACAAGGTGCTCCTGGTCCTCTCTCCATCTACTTCCTTAGCTGGCTGGCAGCCTTGGATCAGTGAGAAAGCTAAAATGCAGAGACTCTGAGTAATCAGAAGACCCCCCCCATGGCAGCAGTGTGTATTTCAGGCCCTTCTCTCATATCTGCCTTTCTCCTCCATTAAGATGAACTGCTATGGTCTGGGACATTTATTCTTTTTTCTTACTAACTTTTATATTACGAATATGATTTGCAAATTATTGAAAATTTAAGGCTGGGTGAGGTGGCTTACGCCTGTAATCCCGCATTTGGGTGGCTGAAACAGGAGGATCGCTTGAGGACAGGAGTTCAAGGCCAACCTGGGCAACATGGTAAGACCCTGTTTCTACAAAAAAAAAAAAAAAAAGAATTAGCTGATGGGCATGGGGTGAAGTGCCTATAGTCTCAGCCACTTGGGAAGCTGAAATGGGAAGATGGTTTGAGACCAGGTTGCAGTGAGCTATTATCACACCACTGCCCTGTGTCTAAAAATAAAAAATTTAAAAAAATTAAAAATACTAAAATTAAAATTTAAAAAATAACAAATACATATAAGGAAAAGAAGAAAAAAATTTAAAATCAACAATATTATTAATCAATATTAATGGTGAAAGGCAGAATGCTTTCTTACTCCGGGCCAAAAATTAGAAAATGAAAAGAATGAGACAAGGATGTCTGCTCATGCCACTTCTATACAACATTGTACTGGAGATTCTAGTGAGATTGAAAAGGAAGAAGTGCAACCACCACTATGTGCAGATTAAGTTATCTTGTATATCTTGTACATAGAAACTCTTAAGCACACACACACACACGCCCCATTAGAAGTAATAAATGAGTTCAGCAATATAGCATTGTATAAGATCAGTATTTAAAAATTTGTGTGTTTATATACTAGCAATAAACAATCTAACAATGAAATTAAGTAAACAATTATATTTATAATAGCATCAGAAAGAATAAAATACTTAACATAAATTTAACAAAAAAGTACAAGACTCGTACAATGAAACACTGTAAAACATTGTTGAAAACAATGAAAGAAGATCTAAACAAACAGAAAGATGTCCATGGTCATGAATAGGAAGACTGAATATTGGCAATATTTCCTAAATTGGTCTTCAGATTCAATGCAATCCCTGTAAAAATTCAGCTGCCATTTTGTAGAAAATGCAGAAAATTATGATCAGGAATGATCACAAAATTTATACGAATATTCAGGGGACTCAGAATAGAAAAAACAATCTTGGGAAAGAAAAAGAGAGTAGGATGACTCAAACTTCCCAAATTCATAACTTACTACAAAGATAGAGTAATCAAGACAGTGTGGTACTGACTTCAGGAGTAGAACTGATAATCCAGAAAACAAAGCCGTGCATTTGAAGTCACTTGATTTTTCACAAGGGTGCCAAGATCATTCAATGGAGAATGAACACTCTTTATGACAAACGGTGCTGGGACAACTGGATTTCCACATACAGAAGAATAAAATTGGACGTCTACCTCACACTACACACAAACATTAACTTAACATGGAAAATAAATTTAAATGTAAGAGCTAAAACTAGGCTGGGCGTGGTGGCTTATGTCTGTAACCCCAGCACTTTGGGAGGCCTACATGGGTGGATCACCTGAGGTCAGGCATTCGAGACCAGCCTGGCCAACATGGAGAAACCCTGTCTCTACTACAAATACAAAAAATTAGCTGGGCGTGGTGGTGCACGCATGTGGTCCCAGCTACTCAGGAGGCTGAGACTGGAGAATCACTGGAATGTGGGAGGCTGAGGTTGCTGTGAGCCTAGATTATGCCACTGCAGTCCATCCTGGGTGACAGAGTAAAACTCTGTTTCAAAAAAAAAAAAAGAGCTAAAACTACAAAATTACTGGAAGAAAACATAGAAGTCAATCTTTGCTATCTGCATGAGGCTGTGGTATATTAGATATGACACCAAAAGCATAAGGAACAAAAGAAAAATAGATAAATTATACTTCATTATGATATACTTCTTTAAAACCAAAAGTTTCCATGCTGCAAATGATACCATTCAGAAAGAGAAACGACAACTCACAGAATGTGAGAAAATATTTGAAAATCATAACATACACATCATAAAGGATTTGTATACAGGATATACAGAATACATATAAACAACTCATAAAACTAAATAATCAACAAATAAAAATTCAGTTATAAATTGAAATGGGATCTGACAGTGCTCTAAAAAAGATATCTAAATTATCAATCAGCATAAGATGTTCAACATTTGAGGAAATACAAATGAAAACCACAATGACATACCACTTCACAGCCTATGGTAGCTATATTCTAAAAGACAGGTAAGGGCAAGTGTGGGTGAGAATGTGAAGAAATTGACACCCTCATACATTTCTGTTAAGAATGTAATATGGTGCTTCCATTTTGGAAAACAATCTCGTGGTTTCTCAAAAAGTTAAGCAATATAATTACCGTATGACCCTGAAATTTCCTCCTAGATATATACAAAAGAATTGGAAATATATGTCTACACAAAAACTTGTACATAAATGTTTATAACAGCATTATTTATAATAGCCTTAAAGTGGAAACAACCCAAATGACCATCAAATGATAAATGGAAAAATAAAATGTGGTATATCCATACAACAAAACTTGATAATTCAGCAACAAAAAAGGAATGAATTACCAATACATGCTATAACATGGATGGACCCTGGAAACATTGTGCTAAGTGAAAGAAGCCAGTCACAAAAAAAACCACACACTGTATAATTTCATTTATTGAAAATGTCTAGAATAAGCAAACAGGAGGAATTGTAAGGTATGTAAATTATATCTCAATAAAACTGTTCAAAAGCTCCCTGCTCCCAGAGGTAATCACTGTTAATATATTTAGTAAAAATAACTTTCAAGATACAAATATTTTTATATATGTATATATAACACAAAAGGACAGTAGGGTGCAGTGGTTCACACCTGTAATCTCAGCACACTAGGAGGCCAGAGTGGGAGGATCGCTTGAGCTCAGGAGTTTGAGACCAGCCTGGACAACATAGTGAAACCCCGTCTCTACAAAATTACAAAAAGTAGCCAGGTGTAGTAGTACATGCCTGTGTCCCAACTACTTGGGAGTCCAAGGCAGGAGGATCGCTTGAGCTTGGGAGGCAGAGGTTGCAGTGAGCCAAAATCGTGCCACTGCACTCCAGCCTAGGGAAAAGAGTGAGACCCCGTCTCAAAAAAAAGAAAAAAGGAATTATACTATACATTAATCTTCTATTTTTGTAATAGAATGTGTCATTAAATATTCTTCAATGTTATTTTTTTAAAGCTGCATATTGATTTTGCATCATGTTCTATAATTTGTTTAAAGAATCTTGGCCAAACTTTTATGTTGCTTCTAATTTGTTGTTATTATACACAACACTGTTGTGAATATCTTTTGGCTAACTTGGGTAACGAGTATGCATGTTTTGATGTACTGAACTATAAAAAGTCCATGACAATCTTGAAGAATGTATCAATTTGTTCACCCTCCAGCAGTTCAATGCTGTGCCCAGTTTCCCATATCTCCATCAAAGCAGATCCATTTGAAAAAGGTTACACCAGTTTTATTTGAGTTTTTTTTTATGACAAATGATATCTACACACTTCAGTTTGAGTCTGCATAATGCCAAAAGAACCAGAAGAAAGTAAAGCAAAATTGAATACATGATGAGAAGGAACTTGTTTGAGTCTTTTTATCAGTAGTAATTTGTTTGACTGACTCATCCAATGCACTGAATGGTCCTGCTCAGAGCATCCCACCAACCAATTCCTGCCACATTTCCATGCAGTCAGGATGTGGGGCTTAGCTGGTATATAACTGGCATCACCAATATGGACTGCCTGCATGGTTTTCCAGGGAAGGCCTTCCCACTGACTGTGCATCCTCAAACTTAGCATGTTGATTTGAAGATCTAAGGACAAGGATGCATCGATGTTTCTGCACATGTGGTTATGCCTTCCAGACAAGAGGTTGTGTAAAGTGGGGATCATAAATCATTCTTTGACTCATAATTCCATCAAACCAATGCATAGCATAAATATTTACACACTAAAATAAATATTTCCTAAATGCAACATAGTATCCTAGATTGTATCCTGGGAAAGAAAAGGGATATAAATGGGAAAATGTGAAACCCAAAAAAAGTTTGGAATTATTTAATAGTAGTGTACAAATGTTTTGACAAATGTACATCTATGAAAGATATGAATATTAAGGGTAAGTAGGTGAAGGTTATATAGGAATTCTCTTTGCAACTTTTCTGTAAATGTAAAATTGTTCCAAAACTACAAATGCAAAAAAAAGAAAATAAATGAATATTTTATTTATATATGTCAGTAATTTAGCTATTCATTGATTCACCTGTCAAATGGGGTCAACTAATTCCCAAATTAAGGAATGAAAGAGTTGGCAGGACAATCAAATAGCACACTCTCTACCTTTTCCTGTCCCTACCTACTAGAAAGATACAACATATTCTCATCAATGCCAGGAGCTAATTTGGACATGTAATTTAAAAGCATCACTACCCTAACATTGTAACTCTACTTTTCTCCCTAGAGGTCACAGAAGAGAAGAACTCTGTAGCCTTCATTTAGAGTCACTGAGCTAGTCCAACATGTTCATTTTATATATAGAACAATTGAGTTCACAGAAGTATTGCAATTGTTTTCATTCTTTTTCCAATTATTATTTCCAGGGGCCGTCAGACACCAGGGGGCTTTCTGTGTACCTTTTGTCCCCTTTCCTTCTGGGCAGGTCCATTCCAAAGGAGGCTTGGTCCTACCACCTCTTGTTTGTCTAATGAGGCCACTGAGAAACTCCCTTCAAGGTTGTTTTCTAACTGGAGATTACAGCTTTTAGCAATGTTTGCTGAAAGAGAGAGAAGAGGGTTTTAGAGGCTTTGCAGTGGCTTCCTGTCATGCAGTTGTGTTCTTGCTAAGTATCCCCCACCCTCTC